>NC_000001.11:146934587-147559587 GCF_000001405.40 Homo sapiens
TTAAGTACACCCATGATATGCACTCCATATGCATTAGCTTTAATGAGCTGATTATCATACGGGGTCATTTTAAGGCTACTTTTTCTCTGTCATATGCATGCCTTTTACTGGTTTGCTCTGGATCCTGCCAGCCATAAACTTTTACTCACTACTCCATCTCACTTTTGTTTTCGCTGCTCAACTTCTGCTTATCTTGCTTCTTGCTCACCCACCTCTTTATCCTGCTTCCGCTCCTACTCAGTTCACCCTTTATCCAACTTCCACTTCCCTCTGCTGTTCTTCTGCCTCACCTTGACTCCTCGTTGCTTGGCCTGTTGCACACCGAATTTACTGCAAATAAAACTCTCTCTGATGATCTTCTACTCCACCTGTGGAGTTCCACGGTATGAGCAGCAGAGTAGCAGGAGCTGGAGCAGAGGTGGTGTTGGGTGAAACTCACACAGTGAAATTTCACTTATGCAAATGCTCAAGCACTTGTGAGAGGTTAGAACTAGCTCTTTCTTTGGAATGAGCTATTTCAGTGAGATGTTAAAGTGTAAGCTCTTTCACCAAATAAATTGATGTGCTCAGGGTGAGTGAAATAAAGGGGTAAACCAGGATTAGTGCTGCAGGGTCAGAGCTAATGACACAAGCTTCTCTCCTCAGGTCTATTCATTTGAGATACATCTCAGGCACTTAAGCACAGCAATGCTACGTTGGTGCCAATTATATACATACACACATATAAATATATAAAAAGCATATAATATAAACATTACATATGTAAATATAAATTGTACCAATAAAATCAACACCAAGCTTGTTTTTAATCATTCACTCAAAATATATTGAACAGCTACTGTGCAGTGTTGGGACTCCTTAGAAACTTAAGACAAAAATATTGGGCGTGATAGTGTGTGCCTGTAGTCCCAGCTACTCAAGACGCCTAGGCAGGAGGATGGCTTGAATTCAACAGTCCAAGTGCAGCCTGGGCAACATAGTGAGACTCAGTATTTTTTTTTTTTTTTTTTTTCTGAAATGGAGTCTTACTCTGTGGCCCAGGCTGGAGTTCAGTGGCACAAGCTTGCCTCACTGCAACCTCCACCTCCCGGGTTCAAGTGATTCTCCTGCCTCAGCCTCCCGAGTAACTGGGATTACAGGCATGCGCCACCACACTCAGCTAATTTTGCATTTTTAGTAGAGATGGTGTTTCACCATGTTGGCCAGGCTGGTCTCGAACTCCTAACCTCAAGTGATCCACCCACCTTGGCCTCCCAAAGTGCTGGGATTACAGGCGTGAGCCACCATGCCCAGCCAAGACCCAGTCTTTAAAATAATGACATAAAATAAACCCATAAACCTCAAACAAAAAGCAAACTATGATTTCAATCATTGTGAAGCTCTTGATCTAGTAGATGAGTTATATATATATATATATATATATATACCAAAAATATTACAATTTCAGAGAAGTGCTATAGGGTCTAATATTTAATAACTTATGGCATTTGACTGACGGTATTCAAAGCTCTTCCCCCATTTTCCAGGGGGTATAAATTAAGGAAAGTTATTTAGTATTTACTAAATTTGGGCTTCTTCATATGCAAGGGGGTTATGATAATAATACCTACCTCGTGAGGACAGTATGAGGACTAAACAAAATTGTGTATGTATAGCTTTGGCCAATACCCATAGACACTGAGCGCTCAACTAGGTGTTAGCTACTAGATTTTAAATTTTAAATTATTTTTATAGTTTTTAAGATAAAATTTACATTCATTGAAATGTTAACTGAATTTTTTGTAATTCCTACCCCTATCAAGGCAGACCATTTTTAGCACCCAGAAATTTCTCTTGTGTGCCTTCCCAGTCAATATCCTGTTAGAAGGAACTGCTGTTATGATTTTTTCACCACAGATTAATTTTGCCTTTTCTGGAATTTCAAATAAATGGGATGGTATGCACTCTTTTGTGTCATTTATTTATCTTCACATACTTTAAAATAAAAAGGTCCAATTGGGGATGTAGTAAAAACCTCTTTCCCACCAGTAGCCACCAGTCAAGAGTCTTTCTTTCTCTCTCTCTCTTTTTTTTTTTTTTTTGACAGGATCTTGCTCTGTCATCCAGGTTGAAGTGCAGTGGCATGATCATGGCTCACTGCAGCCTCTCAATCTTCTGGGCTCAAGCAATCCTCCCACCTCAGCCTCCCACACAGCTGGGACTACAGGTGTTTGGGACTACCAGCTAATTTTGCTTGTATTTTGTGTAGAGACAGGGTCTCACCAAGTTGCCCAGGCTAGTCTCAAACTCCTGAGCTCAAATGATCTGTCAGCCTTGGCCTCCCAAAGTGCTTGGATTACAGGCATGAGCCACTGTGCCTGGCTCGGTCTTCCTCTCTTGAAGCAACCAATGTTATTCGTTTTATGTGGACCATCCCAGGGCTATCATTATTAATTCAGGTGTTTATACAAGGCTCTCTGAGAACTCAGTTTTAAAGATTACCCAAAGAGTCCCTGCAACAATCCAGCCTAAAACGATATAAAATCAGTTTTGATATAACTGAAGTTTTTAGATTCTGCCTCCAAATATCAGATTGTGACATTTTACCTTTCTCTGACTTTATGCCAAATTTACTTCAACTTCTAGCATCTATCGTTCTCATTTAGGAACAAATATGTATTTCACAAATGTGGAAATACAACCATGAGCCAAACAAAACCAAATCCTGGACTTACGGAGCTGATGGTAGATTCCCCAACATAACCACTTGATTACAGTTTTATGCAATGTGATGGGAGTAAGGGACCACCGTAGGGAGGTCAGAAGTTGCCTCTCAGAGGTGGAGACTACAGCTGTCGTCAGAAGGATGAGGGTTGGAAGAATCTTCAGGCACAGAGCAAAGCATGAGCAAAAGCTCTGTGGAGTCCAGGAAGCTGAGTAAATAGGGAATAAAAGAGGCCAGTTTGGCTGAAGCAGAGAGAGCAGGATGGAATTGGTCTGACCTGTAAGAAGACATGGAGAGGTGGGCAAAGCGCCTGGCCATTCAGGGCTTGGTTAGTTAGGAGGTTTTGTCTAAGAGAACGGGAAGTGGTTTGGGCTGGGAAGTGACAGGGTCACATTACATTTTGAAAAAGCCACTCTGCCTGTTGTGTTGAGATTAGAGAGGCGATAAAGGGGATATGGGTAAACCACAAGGAGACTAGGTCAGTAGTCCCTCCACCCCCACTCCCCAGGTGAAGGTAGCCTAGACTAGGGTGGTGATGGAGGAGGTAGAAGAGGACAGATTCAAGGAAAATTTGGAAGGTAAAAACCAGTAGGATTTGCTGATGGACGGAATATAGGAGGGGAAAGGTAGATTATCAGGGATGTATCTTAGTTTTCTTATAGAAGATGTATTTAGTTGCAATGAAATTGTTAATTGAAATTGACTTTAAATAATGGCACGACTTAAAATTATGCAAACATTTGCCTTAGATAAAATTTCAAGTTTTCAAAGTTTTTAGCTGGGTAGATGGCATGGCTTTACTTCATATTTCTTGGTATTTCCTAATCTTGTTAAAAAAAAGTTTTTCTTTTTCTCAAAGGCTTATTTCAGTGGAAGCCCATCTGCGAAATCTGTTATAAATTTAAATTAGAAAATAAATACAAGTGCCATTGACACGTTGGTTATTGTTTTTGCGAGTGACCTAAGGCCACCTCTCGCGGGAGCTGGGGGCTGCCTTCCGACTCCTGTGCGTCTGCGCCGCGGGCGGAGCCCGGAAGTCAGACTATGGGGCGGTGCGGCAGCGCGAAGCCTGCAGTCCTAAAGGCGGGGTCGCTCCAGGCTTCCGAGGGGGTGTGTCTCCCGCCTCTTTAACCTGGCAGGGGCGGTTCAAGTGGCCGGGGAAATCGGCGAATTGCAGGGTCAAGGGCTGGTGCTTTGAAAGAGAGGCGGAGGGGAGAGAGGGATTTTCCCGTCCCCGCTGCGCTCCGTCCTCCATTACTCGTTTTCTCCGCCCGCGGCCCGAACCCGTTGTGCGGTAGAGGCAGCCGGGTCCCTTTAAGGCCCAGCTGCGCTCCGTCCTCCATTACTCCTTTTCTCCGCCCGCGGCCCGAACCCGTTGTGCGGTAGAGGCAGCCGGGTCCCTTTAAGGCCCAGCTGCGCCTGTGCCTTGGGCTCTCCTGACACGGCCCATCCGGACCCTGAGGAGCCAGCGGGCCGCAAGCAAGTTGCTGGGCGGCGGTTGAGATAGCGGCGGTGCTGGGAGGGGTAGGTGAGGGTCGCGAGGCTGCCTGAGCTTCTGAGTGAGCCTGGTGATTTTGGGAACGCGGGACGGGCGACCTGCGGCGCCAGGAGCGGGGCCGAGGTACGGCGGCACGGCTGCAGCCTGGATGGGAAGTTCAAGTTTACTGCGAAGTCCACCCAGCGTTCCGGAGGTGAGGGCGCCGCGCCAGGCCGGGCGGCAGGTGAGTCTGGGACCTGCGGGCGCACAGCTGGGCTGAGGCGCGGCGCGCTGGGCCGCCGCAAGTTTTGTTACGCGAGCGGGGCGGTTGCGCCGGGCACTGCCGGGCTCCGCAGGGCTCCGCCGGGGCCTAAGTTCCCTGCGCTTGATTCCTCGCCTGCCGCTGCAGCCCACAGCCCTCCTCTCGTGGGCGCTGGGGAAGAAACTCCCTGGCGGGTGTTCTGTGGCATCCCAGGGGGTGGAGGGACGGAGCAGCTTCGGGGGCACGTCTTCGGAAGTCCTGTGGAGCACACTGACTTCGCACCCCACCCTCGAGGCCGTTCCTTCTGGGAACTTGGGCAAGAGCGCTCGCGCCCCTGACTTGCAAAGTTGGGGTCTTTATTGGCCTCCGGGATTCTGCTCCTGGCGGTGTCTCCAGGCTGGTGATGGGCAAGCCAGGTGTGCCAGGTCCAGGATGCATGTGAGGAGCGTTTGTAGCGATCACTGAATCACCTCATGACTAGCGGGGCAAGCCTCCAATTAACCACAGGATTTCTGGTAGGTTGGACTGTGGTGTTGGTGTTTGCAGTCCAAAGAGTTGCTGTGATTTTTCTGTGCCTGTCTGTCTTTCTTTGAGACTTCTTAGATTATCTCATTTGGCGTCCTTTCACCCAAGAGTTAACCAAGCGAGGAATGGTTTCCTCGCTTTCTTCCTACCTTTTGCTGGTGGAGCTGCTTTCGAAAGAAGCACTTTAAGAGGCCGACGCGGGCGGATCATGAGGTCAGGAGATTGAGACCATCCTGGCTAACACTGTGAAACCCCATCTCTACTGAAAATACAAAAAATTAGCCGGGAGTGGTGGCAGGTGCCTGTAGTCCCAGCTACTCGGGAGGCTGAGGCAGGAGACTCGCTTGAACCTGGGAGGCGGAGGTTGCAGTGAGCGGAGATATCTTGTCACTGCACTCCAGCCTGGGTGACAGAGCGAGACTCCCTCTAAAAAAAAAAAAAAGCCTTTTCTTGCAGTGGTATCTTTTCTTTGAGTTACAGTGTTGTTCATCCTTTCTTTGCCGAAAGAATGAATCCCACTGCTTCACG
This sequence comes from Homo sapiens, assembly GCF_000001405.40. Lineage (NCBI taxonomy): Eukaryota > Metazoa > Chordata > Mammalia > Primates > Hominidae > Homo > Homo sapiens. The sequence continues at coordinate 146,940,084 of NC_000001.11, forward strand.
AAGTTAAGGAAAACTGATGTGCTGGTGGTTTTTAATCTTTGTTCTGAGCTGTTATGCATTAATAGCTTTCTTTTTGTTTTTGAATTTAATTAGTAAAATTTCACCAGTGAACCAAAAGCTCTTTTTTTTTCTATTCTAAAATGCTAGCTTTAAGATTTCTGAGAACTTTGTGTCAAAGAAATCTTCGAAAAGTTACTGAAGTATACAGAAGAAGTTCACAATTTTAAACGTGCAGGTGATCTGGGCGTGGTAGATCACACCTGTAATTCCAGCATTTCGGGAGGCCAAGGTGGGCGGATCACTTGAGCCCAGGAGTTCCAGACCAGCCTGGGCAACGTGGCAAAATGCCATCTCTACTAAAAATACAAAAATTAGCTGTGTGTGGTCAACAGAGCCCGGGAGGTTGAGATTGCAGTGAGCAGTGATCGTGCCAGTGCACTCTGGCCTGGATGGCAGAGTGCAACCCTGCCTCAAAAAAAAAAAAAAAAGTACAGGTCATGAGTTTTTACTAAATGAACCACCACAGATTAAGAAATAGAACATTACTATATTGGGGTATATATGTAGAAGTGGCATTGTTGGTTTTAGAGCTATATGAATGATAAAACTTTAGTATTACATATGGCTGAACATTTTCCCAAAGTGTTTTATCAGGTAGCAGGGAATATTCCAGTTACCCCACATCCTTGCTGATGCTTGTCAGTTAAAAATTATTTTGTTATTCTCGTAGAGGTGCAGTAATATATCAATGCGGTTTCAACTTCCATTTTCCTGGTATTGAGATTGAGTATCTTTTATTGCCATTTATATGTCCTCTTTCATGAAGTGCCTGTTAAATCTTTTTATCCAGTTTTCATTGATATGCTTTTCTGTTGATTTGTAATACTTTATTCTGGATATGCATCCTTTCTAGGATATATATGGATTGCATTTCTCTTTTTTCAATCTGCAGCTTGCGTTTTCACTCTTTTAATGATGTTTTTTCATGAATGGAGATTCTCTAATTTTTTTTCTTTTTGAGACAAGATCTCACTCTGTTGCCCAGGCTGGAGTGCAGTGGTACAATCACAGCTTAGTGCAACCTCGACCTCCCAAGGCTCAGGTGATGCTCCTGCCTCAGTCCCCAAGTAGCTGGGACCTACAGGAGACCACTACCATGCTCAGCTGTTTTTTGTATTTTTACTAGACATGGGGTTTTGCCATGTTGCATAGCCCGATACGGAATTCCTGGGCTCAAGTGATACACCTGCCTCGGCCTCCCAAAGTGTTGGGATTATAGGCATGAGCTACTGCACCCGGCCAGAGTATCTTAATTTTAATGAAATATACTTTATCAATCTTTTCCTTTATGGTTACTGCTTATTGTGTCCTGTTTAAGAAATCAATGCCTGGCCAGGTGCGGTGGCTCATGCCTGTAATCCCAGCACTGTGGGAGGCCTAGGCAGGTGGATCACGAGGTCAGGAGTATGAAACCAGCCTGGCCAACATGGTGAAACCCCGTCTCTACTAAAAATACAAAAATTAGCTGGATGTGGTGGCGGGCACCTGTAATCCCAGCTACTCAGGAGGCTGAGGCAGGAGAATTGCTTGAACCCAGGAGGCGGAGGTTGCATTGAGCCGAGATTACACTACTGTACTCCAGCCTGGTTGACAGAGCAAGACTCTGTCTTGTACCAAAAAAAAAAAAAAAAAAAAGAAAGAAAAAAGAAATCAATGCCTAGCCTAAGAATATGAACACACTTTTCTATATTAACCTTATAGCAATTTTATTTTAGTTTTTGCATTTTTTTTTTCAGACAGGGTCTTACTCTGTTGCCCAGGCTGAAGTGTGTTGGCATAATCTCAGCTCACTGCCACCTCCACCTCCTGGCTCAAGCAATCCTCCTGCCTCAGCCTCCTGAGTAGCTGCGACTATAGGCGTGTGCCACCATGCCTGGCTAATTTTTGTATTTTCTGTAGAGATGGGGATTCAACATGTTTCCCAGGTTGGTCTCAAACCCTTGGGCTCAAGTAGTCTGCTTGCTTCAGCCTCCCAAAGTGCTGGGATTACGGCATGCACCACCATGCCCAGCTAATTTTTTATTTTTTGTAGACAGGGTCTTCCTATGGTGCCCAGACTAGTTTCAAACACTTGGGCTCAGTTGATTGTCACACCTTGGCATCCCAAAGTGTTGGGATTACAGGTGTGAGCCATCACATCTGGCCATTTTAGTTTTAATAATTTTTATATTTTTCTAATTTAAAACAGGTACTAAAATTTCTTACAGCTATTATTTGTAAATATAGTATTCATTATTGTTATTATTTTTTTTGTATGTGTTCAATCTCATTTTCAATATAAGCTCCTGGAAATTAGAGATTTTGTTTCTTTTATTCACCACTGTATTCTCAGTACTTGACCTCACCTGGCATGAAACAGATATTGAATAAATATTTGTTAAATGAATGAATGAATGAACATACTAATACCATATTCAGCAATCTCCAAGTGTCACGGTTTTCACCATCTAACAAATAAAATAGCTTGTATAGAGCAGAATCATAGTCAAGCTGCCATAAAAGGAAATGCCAATGAAAAATAAACCTTTGTATGTGTAGCTGCTAAGATTTTGGGGCTTTTGTTACTGCAGCATAACCTAGTGAAAGCTCAGTGAGACAGCCTGTAGAATATACGGGTACAGATAGACCAGATAGACCAGTAGATGAGATTCCAAAGAAGCATTAACTACGCCCACACACTCTTAATTCCCTAACAGAAAGAATCGAATTCTTGTTCACTAAGATCTACCTCAAATATTCCTTACTTTATGAAAACTTCCCTGGCTACTCAAATATTTAGTCAGGACTCTATTTTTTCCCCCCAGGCTGGAGTGCAGTGGTGCCATCATAGCTCACTAACCTCTAACTCAAGGCTCAAGGAATCCTCCTGCCTCAGCCTCCCGAGTAGCTGAGAGTGCAAGTGTGCGCCACCATGCTCGGCTAATTTCTCATTTTTTATTTTCAGAGATGGGGTCTTACTATGTTGCACAGGCTGGTGAGGACTGTTGATTACATATGACAGAAACCCAACCAACTCTAGTTCCCCACCACCTTTCAACCTGCTCCTGCCTGGGTCTTCCCAGTCTCGGTAAATGGCAGCTTCACCCTTCAAGTTGCCCAAGCCCCAAATCTCAATGTTAACCTTGATTTCTCTCTTTTATCTCATAGGCATTCTGAAGGCAAATCCTGTTTAGACCCAGGCAAAGGTTCCTGGTGACCCAGGCTCTCATGAGCAGATTGTCCCTTATCATTCTCCTGAGGATGTCTGGAGCTTCAGTGCTGTGTGCTCTTGGCCTCCACACTGGGGGTGCCACCAACTCCCACTGTCCAGGGCTTCTGGTGGACTCTCCGAGGCACCGATGTAGAAACTTACCCATTCAGTGCACCAAGAGCAGCCTCACATGGTGTGGGCCGACATGAAGAGCTGCCAGATCCAACAGGTAAAAATCCTGAGGCATTGCCAGCTCGATGGGGTCAGAGAGTCCTCTTTCTATTATGACTCAGATGTGAAGGGAAGATGCCAAGGGCCCTAAACATCACAGGGCCTTGCGTGGCATCAAACAGATATTAAATAAATATTTGTTAAATGAATGAACAAATATTCACAGCATGTGCCACCCTGGACTTGTAGTGCCATGGTCGGGTGAAAGTGATTTTACTTCAGGAGAGGACATGTTCTCTTCAGGACTTTTCCTTGGTAGCTAGATCTGCATCCCTCTCCTCTCTCTTCCCCTCTCACCCCCCATTCTCTGCCCCCATTTCTGTCTCTGTTTCCACCCTGCTGTCCTCTTTCACCTGCTTTCTCCTCTTCAGCTTTCATGGCTCACCCCCTCCCTGTCCACCCGCATCCCCCAGGCTAAGGCTCTGCACTGTCCTGGGTGGGGAGATGTGTGTGGTTTTAGGCAGTGCCCTCTAGGTGTGTCCAGGATGGGGAAACATGGCTCAGTTGCCAGTATAATGGGTTAAAAGAGAGACCACTTTTGAAGGCCGATCCCATCTCCCATTCCAGAATCCTGTAGGACTTAGAATTTATGGGCCACAGTGGAATTCTTGGTTCCCCAGGACCTTGTGGTGGACGCCTTCTTTCACTGACCATTCATGGGGTGACTATTAGGTACCATGCCCTGCTCTGGGCTAGAGGCCCCATAATGAGTAAATCTCAGGTCACTACCCCACGGAACCCACCACTGCAGGCATTGAGAGGGGGAGAAAGAAAGGGGCATGGCCTGTTTGTATCCTTCTCACGTGGCCATCCACCAGGTCCTGGGGGAGTGGGAGCCAGTGCAAGGAGGGAAGTCCAGTGAGAATGACAAATGGACGATGTCAGACCCAGGGGCTGAGGCCCCCACCTGCAGCCGGGCAGCTTCTGGAGTGGACAAGGAGCAGCAGGGAAGGTTGCGGCCTGGTGTTCTGGGATCCACTGTCTCATCTCATTCTTTGGGGCACCAGAACTTATCCAAAGACAAGACTCAGTGTCTCTGGCAACAGCGGGCCAGAGGAATAATGTGTTTCAGGAGGAAGAAGGGGTTGTACCCCATGGAAACAGTATATAGTTTTACAGTAGTGCGTCTCTCTCTAATAACTAGTTAGCATGTTCCTGTTAATGGAAATACTGGTGGTGTAAGTTCCCCTGGATGTTCTCATCTTCATGTAAATTTGTTCATTTCCTTCCTTCTTTTCTTCCCTACTTCTCTCCCTTCCCTACTTCCCTCCCACTCTCTTTCTCTCTCTCATTCTTTCCCTCCCTCCTTCCCTTCCACCCTCCCTCCCTTCCTTTCTTCCTCCCTTCCTCCCTCCCTCCCTGCCTCCCTCCCTCCCTCCCTTCTTTTCTTCCTCCCTCCCTTCCTCCCTCCCTCCCTGCCTTCCTTCCTCCCTCCCTCCCTTCCTTCCTCCCTCCCTCCCTTCCTTCCTCCCTCCCTCCCTGCCTTCCTCCCTCCCTCCCTTCTTTTCTTCCTCCCTCCCTTCCTCCCTCCTTCCCTCCCTCCCTCCATTCTTTCCTTTCTTCTTTTCTTTTTCTTTCTCTCTCTCTCATGCTCTCTCTTTTTCTTTCCTTTTTGTTCTACTATTTTAAATAGACCACACTGCACTGAAATCTACATTACTTATCAAAATCTCTGGAGCTGCTTCTGTCTTGTAGGCAGGGAGCTCATCCTGTAGCCCTTAGGTCCTCCCAGCCTCCTCCTCCTCTGATTTGTGGGTGCCACTGGGGCAGCTGCTGAGTCTCAGTGGTTCCTAGTCATCACCAAGTTCTGCCCACCTAGATGGTTTGCACCTGTCCTTACCAGAACCCTGCACTGTCTAGATGACTGAGGCTGCTTCTGCCTAACTGATCTGCTAGCTGTGTTCCGGGGGCACCCCAGGGTTAGAGGTAAATGGCATAGGCGTTGAAATCTCCAACTGCTCTGACTCCAGGTTGGTGCACTTCAATGCCAAGTACTAACCAAACAATAACAGGATGCCACCAAAACCTTGGTAAGGGGCTGCTGCATCCTAATTAAAAAAAAGTAATAGATGTTATTTTTTAGAACAGTTCTAGGTTTACAGAAAAATGGAGTAGATAGTACAGAGAGTTCTCCTAGGCTCCCCTGTCCTCCAGCACACAATTTCCCCTATTAGTATATTGTATTAGTGTGGTCCATTCGTTACAATTGATGAACCACTGTTGATACATCATTATCAACTAAAGTCCATAGTTTACGTTAGAGTTCATTCTTTGAGTTTCACAGATTGTGGGTTTTGGCAATTACGTAATGTCCTAAATCCTCAATACAGCATCATGCAAAATAGTTTCACTGCTGAAAATTCCCTGTGCTTCACCATTTCATGCCTCCTCCTCTCCTCCACCCCTGACAACCACTCATCGTTTTACTACTTCTATCTTTTTGACTTTCCAAGAATGTCCTAGAGTTGGAATTACAGTATGTAGGTTTCCAGACTGGCTTCTTTCTAGCATTATGTACTTTAAGTTCCTCCACGCCTTTTCATGACTTGATAGCTTGTTTTGTAAAATCACTGAATCAGATTTCATTGTATGGCTACAACACAGTTTGTTTATTCATTCACTTGGTGAAAGACGTCTTGGGTACTTCCAAGTTTTGACAATTATGATAAAATTGCTGTAAGTACTTACGTGCAGGATTTTGAATGAACTTAAGTTTTCCAAAGTGACTACACTTTTGATTTCCACTAGCTATGGAGAGTTCTGGTTGTTCCTGATCTTTGACAGCATTTGGTGTGTTCACCGTTTTGTGTTTTAGCCATTCTGATAGGTTTACGGTGATATCTCGTTGTTTTAATGTGCAATTCCCTCACAAATGATTTTGAGCATCTTTCTCATATGCTTATTTGCCATCTGTATATCTTATTAATGAGGTGTTCAGATCTTTCACCTTTTTTTTTTTTTTTTTTTTTTTTTTGCTTTGTGTTGTTTAGTTCTCAGAATTCTTCATATATTTTGGACAGCAGTTTTTCCATCAGATTATTTTGTAAGTATTTTCTCCCAGTCTGTGACTTGCTTTTTCCATTCTCTTAACAGTGTCTTTCACAGAACAGAAGTTTTTAATTTTAATGAGGCTCAACTTAATTTTTTTTCATTAGTAGATTGTGCTTTTGGTTTTGTATTTAAGAAGCCATCATTGAACCCAGGATCCCCGAGATTTTCTCCTATGTTATCTCCTAGGATTCTTATGGTTTTGCACTTACATTTACGTGTAAGATTTATTTTATAAAGGATATAACATGCATACCTGGATTTATTTAGTTTTTTGCATGTGGTTGTCCAGCTGTTCTAGCACCACTAGTTGGAAAGGCTATCTTTGCTGTTTTAAATTGTCTCTAAAGCTCCATGGAAGATCAGTGGACTGTATGTAGGCCTGCTTCTGGGCTCCGTATTCTTTTCCATGCATCTATTTGTGTGTGTTTTCTCTTTTCACCAACTTCACACTATTTGGGTTACTGTAGCTTAATGTAAGTCCTGAAGTTGGTAGTGCCAAACCTCAGGGAGTTTTTCTGAACTTCATCATGAGAACCTGGTTGAGATCATTGTAGTAAAACTTGGAAATGTGTAAGATTCCCCCTTAGTCTGGTCTTCAAGGAGTTTTTAATGTTCTAGCCAGGCTACCCTCAGCTTCTAGTAATCTGTCAATATCATTTAAGTGCTCCTCCCACTTGCTGTCCCCAGTAGCTTCTCTTCCCTGTGACCTGTGACTCCTTATGTGTTAGCCTGTGTTTCTCATTTTTAAGGTGGCAGTTTTCCCTGTGACCTCAATTCTCTGATCCACCCTAGAAGGGTTGACTTTCAGTTTGTTCAGCTTTTTTCTAGCTGTGAGGACAAGTGATGACTGCCTAGCTCTTTCCATGTTGAAATAGAAACCCAAAAGTTTGTTTAAAGAATTACTTGTTATAAAAGTCCCCCATTGTTAATGTACAACTCAATGATGTAAGTTGATTTATCGAATTGTGCAGCCATCAGCAGAGTTCTACTTCAGCACATTTTGTCACTTCCCAAATTCCCTTGAACCTGTTTGTAGTCATTTCCTAATCCCTGGTCCCCATGACTGGGTCTGAATAGAATAAACATTTGGAAAGCAGACTTCATTATATTTACATTTTCCTGTGTTTGGGACTTTATGTAGTGGACTATTGTGTTCGTTTTGTGACAAGTAGAGAAGAGATTGCATTCTAGGGATGGTTTTTGGGGGAACATAATAGTAGTCCTGTTTATGGCTCTCCTTGAATTGGTTCTTCTGTGCTGGTGACTGGTATTTGTTACCAAACCTTGTCTGGTGAGCACAAGAAAAGGAATTTTTTAAAATCTGCTATTAAAATTGAGATGATACATTTTCACATAATAATATTTGGAGTTAAGTAGTGAACCGTCTTTATTTTATTTTATCTCTTTTTTTGGAGATGGAGTTATTTCTCTTTTCCTTGGGCTCGAATGCAACGGCGCCATCTCAGCTCACTGCAACCTCCACCTCCTGAGTTCAAGTGATTCTCCTGCCTCGGCCTCCTGAATAGCTGGGATTACAGGCGCCTGCTACCACACCTGGCTAATGTTTGTATTTTTGGTAGAGACAGGGTTTCTTCATGTTGGCCAGGTTGGTCTCTAACTCTTGACCTCAAGTGATCCACCTGCTTGGCCTCTCAAAGTGCTAGGATTACAGATATGAGCCACGGCCTGACCTGAACTGTGGGGAAAAGAAAGAGAGATCAGATTGTTACTGTGTCTGTGTAGGAAGAAGTAGACATAAGAGACTCCATTTTGTTCTGTACTAAGAAAAATTCTTTTGCCTTGAGACGCTGTTAATCTGTAACCCTACCCCCAACCCTGTGCTCCCTAAGACATGGGCTGTGTCAACTCAGGGTTAAATGGATTAAGGGCTGTTCAGGGTGTGCTTTGTTAAACAAATGCTTGAAGGCAGCATGCTTGTTAAGAGTCATCACCACTCCCTAATCTCAAGTACCCAGAGACACTACACTGCGGAAGACTGCAGGGACCTCTGCCTAGGAAAGCCAGGTATTGTCCAAGGTTTCTCCCCATGTGATAGTCTGAAATACAGCCTCATGGGAAGGGAAAGACCTGACTGTCCCCCAGCCCGACACCCGTAAAGGGTCTGTGCTGAGGAGGATTAGTAAAAGAGGAAGGAAGGCCTCTTTGCAGTTGAGATAAGAGGAAGGCGTCTGTCTCCTGCTCATCCCTGGGCAATGGAATGTCTCGGTGTAAAGCCCGATTGTATATTCCATCTACTGAGATAGGAGAAAACCGCCTTAGGACTGGAGGTGGGACATGCTGGCAGCAATACTGCTCTTTAAGGCATTGAGATGTTTATGTATATGCACATCAAAAGCACAGCACTTTTTTCTTTACCTTGTTTATGATGCAGAGACATTTGTTCACGTGTTTACCTGCTGATCTTCTCTCCACTATTATCCTATTGTCCTGCCACATCCCCCTCTCCGGAAACGCCCGATAATGATCAATAAATACTAAGGGAACTCAGAGGCCAGTGCCGGCATGGGTCCTCCGGCATGGGTCCTCCGTATGCGTTCAGCATACGGTCCCCTGGGCCCATTTTTCTTTCTCTGTACTTTGTCTCTGTGTCTCTTTCTTTTCCAAGTCTCTCCTTCCACCTAACGAGAAACGCCCACAGGTGTGGAGGGGCAACCCATCCCTTCACTGAACCATTTTTATTCTTTCAGAAATGTGATTGATAACAGTAAAGCCACACTCCTCAAGTGCCTGAAATACCCCTCATTGTCTTCTTCAGGTGGCAAGGGCTCTGGAACAGCCACATAAAGGTGAGGGCAATATTTTTACTGTAGTTCTTTCATTGATTGGTCGATTGATTGATTTTTTTCTCTTAGAGGGTTAGCATACATTTATCTGAAATTGAAATTCAAGAGGAGAGACAGGCACCTGTACTAGTTTTCTCTCGCTGCCTATTATCACATTACCACAAACCAGTGGTTTGAAACCACAGAAGTCTGGAATGAAGCGGCCGGGTTCTCTGATCAGAGTCATGTGAGACTAAAATCCGGGAATGGGCTGGCTATGTTTTTTTCCTAGAGCTCAAGCTATTTTTCCAGGTTCACTACAGATAATGAAAGAGTTCCTATTCTTGTTTGTGGGGGACTGAGGGCCCTTTTTCTGTGCTGGCTGTCAGCAGGGAGACACTCTACTCTGACTCCAGAGGCCACGTGCTTTCCTCCTTACCTGTCTGTTTCATCTTTCAACCAATAACAACTTATGGAGTCCTTCTCAAGCTCCCACCTTCTCTGACTTCATCTTCTCCAACCAGCCACACAAAGCTCTGTCATGTGTGGAGTGATGTGATTAGATCCAGTTCATGCGGTAACCTCACCATCTTAAAGTCATATAACTGGCATATAACAACATAGTCACAGGAATGGTGTCTCATCACGTTAAGAGGCTTTAGAGACAAGGGTGTGGCATGTTTGGGGACCATTTCAGAAATTCCATCTACCACAGTAGGACACGCACATTCCCCCATCTGCAAAGTGCATTTACCCTCTCCCCTGAGGTTTCCAGATTTCATGTCATTAAAGCATTAGTTCAACATGAAAAATGTCATGTAGACCACATCAGATCAAAAGTTTAAAATCCCATCTAAAACATCCACACCAGGTGTGAATGAGGCTTCCGAGAGTGTCCATTAAGTGCAGATCCTTGACATAATTCCCTTACCTCTGTCGACCTGTGAAACTGAACAAACAGCTTATCTGTCCCTAATGTGAAATGATGGGACAGACATAGAATAACAACTACAGTGATTCTAGTTCAAAATGAGGGAACATGGAGGGGATAAAGAAGTCACTAACCCAAAATAGTTTGGAAATGGAGCTGGGCAAAATCCAGCAGGAGTTTCTTAGTTAGGATCCACAGCCTGGGACTGACCCTCTGTCCTGTGGGTCTTTGCCTCTGGGCTCTCTGCTCTGCATTTCTTGAAACCATTATTATTTATCATTTTTCTCACACTCTTTTGCGTATGGCTCCTATTGCACTCAAAATGTTTTTGAGATTCATCCATGTTGTTTTGTGTGTCAAAAGTTTGTTCCTTTAGCCATTCCATGGAATGAATGTATCACATTCTTGTATTGATAGATATTTGAATGTATATTTGAATGTATATTGATAGATATTTGAATACAAGAATGTATCCATTCTTGTATTGATAGATATTTGAATGTTTCCAGTTTTTCCTATTACGAATAAAACTGCTATGGACATTCTTGTATATATCATTTTCTGCACATATGTTTTAATTTCTCTTGGATAAATGCTTAGGAATTACTGAGTCATAGAATAGGTAGTTGTTTAGTTCTGTAAGAATATGCCAGACATTTTTTCCCAAAGTGTTTATACTATTGTACATTCCAACCATTAATGTATGAAGGTGAGAAAGCTTTTGCTACTTCCAAAGAGGCCTCTCTATATACATGTAATTTTTTCTAACTGGAGACAGGCTGATGACTTCAGGGACATGAGCATGGGATACCTGTCATCACCACCACCATGAAGTTGGGATTCAGGAAGGAGTTTAATCATATAAAGAATCCTGTGACCAGTATGAGCTTCTCTCAGGCCACACAGGGCACTCAAGTGAACAGGGCATGGGGGCCCTGGGGTCATGGTAAGAAAGTGTCTCATTGGTAAAACCTTTTCCTCTGGGGAGGTAAATAAATTATTTGTTTCTTCTTGGTAGCCCTTGAAGATAAGGATGGTCAAACAAAATAATATCATACCTGGAGAAACTCAGATCTTGCTAAGATTTACTGGTTGGGAATCCAAAGTTAATGCCAAGAAGCAGCTGCCAGTTGGGATCAAATGTGAGCCTATGGATCAAGGTGCGTACTCAAACACAGAGAGCTTTCTGAAAGATGCTACCAGTAGTTTTTCCAGGGCAGAGATGTGTCCTTTATTTTTCTCTCTAATCTAGCCCATATGCTTAGCTGAGTTTTCTTCATATCACTTTAAATGATGATGTCCCTTGTTCAACAATTTTCTAAACATTCTTTAGATAATAATTTTATGGGCATTCTTTATTGCATTAGGCTTAAATTTAATGTATCTTAAGGTTTTATTGCAAAATATTGCCTTGTTTCCTTTTTAAGATGATACAATTTATAATATGCAAATTTGCTGTCTGTCCCCTCCCTTTATGTACATAGAAAATGAGCAAACAGGTGGCCATGAAACAGATGGTCATAGAATTGTTTCAGTGCTTGTGAGTGCAGCAACCCAAGAGTGTCTTATCTGAAATACCACCAGGAATGTCTGGACACAGTAGACAAAGGTTTTTCAACTGGATGCCTTAGGATACATGCTTCCAAAAACAAAGTAGCCAAAAAGAAACCAGAGTCACAGAATATCAGAGCCAGAGGAACATTTGGAGGTAATTCAGTACCTCCTCCTTTTCAGCCTACAGGGGAGATAGTGGAAGAGAAGCAGGGATGGGTCTGCCTTCTGTGCCCACAATTCATTGGAGATTGTTGTGGTGAAGAATTTCTTTTATGATGAAGGAGAAATAAACTCCCATCAGCTTTAATTCAGGCAGGTTTATTGAAAAGGTGAAGAAGCATCTTGCAGAAGCAAAGCATGGCTGAGGCTTGTGGGCTCTGTCTGGACAAATGAGCAGCTGACAGTGGCTGGTGCTGCCCCTGACTCTAGGGCCGTGTGGTCTGTGGTTCTCTGTGAGCATCTCTTCTATTCTCTTGCATCGTCCCTCAGCCTGGCAGTCTCTGTGTACTCTTCAAAACATAATTGAGCGAGGCTGTACCAGCCCCAATGCCGTGTAGCACTTTATGTCAAATTAGAAAGGCATGAAATAAACTGGCCCTTTATAATACAACTGTTGGAACAACAGTTGAAAATAACAATATCTTGACTCCTGGTTGAGTGCTTTATGCTGAGCTTTCTTTTCTGAATATGAGCACAGACTTGGGGATATTAGTGTCACCTAGCGTTATTAGCTAGTATTCTCCTTTTGTTTCCCCATAACATCCCCTCCTCCTTCCCACAGATCCACTTTCCACTCATTTCCATCCTGTCTTACGCCACTTGGGGCTTGTCCCTTCTAGAATGCATCCCTGGCTCCCCTGTGTGCACACTTCTAGTTAGGTTTAGCAATGTGGGCACCCGATGGAGCCTGGAAGTGAGAGGAAGGTGAGGTCCGTATTTCTTCCCTCTCCCTCCCTGCTCTGGCACTGAGTATCTGGCAATAGCTGCATCTGTCTATTACTTCAGTGGCCACTCTTCCACAGCCCCAATTCTCAGTGGGTCCCATAGCATTATTTACCTTTGTTCCTTTAGCTCCCACCAAGGAAGACCCAGAGGCATTCTCCTCACCAAGGCATTAAGAAATGCATGGGTGAGGGGAACAGCGGCGTGCCTGTAAAGGTCCTGTGGCGCCTCTCCTCTACAGGCTGGAGGTCATGGCGGGAGATGCTGCATGGATTTGCCCTCCCTGCTGTCAGAACAACAGGATTCTGGAAGAGTCTCAGAGGACAGGCCGTGGGACTTGGCTGTCTAGAGACAAGGCGGGAGGGATTTCCTTGAGAGGCAGGGACATGTGGTGGTTACTAATCATTGTGAGGTGTCTGGGATGTAATGGATGGGAAATCTACTAAGAAGTCAACTTATGTAATAATTAGAAAAGCTCTAGTTCTGAGGACAGAGACCTGTTGGAGTCACCATAGTGGAAATTTATGACCTGGTATCCAGTTCAGATACCTGGAGCTTCTTGACTGGGGGGAGATTGGATCCCTTGGGGAAGAGTGAAGCCTTCAATGCTGCCACAAGTGTGATCCGCCCGCCTCAGCCTCCCAAAGTGCTGGGATTACAGGCGTGAGCCACCATGCCCGGCCTCTTTTTTATATTTAAAAAATATCATTTTATATATTATCAGGGCAAAAGAGAAAAACCGTATGATTACCTTGTCATACACAGTAAAAGCATTTGGCAAAATTGAAAACTTTTTTCATGATTTATAAAAACAAACCCCAGAAAATGCTCAGCATGATGAGAACAGAAGGCAACACTTCCAACCCCATTAAGGGCAGATTTGAAGAACCCACAAGTAACATTATATTAAATGGCATAAGATTGAATGCTTTTCTATTAAATCAGAGAAAAAAGTAGAATACCTGTTGTTACTCTTTTAATTCAGCATTATACTAGAGCTCTAAGTCAATGCAATAAAGTAAGAAAAATTAATAAAGTATTGAAAGAATTGAAGCTGTCTTTATTCACAGATAATGACTGTGTTTGTTAACAATGCTAGAAATCTACAAAAATCTACCAGAACTAATCAGTGAGTTTGGTAGTGTTGCAGAATGTAAGCTCTCAATGTAAGTGGTCTTTTGTATTTCTGTATATTAGCAATGAGCATTTGGAAAATGAAATAAGAATACAATTTCATTTAAAGTAACATCTAAATACATGTTGTGCTTATAAATAAATTCAACAGACTGGGCACCATGGCTCACACTTGTAATCTCAGCACTTTGGGAAGCCGAGGTGGGCAGATCATGAGGTCAGGAGATGGAGACCATCACGCCTAACACAGTGAAACCCCATCTCTACTAAAAATACAAAAAATTAGCTAGGCGTGGTGGCATGTGCCTGTAGTCCAGCTACTTGGGAGGCTGAGGCAGGAGGATCACTTGAACCTGGGAGGCAGAGGTTACAGTGAGCCGAGATCGCATCACTGCACTCCAGCCTGGGTAACAGAGCAAGACTCTGTCTCAAAAAAAAAAAAAAAAAAAAAAAAGGAAAGTCAACAAAATTTATGTAAGGCCAGTACACCAAAAACTACAAAAAATTGCTTTGAGAAATTATGAAAGAACTAAATTAGTGGGGAGATAAACCTTGTCATGGATCAGAAGAGTTGTTATGTTTAAAGAGTCAGTTCTTCGTAAATTGATCTCCAGATCCAATGCAATTCTAATAAAAATTCCAAGCGGCATTTTGGTAGAAATTTTCAAGCTGATTCTACCATTTATATGGTAATGTCAATGATCAAGAATAATAAAATAGCAATATTATAAAAGAATAATGGTGAATGAATTCACTACCTATTTCCAGAATTACTCTACATACAGCTATGAAAATCAAGATTATGTGTTTTGTTGAAAAAAAAATAGAATATATATCAGTGGAAGAGAAGAGAGAATCCAGAAATAGATACTCACATGTATGTCTAATTGATTCTTAGGACATATATATATGTATACACACCCACACACACACACACAAACGTGTGTGTGTGTGTGTGTGTGTATATATATATATTCACCGTTTTGAAGATTATCATCTCCAAATAGGGAATATATATATATATATATATATATATATATATATATATATATATACACACACACACACATATATATATTGCAGTCTGATAAGATAAACAGCACAATGAAACAATTTCTCAAAAGACTTGAATAGATACTTCAGAAAAGAAGATACATGAATGGTCAATTAGCATAGGAAAAGATGCTCCACTGTTTAGTCATCAGGGAGATCAATCAGTGCAACAATGAGATACCAGTACATATCCATAAGAATGGCTAAAATTAAAAAGGCTGAAAATAGCACATGTTGGTGAGGATATAAAGCACTTGGAAGTCTTATACTTGTAGGAATGAAAAATGGTATTGCTCCTTTGAAAATCTAACAGTTTCTTAAAGGTTAAACATAACACAAATCAGATAGACAGTCATTCCATTCCTAGGAATTTACACACTGTGTCTGCACAATGATCTGTATGTGTGTTTCCAGACCAACCTGAGGGGCGGGCTGCTATTTCTCGTGGCTCAGTAACGAGACACAGATGAACTGGGGAGGAAGAGAGTTTTGACTTCTGCAACTGGTTACAGGGAAACGGCCTGGAAATTATCACCAGACCAACTCAAAATTGGAAAGTTTTCCTGAGCTAATGTACCTTCTAAGCTATATGTGTATGTGGAAGTGTGCATTCATCTAAATACATAAGTGATTAACTTCTTTTAATCTATAACTAAGTCTGAGTCCTAAAGACCTTCCTCTGGAACCTCAGTTAAATTCACTTAATCTAAGTGGGTCTAGGTGCTGGGGGCCCTTATCTTGTCTCCTGCTAAATCACAGAGGTTTGGAGAGTCCCTTCAGATCTCCAATAAACTTGTTTGTGGAGGCCTGGGGAGTTTCTTCAGACCCCCAGTAAAACTCGTTTAATACTAAATGGCTCCTGTTAAGAATGCCTTCGTTATTTCGTCATGCTTTAAGGCCCAGGAAAAACCTAGGCAAAACTCTTGGTGGGCTTTTGTTACATTCCAGCCTTTGTATAAGGGCACTGGCTTCTTTTTTTTTTTCCTCTTAATATTTAATTGAACCACTCAGTCGCTACTGAAACAGTTGTTAGGGAGGCCTGTGTTAGTGAGACCTGGCCTGCTACGTATGGATGCTCATGATAGTTTCTTCATAATAGCCCAAACGCGGAATGATAGAAATGTCCAATAATAAGTGAAAGTACAAACATACATGGTATAGCCACATGAAGGAATACTACTCAGTCTTTACAAGACATTACAGATGGATTTTAAAATTACATTGATGCATGAAAGAAGGCAGACACAAAAGAACACAGGTATCATTTCATTTGTAGAAAATGGTTAAAAATGCAAACGGACCTGAAGTGACAGTGGCTCCTTGGGGCTGAGGGTTGAAAGGCTGATGAACTGCAAAGGGGTACAAGAAACTTTGGGGCATAGGGAATTTCCTCTATCTTGGTTGTGGCAGTAGTTCCGTTAGTGCATCCATTTGTAAACGTGCATTGAATTACACATTTTAAAGTGGTGCAGTCTGTTGTACCGAAATTATGCCTTTATAAAGTTGATTTCATCATCTTAATTTCTCCATACTAGCAATTAGCAGCTAGAAAATGAAATTCAATAAAACATAATAGAGATTAATAGCCAGAATCATTACATGCTTAACAACACATGCAATGAAGCAGGTACGAGGCCCCTAAAAGCAATTGGTGAGAAAAATTAAAGAAGGCTAAATAAATATATATCATGTTCATTGATTGGAAGACTCAATTTTGTTAGCATATTACATCAACACAATTCTGATTAATATTTCTAGTAGGAGATTTTAGAGAAATTTGAAAGCTAGTTTCAAAATGTATTTGAAAATCAAAGAACCTAGAATAAGCAAGTCGGTCTTGAAGAAGCAATAAGTTGGAGGACTTGCTCTGCTAGATTTCAAACCTGATTTTAAAGCTACAGTAATTTAAAAACAGTAGTAATGGTGTAAGTATTCATAAATATATCAAAGTAAAAGAATACAGATTCAAACAATATGCCCACATATGTACAGTTATTGATTTTTTTTAGTAGAATCTTTTTTATTCATAAAAAATCCATCAAAACAAAAAAGTTTTCCAGCCACACACAGGAGGGGTATGGGTGGGGGAAGGTGTCTGTCCATCTATCCCTGGCCCCCAGCCCATGTGGTTTTGGCAGCAATAAGGTGTGTGGGGTAATGACTCCTGAAATTAAAATGGTGTGTGTATGTGAAGGAAAGGCGGGCAAAGCTGTGGGGAGCGGTGGAGTGGAAGGAACAAAGGAGGTCAGTACTGGGAACGCTGAAGGTGGGAGGCCATTTCATAACATTACTTGTTGATGAAATTGCCATGGATACCTTCTTTGCCCATCAGCAGGCCTAGCGTCTTGGCAGTCATGGTGACAATGACGTTGAAGGTGGGGGCTCCACTGATGCTCTTCATACAAAGATCCGTGGTCAATTCCCCATCCTGCAGCAGTGAGTCCAGGACCACAGTATATTTCTGGCCCCCCAGTGTCAGCCCATTCATGACAAAGCTTGACCAGTCTTTGCCAACCAGGGCACCAACCTCAGCTGGCGTGATGTTGAGGAAGGTTTTCCCTGGGACGGTGGCACAGATGGAAGGTGGGTCCTTGTTGCCCACAATGGCCGTGTCCTAACAGGTCCCGTCCGCCACGAGGCTGTAGATGGAGGTGTCCACCTGGCCTTTGCGTTGCTGCAGGGGCTCCTCTGGTCGCTGCTGCTGGGGCCGCCTGGGCTGGCAGGTGGGGGAGGCGGAGAGCTCGATGCAGGTGCTGTCCTCCTCGCCACGACTCTGCTAGCTGTGCAGTAGCCCTCGCTCCGCCACTTAAAAAAGAAAAAAAAAATATAATATATATATATATACACGTGTTATATATATTGTATATTATGTATATACACATATATATACACGTATGTATATACACGTATATAATATATATTCGTGTGTGTATATATATTTTATATATACGTGTATACATGTATATATGTGTGTGTATATATATATATACATGTGTATATATAAATAATACATATACACGTGTATATATATTATATACATATACACACGTGTGCCATGTTGGTTTGCTGCACCCATTAACTCGTCATTTACACTAGGTATATATCCTAATGCTATCCCTCCCCCAGCCCTCACCCCATGACAGGCCCTGGTGTGTGATGTTCCCCGCCCTGTGTCCAAGTGTTCTCATTGTTCAATTCCCACCCATGAGTGAGAACATGCTCGCACCGCCGCTTCTAAATGTTTTAAAAACAAAGACACCAATGCCCTTCATTGGGGAAATGAAAGACTTTTAAGTAAAACGATTTTGAGTGAAATAATATTTGTTGTTTTAAACAGTTAATATTAACCACTCTCCATCATATATTGAAATTAACTTAAGATGTGAAAGTTAAAATTAGAAACCTTGTAAAGGAAAAATAGGAAATAGTTTCATGAACTTGACACAGGAAAATATTTCTTAGACTAGATACTGTAGCACTCACCACAATAAGAAATCAAGCGAATTGCACTTCATTTTTAAAAAGCTTCTCCTTATTATGTTGTTGTTTAACAACTTAAACGCTATCTCTAGACCAGGAATAATTATTTGCTATATAATACAGCAAAAAATATGTATGTATAAATGGACTCATTCAAAATATATAAAGAACTCCTATTACAAAGAAATTGACAAACAGCCCAGTATATCAATGAATATAAAAATTTGAGAAGATATTTTCCATAAGAAGATATCTAAATGAACATTAGGCATGAGAAAACCAAATTTTAGGATATCACTACACACCTGGCATAGTTTAAAAGACTGAAAATATTAAGTGTGTGGGAATGTAGAGCAACTGGAAATGGCCTACATCTTTCATAGAAATGTAAAACAATACAAATACTTTGCAAAACTCTGTCCAACATTTTCTACCCATTCACCAAGCAACTCCATCCCTAGCTATAGATACCCAGGAAAATAAGTATGTATCTTCACAGAAATAATTGTATGAGAATATTCATAGTTACTTATGCACAGTAGTTATCAAGTAAACCTGTCTCCCATCAGAAAAATGGATATCAAATTGTGTGATAATCATACAATCAATAGGATATTACTTGGCCAAAACAAAATGAAACAAGGGAAAAACACAATCAAACAAATTAGTGGCATATATTCCCACCTGAGTAAAGAGAAGTCGGCCGTGTGCGGTGGCTCACGCCTGTAATCCCAGCACTTTTGGAGGCCGAGGCGGCAGATCACGAGGTCAGGAGATCGAGACCATCCTGGCTAACACAGTGAAACCCCGTCTCTACTAAAAATACAAAAAAAAAAAAATGAAAAATTAGCCGGGCGTGGTGGCGGGCGCCTGTATTCCCAGCTACTTGGGAGTCTGAGGCAGGAGAATAGCGTGAACCTGGGAGGCAGAGCTTGCAGTGAGCCTAGATCGCGTCACTGCACTCCAGCCTGGGCGACAGAGTGAGACTCTGTCTCAAAAAAAAAAAAAAAAAAAGTCAAAACAAGAGAACATACTAAATGATTCCATTTTTTTATTTATGACTTCATGACTACCATTAAGAAAATATAACCTGTTGGGAAACTGTTTCTGCCTTGATGATGTTGTACAGACAAGAGATAAACAGTGAGGAATATGCTTAGATGTATTGGGAAAGACACGGGTCTGTGGCATTGTCACAAGGGTACACGAATACTGAGAGTGAATGCTGAAGGAATGATCCCCATTGGTGGTGACCCTCAGGTGAGACTAGGGTGCCTGTGTTTCAGCAAAGCCTGGGCAATTGGAATGCAGGGCTCCTAAGATTCCATGACACCCCTACCTTCTAATTCTGTTATTGCAACTGCAGACGGTTACCTGGCACGCTGGCCACAATCTACCTCACTCTTATCAGAGTCTGAGCAGTGCTTTCAGCTCTGAGTTGAGGCACCTCGAACCTTGTTTTTGTGGTGAAGGATCCTAAAGTGCTGTGGGGAGTGATCACATTTTTCACAACAGTAAGTTAAGAATTTCAGTTACTGACATCCCTCAGTCCTGATTAAACCTATTTGATTTCACCAGTTTTTAACCCATCATATGTTTGGGTTTCTTCTCCCCAGTCCCTGACTCCACCTCTTCTGCCACAAACGTCAGCATGGTGGTATCAGCCGGCCCTTGGTCCAGCGAGAAGGCAGAGATGAACATTCTAGAAATCAACGAGAAATTGCGCCCCCAGTTGGCAGAGAACAAACAGCAGTTCAGAAACCTCAAAGAGAGATGTTTTCTAACTCAACTGGCCGGCTTCCTGGCCAACCGACAGAAGAAATACAGTAAGATCTATAGGCTCACCATCATGAAAGTGATGAATGATGTCCTGTCTTCTCTCTGAGACACTAAATGCTCTCTCCATCAAAAATAATTTCATCCTTCCTGTACTTCTAGGAAAACAGAAATGGGTATTTTAACATTTTGTTAAAGTTGGAAGACAGAGGTACCAAAGTATTTAGCAACTTTCCATGTTTGCAGTCAGATGGGGGTGGGACTAGAGTTAAACTCACAGTTACTGATTTCTGACACAGGCACAGAATGACCTGTTTTCTCCAAGAGGCTCAATCGTGTTTTCAAGAATCCTCTCTGTACCATATAAGATCCTGCAGACAAATAACATCTAGTCTGTTGTTCTAAATGTCTAGGACTAGTGAACTTTTATTCAGTTCAAGTTTCTGTTGAGGCCCAACAGGCAAAGCTCTGTTCTAGTGACTCTGAGGGGAACTTGGTGATAGTACCCAGTACCTGCTCTGAGGGGCTTCAAGAGGAGTCTGCTCCTAATAGAACCTGTGCTATCTATAAGTGACAGCATCAAGAGCAGGGAGTAGGGGCCGTGCAGCATGGCTCACTCCTGTAATCTCAGCACTTTGGGAGGCTGAGGCGGGCAGAGCACGAGGTCAGCAGTTTGAGACTAGCCTGGGCAACATGGAGAAACCCCATCTCCACTAAAAATACAAAAAGTAGATGGGCGTCGTGGCGGGCAACTGTAATCACCACTAATCGGGTGGCTGAGGCAGAAGAAGCCTTTGAACCCAGCAGGCAGGTGTTGCAGTGAGCCAAGATTGCACTATTGCACTCCAGCATGGGTGACAGGGCAAGACTCGTCAAAAAACAAACAAACAAAAGGATAAATAAATCAAAAATAAAAATAAAAAGCAGAGAGTACCTTGGTGAGAGTGAAGTCCTGCTTCCTGGTGCACAGGCTCTTGTTCCTAAAGAGGAAGAAAGATCACACCCGAGAATGTGTGGAAGCAGCAGTGCAGTGTGCAAAGCAGGGACCCTCAGCCTGTCTCCTGGGCTCCATCCAAGTTGCTTGTCTTGTCTGTCCCTCAGTTTCCTCATCTGTTCAGAGGGTACTACAATAATACCTACCTCTGTAAATTGCTGCAATGAATTACATGAGGTATTTCCTGTCAATCTCCTTGAACATTAATTGGCACAGTGTAAACACTATTAGTTCTTCATTCTGATGTTTCTAAATTAACACAAACTAATCTTATACTGTTTCTAAATTAACACAACTAATCTAAATCTTAATGCTGCCTCTCATACTAATAAAGTATTTGGGCATATTTCCTTCATGGCCTTATTTTCTTATGTCTCACACTTTATGCTTCAGATATGATTCTTAAAACCATATCTGAATATTGATTTAAAAATGAAATATTTTTAAAGTCCTTGACATATTTGTCCTTGAAATACCCAGTAAAAGGGAAACCATCAGTCCCATAGTCCTAGGGGCCTTCCCGACTGTACAAGAAATCACTACTTCATGCCCCAGTGCAGTGTTTTAGAGGAGAGGCTGCAAGGCTTGGGAAAGTGGCCCCGCATTCAGAGTCAGACCTCAGGGGCTGTGAGTTCTGACTCCACTTCGTGGTGGTTGAATCATCTTGTCAACTTCCTTGATGTGCTCTTGAGTTTCTCTTTCTTCGTCTTTAAATTTTGGAGGATCAGATGCCAGAAAGTCAGGAGACTGAAGAGTAAAGATGTGGAAATCCCTGTCTAGACCCTGGTACTGGGGAGAGTTTTGTCCTTGGGATGGACCTGGCTCCTGCCCTGTAGGCAGTGACCACAGCAGCATGTCCAGCCTTCCACTGAGGCAGGCGTGTCTGTCTTTTTCTCAGAGTATGAAGAGTGTAAAGACCTCATAAAATTTATGCTGAGGAATGAGCGACAGTTCAAGGAGGAGAAGCTTGCAGAGCAGCTGAAACA
Organism: Homo sapiens; assembly: GCF_000001405.40. Taxonomy (NCBI): domain Eukaryota; kingdom Metazoa; phylum Chordata; class Mammalia; order Primates; family Hominidae; genus Homo; species Homo sapiens. The sequence continues at coordinate 146,962,249 of NC_000001.11, forward strand.
AGCTGAGGAGCTCAGGTGAGGGGACCCCATGGGGGGAGGCAGGCGGGTAGGTGTGTAGATCTCTGAAGTACAGCAGCTCGGCGGGGAGAAGTAAGAACGAAGCTGGGCCAGGGAAAGGGCAGAAATTGCCATGGCAGGCTCATGACACACAAATATTTATCAGAGAACAAGGATAATAATAAGTTCTGTGTTGCAGTTGTTTCTTAGAGCCTTGTTTTCTCTTTTTCAAACAAGTAATTGTTGAGGTGAAATTTACATAACACAAAATTCACCAAAGGAGTGGGAACCACCTAGCAGCATTCAGTATACTCAAAATGGTGTGCTATTGCCACCCCACTTACCCTTAGTGAGAATCACCTTCTGACTGACTGCGTCTTCTCATTCTTTCACTCAATCAATGTTGCCTTCTTGACCCTGTCATTCTTTTCTTCTTTCATCTTTTCAATTCGCCCCATCTGCACCTGGCCTCATTTCTGTACATGGCTTTGTATCTAGTGGCCGCAAGATGCACTATGTGTATTTTCACATGGAAATGTCCATGGCCAGAGTGAGGAACTGAAAGGATGTCTTTTTGAAACGGAATTAGGAAGACACCTACCTTTGTTTACAGAAGAGAAAGATGAATGGAACATCATCGAGGATCTTGCAGGAGCCCTCTCTGATAGAGGGAAAGCCTGTAGACCATTTTCTGTTCTTTCTCTTGGCCACAGACATTCCTTTCAACATGTGCTGACCTTCTGCTTGAAGGTCTCCTTGAGAACATTGTCTCAGAAATCTCTGTTGCAATATTTGAACGGATCACTCAACGCTTTTCACTGTTAAATTTTCTCTACCGTCTCACCTTAGGCAATATAAAGTCCTGGTTCACTCTCAGGAACGAGAGCTGACCCAGTTAAGGGAGAAGTTACGGGAAGGGAGAGATGCCTCCCGCTCATTGAATGAGCATCTCCAGGCCCTCCTCACTCCGGATGAGCCGGACAAGTCCCAGGGGCAGGACCTCCAAGAACAGCTGGCTGAGGGGTGTAGACTGGCACAGCAACTTGTCCAAAAGCTCAGCCCAGGTAAGGTGGCCATAGGCCCTGATGACCCAAAACCCCAGGCTTATGAGAGGCTCCAGACCTCCATACTTTCATGATGACAGTTGTATCAGTGGGGTTTTTTTCTACTACACATATGTGGCCATGACATGATCAGGACTTCCTGGGTAAGAACAGAAATGGGAAACCCATGGGTTTGGAGGTCCCAGTATTGCAAGTGTCCCTCCTTCCTTGATGGAAGGTGGTCTTTGGAGCAAAAGGCAGCATCTATCTAGTTTTAAAGGACAGGAAGGAGGCTGTGATGGGAGGGCGCTTGTTGGAGTGAAAAGAGCTCTGGGCTAAGAATGAAGGTTCCCAGGCTGTCTTTTTGGCAATGTTCTTAGTGTCGGTGAGTGAGTGATTTATCTTTCCAGAGTTTCTCTCTCTCCATCTGCAAAGGCAGACAAATTGTTTCTTGCAAGGGTCTGAAGCATCCAAATATGGGAACACTTACGAATGCTTTTCAAAATGAGATGAAGCCCCTCTCCATGTGGTGTTGGAGAAGGCACTTGATGTGGGGGCATTTGGTGGTAGGAAGTGCTTCACACTGGAGCACTCCCCATGGATAGAATGTCCCTGAATAACACAGCAGAAGCCACATGGAGGGCCTGTGCAGTCTCATGACGAATAGAGGACTGTGGGACAAGTTTGTCCTCTCCTAAGAGAAAGAATGAGGTTTGAAATGCGAACTGTGACAGGACACCAAGCCTGTTCCTGGGAATCAGATCTGTGGCAGGATGGGGGAGACAGCTGCCAAAGTCCAGAGAGAGGCTGCACAAGCCTTCAGTGATATGGGAAGCAAAAGGTCTTTTCAGTATTTGGCCACATCTTGATGGTGGCCCTCCACATCAGAAATGCATTGCCTGATGGACCAGGAAACCATGCCAGAGCATTTTGTGAAGGATAAAACATGAGAGTTTTCAGTACAATGCTGAACCATACATAGATGTTCATGTCTCTGTGCACGTTGGGCTGACTGTGCTTGCAGAATGTGAAGTGGGACATATCTGAATGAACATTTTGTATTTATAGAAAATGATGAAGATGAGGATGAAGATGTTCAAGTTGAGGAGGATGAGAAAGTACTGGAATCATCTGCCCCCAGGTAACACTGAATACTCAGGAGCAAGTAATGGGTGGTAACATATGAAAATGTCTAGAAGGCACACCCTCTCTGGCATCTATGGTGGGCCAAAAGCCCGCATTCCCTTGGCCACAGTATGTGAAATTCAACCCAGCTTAGACACAGGGTGCGACAGCTGTCATGTTTCTCTATGTGTGCCAAGTGTCATGTCTGTACCATACAGGGATAGCTGAGTCTTCATCCTCCTCAGCTCCTATCTGTCCAGTGCACTGAACACCAGCTGCTCTCTTCCTCTCTGGCTCCCATGGCAGCCATGCTCTGTTGCAGAGAGAAGAGGATTGCCTGTTCCCTCTTTAAGGGAACCTCCATTTTGCTTTCTGGGACCACTCTCTTAATGCCGCCTGTCAAAACCAGCTAGGACTCCCTGGGGTCCAATCCCTCTGTGTTTAATCTTCTGTCATCTCTGTCCCACCTGGCTCATCAGGGAGGTGCAGAAGGCTGAAGAGAGCAAAGTCCCTGAGGACTCACTGGAGGAATGTGCCATCACTTGTTCAAATAGCCACGGCCCTTGTGACTCCATCCAGCCTCACAAGAACATCAAAATCACATTTGAGGAAGACAAAGTCAACTCAACTGTGGTTGTAGACAGAAAATCCTCTCATGATGAATGTCAGGATGCTCTAAACATTCTCCCAGGTAGCCTCTATTTTCCTTGTGTCTCATACCTCTGTCTAGGCTATGGAAGATCAATTCTGAGGACAGGCTGTATATACACATATTGTTATTGTTTTAGTCAGAAACTAGGATGGAGCTAGGTGCTGTGACTCACACATATAATCACAGCACTTTGGAAGGCCCAAGTGGGAGGATGACTTGAGTTCAGGAGTTGAAGACCAGCCTGGAGTATATGGTGAAACCCATCTTTACGAAGAATACAAAAAATTAGGCAGTCATGGTGCTGCGTGCCTATAGTCCCAACTGCTCAGGAGACTTAGGTGGGAGGATGGGCTGAGATGATCCTCCCACCCTCATTCACTTCTGTCAGGCTAGACTCTCTTTTTCATTGGCTTGTCTTAGCTATTAATAAGTCTTGGCTGGGCACAGTGGGTTCCACCTGTAATCCCAGCACTTTGGGAGGCCGAGGCGGGTGGATCACGAGGTCAGGAGATTGAGACCATCCTGGCTAACACGGTGAAACCCCGTCTTTACTAAAAATACAAAAAAAAAAAAAAAATTAGCTGGGCGCGGTGGTGGGCACCTGTAGTCCCAGCTACTCAGGAGGCTGAGGCAGGAGAATGGCATGAACCCAGGAACCGGATCTTGCAGTGAGCCGAGATTGTGGCACTGCACTCCAGCCTGGGAGACAGAGCGAGACTGCATCTCAAAAAAAAAAAAAAAAAAAAAAAAAAAAAGTCTCTGACCAGGGGCGCTGGCTCACATCTTAATCCCAGCACTTTGAGAGGCCGAGGTGGGCGGAACACCTGAGCTCAGGAGATCGAAACCAGCCTGTCCAAGATGGCGAAACCCCATCTCTACTAAAAATACAAAAATTAGCTGTCATGTTACTTGGCGCTTGTAATCCCAGATGCTTGGCAGGCTGAGTGATGAGAATCGCTTGAACCCGGGAGGCAGAGGTGGCAGTGAGCTGAGATTGTGCCTCTGCACTGCAGCCTGCGCGACAGAGTGAGACTCCGTCTCAAACAGAAAACAAAAAACCAAAAAAGAAAAAAATTAAAAAAGCAAAATGAAATCTTTTGTGCTACACAGAAACATTGGCCACTCATGGGATAAAAATCTCAGGGCCAAGCCTTGCTTTATAGAAACGTATAAGCAAGAAAAGTGTAGAAGTGTTTATGTCCTGCTTTAAAGGTGACTGCATAGCTAAGACAAGTTGACTTAAAGGAGATCAAGACTGGAGATGACAAGAGTGAAACCAGGGAAACATCATCTTCGAATAAGTACACAAGGCTGCCAGTGACATCCCTCAGTCCTGATTAAGCCTACTTGATTTCACCAGTTTTTAACCCATCATGTGTTTGCCTTTCTTCTCCCCAGTCCCTGGCCCCACCTCTTCTGCCACAAACGTCAGCATGGTGGTATCAGCCGGCCCTTTGTCCAGCGAGAAGGCAGAGATGAACATTCTAGAAATCAATGAGAAGTTGCGCCCCCAGCTGGCAGAGAAGAAACAGCAGTTCAGAAGCCTCAAAGAGAAATGTTTTGTAACTCAACTGGCCGGCTTCCTGGCCAAGCAGCAGAACAAATACAGTAAGATCTACAGGCTCACCATCACGAAAGTGATGAACAACGTCCTGTCTTCTCTCTGAGAAACTAAGTGCTCTCTCCATCAAAAATAATGTCATCCTCCCCATACTTCTAGGAAAACAGAAATGGGTATTTTAACATTTTGTTAAAGTTGGAAGACAGAGGTACCAAAGTATTTAGCAACTTTCCATGTTTGCAATCAGGTGGGGGTGGGACTAGAGTTAAACTGCCATTTATTGATTTCTGACACCGGCACAGAATGACCTGTTTTCTCCAAGAGGCTCAATCGTGTTTTCAAGAATCCTCTCTGTGCCACATAAGATCCTGCAGACAAATAACATCTAGTCTGTTGTTCTAAATATCTGAGACTAGTGAACTTTTATTCAGTCCAAGTTTCTGTTGAGGCCCAATACGCAAAGCTCTGTTCTAGTGACTCTGAGGGAAACTTGGTGATAGTAGCCAGTACCCGCTCTGAGGGGCTTCAAGAGGAGTCTGCTCCTAATAGAACCTGTGCTATCTATAAGTGACAGCATCAAGAGCAGGGAGTAGGGGCCGTGCATGGTGGCTCACTCCTGTAATCCCAGCCCTTTGGGAGGCTGAGGCGAGTAGAGCACGAGGTCAGGAGTTTGAGACCAGCCTGGGCAACATGGAGAAACCCCATCTCCACTAAAAATACAAAAAGTAGATGGGCGTGGTGGCAGGTGACTGTAATCACTCCTGCTCAGGAGGCTGAGGCAGTAGAATCCTTTGAACCCAGGAGGCTGAGGTTGCAGTGAGCCAAGATTTTGCCATTGCACTCCAGCCTGGGTGACAGGGCAAGACTGTTAAAAAAAAATAATAATGATAAATAAAAATAAGAATAAAAAGCAGAGAGTAGCTTGGTGAGAGTGAAGTCCTGCTTCCTGGGGCACAGAGTCTTGTTCCTAAAGAGGAAGAAAGATCGCACCCGAGAATGTGTGGAGGTAGCAGTGCAGTGTACAGAGCAGGGACCGTGGGCCTGTCTCCTGGGCTCCATCCAAGGTGCTTGTCTTGTCTGTCCCTCAGTTTCCTCACCTGTTCAGAGGGTACTACAATAATACCTACCTCTGTAAATTGCTACAGTGAATTACATGAGCTATTTCTTGTCAATCTCATAGAACGTTTATTGGCACAGAGTAAACACTATTAGTTCTTCATTCTGTTGTTTCTAAATTAACAGAAACTTCATTAGCATTTGGGCATAGGATTTCCTTCATGGCCTTATGGTGTTATGTGTCACACTTTATGCTTCAGATATGATTCTTAAAATCATAACTGAAGATATGATTAAAAAATCAAAGATTTTTAAAATCTTTCACATACTTGTCCTTGAAATTCCCAGTAAAAGGGAAACCATCAGTCCCATAGTCCTAGGGGCCTTCCCGACTGTACAAGAAATCACTACTTCATGCCCCAGTGCAGTGTTTTAGAGGAGAGGCTGCAAGTCTTGGGAAAGTGGCCCCGAATTCAGAGTCAGACCTCAGGGACTGTGAATTCTGACTCCACTTCGTTGTGGTTGAATCATCTTGTCAACTTCCTTGATGTGCCCTTGAGGTTCTCTTTCTTCATCTCTAAATTTTGGAGGATCAGATGCCAGAAAGTCAGGAGACTGAAGAGTAAAGACGTGGAAATCCCTGTCTAGACCCTGGTACTGTGGAGAGTTTTGTCCTTGGGATGGACCTGGCTCCTGCCCTGTAGGCAATGACCACAGCAGCATGTCCAGCCTTCCACTGATGCAGGCGTGTCTGTCTTTTCTCAGAATATGAAGAGTGCAAAGACCTCATAAAATCTATGCTGAGGAATGAGCTACAGTTCAAGGAGGAGAAGCTTGCAGAGCAGCTGAAGCAAGCTGAGGAGCTCAGGTGAGGGGACCCCATGGGGGCAGGCAGGGGGGCAGGTGTGTAAATCTCTGAAGTACAACAGCTCGGTGGGGAGACTTAAGAGCTAAGCTGGGCCAGGGGAAGGGCAGGAATTGCCATGGCAGGCTCGCTACACACAAATATTTATCAAACAGAGAAGAAGGATAATAAAAATTTATGGGTTGCAGTTGTTTCTCAGAGCCTTGTTTTCTCTTTTTCAAACAAGTAATTGTTGATGTGAAATTTACATAACACAAAATTAACCAAAGGAGTGTGAACCACACAGCAGCATTCAGTATACTCAAAATGGTGTGCCATCACGACCCCACTTACCCTTAGTGAGAATCACCTCCTGACTGACTGCGGCTTCTCATTCTTTCACTCAATGTTGCCTTCTCGACCCTGTCATTCTTTTCTTCTTTCATCTTTTCAATTCACCCCATCTGCATCTGGCCTCATTTCTGTACATGGCTTTGTGTCTAGTGGCCGCAAGATGCACTATGTGTATTTTCACATGGAAATGTCCATGGCCAGAGTGAGGAACTGAAAGGATGTCTTTTTGAAACGGAATTAGGAAGACACCTACTTTTGTTTACAGAAGGGAAAGATGAATGGAACATCATCGAGGATCTTGCAGGAGCCCTCTCTGATACAGAGGAAGCCTGTAAACCATTTTCTCTTCTTTCTCTTGGCCACAGTCATTCCTTTCAACATGTGCTGACCTTCTGCTTGGAGGTCTCCTTGAGGACATTGTCTCAGAAATCTCTGTTGCAATATTTGAACGGATCACTCAACCCTTTCCACTCTTAAATTTTCTCTACCGTCTCACCTTAGGCAATATAAAGTCCTGGTTCACTCTCAGGAACGAGAGCTGACCCAGTTAAGGGAGAAGTTACGGGAAGGGAGAGATGCCTCCCGCTCATTGAATGAGCATCTCCAGGCCCTCCTCACTCCGGATGAGCCGGACAAGTCCCAGGGGCAGGACCTCCAAGAACAGCTGGCTGAGGGGTGTAGACTGGCACAGCACCTTGTCCAAAAGCTCAGCCCAGGTAAGGTGGCCACAGGCCCTGATGACCCAAAACCCCAGGCTTATGAGAGGCTCCAGACCTCCATACTTTCACAATGACAGTTGTATCAGTGGGGTTTTTTTCTACTACACATGTGTGGCCATGACATGACCAGGACTTCCTGGGTAAGAACGGAGATGGGAAACCCATGGGTTTGGAGGTCCCAGTATTGCAAGTGTCCCTCCTTCCTTGATGGAAGGTGGTCTTTGGAGCAAGAGGCAGCATCTATCTAGTTTTAAAGGACAGGAAGGAGGCTGTGATGGGAGGGCGCTTGTTGGAGTGAAAAGAGCTCTGGGCTAAGAATGAAGGTTCCCAGGCTTCTTTTTGGCAATGTTCTTAGTAAGTGTCGGTGAGTGAGTGATTTATCTTTCCAGAGTTTCTCTCTCTCCATCTGCAAAGGCAGACAAATTGTCTCTTTCAAGGGTCTGAAGCATCCAAATATGGGAACACTTACGAATGCTTTTCAAAATGAGATGAAGCCCCTCTCGGTGTGGTGTTGGGGAAGGCACTTGATGTGGGGGCATTTGGTGGTAGGAAGTGCTTCAGACTGGAGCACTCCCCATGGATAGAATGTCCCTGAATAACACAGCAGAAGCCACATGGAGGGCCTGTGCAGTCTCATGACGAATAGAGGACTGTGGGACAAGTTTGTCCTCTCCTAAGAGAAAGAATGAGGTTTGAAATGCGAACTGTGACAGGACACCAAGCCTGTTCCTGGGAATCAGATCTGTGGCAGGATGGGGGAGACAGCTGCCAAAGTCCAGAGAGAGGCTGCACAAGCCTCCAGTGATATGGGAAGCAAAAGGTCTTTTCAGTATTTGGCCACATCTTGATGGTGGCCCTCCACATCAGAAATGCATTGCCTGATGGACCAGGAAACCATGCCAGGGCATTTTGTGAAAGATAAAACATGAGAGTTTTCAGTACAATGCTGAACCATACATAGATGTTCATGTCTCTGTGCACGTTGGGCTGACTGTGCTTGCAGAATGTGAAGTGGAAAATATCTGAACGAACATTTTGTATTTATAGAAAATGATGAAGATGAGGATGAAGATGTTCAAGTTGAGGAGGATGAGAAAGTGCTGGAATCATCTTCCCCCAGGTGACACTGAATACTCAGGAGCAAGTAATGGGTGTTAACATATGAAAATGTCTAGGAGGCATGCCCTCTCTGGCATCTATGATGGGCCAAAAGCCCGCATTCCCTTGGCCACAGTATGTGAAATTCAACCCAGCTTAGACACAGGGTGTGGCAGCTGTCGTGTTTCTGTATGTGTGCCAAGTGTCATGTCTGTACCATACAGGGATAGCTGAGTCTTCATCCTCCTCAGCTCCTATTTGTCCAGTGCACTGAACACCAGCTGCTCTCTTCCTCTCTGGCTCCCATGGCAGCCATGCTCTGTTGCAGAGAGAAGAGGATTGCCTGTTCCCTCTTAAAGGGAACCTCCATTTTGCTTTCTGGGACCACTCTCTTAATGCCGCTTGTCAAAACCAGCTAGGACTCCTTGGGGTCCAATCCCTCTGTGTTTAATCTTCTGTCATCTCTGTCCCACCTGGCTCATCAGGGAGATGCAGAAGGCTGAAGAAAGCAAAGTCCCTGAGGACTCACTGGAGGAATGTGCCATCACTTGTTCAAATAGCCACGGCCCTTGTGACTCCAACCAGCCTCACAAGAACATCAAAATCACATTTGAGGAAGACAAAGTCAACTCATCTCTGGTTGTAGACAGAGAATCCTCTCATGATGAATGTCAGGATGCTCTAAACATTCTCCCAGGTAGCCTCTATTTTCCTTGTGTCTCATACCTCTGTCTAGGCTATGGAAGATCAATTCTGAGGACAGGCTGTATATACACATATTGTTATTGTTTTAGTCAGAAACTAGGATGGAACTAGGTGCTGTGACTCACACATATAATCACAGCACTTTGGAAGGCCCAAGTGGGAGGATGACTTGAGTTCAGGAGTTGAAGACCAGCCTGGAGTATATGGTGAAACCCATCTTTACGAAGAATACAAAAAATTAGGCAGTCATGGTGCTGCGTGCCTATAGTCCCAACTGCTCAGGAGACTTAGGTGGGAGGATCGGCTAACACGATCCTCCCACTCTCGTTCACTCCTCTCAGGCTAGACTCTCTCTCCTTTTCATTGGCTTGTCTTAGCTATTAATAAGAAGTCTTGGCCAGGCGCGGTGGCTCACACATGTAATCCCAGCACTTTGGGAGGCCGAGGCGGGTGGATCACGAGGTCAGGAGATTGAGACCATCCTGGCTAACACGGTGAAACCCCATCTTTACTAAAAATACAAAAAAAAAAAAAAATTAGCTGGGCGCGGTGTTGGGTGCCTGTAGTCTCAGCTACTTGGGAGGCTGAGGCAGGAGAATGGCATGAACCCAGGAACCGGATCTTGCAGTGAGCCGAGATTGTGCCACTGCACTCCAGCCTGGGAGACAGAGCGAGACTCCATCTAAAAAAAAAAAAAAAAAGTAAGTCTCTGACCAGGGGCGCTGGCTCACATCTTAATCCCAGCACTTTGGGAGGCGGAGGTAGGTGGAACACCTGAGGTCAGGAGTTCGAAACCAGCCTGTCCAAGTTGGCGAAACCCCATCTCTACTAAAAATACAAAAATTAGCTGTCATGTTACTTGGCGCTTGTAATCCCAGATGCTTGGCAGGCTGAGTGATGAGAATCGCTTGAACCCGGGAGGCAGAGGTGGCAGTGAGCTGAGATTGTGCCTCTGCACTGCAGCCTGCGTGACAGAGTGAGACGCCGTCTCAAACAGAAAACAAAAAACCAAAAAAGAAAAAAATTAAAAAAGCAAAATGAAATCTTTTGTGCTACACAGAAACATTGGCCACTCATGGGGTAAAAATCTCAGGGCCAAGCCTTGCTTTATAGAAACTTATAAGCAAGAAAAGTGTAGAAGTGTTTATGTCCTGGTTTCAAGGTGACTGCATAGCTAAGACAAGTTGACTTAAAGGAGATCAAGACTGGAGATGACAAGGGTGAAACCAGGGAAACAACATCTTCAAATAAGTAGACAAGGCTACCAGTGACATCCCTCAGTCCTGATTAAGCCTATTTCATTTCATCAGTTTTTAACCCATCATGTGTTTGCCTTTCTTCTCCCCAGTCCCTGGCCCCACCTCTTCTGCCACAAACGTCAGCATGGTGGTATCAGCCGGCCCTTTGTCCAGCGAGAAGGCAGAGATGAACATTCTAGAAATCAATGAGAAGTTGCGCCCCCAGCTGGCAGAGAAGAAACAGCAGTTCAGAAGCCTCAAAGAGAAATGTTTTGTAACTCAAGTGGCCTGCTTCCTGGCCAAGCAGCAGAACAAATACAGTAAGATCTATATGCTCACCATCATGAAAGTGATGAACGAAGTCCTGTCTTCTCTCTGAGAAACTAAGTGCTCTCTCCATCAAAAATAATGTCATCCTCCCCATACTTCTAGGAAAACAGAAATGGGTATTTTAACATTTTGTTAAAGTTGGAAGACAGAGGTACCAAAGTATTTAGCAACTTTCCATGTTTGCAATCAGGTGGGGGTGGGACTAGAATTAAACTGCCATTTATTGATTTCTGACACCGGCACAGAATGACCTGTTTTCTCCAAGAGGCTCAATCGTGTTTTCAAGAATCCTCTCTGTACCATATAAGATCCTGCAGACAAATAACATCTAGTCTGTTGTTCTAAATGTCTGAGACTAGTGAACTTTTATTCAGTTCAAGTTTCTGTTGAGGCCCAATACGCAAAGCTCTGTTCTAGTGACTCTGAGGGAAACTTGGTGATAGTAGCCAGTACCCGCTCTGAGGGGCTTCAAGAGGAGTCTGCTCCTAATAGAACCTGTGCTATCTATAAGTGACAGCATCAAGAGCAGGGAGTAGGGGCCGTGCATGGTGGCTCACTCCTGTAATCCCAGCCCTTTGGGAGGCTGAGGCGAGTAGAGCACGAGGTCAGGAGTTTGAGACCAGCCTGGGCAACATGGAGAAACCCCATCTCCACTAAAAATACAAAAAGTAGATGGGCATGGTGGCAGGTGACTGTAATCACCCCTGCTCAGGAGGCTGAGGCAGTAGAATCCTTTGAACCCAGGAGGCTGAGGTTGCAGTGAGCCAAGATTTTGCCGTTGCACTCCAGCCTGGGTGACAGGGCAAGACTGTTAAAAAAAAATAATAATGAGAAATAAAAATAAGAATAAAAAGCAGAGAGTAGCTTGGTGAGAGTGAAGTCCTGCTTCCTGGGGCACAGAGTCTTGTTCCTAAAGAGGAAGAAAGATCGCACCCGAGAATGTGTGGAGGTAGCAGTGCAGTGTACAGAGCAGGGACCATGGGCCTGTCTCCTGGGCTCCATCCAAGTTGCTTGTCTTGTCTGTCCCTCAGTTTCCTCACCTGTTCAGAGGGTACTACAATAATACCTACCTCTGTAAATTGCTGCAATGAATTACATCAGCTATTTCTTGTCAATCTCCTAGAACATTTATTGGCACAGAGTAAACACTATCTATTAGTTCTTCATTCTGCTGTTTCTAAATTAACAGAAACTTCATTAGCATTTGGGCATAGGATTTCCTTCATGGCCTTATGGTGTTATGTGTCACACTTTATGCTTCAGATATGATTCTTAAAATCATAACTGAAGATATGATTAAAAAATCAAAGATTTTTAAAATCTTTCACATACTTGTCCTTGAAATTCCCAGTAAAAGGGAAACCATCAGTCCCATAGTTCTAGGAGCCTTCCTGACTGTACAAGAAATCACTACTTCATGCCCCAGTGCAGTGTTTTAGAGGAGAGGCTGCAAGTCTTGGGAAAGTGGCCCCGAATTCAGAGTCAGACCTCAGGGACTGTGAATTCTGACTCCACTTCGTTGTGGTTGAATCATCTTGTCAACTTCCTTGATGTGCCCTTGAGGTTCTCTTTCTTCATCTCTAAATTTTGGAGGATCAGATGCCAGAAAGTCAGGAGACTGAAGAGTAAAGACGTGGAAATCCCTGTCTAGACCCTGGTACTGTGGAGAGTTTTGTCCTTGGGATGGACCTGGCTCCTGCCCTGTAGGCAATGACCACAGCAGCATGTCCAGCCTTCCACTGATGCAGGCGTGTCTGTCTTTTCTCAGAATATGAAGAGTGCAAAGACCTCCTAAAATCTATGCTGAGGAATGAGCTACAGTTCAAGGAGGAGAAGCTTGCAGAGCAGCTGAAGCAAGCTGAGGAGCTCAGGTGAGGGGACCCCATGGGGGCAGACAGGGGGGCAGGTGTGTAAATCTCTGAAGTACAGTAGCTCAGTGGGGAGACGTAAGAGCTAAGCTGGGCCAGGGGAAGGGCAGGAATTGCCATGGCAGGTTTGCTACACACAAATATTTATCAAACAGAGAAGAAGGATAATAAAAATTTATGGGTTGCAGTTGTTTCTCAGAGCCTTGTTTTCTCTTTTTCAAACAAGTAATTGTTGATGTGAAATTTACATAACACAAAATTAACCAAAGGAGTGTGAACCACACAGCAGCATTCAGTATACTCAAAATGGTGTGCCATCACCATCCCACTTACCCTTAGTGAGAATCACCTCCTGACTGACTGCGGCTTCTCATTCTTTCACTCAATCAATGTTGCCTTCTCGACCCTGTCATTCTTTTCTTCTTTCGTCTTTTCAATTCGCCCTATCTGCATCTGGCCTCATTTCTGTACATGGCTTTGTATCTAATGGCCGCAAGATGCACTATGTGTATTTTCACATGGAAATGTCCATGGCCAGAGTGAGGAACTGAAAGGATGTCTTTTTGAAACGGAATTAGGAAGACACCTACTTTTGTTTACAGAGGGGAAAGATGAATGGAACATCATCGAGGATCTTGCAGGAGCCCTCTCTGATACAGAGGAAGCCTGTAAACCATTTTCTATTCTTTCTCTTGGCCACAGACATTCCTTTCAACATGTGCTGACCTTCTGCTTGGAGGTCTCCTTGAGGACATTGTCTCAGAAATCTCTGTTGCAATATTTGAACGGATCACTCAACCCTTTCCACTCTTAAATTTTCTCTACCGTCTCACCTTAGGCAATATAAAGTCCTGGTTCACTCTCAGGAACGAGAGCTGACCCAGTTAAGGGAGAAGTTACGGGAAGGGAGAGATGCCTCCCGCTCATTGAATGAGCATCTCCAGGCCCTCCTCACTCCGGATGAGCCGGACAAGTCCCAGGGGCAGGACCTCCAAGAACAGCTGGCTGAGGGGTGTAGACTGGCACAACACCTTGTCCAAAAGCTCAGCCCAGGTAAGGTGGCCATAGGCCCTGATGACCCAAAACCCCAGGCTTATGAGAGGCTCCAGACCTCCATACTTTCACAATGACAGTTGTATCAATGGTGTTTTTTTCCACTAAGCTTATGTGGCCATGACATGACCAGGACTTCCTGGGTAAGAACGGAGATGGGAAACCCATGGGGTTGGAGGTCACAGTATTGCAAGTGTCCCTCCTTCCTTGATGGAAGGTGGTCTTTGGAGTAAGAGGCAGCATCTGTCTAGTTTTAAAGGACAGGAAGGAGGCTGCGATGGGAGCAGGCTTGTTAGAGTGAAAAGAGCTCTGGACTAAGAATGAAGGTTCCCAGGCTGTCTTTTCGGCAATGTTCTTAGTAACTGTCGGTGAGTGAATGACTTGTCCTTCCTGAGTTTCTCTCTCTCCATGGCAGACAAATTGTCTCTTGCAAGGGTCTGAAGCTTTCAAATGTGGGAACACTTACAACTGCTTTCCAAAATGAGATGAAGCCCCTCTCCGTGTGGTGTTGGAGAAGGCACTTGATGTGGGGGCATTTTGTGGTAGGAAGTGCTTCAGACTGGAGCACTCCCCATGGATAGAATGTCCCTGAATAACACAGCAGAAGCCACTTGGAGGCTTGAAATCTTCTAATGCATAGAGGACTGTGGGACAAGTTTGCTTCTAAGAGAAAGAATTAGGTTTGAAATGCAAACTGTGACAGGACACCAAGCCTGTTCCTGGGAATCAGATCTGGCAGGATGGGGGAGACAGCTGCCAAAGTCCAGAGAGAGGCTGCACAAGCCTCCAGTGATATGGGAAGCAAAAGATCTTTTCAGTATTTGGCCACATCTTGATGGTGGCCCTCCAGATCAGAAATGCATTGCCTGATGGACCAGGAAACCATGCCAGGGCATTCTGTTAAAGATAAAACATGAGAGTTTTCAGTTGAACGGTGACCCATGCCTAGATGTTCATGTCCCTGTTGCACATTGGGCTGACTGTGCTTGCAGACTGTGAAGTGGGAAATATCTGAATGAACACTTCTGTATTTACAGAAAATGATAACGATGACGATGAAGATGTTCAAGTTGAGGTGGCTGAGAAAGTGCAGAAATCGTCTTCCCCCAGGTAACACTGAATACTCAGGAACAATTAATGGATGGTAACATATGAAGAATATCTAGGAGGCACACCCTCTCTGGCATGTATGATGGGCCAAAAACCCGCATTCGCTTGGCCACAGTATGTGAAATATAACCCAGCTTAGACACAGGGTGCGGCAGGTGTCATGTTTCTCTATGTGTGCCGAGTGTCATGTCTGCACCGTACAGGGATAGCTGAGTCTTCATCCTTCTCAGCTCCTATCTGTCCAGTGCAATGAACAGCAGCTGCTCTCTTCCTCTCTGGTTCCCATGGCAGCCGTGCTCTGTTGCAGACAGAACAGGATTGCATGTTCCCTCTTAATGGGAACGTCCATTTTGCTTTCTGGGACCACTCTCTTAATGCCGCCTGTCAAAACCAGCTAGGACTCCCTGGGGTCCAATCCCTCTGTGTTTAATCTTCTGTCATCTCTGTCCCACCTGGCTCATCAGGGAGATGCAGAAGGCTGAAGAAAAGGAAGTCCCTGAGGACTCACTGGAGGAGTGTGCCATCACTTGTTCAAATAGCCATGGCCCTTATGACTCCAACCAGCCACATAGGAAAACCAAAATCACATTTGAGGAAGACAAAGTCGACTCAACTCTCATTGGCTCATCCTCTCATGTTGAATGGGAGGATGCTGTACACATTATCCCAGGTAGCCTCTGTTTTCCTTGTGTCTCATACCTCTCTCTAGGCTGAGGAAGATAAACTCTGAAGACAGGCTCTATAAACACAAATTCATTTGAATAAAAAACTGTGATGGGTTTCTAAACAGATATCAGGGAGTTTTTTTGTCCTTCTCAGCTAATGTCATGCCTTTGTCTGCCAGTCCCCAGTATCAAGTTACTCGACCCCAGGCAAGTGTGACAATCTCATAGTCACCTCAGTGCAGGAGGTGCACAGGCAGTATCTGTCAGGCCTCCTAACTTCCATTCAGTATCTCTTGTCATCTGTGATTTAGTCATCTGTCCATGAACAATGTCCATGGAGTTTCTATGCCTGTTTAAGGAAGCTGGCAGCCTTGCCTTTGTATTTGGAAACATTGTTCCCCAGGCTTCACTGCTCTCAGCTTTCATCTGGATCTCCTTTAAGTCAGCTTGCTTAGCTGCACAGTCACCCTGAAATCAGGATGGAAACTTTTCTTCTTTACTTTGCTGATATATTTCCATAAAGCAAGGCTGGACCCTGGTTCTCCACCCTGTCAATGCAATGGCTGATCCAATGTTTGTTTGTAGCGTCGTAGATTTTTTTTTTTTTTTTTTTTTTGCGATGGAGTCCTGCTCTGTCACCTAGGCTGGAGTGCAGTGGCACCATCTTGACTTGGTGCAACCTCTGCCTCCCAGATTCAAGTGATTCTCCTGCCTCAGCCTCCTGAGTTGCTGGGACCACAGGTGCACAACATCACATCTGGCTAATTTTTGTATTTTTAGTAGAGACAGGGTTTCCCCATATTGGCCAGGGTAGTCCTGAACTCATGACCTCAAATGATTCACCTGTCTTGGCCTCCCAAATCACAGATTCTTTTTAAAGCAAGAGTTGTTCAAATTTATCTATCAGTCGTGTTTCATGTATAGATGCCTCTAAACATTTTATGTCCACGTTACCTGGTGATATAAGTCCGTATTGCAGCAACATTCTTAGAAAATTGTTTGACCAATTTTTGGAGATTTTTTTGGGGAAAAAATTTTGTTTAACTTTGACTCAGGCAGGGAATATGGCATTATGGTCTACACGTAGAGGGAGATTTTGGCCTGTGGGTCTGGAAAGCAGGGTCATCTAATTCTCACCAAAGTTAATCTAGGGCACCCTAGAATATTCCTGTCAGAATCCTTATTCTTGCACTGAGAATAGTTATGTCCTTGTGCTATGACTGGACAGTGATTTGGTCATATGTGAAGTATGAATTGCTTAATGTGACCTGCTTCTCTGAATTTATTTACAGAAAATGAAAGTGATGATGAGGAAGAGGAAGAAAAAGGGCCAGTGTCTCCCAGGTAATGTTGTGGAATTGTTGGCTGTTAATTCAGTAGTGACATCTGGAGATTGTAGATTTAGGGAAAATGAGGAAGTGATGAATAGAACTATTTCTTCCATTCACCCAGCTACAAATTGTGCTGATTTACAATGTTGTATGTTATTTGTGGCACTTGTGTTGGTTTTAATTTCATAGTCCTCTCAAGATAGGAACTTGCCATCAGATGAGCCAGGTGAACTAGCCAAACAGGGTTTTCTTGTTGATCTTTTCAAAAAACCAGCCCTGGATTCATTGATATTTTGAAGGGTTTTTTGTGTCTCTATCTCCTTGAGTTCTGCTCTGATCTTAGTTACTTCTTGTCTTCTGCTAGCTTTTGAATTTGTTTGCTTTGCTTCTCTAGTTATTTTAATTGTGATGTTAGGGTGTCAATTTTAGATCTTTTCTGCTTTCTCTTGTGGGCATTTAGTGCTATAATTTTCCCTCTACACATTGCTTTAAATGTGTCCCAGAGATTCTGGTATGTTGTGTCTTTGTTCTCATTGGTTTCAAAGAACATCTTTATTTCTGCCTTCATTTTGTTATTTTCCCAGTAGTCATTCAGGAGCAGGTTGTTGAGTTTCCATGTAGTTGTGCAGTTTTCAGTGAGTTTCTTAATCCTGAGTTCTAATTTGATTGCACTGTGGTCTGACAGTTTGTTGTGATTTCCATTCTTTTACATTTGCTGACGAGTGCTTTACCTCCAACTATGTGGTCAATTTTGGAATAAGTGTGATGTGATGCTGAGAAGAATGTATATTCTGTTGATTTGGGGTGGAGAGTTCTGTAGATGTCTTTTAGGTCTGCTTGGTGCAGAGCTGAGTTCAAGTCCTGGATATCCTTGTTAAGCTTCTGTCTCATTGATCTGTCTAATATTGACAGTGGGGTGTTAAAGTCTCCCATGATGATTGTGTGGAGTCTAAATCTCTTTGTAGGTCTCTCAGGACTTGCTTTATGAATCTGGGTGCTCCTGTATAGGGTGCATATATATTTAGGATAGTTAACTCTTCTTGTTGAATTGATCCCTTTACCATTATGTAGTGGCCTTCTTCGTCTCTTTTGATATTTGTTGGTTTAAAGTCTGTTTTATCAGAGACTAGGATTGCAACCCCTGCATTTTTTTGCTTTCCATTTGCTTGGTAGAACTTCCTCCATCCCTTTATTTTGAGCCTATGTGTGTCTCTGCATGTGAGATGGGTTTTCTGAGTACAGCGCACCGATGGGTCTTGACTCTTTATCCAATTTGCCATTCTGTGTTTTTTAACTGGGGCATTTAGCCCCTTTACATTTAAGGTTAATATTGTTATGTGTGAATTTGATCCTGTCGTTATGATGTTTGCTGGTTATTTCACCCGTTAGTTGATGCAGTTTCTTCCTAGCTTCAATGGTCTTTAGAGTTTGGCATGTTTTTGCAGTGGCTGGTACCGGTTGTTCCTTTCCATGTTTAGTGCTTCCTTTAGGAGCTCTTTTTGGGCAGGCCTGGTGGTGACAAAATCTCTCAGCATTTGCTTCTCTGTAAAGGATTTATTTCTCCTTCACTTATGAAGCTTTGTTTGGCTGGATATGAAATTCTTGGTTGAAAATTCTTTTCTTTAAGAATGTTGAAGGTGCTGGAGAGGATGTGGAGAAATCGAACACTTTTACACTGTTGGTGGGACTGTAAACTAGTTCAACGATTGTGGAAGGCAGTGTGGCAATTCCTCAGGGATCTAGAACTAGAAATACCATTTGACCCAGCCATCCCATTACTGGGTGTATACCCAAAGGATTATAAATCATGCTGCTGTAAAGACACATGCACACATATGTTTATTGTGGCACTATTCACAATAGCAAAGACTTGGAACCAAGCCAAATATCCAGCAATGATAGACTGGATTAAGAAAATGTGGCACATATACACCATGGAATACTATGCAGCTATAAAAAATGATGAGTTCATGTCCTTTGTAGGGGCATGGATGAAGCTGGAAACCATCATTCTCAGCAAACTATTGCAAGGACAAAAAACCAAATACCGCATGTTCTTACTCACAGGTGGGAATTGAACAATGAGAACACAAGGACACAGGAAGGGGAACATCACACACTGGGGCCTGTTGTAGGGTGGGGGGAGGGAGGAGGGGTAGCATTAGGAGATATACCTAATGTTAAATGATGAGTTAATGGGTGAAGCACACCAATGTGGACATGTATACATATGTAACTAAGCTGCACGTTGTGCACATGTACCCTAAGACTTAAAGTATTAAAAAAAAAAAAAAAAAATATATATATATATATATATACATACACACAAAAAATAATAAAGGAAAACTATACATATGGAAAAAAAAAGAATGTTGAATATTGCTCCCACTCTCTTCTGGCTTGTAGGGTTTGTGCCAAGAGATCTGCTGCTAGTCTGATGGGCTTCCCTTTGTGGGTAATCCGACCTTTCTCTCTGGCTGCCCTTAGCATTTTTTCCTTCATTTCAACCTTGGTGAATCTGACAATTATGTGTCCCGGGGTTGCTCTTCTCGAGGAGTATCTTTATGGTGTTCTCTGTGTTTCCTGAATTTGAATGTTGGCCTTCCTTGTTAGGTTGGGGAAGTCCTCCTGGATAATATCCTGAAGAATGTTTCCCAGCTTGGTTCCATTCTCCCCATCACTTTCAGTACACCAATCAAACGTAGATTTGGTCTTTTCACATAGTCCCATATTTATTGGAGGCTTGTTCATTTCTTTTTACTCTTTTTTCTCTAAACTTCTCTTCTCGCTTCATTTCACTAATTTGATCTTGAATCACTGATACCGTTTCTTGCACTTGATCGAATTGGCTACTGAAGCTTGTGCATGCATCACGTAGTTCTCGTGCCATGGTTTTCAGCTCCATCAGGTCATTTAAGGTCTTCTCTACACTGTTCATTCTGGTTAGCCATTCGTCTAATCTTTTTTCAAGGTTTTTAGCTTCCTTGCGATGAGTTCGCACATCCTCCTTTAGCTCAGAGAAGTTTGTTATTACCGACTTTCTGAAGCCTACTTCTGTCAGCTCGTCAAAGTCATTCTCCATCCTGCTTTGTTCCATTGCTGGCGAGGAGCTGCGATCCTTTGGAGGAGAAGGGATGTCAGGTTTTTGGAATTTTCAGCTTTTGTGCTCTGGTTTCTCCCCACCTTTGTGGTTTTATCTACCCTTGGTCTTTGATGATGGTGACCTACAGATGGGGTTTTGGCGTGGATGTCTTTTTTGTTGATGTTGATGCTATCCCTTTCTGTGTGTTAGTTTTCCTTCTAACAGTCAGGTCCCTCAGCTTCAGGTCTGTTGGAGTTTGCTGGAAGTCCACTCCAGACCCTCAAACAGGGATTTCTTGGTGTTGCCTATTCTCTCCCATGTGTTTAAATCCAGGGAGAGATGTATATATGCTTTCTTCCCATTTGTTGGTAGTATGTTGGCTAGTATTTTTGCAAGAAAAGAAATTGAAAAAGTAAATATATTATATCAAAATATTGGGAAAATGGGGCCCTTAATACACAAGATCTGTGTCTGCATTGGGTCAAGAACTCTCTTGACTTGAATGCTGCGTGTAAAATTCAACCCAATTTATGCAAAGTAGTTGAAGCCCTGTGTCAGTTCTCTGTGCTGCAAGTCATGATGGTAGTTTACAGGGAGAGTCTGGGTGCCCTGAGTTGGCTCATCTGTGGCAAATGTACTGAGCACATGCTGCCCATTTTTGCTCTGTCCCCAGAGCAGTCACCCTCCACCCTGTATTTAGAAGGATAGTTTTATTTCTCTTAAAGGAAAAATGCCTTTGGTTTCTGTGACCACTCCATTCTGTCTCCCATCAGATCATCTGGGAGGTTTTGTTGTCTAATGTCTGTTGGTTAAATCTTCTATCATCCCTGTCCTGCCTGGCTCATCAGGAATCTGCAGGAGTCTGAAGAGGAGGAAGTCCCCCAGGAGTCCTGGGATGAAGGTTATTCGACTCTCTCAATTCCTCCTGAAAGGTTGGCCTCATACCAGTCTTACAGCAGCACATTTCACTCATTAGAGGAACAGCAAGTCTGCATGGCTGTTGACATAGGCAGTGAGTACTCCATTGTGAAGGTGATAAAGCTCCAGTTCATTGCCCAGGTAGACCCCATAATCTTTGGGCCTTGTGCCCCTTGTTGGGCTGAGAGTTGCCATCACTGTGGGCTGAACCTATATATCAATGTAGATTTCAATCACTCTGGAGTCGAGTCTGAAGCACAGGCATGGGGTGGGTCAGTGAGCTCTGCTCTCTTCCTAGTCTCAGGCCATGCCCGTGCCAACCTGGACTGACTGTCACGACATTGAACTCAAGGCAGGTGTGGCAAACTCACACCAAACTATGTAGCACATGCCCAGGAGTTGTCTGTCAGATCAGCTCATCTGAATTAAATGTCTCTTGCCAGCTACAAAATTCCTTATGAGTTTTGTTCCCAAAGCATGTCTGTGTGGTTCTTTACCTGCCCAAGGCCAGTGTCACCCTTGTCTACCTCTCAGTGAAAGATGTGACCCAGGTTTCACTGAATTTATCCCCATTTTCTGTGTCTTCTAAGTTCGCTTGTTTTAGCTCATCTGTCCGTCATGTTCCTGGTATGTTTTCTAGATAAATGGCTTACTTTTCACCCACAAAAGCCATAATAGCTGATGCTTCTGTGTAGAACCAAGTTTCATTTTGACTCAAGAGCTGGTACATTGCACCCCTTCATCAAATCTCTGTGTCCACAATCTCATAAACTATCAAATTCTGGGTATTTGATGAGAGAAAGCTTAATATTGAAGTATCTCTCCTATGAGGTGTTAGAACTATTTGCCTACAATTTATTGGGGAAAAAATTGCTCATTTGTGTACATAAACCTAGGACAGAGCACATAGGGAAGATAACATTCCAACACAGGGGAATTTTGCCCAAGGCTCATGAAAGAACCCAAGCCAGTTTTCTCAAGACTTGACCTCAGGCCTACTGGAATATTTCTCTCAAAGTCTCCTGTTCTCACACTGACAAGACTGATGTCCCTGTGTTAGGATTGGACAGAGGAATGTTTCTGTGTGCAAGGAAGAACTGCCTAATGTAAGAGGCCCCATCTGAATTTATTTGCAGGACATCGGTGGGATCAAGTGAAAAAGGAGGACCAAGAGGCAACAGGTCCCAGGTGAGTCTGAGAAATTGTGGACAGTTAATTTGATGTTGACACCTGGAGATGCCAAGTCCAGGGAAAACAGTACACGCTGAAAATAATGATTTTGTCTTGTCAGACAAGTCTGAATTATGCCTACTGCATTGTTTTTTGGTTCTCATTAGAGTAAATGTTTAGGTTTCCATTTCTTCCTACCCTTATCATTTACTAACCTAGTGAAGGTTGACCATACCTCAAAAGCTGTATTCTCATGGTGACTGCAGGGAAACTTGAGCACATTTTATGCAAAATTATTGAGGCCATGCTTTTCATGATCACTGTTCACTGTGTGTCCTGAGAGCACAAATACAGAGTGTCCTTTGACTCCCTCATCAGTGTGTCACCCGGCCAATTGACTGAGCTCACACTGTGTGTGTGTGTGTGTGTGTGTGTGTGTGTGTGTGTGTGTGTGTGTCTTTCTCTTTCATCCTTTTCTACCTGGCCCTAGTCTATCACAACATAAAGGCAATAATTTGTTACCTCATTAATGGATCTGTCCTTTTTCTTTTCAAACTCTTCCTTATGTTAGCCATGAAATCTAGCTGGGGCTGTGTGGTTTCTGATTCCCCCTGGCTTATTCTTTACTTTTTCCCACTTTTCCAGGCTCAGCAGGGAGCTGCTGGCTGAGAAAGAGCCTGAAGTCTTGCAGGACTCACTGGATAGATGTTATTCAACTCCTTCAGTTTATCTTGGACTGACTGACTCATGCCAGCCCTACAGAAGTGCCTTTTACGTATTGGAGCAACAGCGTGTTGGCTTGGCTGTTGACATGGATGGTGAGTACCTTTCTATGAAGGTGATAAGGATCCACTGAGTCTTCTGGTTAGGGTCATATTCCTACTGCAAGTGGCCCTTACTGAGCTGAGAGATGTCATTGCCACAGGGAGGACCTATAGGCACATGTAGGTTGAGTGAAACTCTAGTTCCACTTGGAAGCCCAGACAAGGGATGGGTCAGTGAGCAAGGCTCTCTTCCTAGTCTCAGGCCCTGCCTGTGGCACCCTAATCCTACTCTCAAGATGTTGGATCTGGGCAGATGTGACAAATTCACACAACTCTGATTTTGTCTGAATTCTGTAGATCTTGTAGATTTCATCCTTCACTCTAATTTCAGCGTCTAAAATCCTCGCTACCATGAACAATCTGAGTATTTGATGAGACAGGGCTGAATAGTGCAGTTTTTCTCCTAGCAACCATTTGGGGGCACTTGCTTTAAATCGATTGGAAAAATATGGCATAACCATTTGCACAAACTTGGGAGAAATGATATTGGGATAACGATCTACCAGAATAGGGAAGTTTACCCAGAGTTTCTGGGACAAAAACCAAGGAATCTCTATCATGATCAGCCTTCAGGCCTCCTGAAGAATATCTCTCACAGTGTCCTATTCTCATGCTGAGGAGCCTGAAGTCCCTGTGTGAGGATTAGACAGTGGATTGTTATGTGTGTAGGAGAACCAGCTTCATATGTCTGTCCATGTCTGAACTTATTGCAGAAATTGAAAAGTACCAAGAAGTGGAAGAAGACCAAGACCCATCATGCCCCAGGTAACTTTGAGCAATTATGGATGCTTAATTCTGTGTTGACACCTGGAGATGCCAGGTCCAGGGAAAAGAAGAGTGTGTTCAATTTCATGTTTTCAACGAAGGTTGAATTACTCCTACTGCCATTGCTGTTGGTTTTCATTGCAGTAGATGTTTAGGTTTCCATTTCTTCCTCCCCTTGTCATTTACTAACTTACTATAGGTTGACCATACCTCAAAGGCCGTATGGCAACTGCATGGAATCTTGAGCAAGTTTATGGAAAATTATTGAGCCCACTGTTTTCATGATCACTGTTCACTGTGTGTCCCGAGGGCACTAAATCAGAGTGTCCTTTGACCCCTTCATCAGTGTGTCACCCGGCCAATTCGCTGAGCTCACTTTCTCCTCTCTCTCTCTCTCCCTCTCCCTGTCTTCTCTTTCATTCTTTTCTACCTGGCCCTGGTCTATCCCAACATAAAGGCAATAATTCATTACCTCATTAATGGATCTGTCCTTTTTCTTTTTAAACAGTTCCTTATGTTAGCCACGAAATCTAGCTGGGGCTGTGTGGTTTCTGATTCCCCCTGGCTTATTCTTTACTTTTTCCTACTTTTCCAGGCTCAGCAGGGAGCTGCTGGCTGAGAAAGAGCCTGAAGTCTTGCAGGACTCACTGGATAGATGTTATTCGACTCCTTCAGGTTATCTTGAACTGCCTGACTTAGGCCAGCCCTACAGAAGTGCTGTTTACTCATTGGAGGAACAGTACCTTGGCTTGGCTCTTGACGTGGACAGTGAGTACCTTACTATGAAGGTGATAAGCCTCCACCTGGCCTTCCAGATAGGGGTGATATTCCTGTTCCAAGTGGCCCTTACTGACCCGAGAGACGTCATTGCCACAGGCAGGACCTATGGGTGCATATAGGTTGTAATGAAACTGTAGTCTCAGCTGGAAGCCTAGACATGAAATGGGTCAGTGAGCAAGGCTCTATTCCTAGTCTCCAGCCATGCCTGTGGCAACCTGAGCCCACTCTCAGCACGTTGGACCCAGGCAGATGTAAAAAATTCACAGAACTATGATTTGGACTCAAGGGTTTGTAGATTTCCTCCTTCATTCTAATTTCAGTGTCTAAAATTCTTGCATCCGTGAACGAGCTGGGCATTTGATGAGACAGGGCCGAATACTGCAGTTTTCCTCCTAGAAATCCTCTGGGGCATTTTCTTTGAACTGATGGGAACAATAAGGCATAACTGTTTGCACAAACTTGGGATAAATGATTTTGGGATAACGATCTACCAGAATAGGGATATTTCACCCTTGGTTCTGAGATGCAAACCAAAGAATATCATGACCAGCTTTCAGGCCTCCTGAAGTATATCCCTCAAATTGTCCTGTTCTCATGCTGAGGAGCCTGAGATCCCTGTGTGGGGATTAGACAGTGGACTGTTATGGGTGTAGGTGAATTGGCTTATTTTGTCTGTCCCTGCCTGAATGTATTGCAGGAATTAAAAAGGACCAAGAAGAGGAAGAAGACCAAGGCCCACCATGCCCCAGGTAACTGAGCAATTGTGAACAGCTACTTCTGTGTTGACATCTGGAGACTCCTGGTTCAGGGAAAATAGAGCGGGCTGACATTATCGATTACATCTTTTCAACCAAGCCTGAATTATTCCTACTAACATTGCTGTTGGTTTTCATTGCAGTAGATATTTAGGTTTCCATTTCTTCCTCCCCTTATCATTTACTAACCTACTGCAGGTGGACCAGACTTCAAAAACTGTATTCTCATGGTGACTGCATGGAAACTTGAGCACATTTTATGGAAAATTATTGAGCACAGTCTTTTCATGATCACTGTATGCTGTGTGTCCTGAGGGCACTAACTCAGAGTGTCCTGTTACTCCCTCATCAGTGTGTCACCTGGACAATTCACTGAGCTCGTTTTCTCTCTCTCTCTCTCTCTTTCTCTCTCAGTGTGTGCGTGTGTCTTTGTGTGTGTGTTTGTGTGTGTGTGTGTGTGTGTGTGTGTCTGTCTTTCTCTTTCATTCTTTTCCATTTGGCCCTGTTCTGTCCCAACATGAAGGCAATAATTTGTTACCTCATTAATGGATCTATCCTTTTACTTTTTTAACCACTTCCTTATGCTACCCATGAAACCTAGTTGGGGCTCTGTTGTGTGTGATTTCCCCTGGCTTATTCTTTACTTTTTCCTCCTTTTCCAGGCTCAGCAGGGAGCTGCTGGAGGTAGTAGAGCCTGAAGTCTTGCAGGACTCACTGGATAGATGTTATTCAACTCCTTCCAGTTGTCTTGAACAGCCTGACTCCTGCCAGCCCTACAGAAGTTCCTTTTATGCATTGGAGGAAAAACATGTTGGCTTTTCTCTTGACGTGGGAGGTGAGTACGTTTCTATGAAGGTGATAAGGATCCACTGAGTCTTCCATATAAAGATCATATTCCTGCTCCAAGTGGCCATTACTGAGCTGAGAGATGTCATTGCCGCAGTGAGGACCTATAGGCACATGTAG
Organism: Homo sapiens; assembly: GCF_000001405.40. Lineage (NCBI taxonomy): Eukaryota > Metazoa > Chordata > Mammalia > Primates > Hominidae > Homo > Homo sapiens. The sequence continues at coordinate 146,988,258 of NC_000001.11, forward strand.
GTTGAATGAAACTCTAGTTCTACCTGGAAGCCCAGACATGGGATGGGTCAGTGAGCATGGCTCTCTTCCTAGTCTCAGGCCATGCCTGTGGCACTCTGATTCTACTCTCATGACATTGGACCTGGGCAGATGTGACAAATTCAGAGAACTATGATTTTGACTCGAGGGTTTGTAGATTTCCTTTTTCACTCTAATTTCAGTGTCTGGAGTCCTCACAACCATGAACAATCTGAGTATTTGATGAGACAGGGCTAAATATTGCAGTTTTTCTCCTAGAAATCATTTGAGGGTATTTGCTTTAAATTGATTGGAAAAATAAGGCATAACTGTTTGCACAAACTTGGGACAAATGATATTGGGATAACGATCTACTAGAATAGGGACATTTTACCCAGAGTTTCTGGGAGAAAAACCGAGGAATTTCTATCACGACCAGCCTTCAGGCCTCCTGAAATATATCTCTCACAGTGTCCTATTCTTATGCTGAGGAGCCTGAGGTCCCTGTGTGAGGATTAGACAGTGGATTGTTATGTGTGTAGGGGAATCAGCTTAATGTGTCTGTCCATGTCTGAATTTATTGCAGAAATTGAAAAGAAGGGGAAGGGGAAGAAAAGAAGGGGAAGAAGATCAAAGAAGAAAAGAAGAAGGGGAAGAAAAGAAGGGGAAGAAGATCAAAACCCACCATGCCCCAGGTAACTTTCAGCAATTGTGGATGCTTAATTCTGTGTTAACACCTGGAGGCAACAGATTCAGGGAAACCAGAGTGTGTTTGATGTCATGTTTTCAACGAAGGCTGAATTACTCCTACTGTCATTGCTGTTGGTTTTCATTGCAGTAGATGTTTAGGTTTCCATTTCTTCCTCCCCTTATCATTTAGTAACGTACCATAGGTTGACCATACTTCAAAAGCTGTACTCTCATGGCCACTGCATCGAATTTTGAGCATATTTTATGGAAAACTATTGAGCTCACTCTTTTCATGATCACAGTTTGCTGTGTGTCATGAGGGCACTAACTCAGAGTGTCCTTTGACTCCCTTACCAGTATGTCACCTGGCCAATTCACTAGCTCACTTTCTCTCTGTCTCTGTCTCTGTCTCTGTCTCTGTCTCTGTCTCTCTCTCTCTGTCTTTCTCTTTCATTGTTTTCTACCTGGCCCTGTTCTATCCCAACATAAAGGCAATAATTTGTTACCTCATTAATGGATCTGTCCTTTTTCTTTTCTAACCACTTCCTTATGTTAGCCATGAAATCTAGCTGGGGCTGTGTGATTTCTGATTCCCCCTGGCTTATTCTTTACTTTTTCCCACTTTCCAGGCTCAGCAGGGAGCTGCTGGCTGAGAAAGAGCCTGAAGTCTTGCAGGACTCACTGGATAGATGGTATTCGACTCCTTCAGTTTATCTTGGACTGACTGACCCATGCCAGCCCTACAGAAGTGCCTTTTACGTATTGGAGCAACAGCGTGTTGGCTTGGCTGTTGACATGGATGGTGAGTACCTTTCTATGAAGGTGATAAGGATCCACTGAGTCTTCTGGTTAGGGTCATATTCCTACTGCAAGTGGCCCTTACTGAGCTGAGAGATGTCATTGCCACAGGGAGGACCTATAGGCACATGTAGGTTGAGTGAAACTCTAGTTCCACTTGGAAGCCCAGACAAGGGATGGGTCAGTGAGCAAGGCTCTCTTCCTAGTCTCAGGCCCTGCCTGTGGCACCCTAATCCTACTCTCAAGATGTTGGATCTGGGCAGATGTGACAAATTCACACAACTCTGATTTTGTCTGAATTCTGTAGATCTTGTAGATTTCATCCTTCACTCTAATTTCAGCGTCTAAAATCCTCGCTACCATGAACAATCTGAGTATTTGATGAGACAGGGCTGAATAGTGCAGTTTTTCTCCTAGCAACCATTTGGGGGCACTTGCTTTAAATCGATTGGAAAAATATGGCATAACCATTTGCACAAACTTGGGAGAAATGATATTGGGATAACGATCTACCAGAATAGGGAAGTTTACCCAGAGTTTCTGGGACAAAAACCAAGGAATCTCTATCATGCTCAGCCTTCAGGCCTCCTGAAGAATATCTCTCACAGTGTCCTATTCTCATGCTGAGGAGCCTGAAGTCCCTGTGTGAGGATTAGACAGTGGATTGTTATGTGTGTAGGAGAACCAGCTTCATATGTCTGTCCATGTCTGAACTTATTGCAGAAATTGAAAAGTACCAAGAAGTGGAAGAAGACCAAGACCCATCATGCCCCAGGTAACTTTGAGCAATTATGGATGCTTAATTCTGTGTTGACACCTGGAGATGCCAGGTCCAGGGAAAAGAAGAGTGTGTTCAATTTCATGTTTTCCACGAAGGTTGAATTACTCCTACTGCCATTGCTGTTGGTTTTCATTGCAGTAGATGTTTAGGTTTCCATTTCTTCCTCCCCTTGTCATTTACTAACTTACTATAGGTTGACCATACCTCAAAGGCCGTATGGCAACTGCATGGAATCTTGAGCAAGTTTATGGAAAATTATTGAGCCCACTGTTTTCATGATCACTGTTCGCTGTGTGTCCCGAGGGCACTAAATCAGAGTGTCCTTTGAACCCTTCATCAGTGTGTCACCCGGCCAATTCGCTGAGCTCACTTTCTCCTCTCTCTCTCTCTCCCTCTCCCTGTCTTCTCTTTCATTCTTTTCTACCTGGCCCTGGTCTATCCCAACATAAAGGCAATAATTCATTACCTCATTAATGGATCTGTCCTTTTTCTTTTTAAACAGTTCCTTATGTTAGCCATGAAATCTAGCTGGGGCTGTGTGGTTTCTGATTCCCCCTGGCTTATTCTTTACTTTTTCCTACTTTTCCAGGCTCAGCAGGGAGCTGCTGGCTGAGAAAGAGCCTGAAGTCTTGCAGGACTCACTGGATAGATGTTATTCGACTCCTTCAGGTTATCTTGAACTGCCTGACTTAGGCCAGCCCTACAGAAGTGCTGTTTACTCATTGGAGGAACAGTACCTTGGCTTGGCTCTTGACGTGGACAGTGAGTACCTTACTATGAAGGTGATAAGCCTCCACCTGGCCTTCCAGATAGGGGTGACATTCCTGTTCCAAGTGGCCCTTACTGACCCGAGAGACGTCATTGCCACAGGCAGGACCTATGGGTGCATATAGGTTGTAATGAAACTGTAGTCTCAGCTGGAAGCCTAGACATGAAATGGGTCAGTGAGCAAGGCTCTATTCCTAGTCTCCAGCCATGCCTGTGGCAACCTGAGCCCACTCTCAGCACATTGGACCCAGGCAGATGTAAAAAATTCACAGAACTATGATTTGGACTCAAGGGTTTGTAGATTTCCTCCTTCATTCTAATTTCAGTGTCTAAAATTCTTGCATCCGTGAACGAGCTGGGCATTTGATGAGACAGGGCCGAATACTGCAGTTTTCCTCCTAGAAATCCTCTGGGGCATTTTCTTTGAACTGATGGGAACAATAAGGCATAACTGTTTGCACAAACTTGGGATAAATGATTTTGGGATAACGATCTACCAGAATAGGGATATTTCACCCTTGGTTCTGAGATGCAAACCAAAGAATATCATGACCAGCTTTCAGGCCTCCTGAAGTATATCCCTCAAATTGTCCTGTTCTCATGCTGAGGAGCCTGAGATCCCTGTGTGGGGATTAGACAGTGGACTGTTATGGGTGTAGGTGAATTGGCTTATTTTGTCTGTCCCTGCCTGAATGTATTGCAGGAATTAAAAAGGACCAAGAAGAGGAAGAAGACCAAGGCCCACCATGCCCCAGGTAACTGAGCAATTGTGAACAGCTACTTCTGTGTTGACATCTGGAGACTCCTGGTTCAGGGAAAACAGAGCGGGCTGACATTATCGATTACATCTTTTCAACCAAGCCTGAATTATTCCTACTAACATTGCTGTTGGTTTTCATTGCAGTAGATACTTAGGTTTCCATTTCTTCCTCCCCTTATCATTTACTAACCTACTGCAGGTGGACCAGACTTCAAAAACTGTATTCTCATGGTGACTGCATGGAAACTTGAGCACATTTTATGGAAAATTATTGAGCACAGTCTTTTCATGATCACTGTATGCTGTGTGTCCTGAGGGCACTAACTCAGAGTGTCCTGTTACTCCCTCATCAGTGTGTCACCTGGACAATTCACTGAGCTCGTTCTCTCTCTCTCTCTCTCTCTCTCTCTCTGTGTGTGTGTGTGTGTGTGTGTGTGTGTGTGTGTGTGTGTGTGTGTGTGTCTATCTGTCTTTCTCTTTCATTCTTTTCCATTTGGCCCTGTTCTGTCCCAACATGAAGGCAATAATTTGTTACCTCATTAATGGATCTATCCTTTTACTTTTTTTAACCACTTCCTTATGCTACCCATGAAACCTAGTTGGGGCTCTGTTGTGTCTGATTTCCCCTGGCTTATTCTTTACTTTTTCCTCCTTTTCCAGGCTCAGCAGGGAGCTGCTGGAGGTAGTAGAGCCTGAAGTCTTGCAGGACTCACTGGATAGATGTTATTCAACTCCTTCCAGTTGTCTTGAACAGCCTGACTCCTGCCAGCCCTACAGAAGTTCCTTTTATGCATTGGAGGAAAAACATGTTGGCTTTTCTCTTGACGTGGGAGGTGAGTACGTTTCTATGAAGGTGATAAGGATCCACTGAGTCTTCCATATAAAGATCATATTCCTGCTCCAAGTGGCCATTACTGAGCTGAGAGATGTCATTGCCGCAGTGAGGACCTATAGGCACATGTAGGTTGAATGAAACTCTAGTTCTACCTGGAAGCCCAGACATGGGATGGGTCAGTGAGCATGGCTCTCTTCCTAGTCTCAGGCCATGCCTGTGGCACTCTGATTCTACTCTCATGACATTGGACCTGGGCAGATGTGACAAATTCAGAGAACTATGATTTTGACTCGAGGGTTTGTAGATTTCCTTTTTCACTCTAATTTCAGTGTCTGGAGTCCTCACAACCATGAACAATCTGAGTATTTGATGAGACAGGGCTAAATATTGCAGTTTTTCTCCTAGAAATCATTTGAGGGTATTTGCTTTAAATTGATTGGAAAAATAAGGCATAACTGTTTGCACAAACTTGGGACAAATGATATTGGGATAACGATCTACTAGAATAGGGACATTTTACCCAGAGTTTCTGGGAGAAAAACCGAGGAATTTCTATCATGACCAGCCTTCAGGCCTCCTGAAATATATCTCTCACAGTGTCCTATTCTTATGCTGAGGAGCCTGAGGTCCCTGTGTGAGGATTAGACAGTGGATTGTTATGTGTGTAGGGGAATCAGCTTAATGTGTCTGTCCATGTCTGAATTTATTGCAGAAATTGAAAAGAAGGGGAAGGGGAAGAAAAGAAGGGGAAGAAGATCAAAGAAGAAAAGAAGAAGGGGAAGAAAAGAAGGGGAAGAAGATCAAAACCCACCATGCCCCAGGTAACTTTCAGCAATTGTGGATGCTTAATTCTGTGTTAACACCTGGAGGCAACAGATTCAGGGAAACCAGAGTGTGTTTGATGTCATGTTTTCAACGAAGGCTGAATTACTCCTACTGTCATTGCTGTTGGTTTTCATTGCAGTAGATGTTTAGGTTTCCATTTCTTCCTCCCCTTATCATTTAGTAACGTACCATAGGTTGACCATACTTCAAAAGCTGTACTCTCATGGCCACTGCATCGAATTTTGAGCATATTTTATGGAAAACTATTGAGCTCACTCTTTTCATGATCACAGTTTGCTGTGTGTCATGAGGGCACTAACTCAGAGTGTCCTTTGACTCCCTTACCAGTATGTCACCTGGCCAATTCACTAGCTCACTTTCTCTCTGTCTCTGTCTCTGTCTCTGTCTCTGTCTCTGTCTCTCTCTCTCTGTCTTTCTCTTTCATTGTTTTCTACCTGGCCCTGTTCTATCCCAACATAAAGGCAATAATTTGTTACCTCATTAATGGATCTGTCCTTTTTCTTTTCTAACCACTTCCTTATGTTACTTCTGAAATCTAGTGAGGCTCTGTGGTGTCTGACTTTCCCTGGCTGCTTCTTTAGTTTTGTCTCCTTTTCCAGGCTCAACAGCGTGCTGATGGAAGTGGAAGAGCCTGAAGTCTTGCAGGACTCACTGGATAGATGTTATTCGACTCCATCAATGTACTTTGAACTACCTGACTCATTCCAGCACTACAGAAGTGTGTTTTACTCATTTGAGGAACAGCACATCACCTTTGCCCTTGACATGGACAATAGCTTTTTTACTTTGACGGTGACAAGTCTCCACCTGGTCTTCCAGATGGGAGTCATATTCCCACAATAAGCAGCCCTTACTAAGCCGAGAGGTTTCATTCCTGCAGGCAGGACCTATAGGCACCTGAAGATTTGAATGAAACTATAGTTCCATTTGGAAGCCCAGACATAGGATGGGTCAGTGGGCATGGCTCTATTCCTATTCTCAGAGCATGCCAGTGGCAACCTGTGCTCAGTCTGAAGACAATGGACCCACGTTAGGTGTGACACGTTCACATAACTGTGCAGCACATGCCGGGAGTGATCAGCCGGACATTTTAATTTGAACCATGTATCTCTGGGTAGCTACAAAATTCCTCAGGGATTTCATTTTGCAGGCATGTCTCTGAGCTTCTATACCTACTCAAGGTCAGTGTCATCTTTGTGTTTAGTTCATCCAAAGGTGTTACCCTGGTTTCAATGAACCTAACCTCATTATTTGTGTCTTCAGTGTTGGCTTGTTTTAGCTGATCCATCTGTAACACAGGAGGGATCCTTGGCTGAGGATTGTATTTCAGAACCACCAACTGCTCTTGACAATTGTTAACCCACTAGGCTCCTTTGGTTAGAGAAGCCACAGTCCTTCAGCCTCCAATTGGTGTCAGTACTTAGGAAGACCACAGCTAGATGGACAAACAGCATTGGGAGGCCTTAGCCCTGCTCCTCTCAATTCCATCCTGTAGAGAACAGGAGTCAGGAGCCGCTGGCAGGAGACAGCATGTCACCCAGGACTCTGCCGGTGCAGAATATGAGCAATGCCATGTTCTTGCAGAAAACGCTTAGCCTGAGTTTCATAGGAGGTAATCACCAGACAACTGCAGAATGTAGAACACTGAGCAGGACAACTGACCTGTCTCCTTCACATAGTCCATATCACCACAAATCACACAACAAAAAGGAGAAGAGATATTTTGGGTTGAAAAAAAGTAAAAAGATAATGTAGCTGCATTTCTTTAGTTATTTTGAACCCCAAATATTTCCTCATCTTTTTGTTGTTGTCATTGATGGTGGTGACATGGACTTGTTTATAGAGGACAGGTCAGCTCTCTGGCTCAATGATCTACATTCTGAAGTTGTCTGAAAATGTCTTCATGATTAAATTCAGCCTAAACTTTTTGCTGGGAACACTGCAGAGACAATGCTGTGAGTTTCCAACCTCAGCCCATCTGCGGGCAGAGAAGGTCTAGTTTGTCCATCACCATTATGATATCAGGACTGGTTACTTGGTTAAGGAGGGGTCTAGGAGATCTGTCCCTTTTAGAGACACCTTACTTATAATGAAGTACTTGGGAAAGCGGTTTTCAAGAGTATAAATATCCTGTATTCTAATGATCATCCTCTAAACATTTTATCATTTATTAATCCTCCCTGCCTGTGTCTATTATTATATACATATCTCTACGCTGCAAATTTTGGGTCTCAATTTTTACTGTGCCTTTGTTTTTACTAGTGTCTGCTGTTGCAAAAAGAAGAAAACATTCTCTGCCTGAGTTTTAATTTTTGTCCAAAGTTAATTTTAATCTATACAATTAAAACCTTTTGCCTATCACTCTGGACTTTTGGATTGTTTTTTACATTCAGTGTTATAATATTTGATTATGCTGATTGGTTTTGGTGGGTACTGATGTGAATTAATAAAAACATTTCATTTCCATGTTTATTTTCTAATCTCTTCCACATTGTAGGCTATGTTTACCATACGTAGCAGAATGTATTTACATTTCTTGGTTCTAGTCATTTGTATTCTTCGTGAGTGTGTGTGTGTGTGTGTCTGTGTGTGCCTTTGGCATTTAGGAAGGGTTGTATAGCTCATGTTAAATATTGCACTAAAAATGTTTTTGATGGTTTTCCTCCCTTTGAACTAGACACACTTCTAATATTTGGTTTATAGTTTTAAATTATAACTTTCAGCATCAAATATTTCCATACAACAGTCAATTACATGATGTGTTTTCTTTTTCCTACCTCCTTTACCTGCCACTTCTCATAATAGTATTTGAACCTAAACATATACCGGTGACATTCTGTGATTATCATCCTGCCCCTACCTTGGTTTTTATCCATTGTGGTTTAGATCCATAATGAAATATATTAACGCTCATGAGCTATTCAAAAGTGAATGTCACAGTCATCACTTGCTGAGTGGTACTCATCCTTAACAGAGTCCTCATGAGGGAATCAGGTCTCGCTGAGTTTAGCATGTTTAATAATCTTTTCTCACGGTCTCGATACATGGATCACATTACTAGATATAAGGTGCTTGTCCAAAATGATTTTTCTGGAGCTTTTAGGAGATATTGTCATCCTTGGGGGACATACATGGTGTATGTTCTCATTGTGGGATTCTATTTTGTTCTACCAGGACCTCTAATTTCTGCCAGTTACTTCATTCATTTGTTCTCTTCACCATGAGTCTCCAGAGGATACTTCCATGGTCCGTGCCTCCCCATCTCCCAGCAATTCTGCATTTCCAAGATGGGCACCTCTGGTCCTCTGCACGGTGAAGCCCCTTCCTTTCAATTCCCCAGTAGCCAGTGCTCTAATCCACCAGGTCTCAGGCATGATCTATGTTTCTCCACACTCGCTTTCTGAGGAGAGTTTTGCCTGGGTTCTATCATGAACAGGCCCTCCCTGCTGTCCTGGCCTCTATTTGCATAGTGTTTCCTGCTCCCTCTGCCGTCGTGTGGCTCCCAGACCTGGCTAAAGAAAATCACCTGAGGGCCACAGTGTTCCCTAGCCCTGGTGTTTAGGGCAGGATTATGGGTGAGATTTTTGAGTCTCTAAGTTGACCCCTACGGCTCTGAAGTGTAAGTTGAGAAATTCAGCTGTTATCATCCTAGGTGGACTTGCTCCCTCCTATCCTCCTACTTCAAATGCAGAACTTCAATCGTTTACAAAAGAAGACTGAATCGTATAATAGAACACACCCTTATTCATTGGCTGGCTTCACCAATCATCTCATGGCTGAACTTGTAAAAATACAATCTTAGCCACATACCTATGAAATGTATGTGTGTGTATATATATGCATGAATTTGCTTCTGAGATTATGGAGGCTGAAATTCCCAAGATGGAAGGAAAGCTGGATATCCAGGAAAGCATTTGTTTCCCATTAGGCCTCTTAATTCTCTCCTGGCCCTTGATTGATTGCATGAGGCCCACCCCTATTAAGGAGGGCAATCTGCTTCACTTAGTCTGCCCATCCCAATGTTAATCGTATCTGAAAGACTCTCTGGAACACAACCAGAATCATGTTTGGCCAAATGTCCTGGCACCCTGGTGCTCGGTCACAGTGACAACTACAAGTAACTATCACACATGCCCTTTGTCATATTGGTGATTTCCACTGTTTTTCTCCCAAACTGCAGCTTATATTTGTTCTCTTAATACTGTTGAGCAAAAACTTTTAATTTTTATAAAGTCGAATTTATCAATGTTTTCTTTAATGGTTTGTGTTTATTGATAATAAAGAACACTTTGCCTAACTCTGTGTCATGAAGATTTTGTCTTATATTTTCTGCTATACTTTTTCTAGTTTTATAGTTTATATTTAGTTGCATAATCCATTTTGAGTTAGTTTTTGAGTTAGTATTGAGGTTCAGGTGAATTTTTTTCCTTTGGGTATAAAAAAAACAAATTGTGTAAAAAAAGTTGTTTCTACACAATTTGTTGACAAGAGAATGCCTTCTCCACTGAATCATATTTGCACCTTTGTCAATCCATTGGGTGGTTGAGACTGGTGAGAGGACTGTCCTGGTGTTTGGACAGAGAGACAGGGCATGAAGTAGGGTGGTTCTTATGGGAAAAATTAAGGAAGACACATTTTTGCATGAGGAATAGGAAATCCCCAAGCACAATTGGGGGTACCCTCTACCAGCATGTTGTAGCACACTCATCTGTGCTCTACCTGTCCTGCTGCAAAAGCTTGGGTGTGCATAGACACTGAGGTTGAGTGGTGTCTTTGGGCATTTTGAGCATTGACACCAAAGTTCCAGCATCAAATCTTAGAATATCAAGCAGCCAGATGGATCACCTGAGGTCAGGAGTTCACGACCAGCCTGACTAACATGGTGAAACCCCATCTCTACTAAATACAAAAAAATTAGCCAGGCATGATGGTGCATGCCTGTAATCTGAGCTACTTGGGAGGCTGAGACAGGAGAATCGCTTGTGTACCTGGGAGGTGGAGGTTGCAGTGAGCTGAGATCACACCATTGCACTCCAGCCTGGGCAACGAGAGCAAAACTCTATCCCCCCGCAAAAAAAATAAATAAAAATAAAAGAATATCAAGCAGCCAAAGAAGCAGGAAAACATGACACATAATGAAGAATCTAATAATCTAGTTGAAATTGACAGACATGTTGGAAATAGAAGAAAAGGACATTAGAGCAGTTAGTATAATTGTATTTTAATTAAATAGGGAGGTTGAAGATTTTTTAAATATCAAATTCTGTAAATAAAAAGTATGATTTACAGTCTGAAATGGAAGAAGGCAGTGGATTAAACATTGCAGAAGAGAAGATTATTGAACTAGAAGGAATAGAATTTGAAACTAACATAAATGAAACACACAGTAACAAATGACTTGAAAACATAAAAAGACCATCGGCATCAAAACTTTAAACCCCCCAGTATAGGGCTAAATGGAATCCCTGAAGGGCGTGTAGTGGAGAAGAGAGACAAAGATATTTAAAACATACTGGATGAAAGATTTAGAAGCTCCATGGAAACCATAAACTTCAAATATTACAGAAATATGATTATTCTAAGAACAAGAAACATGAAGAAAACTTCACCAAGGAACGCCTTAATCAAATCCATCAAAACCAGTGATAAAAAGGAAATCCTAAAAGGAATAAAAAGGGAAAGAACATGTTACATACAGAGCACTAAATATAATGATGGCATAAGATTTCTCATACAAACAAGAAGTTTGCAATAAAGAACTTAAAAAAAAGAAAAACTGTCACCTACAATTCTACACCTGGCCAAATTATCTTTTAAAAATAAACATGAGAAAAAGTGTTTTTGAACAGAAAACAAAATGATCTCAATTTGCAGATGGTGTGATCCTATGCATAGAAAATCCCAAATAATACCTACAGATGCAAACACACATACATGCACACAGAGGCCAGTCACACACACACACACACACACACACTCACATACACACACTACTAGAGTTAATAAGCGAATTCAGCAAACTTTCAGCAAACAATCAGTTGTGTTAGCAATGAACAATCTGAGAAGAAAATTGACACAATGATTTCATTTATAATAGCACTGGTAAGAATAATATGCCTGGGAATAAATTTGTTCAAGAAGGTGCAGTACTTGTACACAGACAACTACAGAACATTGCTCGAGGAGATTCAGGAAGACCTAAATCAATGGACAGACATCTTGTGTCCATGGGTTGGAAGTTGTAACATGGTTAAGATAAAAATACAACTCAAAGCAACCCACAGATTCAATACAATCCTATCAAAAAGTGGCCTTTTTTACAGGAATGCCTAACAAGAACTTCATATTCCTAAAAAATAGTGTGTCCCCCCAAAACAAAAGCAATCTTGAAATGCAAGAAGAAACATTTTCTATTCCAAAGGTCTTTAACTGCTCTAAGCAGTACTTGGTAGTCTTCAATATATAGGCTTTCACATCTCTTTTTTTCTTCTTTTGTTTCTGCACAGGATCTCACTCTTTCACCCAGGCTGGAGTACAGTGGCACAATCACAGCTCACTGCAGCATGGAATTCTCAGGCCTATGACATCCTAGGGCCTCATCCACTGATTCCTGGGACTACAGGCTCACACCACCAAACCCGGATAATTTTTCTGATTTTCAGTAGAGATGAGGGCTCACTATGTTGCCTAGGCTAGTTTCAAGCTTATGAGATCAAGCAACCCTCCTGCCACAGCCTTCCAAAGTGCTGGGATTTGAGGCCAAGCCTGGCTGGCTTTCATGTCTTTTCTATGTAGTTTATATTTCTGGATGCCATTGAGAGTCTGGCTGGCTTTCACATATTTGCTATGTCGTTTATATTTCTTGATGCTATTGTAAATGTTTATTAAAGGAATCTTTTAAAAACTTTGTTTTGGCCAGGCGCGGTGGTCCATGCCTGTAATCCTACCACTTTGGGAGGCCGAGGTGGGTGGATCATGAGGTTAGAAGATCGAGACCATCCTGGCTAACATGGTGAAACCCCATCTCTACTAAAAATACAAAAAAAAAAAATTAGCCTGGCGTGGTGGCGGGCGCCTGTAGTCCCAGATACTTGGGAGGCTGAGGCAGGAGAATGGCGTGAACCTGGGAGGTGGAGCTTGCAGTGAGCCAAGATGGTGCCACTGCACTCCAGCCTGGGAGACAGAGTGAGACTCCGTCTCAAAAAAAAAATTGTATTAAAATTATATATTTAAGGAATTACATATATATTTATATATATATATAATACATATCCTTAAATTATATATATTTAAGGAATACAACCTGAGGACTACATATACATATACATAATGAACTAATGCCTACTAGGTGAGGGGCTGCCTTGTGAGCAAACCCAAGGTCCTTGGCTTATGAAGCCTTTGTCTAGAAGGATGGAGGGATCAGCAAGGTGGGCACACAGCAGGTTCTGTCTTTGGTGTGGGCATCTGCCCACTCGGGTCTCTGGCAATACTAATCAGGCTTCACGATGGGTGAGGTGAGCTAGGAATGGGAAAGTGGATGACTTCAGATCCAGAGACTGCAGTTGTCACCTGGGGACCTGGCGTAGGGGTGGAGGAGTCTCCCACTGACTTGGCCATGGATCAATGCCCAAACATGCACAAGGATGGGACTCTCGGCCTCAATGCTTTAGGAGCCCCCAGTCTTCTAAAGAGGGTTTGTGGTGGGGAAGAATGTTCAACAAAACAGAAGAGTTATGGGTGCTCTAGCTTGGCAACGGAGAATACTTCCTTGTGCTACTAAATGGCAATATTTGACAATTACGGATGACACAATTGAGCAACAGCTTTCACTGTTTAACAAGCAGTGTCTCTGGAACACTAGGTTAGTGCTGTCGGATGTTGACTGAAAAGTCAGTGGTTTGAGCCCATCCAGTCATATTAATGTTTCTAGCTGACGTGACCTTCCATCTGAAGAGTCTCTTCCTTGGACCAAATATCTCTTAAAGCTTCTCTTCTTCTTGTCTCTTGTCTATTTTCTAAGGTGCCTCTTTGTTGCTTGGGGCAAAAAAAGTCCATTTTTAATCCACACCCAACAAACATCTACCCTTACGTATCCTGGTTTTTAGGGTTTTGAGTTTGTTGTTTGTTTTCTCAGCTTCTCATATTTGGAATACTGGAAATTCCTAAAGAGGAGAATGACAGAACGTGAATCACAGCTATGGTGAAGCCACAGGCTCTGGATGAAAAACCTAATCTGCCAGGGTTTGAAGTTAAACACATTAATCTTCTGTGCCTCCATTTCTATCTGTCCAATGGGCTAAATCAGAACACTTAGGTTGTCCAGTGTTTAAATGAGCAGTGCAGGAAAAGCATGGAGCCAATGCCTGTCACGTAGTAATTGGACAACACGCATGAGCTCCTATCAGCGCCATGGTCTCCAGCATTTCCATCAGGTTTTGATCTTTGAAATGTCCTTCTTGATATGAAAGGATCATTCCTCAAACATTCTCTAACCGATGGCCATGAAATTGCTCCAATGTGTATTATTACAAATACAACTGCAGGGACCAGACTGACACATGTATCTGTCGTGCATCGCTTGTCTATTTCTCCGTAGACACCTGGAGATGGAATTGTCAGACCAAAGTATTTATACATGTTTGATTTTGCTAATTTCTGTCTAAATTACTGTGAAAAGAAAATATAATATGTCATACTTTTAATATTTTTTGAGAATTCTTTTTTCTCCATCTTCTGGTCAAAACTGGGAAGTACTTGCCTACCATTTCCTCTGAACTTACTTTTGCCAACATTTGTGTAGTCATACAGTGGGATCACATTGTATGCAAGACATCAAACTCAAATCCTTAAATGAAAGCGATTAACATGACTGTGTAAAAACTTATCTTCAAAATACAATGAATACATATATACACATACTTATATGGGAAAGGAATTATTTGGATACTTTATCAAAGTTATATATACTTGAAAATTTGTTTAGTAAAATAGCAGTGCCCTTGTGTACTCCCAGAGTTTCATCACATAGAAGCAATTATTTCATTATTTATCTCCTTATGCCTAAATAGATATTATTACTTTTTGATTTTCAAGTTTAGGCACTACCTCTCCTTCACATACTTGCTCATCACCACCACCCCCAAACACGCCTCTCACCACCTTACCCTTCAACACGTTTGTGTCCTCGTTTGCTGGGTCAATTGCTACATTGTTATAACTTGTATATTTTATTCAGAGTTCAGTCACATTGGATATACATAGCAGGAATGAGAGGCCAGTATCTTCAGGGACTCTCTCTCAAGTAGATAAGCTTCAGAGATTTTTGTAGTCTTTGGTCACTCTCCCCATCTTTTTCCTATTCCAGGTAAGTACTGGATCTGATGGGCCCAGCTCAGGTCAGGCACTCTCTCCTTGAGCAGGGGAGAGCGGGACATCTTCATGTGCAGTACCAGGAAGACACTGTCCAAAGAGGGACAGGTAGTTCTAAGACAGAAAAGTCTGTCTGGGGTACAGGTAGGCAAAACAAGGACACACACACAAAAATTAGTCTGTTCTGTGAGGGGAGCATGCAGTAGAGGGTGGATTCAGAGTGGGAGGGGAGAGTTTTGAGAGATATGGGCCATGGATATCACTCTGTGGGCCGGAGCCACACAAGATGGTTGGGGTCTCTCAGGGGCAGGGAGCTGAGGAGGATCTGCCCTCCCCAACCTGGGAGACTGGTGAGGGGACTGTCCTGGTCACCAGACAGAAATGGGGTCTGGGCCAGGGCAGTTCTGGTGGGAAAGAAAGAACAGGACATCTCCTTAAGGAAAGGTCCTGAGTCAGGTCTTGGCAGGGAGGGAGGTTACCTTGTCCATTGGCAGCTGAAGATGGTTGGCCAGATGAGGGCACTGAAATCCATGTCCTCTAAACTTGTAGTTCAGTAAAGGAACGACAGCAGTAAAGGGTCTTTAGGAAGAGGAGGTGGAAGACCTGATTTGGGTTGGGGGCTCCAAGAAGAATGTCTGCCTTGCTGTGCAGAAGCCTGCTACACAACCTCCCTGGTCCCCTTGCTCAGTCTCCTGGCCAGACCCCTGTGAGCCCTGGAAGTGCACAGTCAGCTCGGCCAAGGCATCTCCAGCCAGGACTCATCCCTGGGCATTTCTGTGGCCTTGGGTGCCCTGGCCTCCAGGCCCTGTCTTGCAGGCAATCATCCTGCAAGGGAAGGGGGAAAGGAGGCTACTTGACAGTTAACTCTGAGTGGCTCCACAAGGTCCTGACTTAGCTCCTAGTCACTTGCAAACCTATATACCCCCATCTCATCCCCCAAATGATGAAAAGAAACTTTGCAGGACTCATGCCAGACAAATAGGGTGGGACCATTCTGTAGAGCCAAGTTCTCAGGACATCAATAAGAGATGGAAACCACCTGCTGGAAGGTGCCACAGTGGGAACCTTGGGGTCAGGGAGCAGTCACTGAACTGTCAGGGTGAATCCTGGCTCCTGGCCCTCACACACCCTTTCTCCCCCTCCCTCCTTCTCTCCTCCCTCCTGTCTGCTCTTTCCCCTCTCTCTCCTGAATCCCTCAGGTACCTTCCATGGGCCCTGACCCCTCCTTTTCAGAGGCTCCAAAGTGAGCCCTCAAAACACTTGGTAACCTTGGACATTTCCAAAACTGGAGAGACTTAACCACAGTATTTTTATGAGCTAGGAAGGTCCTCCAGAGCTCTTGCCTAAATTTTTCTGCTGATGAGAAGAGAACAAGAGTTTCCATCTGATCTGGTCCTAAGGCAACTTCTCCTTGGAGCAGAGTCTGGGCAGGAAGAAGGGGGTTGCCCAGGGCCCTGGACTTGCCCCTCCCAGCTGCTCTGCTCCTCTCCCCTTCACTGCGGGAGGCTGGCCAGGGATCAGGAACCTCCGTTCTCCACAGATGCTGGGATTCCAGGCTCAAATCTAAATATTGGCTGATTTAGGAGGCGAAGGGAGGCAATTCCCTGGAGGGAGGTGTCAGGATTTGGGACAAGAGCAGCATCTAGTTACCATCCACAGAGACCCCAAGGGCAGGAATCCACTGGTAGCCGGTTGGAGGGGATCCCATGAAAACAAGATGAAACGCGTGCATTAGTACTGGAACCAAGATCAGGAGATGAAAAACTACACTGTCCTAGGGGATGAAGGAATTAGGGAATCCTGGAAGTAAAATTTTTCATATAGGTCATTTCTTCCAAAGAGACATAGGGCAATGGCCCAATGACGTGAAGAAAAGAAAACTCAGGGTCTAGGATTGAGGGGAGGCAGCCTTTTTAGTGGAGACCTGTGACCTGGAGGCCCAGGGTCATCCTGACAGGGGAGCGGTCTTGCTGGTCGCTGGGTCCGGGACTCCAATTGCACACAGCCAGTGGCATGGAGGGTCTGTGACCACGATTGGGCAATTTCCCCCATTCTGCTTATGGAGCAATAGAGAGGAACCTCACTGGAATTATACAGAAAGGTTCCAGTGAGACTTGAACTCTGATCACTGTATTCAGAGTCCAAAGTGGTCACCATTACACCATGGAACCTCACACTAGCTTATAACTGGAGGTAACTGAGTTCATACTTAGCAGCCATAGTTCCCACACACCTATGTTAAGGCATTTCTTCTGATCCCTCAAGCAACACCAAAGAAGGTGGACCTGCGAGAGAGGATTCATCCTCTTTCTTTCTCTCTGCCCTCTCCTTTGATCAACTTTTATCATTTCATTTGCACCTCAGAAAATGAGGCAAAATCCAGTTTGGGCTTAGGGCCAGAGAAGAGCCCTTGAGGCCTCCCTCTGGAAAACATACTCTCTCAGTTTACCAGAGTTTCCTGTACCAAGGGGAAATTTCCGCAAACAGTAGTGTTATATTCTTTTTGCCTTCCCTCTTTTCCCTTTGCCCAGGGAGGCCAGATGATTGTGAGAACAGGACTTGGGACTTCCTGGGTGTCTTGCCCCCATCCTCCATGTGATAAATAATGGCTGACACCAAGCAAGTGGGATTCGGAGGCAGGGAATCTTTCATTTTCTTCTTCATATACTTCTATGCATTTGTTTGGTTGGTTTTGGCAAGATTTTCTCACCAGAAATGGAGAATTTGTTGGATTTAAAATAAAAAGTAATCAGCCATGTTTTACATTTCTATAAAACACTCAAACCAGGCCATACTCCCCTGCTGTGCCTCAAAATCAACCATAAACTGTCGAGGTCAGGAGGCAGGGCCCTGACACTTAAGCACAGTGTGTTTCCTCAGAATTGGCCAAGTTGACGCCACTCCAATTTCTCAATATACCACAACCCATTAATTGGGGTTTTTAAAAGTGTACATGTATTTTTACCAAAACCCCAGGGCTTCAGTGTTCTCAGCACACAGAAAGACAATCATTGAGACATTGAGTATTGCTGAGGAAGAAGGCTTTAATCAGGTGCTGCAGCTGAGTAGACAGGAGATGAGTCTTAAATCTGTCTCCCTGATTGACTAAAGTTAGGGGTTTATATAGCGCAGAAGAAAAGTTAACTGTGTGTAGGAAAAGAGGAACTAGGGAGGGGTGAGGAAGCACTCGTGATGAGTGAGGGGACTGGCATCTCATTGTCTGGATGCTGTGATTGGCTGAGTTTCAGGTCTCTGATGCTTTTTGAGAGGCCTGAGAGTCCTTTCCTGAGGAAGGAACTCAGATAAAACAAATATAAGTTTGTTTTATAGAATGGCTTGACCTCAGGAGTTTGAAACCAGCCTGGGCAATATGGTGAAACCCTGTCTCTACCAAAATACAAAAAGAAAAAGAGGGTTGCTTCCAAGATGGCTGAATAGGAACAGCTCCGGTCTACAGCTTCAAGTGAGATAGACGCAGAAGACAGGTGATTTCTGCATTTCCAACTGAGGTACCTCGTTCATCTCACTGGGACTCGTTGGACAGTGTATGCAGCCCATGGAGGATGAGCCAAAGCAGGGTGGGGTGTTGCCTCACCCGAGAAGTGCAAGGGGTTGGGGGATTTCTTTTTCCTAGCCAAGGGAAGATGTGAGTGACTGTACCTCGAGGAGCAGTACACCCCTGCCCAAATACTGTGCTTTTTTCCACTGTCTTTGCAACCGACAGACCAGGAGATTCCCTCTTGTGCCTGGCTCGGCAGGTCCCATGCCCATGGAGCCTTGCCTGCTGCTAGCACAGCAGTCTGAGATCAACCTGTGGCACTGGAACATGGCAGGGGGAGGGGGTTCTGCCACTGCTGAGGCTTGAGTATGTGGTTCTATGGTCACAGTGTAAATAAAGTGGTAGGGAAGCTCAAACTGGGTAGAGCCCACTGCAGCTCAGCAAGGCCTACTGCCTCTAGATTCCACCTCTGGGGGCAGGGCATATCTGAATAAAAGGCAGCAGACACCTTCTGCAGACTTAAACGTCTTTGCCTGACAGCCCTAAAGACAGCAGTAGTTCTCCCAGCATGGCATTTGAGCTCTGATAATGGACAGGCAGCCTCCTCAAGTGGGTCTCTGACCACCATGTAGCCTAACTGGGAGACACCTCCCAGTAGGGGCCGACAGACACCTTATACAGGTGGGTGCCCCTCTGGGACAAAGCTTCCAGAGGAAGGATCAGGCAGCAATATTTGCTATTCTGCAGCCTCTGCTGGTGATAGCTGGGCAAACAGGGTCTGGAGTGGACCTCCAGCAAATTCCAACAGACCTGCAGCTGAGGGACCTGCCTGGTTAGAAGGATTAACAAACAGAAAGGAATAGCATCAACATCAACAAAAAGGACATCCACACTAAAACCCCATCTGTAGGTCACCAACATCAAAGACCAAAGTAGTACATAAAACCACAAAGATGGGGAGAAACCAGAGCAGAAAGGCTGAAAATTCCAAAAACCAGAACACCTCTTCTCCTCCAAAGGAACACAAGTCCTCACCAGCAAGGGAACAAAACTGGATGGAGAATTAGTTTGATGAGGTGACAGAAGCAGGCTTCAGAAGGTCGGTAATAACAAACTTCTCCGGGCTAAAGGAGCATGTTCTAACCCATCACAAGGAAGCTGAAAACCTTGAAAAAAGGTTAGATGAATGGCTAACTAGAATAAACAGTGTAGAGAAGAGCTTAAGTGACCTGAAGGAGCTGAAAACCACAGTATGAGAACCTCGTGAAGCATAAACAAGATTCAATAGCCAATTCAATCAAGCAGAATAAAGAATATCAGTGATTGAAGATCAAATTAATGAAATAAAGCGAGAAGACAAGATTAGAGAAAAAAGAGTAAAAAGAAATGAACAAAGACTCCAATAAATATGGGACTATGTAAAAAGACCAAATCTACATTTGATAGCTGTACTGAAAGTGACAGAGAGAATGGAATCAAGTTGGAAAACGCTCTGCAGGATATTATCCAGGAGAACTTCCCCAATCTAGCAAGGCAGGCCAACATTCAAATTCAGGAAATACAGAGAACGCCACAAAGATACTCCCCGAAAAGAGCAACTCCAAGACACATAATTGTCAGATTCACCAAAGTTGAAATGAAGGAAAAAATGTTAAGGGCAGCCAGAGAGAAAGGTCGGGATACCCACAAAGGGAAGCCCATCAGACTAACAGCTGATCTCTTGGCAGAAACTCTACAAGCCAGGAGGGAGTGGGGGCTAATATTCGACAATCTTAAAGAAAAGAATTTTCAACACAGAATTTCATATCCAGCCAAATGAAGCTTCATAAGTGAAGGAGAAATAAAATACTTTACAGACAAGAAAATGCTGAGAAATTTTGTCACCACCAGGCCTGCCCTAAAAGAGCTCCTGAAGGAAGCACTAAATATGGAAAGGAACAACTAGTACCAGCCACTGCAAAAACATGCCAAATTGTAAAGACCATCGATGCTAGGAAGAAACTGCATCAACTAATGAACAAAATAACCAGCTAACATCATAATGACAGGATCAAATTCACACATAACAATATTAACATTAAATGTAAATGGACTAAATGCTCCAATTAAAAGACACAGACTGGCATATTGGATAAAGAGTCAAGACCCTTCAGTGTGCTGTATTCAGGAAACCCATCTCACATGCAGAGAAACATACAGGCTCAAAATAAAGGGATGGAGGAAGATCTACCAAGCAAATGGAAAACAAAAAAAGGCAGGGGTTGCAATCCTAGTCTGTGAAAAAACAGACTTTAAACCAACAAAGATCAAAAGAGACAAAGAAGGCCACTACATAATGGTAAAGGGATCAATTCAACAAGAAGAGCTAACTATCCTAAATATATATGCACCCAATACAGGAGCACCCAGATTCGTAATGCAAATCCTTAGAGACCTACAAAGAGGCTTAGACTCCCACACAATAATAATGGGAGACTTTAACACCCCACTGTCAACATTAGACAGATCAACAAGACAGAAAGTTAACAAGGATATCCAGGAATTGAATTCAGCTCTGTACCAAGTGGACCTAATAGACATCTACAGAACTCTCCACCACAAATCAACAGAATATACATTATTCTCAGCACCACACTGCACCTATTCCAAAATTGACCACATACTTGGAAGAAAAGCACTCCTCAGAAAATGTAAAAGAACAGAAATTATAACAAACTGTCTCTCAGACCACAGTGCAATCAAACTAGAACTCAGGATTAAGAAACTCAATCAAAACCACTCAACTACATGGAAACTGAACAACCTGCTCCTGAATGACTACTGGGTAAATAATGAAATGAAGGCAGAAATAAAGAGGTTCTTTGGAACCCACGGGAACAAAGACACAACAAACCAGAATCTCTGGGACACATTTAAAGTAGTGTGTAGAGGGAAATTTATAGCAATAAATGCCCACAAGAGAAAGCACGAAAGATCTAAAATTGACACCCTAACATCACCATTAAAAGAAGTAGAGAAGCAAGAGAAAACACATTCAAAAGCTAGCAGAAAGCAAGAAATAACTAAGATCAGAGCAGAGCTGAAGGATATAGAGACACAAAAATCCCTTCAAAAAATCAATGAATCCAGGAGCTGGTTTTTTGAAAAGATCAACAAAATTTATAGACCGCTAGCAAGACTAATAAAGAAGAAAAGAGAGCAGAATCACATAGATGCAATAAAAAATGATAAAGGGGATATCACCACTGATCCCACAGAAATACAAACTACCTTCAGAGAATACTATAAACATCTCTATGCAAATAAACAAGAAAATCTAGAAGAAATGGATAAATTCCTTGACACATAAACCCTCGCAAGACTAAACCAGGAAGAAGTTGAATCTCTGAATAGACCAATAACAGGATCTGAAATTCAGGCAATAATTAATAGCTTACCAACCAAAAAAAGTCCAGGACCAGATGGATTCACAGCCGAATTCAATCAGAGGTACAAGGAGGAGCTGATATCATTCCTTCTGAAACTATTCCCATCAATAGAAAAAGAGAGAATCCTCCCTAACTCATTTTATGAGGCCAGCATCATCCTGATACCAAAGCCTGGCAGAGACAAAACAAAAAAGGAGAATTTTAGACCAATATCCCTGATGAACATCGATGCAAAAATCCTCAATAAAATACTGGCAAACCGAATCCAGCAACACATCAAAAAGCTTATCCACCATGATCAAGTGGGCTTCATCCCTGGGATGCAAGGCTGGTTCAACATACACAAATCAATAAACGTAATCCAGCATATAAACAGAACCAACGACAAAAACCATGAGTATTTCAATGGAGGCCGAAAAGGCCTTCGACAAAATTCAACAGCCCTTCATGCTAAAAACTCTCAATAAATTAGGTATTGATGGGACGTATCTAAAAATATTGAGAGCTATTTATGACAAACCCACAGCGAATATCATACTGAATAGGCAAAAACTGGAAGCATTCCCTTTGAAAACTGGCACAAGACAGGGATGCCCTCTCCCACCACTCCTATTCAACATAGTGTTGGAAGTCCTGGCCAGGGCAATCAGGCAGGAGAAAGAAATAGAGCCTTTTCCTCAATTAGGAAAAGAGGAAGTCAAATTGTCCCTGTTTGCAGATGACATGACTGTATAACTAGAACCCCCCATCACCTCAGCCCAAAATCTCCTTAAGCTGATAAGCAACTTCACCAAAGTCTCAGGATACAAAATCAATGTGCAAAAATCACAAGCATTCTTATACACCAATAACAGACAAACAGAGAGCCAAATCATGAGTGAACTCCCATTCACAATTGCTTCAAAGAGAATAAAATACCTGGGAATACAACTTACAAGGGATGTGAAGGAACTCTTCAAGGAGAACTACAAACCACTGTTCAAGGAAATAAAAGAGGACACAAACAAATGGAAGAACATTCCATGCTCATGGAGAGGAATAAACAATATCGTGAAAATGGCCATACTGCCCAAGGTAATTTATAGATTCAATGCCATCCCCATCAAGCTACCAATGACTTTCTTCAAAGAATTAGAAAAAACTACTTTAAAGTTCATATGTAACCAAAAAAGAGCCCACATTGCCAAGTCAATCCTAAGCCAAAAGAACAAAGCTGGAGGCATCACACTACCTGACTTTAAACTATACTACAAGGCTACAGTAAACAAAACAGCATGGTACTGGTACCAAAACGGAGATACAGACCAATGGAACAGAACAGAGCCCTTAGAAATAACACCACACATCTACAACTATCTGATCTTTGACAAACCTGACAAAAACAAGAAATGCGGAAAGGATTCCCTATTTAACAAATGGTGCTGGGAAAACTGGCTAGCCATATGCTGAAAGCTGAAACTGGATCCCTTCCTTACATCTTATACAAAAATTAATTCAAGGTGGATTAAAGACTTAAATGTTAGATGTAAAACCATAAAAACCCTAGAAGAAAACCTAGGCAATACCATTCAGGACATAGGCATGGGCAAGGACTTCATGTCTAAAACACCAAAAACAATGGCAACAAAAGCCAAAATTAACAAATGGGATCTCATTAAACTAAAAAGCTTCTGCACAGCAAAAGAAACTACCATCAGAGTGAACAGGCAACCTACAGAATGGGAGAAAATTTTTGCAATCTACTCATCTGACAAAGGGCTAATATCCAGAATCTACAAAGAACTCAAACAAATTTACAAGAAAAAAACAACCCCAGCAAAAAGTGGGCAAAGAGTATGAGCAGACACTTCTCAAAAGAAGACATTTATGCAGCCAACAGACACATGACAAAATGCTCATCATCACTGGCCATCAGAGAAATGCAAATCAAAACCACAATGAGATATCATCTCACACCAGTTAGAATGGCGATCATTAAAAAGTCAGGAAACAACAGGTTCTGGAGAGGATGTGGAGAAATAGGAACACTTTTACACTGTTGGTGGGACGTAAACTAGTTCAAGCATTGTGGAAGACAGTGTGGCGATTCCTCAGGGATCTAGAACTAGACATACCATTTGACCCAGCCATCCCATTACTGGGTATATACCCAAAGGAATATAAATCATGCTGCTATAAAGACACATGCACATGTATGTTTATTGTGGCACTACTCACAATAGCAAAGACTTGGAACTAACCCAAATGTTCATCAATGATAGACTGGATTAAGAAAATGTGGCACATATACACCATGGAATACTATGCAGCCATAAAAAAGGATGAGTTGATGTCATTTGTAGGGACATGGGTGAAGCTGGAAAACATCATTCTCAGCGAACTATCACAAGGACAAAAAACCAAACACCGCATGTTCTCAATCACAGGTGGGAATTGAACGATGAGAACACTTGGACACAGGAAAGGGAACATCACACACTGGGGCCTGTTGGGTGGGGGGTGTGGGGAGGGATAGCATTAGGAGATATACCTAATATAAATGACAAGTTAATGGGTGCAGCTCACCAACATGGCACATGTATACATATGTAACAAAGCTGCATGTTGTGCACATGTACCCTAGAACTTAAAGTATAATAAAAAATATATATATATTGAAAAACAAAAAAAAAAAGAGTCAAGACCCATCGGTGTGCTGTATTCAGGAGACCCATCACACGTGCAGAGACACACATAGGCTCAAAATAAAGGGATGGAGGAAGATCTACCAAGCAAATGGAAAGCAAAAAAAAGCAGGGGTTGCAATCCTGGTCTCTGATAAAATAGACTTTAAGCCAATGAAGATCAAAAGAGACAAAGAAGGCCATTACATAATGGTAAAAGGATCAATTCAACAAGAAGAGCTAACTATCCTAAATATATATGCACCCAATACAGGAGTGCCCAGATTCATAAAGCAAGTTCTTAGAGACCTAAAAAGAGACTTAGACTCCCACACAATAATAATGGGAGACTTTAATACCCCACTGTCAATATTAGACAGATCAACGAGACAGAAAATTAACAAGGATATTCAGGACTTGAACTCAGCTCTACACCAAGCAGACCTAATAGACATCTATAGAACTCTCCACCCCAAATCAACAGAATATACATTCTTCTCAGCACCACATCACACTTATTCTAAAATTGACCACAGATTTGGAAGTAAAACACTCCTCAGCAAATGTAAAAGAATAGAAATCACAACAAACTGTCTCTCAGACCACAGTGCAATCAAATTAGAACTCAGCATTAAGAAACTCACTCAAAACTGCACAACTACATGGAATTAACCTGCTCCTGAATGACTACTGGGTAAATAATGTAATGAAGGCAGAAACAAAGAGGTTCTTTGGAACCAATGAGAACAAAGACACAATGTACCAGAATCTCTGGTACACATTTAAAGCAGTGTGTAGAGGGAAATTTATAGCAGTAAATGCCCACAAGAGAAAGCATGAAAGATCTAAAATCGACACCCTAACATCACAATTAAAAGAACTAGAGAAGCAAGAGCAAATACATTCAAAAACTAGCAGAAAGCAAGAAATAACTAAGATCAGAGCAGAACTGAAGGAGATCGAGACACAAAAATCCCTTCAAAAAAAAATCAATGAATCAAGGAGCTGGTTTTTTGAAAAAAATCAACAAAATGGATAGACCCGCTAGCAAGACTCATAAAGAAGAAAAGAGAGAAGAATCAAATAGATGCAGTAAAAAACGAAAAAAGGGATATCACTATGGATCCCACAGAAATACAAACTACTCTCAGAGAATACTATGACACCTCTATGCAAATAACCTAGAAAATCTAGAAGAAATGGATAAATTCCTGGATACATACAGCCTCCCAAGACTAAACCAGGAAGAACTCAAATCCTGGAATAGACCATCAACGGGTTCTGAAATTGAGGTGATAATTAATAGCCTACCAAGCAAAAAAATTCCGGGACCAGACAGATTCACAGCCAAATTCTACCAGAGGTAAAAAGAGGAGCTGATACCATTCCTTCTGAAACTATTCGAATCAATAGAAAAAGAGGGAAACCTCCCTAACTCATTTTATGAGGCCAGCATCATCCTGATACCAAAGCCTGGCAGAGACAAAACAAAAAAAGATAATTTTAGGCCAATATCCCTAATGAACATCGATGTGAAAATCCTCAATAAAGTCCTGGCAAACCGAATCCAGCAGCACGTCAAACAGCTTATCCACCATGATCAAGTTGGCTTCATCCCTGGGATGCAAGGCTGGTTCGACATACACAAATCAACAAATGTAATCCATCACTTAAACAGAACCAATGACAAAACCACATAATTATCTCAATAGATGCAGAAAAGGCCTTCAACAAAACTCAACAGCCTTTCATGCTAAAAACTCTCAATAAACTAGATATTGATTGAACATATCTCAAAATAATAAGAGCTATTTATGACAAGCCCACAGCCAATATCATACTGAATGGGCAAAAACTGGAAGCATTCCCTTTGAAAACTGGCACAAGACAGCAATGCTCTCTCTCACCACTCCTATTCAACATAGTATTGGAAGTTCTGGCCAGGGCAATCAGGCAAGAGAAAGAAATAAAGGGTATTCCATTAGGAAAAGAGGAAGTCAAATTGTCCCTGTTTGCAGATGACAGATTGTATATTTAGAAAACCCCATCGTCTCAGCCCCAAATCTCCTTAAGCTGATAAGCAACTTCAGCAAAATCTCAGGATACAAAATCAATGTGCAAAAATTAGAAGCATTCCTGTACACCAAGAACAGACAAACAGAGATCCAAATCATGAGTGAACTCTCATTCACAATTGCTTCAAAGAGAATAAAATATCTAGGAATCCAACTTACAAAGGATGTGAAAGACCTCTGCAAGGAGAACTACAAACCACTGCTCAGTGAAATAAAAGAGGACGCAAACAAATGGAAGAACATTCCATGCTCATGGATAGGAAGAATCAATATCATGAAAATGGCCATACTGCCCAAGGTAATTTATAGATTCAATGCCATCCCCATCGAGCTACCACTGACTTTCTTCACAGAACTGGAAAAAAAACTACTTTAAACTTCATATGGAACCAAAAAAGGGCCCTCATAGCCAACATAATCCTAAGCAAAAAGAACAAAGCTGGAGGCATCATGCTACCTGACTTCAAACTATACTACAAGGCTACAGTAAACAAAACAGCATGGTACTGGTACCAAAACAGAGATATAGACCAATGGAACAGAACAGAGGCCTCAGAAATAACACCACACGTCTACAACCATCTGATCTTTGACAAAATGACAAAAACAAGCAATAGGGAAAGGATTCCCTATTTAATAAATAGTGCTGGAAAAACTGGCTAGCCATACGTAGAAAGCTGAAACTGGATCCATTCCTTACACCTTACACAAAAATTAACTCAAGATGGATTAAAGACTTAAATGTAAGTCATAACACCATGAAAACCCTAGAAGAAAACCTAGGTAATACCATTCAGGACATAGGCATGGGCAAAGACTTCATGATCAAAACACCAAAAGCAATGGCAACAAAAGCCAAAATTGACAAATGGGATCTAATTAAACTAAAGAGCTTCTGCACAGCAAAAGAAACTATCATCAGAGAGAACAGGCAACCGACAGAATGGGAGAAAATTTTTGCAATCTATCCATCTGACAAAGGGCTAATATCCAGAATCTACAAAGAACTTCAACAAATCTACAAGAAAAAAAAAAAAACCCCATCAAAAAGAGGGCAAAGGATATGAACAGACACTTCTCAAAAGAAGACATTTATGCAGCCAACAGACATATGAAAAAATGCTCATCATCACTGGTCATCAGAGAAATGCAAATCAAAACCACAATGAGATACCACTCATGCCAGTTAGAATGATGATCATTAAAAAGTCAGGAAACAACAGATGCTGTAGAGGATGTGGAGAAATAGGAACGCTTTTACACTGTTGGTGGGAGTATAAATTAGTTCAACCATTGTGGAAGACAGTGTGGCAATTCCTCAAGGATCTAGAACTAGAAATACCATTTGACCCAGCAATCTCATTACTGGGTGAATACCCAAAGGATTATAAATCATGCTACTATAAAGACATGTGCACACCTATGTTTATTGAGGCACTATTCACAATAGCAAAGACTTGGAACTAACCCAAATGTCCATCAATAATAGACTAGATAAAGAAAATGTGGCACATATACACCAAAGAATACTATGCAGCCATTAAAAAGGATGAGTTCATGTCTTTTGCAGGGACATGCATGAAGCTAGAAATCGTGATTCTCAGCAAAATATCACAAGGACAGAAAACCAAACTCCGCATGTTCTCACTCTTAAGTGGGAGTTGACCAATGAGAACACATGGACACAGGGAGGGGAACATCACACACCGGGGCCTGTTGTGGGGTAGGAGGCTGGGGGAGGGATAGCGTTAGGAGAAATACCTAATGTAAATGATGAGTTGATGGGTGCAGCAAACCAACATGGCACACGTACACCTATATAACAAATCTGCACGTTGTGCACATATACCCTAGAACTTAAAGTATTTTTTTTAAAAAAAGATTATTTCTTTGAATAAGCGTTCTACTCTTTGCTCCTTCTCAACTCCCTCTTTAAGGCCAATGAATCTTTGATTTTCTCTTTTCAGGCCCTCTTCTAGATCTCTTAAGCATTCTGTGTTCCTGCTCATTCTTCTTTTCTTTTTTCTCCTCTGACTGTATTTTCAAATAGCTTGTTTGCATGCTCACTAATTCTTTCTTCTGCTTGATCAATTCTACTGAGACCCACTAATGCATTTTCCAGCTCCAGCATTTGATTTTTTTCTCTTACTTCAGTAATCTTGTTAAATTTCTGATATGTTTCTGAATTGTTTCTCTGTGTTTTCTTGAAGTTCATTGAGCTTTCTCAAAATAGCTATTCTGAATTCCCTGAGAGGTTACACGTCTCCATCTCTCCAGGGTTGGTCACTGAGTGCCTTACTTGGTCCATTTGTTGAGGTCATATTGGCTTCAATGTTATTGATACTGTTGATGTTTGTCAATATCTGGGCATTGAAGGATAAGGTATTTATTCCAGCCTTTGCAGTCAGGTCTTGTTTGTACCTGTCCTTCAGAGGACCTTCCAGGAATTCAAAGTGGGCTGACGAGTTCCTTAAGCCAGTGATCACTGCAGCCATTTTTGTACTACAGGGCACCCTAGGCCCAGGTACACTGCAATTCTTACAGATTGTTAGGTCTCCAGCCCTGTGGACTTGGGAAAGATCAGGGATTATTCTCTGCATTCCCAGGTAAAGCCCCTAGCTTACTTTCCTTTCTTTCCCCCAAGCAAAAGGAATCTCTTCAGGCTGCACTGCCTGGAGTGTGGGGAGGTGTGATACAGGCATTTCCATAGCTGCTGCAGCTGCTGCCGTCATACTGGCTCACACCACAAGTCCAGGGTCTTCCAGACCTATGCAGCATCAGGGCTTGCCCAAGGACTGCGGCCACTACAGCCTGCCTGCCACTGAAATTTATTTGTAGCCCAATAAATTTCCAGTGATAAAGCTGGCCAGAATTTTGGTGGGTTCTTCCTCCTGAGGCAGCTGATTCCCCTGTGGCCCAGGGTGGGTCTAAATGCTTCTTTTGTGGGCACCAGCCTGGAATCAAGTGTTGTGGGGTTCTGTCCAGTGTCATGTGTCACTATGGCAAGACTAAGTTTCAATATAAAGTCCCACATTTTCCTCTTTGTCCCCAAGCCATTAGATTCTCTCTCAGAGAATTTCCTGTGGTTGGGGGAGAGGTGTCATAGGCAATGCAAGACTGTCCTTCCTCCCTTCTTCAATGCATCTTTTCTTGTTATCATGTTAAAACCAGGTGCTATGATCTCTCACCTGGTTAGCCCTCGTGAGAGTGTTTTCTTGCATAGATAGTTGTTCAATTTGATGTTCCTTCAGGGAGACCATTGCTGGAGAATTCTATTCTACCATCTTACTCCACCTTTTACCTGTTTATTTTTTAAATGTTTCTAGTAAATAATTGTGAAGTGATACGTTTATTTTAATCTTGGGGATCAAAAGCATGTAGCTAAGAACTTTTCCCAAGGAATATTTTAAAATTTTTATATCAATGTTTATGGAATGACATACTTTTTGATTCAAGGTTCTTAAATGTAGTTTTAGTTTTGATTCAATGTTATAGAACACTGTTTTTTTAAACTGTGATCTGCAGCCCACATGTAATGGAATCACCTGGGGTGCTTATATTAAAAAAATGCAGATTCTAGGGCTCACACCAACTAAATCTCCTGGGATTGGAGACCAGGAGGTAGTTCCTATAATCTCCACAGCTGCTTGTAAGGTACACCAAGTTTAAGAACCATTCTTTCATATTTTCAGACTGGGGATTCTTACAAAATGACAAAGAAGGAAAACCTTAATCTTTTAAAGTTAGAGTTCAACCATTAGACTGTGCACTTCTTAAACACAGTTTGTCTTTCCCATTTTCTCTTTCCAGTTCTTTATACTGTCAAGGAATTGGGGCAGAAATGGGAAACAAAGCAGTGAAAGAACAACTATTTATTTCTTTATACACATCTTGCTTTAACAATCACCAAAAAGACTTTCATTTTCTGTCACCCACCCTGTCCACCAGTTATGTTGGCCTTCAATATATGGCGATAGCAACATAAATAAATCTGTATCATACATCTATACACACAAGCACATTCTATCAAAACTGTGAAGACACAGACTAGGCTTTACTATGGCTGGGGGCCTCTCCCATGCCACTTAAAAATGAGCACAGGTTTGCTCTATGCAAGAATTTCAACAGAATTGGTCTGGCCATCAGTCCCCAATTTCCCCGAGGTAAGATAGGACGACAAAATGGGACAAGATATTTGAAGTGAGGTCAGTCCAATTTGGATATCATAGAAGAAAAGAAATAGGATGTGCTAGGTTAAGCCTGAGATGGTATCTGGGAAGTCACATTCATGATGTGAACTGAAAGAACACAGGTGCTACAGTGCAGACCAAAACCCAGCCTGACTCGACCCAACAGGGTCAGGTGTGGATCTGTGAGTAGTGCTCACTGAGCCCCCACGAGCAGTGTCTGGCAGGGCACCGCTGCTCCGTAGTGTGCTTTTAGAACCTGCCAGAGGAGCTCCAGCAATAGGACCACGTGCCCCATTCATCGGAATCAGGGTCCTATATTCACTGAGTTTTCCATCTCAGGACAGCTGATGAGGCAAGAAATGCGCTCTTGCTAGTTCCCAAGCTGCTGGGGCTGTTGAGAGGCAGTATCACAAAACCTTCTGTGCAAACTATGCATCTTCTTCTTAGTGCTGGGCCAAGTGGACCTTGGCTAATCGTATTCCATAGCCGTCAGAAAGGCTTTCTGCCTTTCTGCCAGCTCCACCAGGATACAACTCTGACTCCCTCTTCTGGACCCTCCAGTGGACTTGGAGGAATGAGGCCCAGATGCTCCTCAGCAGATAGGTAGCTGCACAAAAGGGGGACAGGCCAACCTTTCCTGCTGTTTTAAGGACTTCCGGTGGCTGCACTTCTTGCATGGTTCCTGGAAGGCAAGGGTCACAAGGCTGGAGTACATGGCAGAGCCCTTAGGGATTTCACCTGCAGACAAACATAAAACAAACCAAATCAGTGTATATTGCCAGGCCCTACTGATGGCTACCCGAAGCTGGAGTGAGAACTATGGGGTGACCAAAGCCAGGAGCACAGTGAGAGCCAGTTAAGAGGATGAGCTAAGAGCATGCACTGCAGTCTGGAGAAGCAACAGGTGCCCGAGGTTAGGGGGAGCCTCCCCACCTCCCTGTGTCCTGAGATCCCTGCTCCAATTCACTGCACACTGGGTGGCTGGATCCTACCACTCCCTCTTCAGGGGCCAAGTGACTCTCCAAATCACTTTGTCTCAGCAGAAAGGGGCCTTTGTCATCTCCACCCAAGAAAGAAGTGCTTAGCATGAAACATGCACATATAGAAGCAGCCTGTTGTAGGAAGAAGAGGACACTCTGCAGGGAAGTCCTCTGTTAAGTTTATGTCCAGTCGCCATAATGAGGATGTGGAGGGGCAAAGTCCACAGGGACCTCAGAGCTCAACTAAGTCCAGTTCCATCTTTGACAGGTGAGGGTGCAGCAGTCTCACAGAGACTAAGGGACAAGCCAAAGCCACACACCAGTTAGTGATAAGCCAGGGATTAGGACCGAGGCCTCGGGTCCTTTCCAGTGATCTGTGGGAGGTGGAGGGGAAAGCTTCCACACTGGAGAAAGCCAGTGGATACTAGAAACATTTGGGTTACCTTTCAGTGGATACTAGAGACTTTTTGGGTTACCTTTTCTGGGACAGGAATAAGGCTTTACACAGGCAATCCTGTAAGTGCTGCTCTAAAGAGGCTCAGGAAAGAGAAGAATTATCAGAGAAAAACAAAACGGAATTAGTTTAGAAAAAAAAAAGTACAAGTTAAACTGGCCCAAGTCATTTTCACACTATGGAGATCAACATTCTCTCAGGTTATGGTTTAGAAACATTTCTAGGAATATGCTCAATTGCTTATGGCAAAGCTTTGAAGTCCACGTTAAAAGGTTTAGTTTCTGATTTTTAAACCATTTCATATACCTCAAGTTTTTCTTCAAAGCAATTCCTAGGGAATGATTAAACACTTAGTGTTTTAAGTAAATGTAGATAATGTCTGATATATATATAACATTTTTCCCCTGAAGGTTCAGTTGTTATTTATTAACAAATTCTCTTTTAGACAAATGAGACCCAAAAGATCTCTTTTGTCGTGTTACTTAAAGAAATATCAAAATCAAATTGCTGTTCTTAACCCAGGAGTGTGCAGTGAAATCAGTTTATTAGGTTGCAAATTGCTTTTACTTTTTCATGAAGAGTAGAACACATAACTGGCCTCAAGATCCCTCTACCAAAAGCTCATTCAGAGACAGACTCCCAAATGTCTAATGACTTCAAGAGTGAGCTGAATTGCATTTCTCCAGTCTCCTGACTTGGTATCAAAGAAGAAAAATTGGAGTAAAAAGGAGAGATGCTAACAATGTGAGAGTGAACCAAGATACAGGGGCAGGAGCTGACAGGGTGGGAGGGTGATGGGAACAGAAACTAGCAGGAAGCCCACTGAGGACCTGTGATCTTACAAGTGGACTGGAAATCTTCTCCTGGAAGGCGAAAGCAGGCCAAGCGTCACCTACAAGATCTGCTAACAGATGGTGATGGGTTGGGGACAGGCTTGGTGCCTCTGACTGGTGCAGTAGTTTCCTTAACTCTAGGTTAGTCCTTGCATTCTTTAAAACATCATGTGTTCTGGTTACTGAAACAACAAAAGAGCACCACAGAGTAGAAATCATCAGCAGAAATTAACCCTACTTGCTTAGCATGAGAATCCTAAAGCATTTATTTCTCTCTGGCCATTCAGCTTGGAGTTTCCTGCTATCCACCCCCTATCCTCCCCTCCCTCTGCATCCACAACTGCTCGGGGCACAGGAGGTTTGGGGACATCAAATCAGCCTCCACTCCCAACATCCCCAAGCCCCCCAGTCACTGCTCATCAGCAGCACAAGTGGGGCATCGGGAAGACTGCCCGTTTCTTCCCCCATTCCCTCTCAGGGAACCTACGCTGGCTGATGATGAACTGCTCCATGCTCTCTTTCTGCTGGTTGTCGATCTTCAGATGCTCAGCTGTGCTCTGAAGGAGCCACTCCTGTTTGGATACTTTGGTTCTCAGTTCTAGAAGTTCCCTTTCTGTCGATTCTCTCTGGATAAGAGGAACAGACTCTTACTGAACAGGCAGAAGGCATAAAGCACCCCGTGCTTTGTGGCTCTTTCCAGTTCAAAGAAGGATTCTACAATCTTCTCAACTCCCCTGAACTGGATTTCCTCCTTCACAGCCTCGAATACCTCCAGCTGAGGACAGTTTAGGATGAGGCCATTAGGTAGGAATATTGAGACTCTGGAATTCCCCATGCAGACTAGCACAGGCCTACACACCTGTAGCTTAAGAGAACCTTGCTTCAGGCTGGTATAAAACTCCCAGTTCTGAAGAGGACCTTGCTTTAGTCCTGATATCAGTTCTGTCACTCTCCCTTCACAGGTAAGATTGAGAGTTCAGAAATGTTCTGTTGGGAGAGAGAGATCTGGACTCAGGAAAGTTTGCAAGTTTGTAAATATTTGTGCCAATATGAAGATAGCAAAACACCCTCTCCCTGGAATTAGCATAGTTGGATCCAAAAGGTATTGGTGCCATTGACCTGGAGCTAGAATCCCTGGGGAGGGGATCCTGAAACCTGCCTACACAAGGGTCTGCCAATCAGAGTTAGCCTGAGCTCTGAGCAGATCCTGAGGGGAGGCTGACTTTCCCCAGGCCTGGTCCAGCAATGCCAGCTTAAGTGATATGCTGGGATTCCAGGCAGTGGCTAAAAAGGCTGTTTCATGGGGGCATTCTGTGATAATTTGACCACGGGACCTGAGGGTTAGGAGATGGATGCTAAAGCTTTAACTGAATTTCAGCTCATCCAAACTTCAGAGAGGTAAAGAAACTGAACATTTGTGGATTGCCAGGGTTATGATGTCTCTGCCTTCTCCACACTCCTTCCTCTTCTTCTTTGGTTTCTTATCCAGGGGCCAGGGGGCTGGTGGGGAATGGGATGTATTTAGAGCTGCAATGAAAACAGCGACTGTGGGTCAGAGATGTCCCTCCAGGGACACTCCTCTAAGTTCGTGTCTATCCCAATTCACTATGTGGCTCCTGATTTTCTGGAAAAGCTGTGACATTGAGGAGACAGAACAGTATTGGAGGGCAGGAGAACTGGGTTTGAACCAAGAAAGGACACTGGTATCTTACCACTTTGCCAGGCAGCACAGGGATGTGGGTGCTTGGCAGGGCCGCTCTCCAGAACATGGTGAGGAGGGAAGCCGACTCCTCTAGGGCATGGTGCAGGGCACTGGTGCTGCTCCGAAGCTCATGAATGCCTTTGCTGCCTAGCACCTGGGGAAAGGTAACACCACAGGAGCGGAGAGATTACTTTCTTCCCCTTGCATGGGCTCAAGTTCCTTTGTGAGTGAGGCACAGAACATGGGCCTGCTTGAACCTGTGAAGCCGTCGCACAACCATTTGCAGCTCTCAGAACTAAGGTGTTGCTCCCTTTACCAGGAATGCCTTCCTCCACCTGCAGAACCCACAAGGCTTTCAAAACTCACCCCCCTTGCTATGTCCTCTATGAACCTGTTACCTTCCTTGCCTGAGATAAATGACCACATTTGCATTGGCGCTCTCACGGCACAGAGGATGACTTCTCATACTGTGCCTGTAGTCCCTTACTGTGCTTATCTACTTGAGTGTGTGTCTTGCCCTCTAGTGTGGGGGCTCCGTGGAGGCAGGGCTGTCCCTACGCACCTATGGGTCTCCAGCAGCTCAGACAGCACAGCCACAGGTTCCTGGTTTCTCTCACTGGCAAGGTGCTCTCAGAAGCTTTGCTGACTGCCTTCCCTCCCTCTATGCAGTCTGCACAAGGAAATGCCTTGGCTGCCAGGCTTCTCACCCCTTCCACACGTGGGGGCCATACACCTGCAAATCCTTCAGTTTCTGTCCATCCCATTGAGTCTACTCTGCCCACAGATGGTTCATGTGCCTGCATGACTGTGGTAGATAATAAGCTACCAAAGGCTGCTAGGCAATGCCACATGTTTCTGTGGGTTTGAGGGGAAATATCCAGTCAGCTACATATGGAACAGAGCAGAACTCACAGTGAAAATAGGAGATAGAGAAGAAAGGGCCTGGCTGCTATACATGGAAGAGGAAGCCTCAGCTCTGGAGAGATGCAAAGCATGAAAAAAAACAAAAATGGTGGGAGAAGGAGATAACATCAAAGGAAGAAAGGGCACAAGGAAAGAGTGCACCTAAAGCTACAGATGTGATTACCTCTGTGCCTTGGGCTTCAAGGCCAGGGAAGCTGCACGCTGATCTCACAAGAGACACTATCTTTTTGACCAGCAGCTTGCCCTCCGCAATCTGCTGTCTTAGGGCACTGTAGTCATCAATGTGGCCAATGACATGGCGGCCATGCTTACTGGCAAAGGAGCCATCAGTAGCATCACCCTCTAGCTTGGGAGGGGTCTTCATTACTGGAGAAGTATCCAAACCCAAGCCTGAAAAAGAAAATGACAACACAACAGAATCTTCTGTTATTCATAGTGATATCATCAGTTTACTCCAACTCAAAAGAGGTAGGAAACAAGAAAAGGACGAGGCCGGGAACAAGAAAGGAAGCCTTGGAATGTACAAGGGTGGGGCAAAGTCCATAGAGATCTTCTGGCTTCTATATTTTTATAATCTTTCTTACATTATCTCTTAATGATAAATTTGCCAGGAGACAACTTTTTCATTATTGGATAATGAAATAGGACAAATCACAATAAATAATAAGTTTCTGAGTAGAGAAGACACAGACAATTAAATCAAGCTGGATACAGAGAGCATTTTCAAGAATGGAGAGATTACGGTGCAATGAAGCAAAAACAGCAGTAGGAAAACTACAGGAGGATGAACAATGGCAAGAAAGGCAGCCACAGAAGGTGCAGGGAGTAGGGCTAAAGGACTTGGGGCATGCAGAGAAAACTCTCTAAATACAGATAATATGTTTAGAGACAACCAAAGGTTGTTTGCATTAATCTCTTTCCATCATCAGTCCCTGGGCCCTGTAGTTGCCATATTTACCATTTGTTCTGTTGATTATGGCCGTTTCTGAGCCAGAAGTAGAGGAAGCAGAGCTGGGGAGGACCAGAGCTTGGGAATTCATACCAACATCCCGGACTGGAGGGGACACAGCAGAATCTAGGGAGTAAAGGCAACCACAGTTTTCAGGAGCCCTGGAACACCCTGCATGTGAAGCACATGCACACCTAGCCGTCACCACTGAGGACTAATTTTCACCAAGACATTCCAGATAAATTCTTTCCACAACAACAAACTCATACTGGGGTTGAGTGGAAGCAAACATGGCTGTAACAAGTCTATTCACTTAACTTCTTTGAGCCTCAGTTTCCTTTTATATAAAATAAGGATGATAACACTTACCTAGTGGAGTTAGCAGATGCTTAAATGAAATTGCATATATGGTATGGCTAGCTCAGGGTCTAACAGGGAAGTCATTCAATGCCTGCTGTACTAGCTGCAGACCTGAGAAATACCAACAGCAGAATCCCATGTGGTGCTGCCAGGCACGGTGGCTCACGCCTGTAATCCCAGCACTTTGGGAGGCTGAGGTGGGCAGATCACGAGGTCAGGAGATCGAGACCATCCTGGCTAACACGGTGAAACCCCGTCTCTACTAAAAATACAAATAAATTAGCCAGGTGTGGTGGCGGGCACCTGTAGTCCCAGCTACTTGGGAGGCTGAGGTAGGAGAATGGCGTGAACCCGGGAGGCAGAGTTGCAGTGAGCGGAGATCACGCCACTGCACTCCAGCCTGGGTGACAGAGCCAGACTCCATCTCAAAAAAAAAAAAAAAAAAAAAAAAAAAAGCTGTAGAGCTAAGGTCTATGAATCCACATTTTACTTAAGTTCCACAGGTGATTCTTTTTTTTTTCTTTTTTGAGACAGAGTCTCACTCTGTTGCCAGGCTCGAGTGCAGTGGCAAGATCTCAGCTCACTGCAACCTCCAGCTCCTGGGTTCAAGCAATTCTGCTGCCTCAGCCTCCCGAGTAGCTGGGACTACAGGCACGCACCACCATGCCCAGCTAATTTTTGTATTTTTAGTAGAGATGGGCTTTCACCATGTTGGCCAGGCTGGTCTCGAACTCCTGACCTCAGGTGATCCGCCCGCCTTGGCGTCCCGAAGCGTTGGGATTACAGGCATGAGCCACCACGCCCGGCCCACGGGTGATTCTTAAGCATGCTAAACTGAGAACCCCTGAGCTAGAGGATGTACAGGAAATGGGTAATTCACAACTTGAAGGATCAGTAGTGGCCTATGCACATAGATCGGATTTCTCAGAATCCAGGAGTCTTGGAACCTAGAGCAGAGCTTGTCTGGTGTGTTTCTGGGAGGAAAATAGGACATAGCATACAGACAGACAATCTATGAGATAGTTTCTCAATAAAGAAAAAGGGGATAGGCATTTTACCGAAACTGGGATGTGAATGGGGGATAAAGAGGGCACATGTGTATATGGAAAAGGATATTTAATATTATGTTCTAACTTTATGTTTTAAAAAAACTGATGTTTCTAAATACAAACAAATAAAAGAAAAATTCAACAAAACTTTCTTGAAAGGAAGAACAATGCATTAGATTCTACCTTCTACAGTATCAGTGATTCTGTAGGTTGGGTGGAGGGTTGAACAAATCAGAGTTTCAGGTTAGTAACTCTGAGGACAAAGGAAAATAATCCACAGGGATATCTACAGAGGGTTTGATTGTAGGTTCAACAATAGAATCAAAAGAGATGTACTGTTCTTACCCATGACAACTCAATTACATTTACATATGCAAAAATTTAAGTAAAATAATATGCTTTAAGTAGAACTTAAGGAAAAAGTTATTATGATAATTCAGGGCAAAAGAATCAGCACTTAGAACAATCACAAGAATTTTTTAAAAATTGTTTGACAAAGTATGTAGTATAGAAGCAAGGTTTAGATGTTAGAAATTGGGAGCCACAGATATTATGCAACCTTGAGCAAGTCACTTGAAACTTTCTAGGCCTGAGTTTCCTCAGCTATGAAACAAGGACATGAGGCTAGATGCCTGGGCCCTTTTCAAAGTGCTAACATTATTCAGGGAAGTTTAAGTGGCATGTAACATGCAGGGAAACAACAGGGCATGATTTAGAAGTCGTACAGCTGTACTTTAAACAGGCAGTGATGATGATAGTCCTGGGAGCGAATGAATAAATGGATCAGCCCTACAGTATCAGCATGTTCTCCAAGGAGCTTTTGACAAAAAGCCATCAAAGACAGAGTGGCCAATCTAACCAATGAATGAGCTATCTGTGATTTCTGTAAAATTACTAAAGCAGCAGAGATGATTAAAATTGATACTCTATGATTGAAGGACTTATGAGCAGGAGCTGAGAGGAGGGGGAGGGGCCTCTACACAAACCCTGCCAAGCAGCCAACGCCGCAGCTACTGGAAGGTGGAGGTGAAGCCACCCTGCCAAGCAGCCAACCTCACTTTTTGGTAATTATCCTTGTGCTGATGCTGCCAGACAAACTCTCTCTACAAATCTCAGCATGTGGAAAAAACAGAGGCAGGAACAATTGCCCAGCACCTATTTCTCGAAGACACCCTTGAAGTTACTCATCAAAGTTTTAATTAAAGCAGAACTTATGGCTTTTCCTCAAATGGGAATTTGTTAACTTTTAGACTTTGTTATTGTTCATTTTGGGCCTCTGTGCAAATCTGATATCCTGTTTGAATGACATTGTTTTGTTTTTACCCTATTGCTTCATATCTGTCACAATGTTAAGTCAGTTCTCAACATTAAGGCATTAAAAATTAGCTTTTCTCAAATGCTCAGCATCACTAATCATTAGGGAAATGCAAATTAAGACCATAATGAATATCATCTCACACCTGTTAGAGTGGCATTTATCAAAAAGGTGAATGATGTGTTAGAGATAATGCAGAGAAAACGGAAAACACATTGTGAATAGGTATGTAAATTAGTACAGCTGGTGTGGAAAACAGTATGGAGTTTCCTCAAAAAACTGAAAATAGAATCTACCCTATGATCCAGTAATCCCATTTCTGGGTATATATCCAAGGGAACTGAAATGAATATGTTAAACGTATATCTGCACTCTCATGTTCATTACAGCATTATTCATAATAGTCAAGATGTAGGACAAACCTAGGTCCATCAGTAGATGAATGGGCAAATAAAATGTTGCAGATAATACACAATGGAATACTATTTAACCTTAAAATGTTGGGGGATAGGTCCTGTCATTTGTGACAACATGAATGAATCTGAAGGTCATTATGCTTAGTGAAAAAAGCCAGGCACAGAGAGACACCTACCACATAATCTCACCTATATGTGGAATCTAATAAAGTTGAACTCATAGAAGCAGAGAGTAGAATGGTGGTTACTAGAGGCTGGTGGAGTGGGGAGGGAGAGTAGGGGGAATTGTTGATCGAAGGTATCGACAAAAAGAATAGGTCTTAAGGTATATTGCATAGCAGGGTGACTATAGCCAATAATAATGTATATTTCAAAATAAGAGTAAATTTCCAGTGTCTCACCACCAAAAATGATAGGTAGGCAAGTTGATGAATATGTAATTGGCTTGGTTTAATCATTCCATATTGTTTGTTTGTATATATATGTGTGTGTGTATACATATAATCATATCATACCCCATAAATGTATATAATTATGATTTGTCAATCAAAAGTAACTAATTTTTTAAATAGCCTTTTTGAAGTTTATCACACTTTGACTACTAATGTCTGTTCTTTGTATTTGAATCTTGATTTTTTTTCTTCAAGAGGTGGGGGTCTCATTATGTTGCCCAGGCTGGCCCTGAACTCGTGGGCTCAAGAGATTCTCTTGCCTCAGCCTCCTGAGTAGCTGCAACTATAGATGCACACTACCTGGGCTTGAATCTTTATTCTTGATTAACTTTTTCTCCATTACAAAAGTTCACATAAAAAAATGCAATGGTTGATTAGTTTCTTTCACAGCAATTTTATAGGTATTTATTATAGATCTTACATCTGCTTGAGAATAGAATTTTGTGGGAGAAAATCTAGGGAAAATTACTATCATGCCAGACTTGAGGCTTCCTGAGGTGGCTGAGTCCAAAAAATAAGGAGGAAGCAAGTTGCATTGGCCA
Source organism: Homo sapiens (assembly GCF_000001405.40). Lineage (NCBI taxonomy): Eukaryota > Metazoa > Chordata > Mammalia > Primates > Hominidae > Homo > Homo sapiens. Next base: position 147,028,933 of record NC_000001.11, read on the forward strand.
AAAGGTGATTCTCACCTTGGAAGAAAGACAAGGTTGGATGTGTCTGTTAGTGAAAGTGTATGAATGCTTGGAGTAGGAAGGGAGCTTTGTGTCAAGCAAAAGTTTACCTTCCAAGGAAGGACATAACAAGGAGAAGCTCAAAATCTATCTTAAGGGACCACTTCCCTGGAAACAAGCAAACAAATTTTGAGAATCTGGACACAAAACAGTTATGGTAAAGTAAGCTTTATTTAGTTGGTAGCAGGAGAGTCACAACCTCAAACTCCAGAAAAGATGAAGTAAATTTGCAATGATTTCATACACCAAGATTCCTCCTACCCAGAGCTGAAGATGTATTTTCAAGGAAAGGTGATAGAAAGAAAAATGATGCTTACCCAAGAGATTCTTCCATCCAGCAGGCATATACTTTGTCTATCATGAGTCAAGCCCTGATCCAAAGGCTTGTTAACTCATAATTACACTAAGCATCTCTCCTATGCCAAGTAATATGGCAAGTATTGTGATGGAAATACTAACGCCCTAATGTAAAAAATACATTCCAGGGTGGGCTGACCTCCTCAAAATGGGGTCTGGTCAGATTCTCCATGCTAGGCTACAGGAAAGAAGGCTGAAGAAGAAGCAACTTTACAAAGCAGTTTGCCTACAGTTGAGAATTAGAGCAAATGACTTGCAGTACCTGGAGTACTTCAGACCATATCAATCAGAATCTGACTGTCTTCATATCTGTGTCTCCTGTTCATTTATTCTGAAGTTAATCCTGTCCCACAGTCATTATAACCATCAGTGACCAGCCAACCTCCCAATCTAGCTGTCTTAGAGTAGACATTTGTTCATCCTGCAGGTCCCTCTCTCTCACCCAAGATCCTTAATGACATCAGAGAGTGAGGACAGAGGGATCTCTCTGGAGGGAGAGAGATGTATATAAAGTCACAACCATCAGTAAGGAGGACTCAGGAGAAGCTGTTCAAGCGAAAAGAAAAATGGAGTTCATGCAAGCACTCAAGGGAGAAGGGAAGGTTGGGTACAGCTAAAGCAACAAGAAGGTGATCCTATTATAAGAAGGTGATCCTACTACTATAAAGAAACTGTTGAGAACATGACATATCCCAGACAGCTACTCATGTCCCCAAGTGCCAAATCCCAAAAGATTTGAGGATGCTTGCTTGGGCTCTTCTTATTGGTTGATTCGATGTCTCTTCTTTTTCTTATGCAGAAGACATACAGGCAGACCCAGAAAGCCTCATTTCTTGTTTAATTTTCCTAATAGCCCCAAGAAAGCTATCACTGGAAAGTCCAGCTGCTTGTGCGGGTTATCTACCAATGATTCACTTTCTCCTTAAGAATCATAGGCACAGTCCATCTAGGAGATGAGATTGCTAAATGGCATGGACAAAGTGGAGACATTATAGGAGTTCCGGTGAGTGCTTGTGAGATCACTATTGGTGACTTAATCTCTGAAGTCCAGATTATTCACTCTTGTAACATGCTAGTTACATCTTCACTGATGGTGGGTGGAAGCAATGTTTCAGCTCAAGTTCTGAGGTTTAACAGGGGATTGTTGTTGAAGTACCATCTGCTGATCACTGAGTCACCATGACCTCAATGGTTTGTCAGGTTGCATAAGGTTCTCTTTGCATAATGAGATTTCACTGAGAAAGATCCTTGCTTTGGAAGCATTCCAATCTTCTTGGAGTTTCTTCCCAAGCAGGTCCTCCGCCCTGCCACCTCCCCGAGCAGCCCTTCGATGACTCCCTGTCTTCTGTGGTGCATTTCAGTTACAAAAAGCCCAAGAGGAATGTCTCGATTGTCTTGCAAGTAAAAATTCTTCTGAAGCTATAGCTACAGAGAATAAATAGGGGCAAAGCTGGGTAGGAGGGGGCAGGAGGCAGAAGAAAGAGGTACAACACAAACCAAAGGGTGGATTGGAGAGAAAAATGGAGTGAAGATATGGGTTGGAAAGGCAGCTGGTTTGCTCAAGGAGAACAGGAAGATGACTGAGAAGTGGTTTATATAAAAAGATATCTTCTCACTCTAAGTCTGTAAGGGCTGCAGGAGACCATCAGACCTCAGAAGGGCTGTGTGTAGTCCACCCTGGAAGCCCCAGACCCTGAAACTGACTTACTTGCTGGGGACTATGGTGTGCGGCCTCCTCAATAATGTCAGTGAACTCAGTGCTTGCATCTTTGGTGTCATCCCCTGCAGGTGCACCTGGAAACAAGTCCAGTAAAGAAAAGTGATTCCCTTCACAGATGGCTTCCAGAGAGCAGGTTAAATTATACTCTTTTTGCCAGCTGCCTCTCATTTCTTCCTTTCTCCATATACATGGGGAAGAAATTCTCCCTAGCCAGCAGGGCTGGCAAGAAAAATAGAACTTTTTGTATCACAGACACTTTCTTATTCATACTCAAGCCTGAGCCTCACAACATAAGCTGACTTTGCCTGCACAGACCCATTTCTAAGGAGCCGACTGTCGGATGCACTGGTTACCCCACTCGAATGTCAAGAAAGCCTGAATTGTTCCCCACTGCCTGGCTACATAAAAACTTTCTCTTCCATAACATGAGTCTAACATGCCTAACCCTTTCCCCACCACTGAGTGTCTAGAAATTAGAGCTGCCCTGAATCTCTCAGAGGTATCTATTGTTGGGATCAGTTGTGCATAGGGTGACAATCTCTCTGAGGAACTTCCCTCTGGGGGTCCTGTGTCCTAGTAAGGTTCAGGTCTAGTCAAGATTCAAGACACCCAATGATTCAGTTGTTCCCTAATTTCTTCCTCTAACCTCCCTTCCTCCTCACCTCTCTCAAACTCTTATTCTACGCAGGCACCCTTTGCCTGAAGGGTTCCTTGCACTGCTTTCTCCACATGAGATTTAACCCATCCTTTCATTCTCCAGAGATCAACACAGCCACTCTAGGGCCCAAACATCTACACCTTGCTCTAAGGTACAAGTAGCTGCAGTTTGTGGTATGGGCAAAGGTCTAAGGCAGCACTGACCAAGAGGACTTTCTGCAATGACAGCAATGTTCTGTGCCAGTGTTGCCCAGTACGGTGGACACAGTCATATATGGCTATTGAGCTTTGAAATGTGGGTAGTATGGCCCACATTTCAAAGCATTCAATTTTAAATTTTATTTTAGTTAAATTAACTTATATTTAAACGACTACATGTGGCTAGTGGCTACCCTATTGGACAGCACAAATCTAGGGTGTTTCTTCCTCCTTATATTGATTAAAATTAAGACTGTTCATACATTTTAAGACCAAGAGCTATGTTTTTACATTACTGTATTTTTCGGGAAGTGTAGAAATTTATTATGGTTAATTTATCAAAGAAAATCTACTGTGACACTCACCGTGTCTTATAGAACCTCCCCAACTTAAAGAATCTTGAAATCTTGTTCTGATCCTAGCCTCGGCAACCAACCAGTTACAACTCCACTTCTGACCACTGATTAACCTGGACCTCTAAGAGATGAGGTGGTGTGTCCAAGGTTACACAACTAGCCCTCACAAGAGCTGCACCAATAAGTCAAGACTGTGGACTCTTAGACAGAAGCCACTCACTTTTTCTTCTGGTGACAAATCAGATCTTTATCTTTGCTTCTTCCTCCAAGACCAAAGAACCTTGATGTTGAGTTCAGACATCCAGGCATGAAAGGCTTTGCTTGAATCATGAGCATTCACTACCCAATGCAGATAAGGTAAGCAGGGGCAGTTCACATCTACATATTTGCAATGGCCCAGGCTGATCTCATAGAGTGCTAAGAGGTAGTAAGTATGCTGTGATAACAGCTTAGGTTTCCTCATCTACACCATGAACTTTGTGTTAACTTTGGATCAAGGAAGGGTCCTGTTCAGTGTAGCCTCTACCACCTCTACCACTCAGCATCTTTAGAGTTCTGTGGCAGACAGTGTACAAGAGGAATTTCCAATACTTCCTCATTCAAACCAACCCCAGAAACCATCTCATTCAGGATGCTAGCTGAGTAGAGGTGTATGGACACATTGCCTAATCTTTGGCTGCTTTAAAACTTACTGAACCCAGGATACTAATTTACCTAGGACACTCATATCATGTTATGCTTACTTTGGAAAATTTTTCCCTGTAAAACAGTAGGGATCACAATCTTTTACGTTTTTCCAGCAAAGGAAATGAATTGTCTCACTCAGTGACAGAAAACAGACTGTTCACATTGTTTCTCATTTGAACATGGGGCTAGAGAAGGATCCTGTAATTGAAGAAAGTTCAGCTCTATGAGGTCAGGATCCTCATCCCCTACCATTGTTGCTGGGTTGTGGAGTCAGGCTGGGCCCACATCCCAGGACCATTCCTGCCAGGTTCCAGAAGCGAGAATTGGAAAGGGTGACTATCACTGGTCTTGAAGGTTTTCATCTGACACTTTCTGCCCTCCACTTATCTTTGGCAGCCTTTCTGGTGCCATGTCTGCATTCTTGGATAATGCTCCATCTTATTTCACTTAAGAGCAGGATGCTATGGTTCTGGCTTCATAAGGAATTAGATGGAGACAAATAAATGCTCATCTCATCTCGACACTCTGCCACACAGGGGTTTTGTTTCTTCCCCTTCATTCTCTCTTTTTTAAGCTAGCTCACAGTCTTCTTCCATTACGGCAGCTTTAAGGGTTGCTCAGCCTTTTACCAATTTGAATTAAAATGCTGAAACTTTTTCTCCCATGTTTGAGGGGTAAAGCTAAAAATTTATAGAAAATATGGAAATAAAAGGGTAAGTTATCTCATACAAGGTCCTGTATATAAGTTAACATTAGACATCTTTTACTATTTTTCATTTTTTAAATAAATGAGAGAACTTCTCTTTTGTGAGTGGTACCTTTTTCTAAACTTTTACAGCACAATGAAACACTGTCTTCAGAACTAACTTGGAATACTTTGAATTTCTAATTTAAAGGTAACTATGCTTTCATATTGATGACTCTTCTGCTTATTTTTTGATAAAATATAAAATAGTCTGCCACCTTTAGATTCTCTGAAAGCTAAGAATCTGTTCATTTAACTTGCTTCTTCAATATTAAGTTTTACATGTTAGACTGCCAATTTTATCAAAAACTTTTATTTGAGGCTTCAATAAATGTTCTTAACTTGTGGTTCTTGGAAGTTTCTGGGCTCTGAACAATACAAAATGGAGGTGATACCAAGATGTCCGTTATTTAGATTTATAAGATTATTTTCTATCAGCTATCTAATTCTACCAAGTACACAAAAATAAGCCTCTAAAACATAAGACCATAAAATCCTTGGGTGAAAATGTAAGCATTATGCAAATGTAAGGTATTCTTATCACTGAGGCAAAAATTCATACTTTTGTAGAACTTTTTGAGTATGGAATAATAATTAAGAACATGAACTATGGAGATAGACTGTCTAGATTTGAATTGTGCTTTTTTCGTTAGTTATGTCACCTTAGGCAACTCATAACCTTTCCATAACTAAGTTTCTTCATTTAATAACTAGGGTTAAGAGCATTATCCACTCCATACTGTTGTGAAGTTTAAAGGGTTTGCTGATTTTGAAGTGCTTAGTACACAGTGTGTACTCAATAAATACCATCCTTAAACAATATTATTATTATTGTTATTGTAGGTAAACTGAAGTAGTCCATGGGCTTATTAGTTGAAAGCTGAGAAAGTTGAAGGCCATAGAACCTAAATAGCATCAGCAGAAGGAAGTTTTATACTTGATATTATTATCTGAATGATCTTGATTAATTCTACCTGCACTTCTTCATTTCTGAATACTTGTTTCCCCCAGCAGGAGGCTTGAAATGACACTCTTTGCTCTCTGCCTCACAGGACATCGAAAAACTAAGGAGTTGTCAGTAAAGTAGGTTGAACTCTTTGGAATAGGTGCCTTACAAAAAGGATTACTCATCATTAAATGATAACTGTCTTAAAACTCCAAAATGCATAAATAAGCCTTAGGGGAAACTTCATGACCTCTTTTTTTGTTTTGTTTTATTTTGCTTTAGAGATGAGGTCTCATTATGTTGCCCAGGTGGGTCTTGAACAGCTAGGCTCAAGGGATCCTCCCGCCTCAGCCTCCAAGTAACTGTGACCACAGGTGCATGCCGCCACACCTGGCTCATGACATGTTCTTTAGTAATGAGTCCAAACTGGGTGGAGTCAAGACCATTTCCCCCAAATTCTACTCTGCAGTCATTATTATCTCCCTTTAAGCCATTAATATGGGATCAACAGAAAAGGAGTGATGTTTTTCCATATAGTTACTTAGAATATAGCAAGAGATCATATTTTATTCATTTTAAAAGGTGATCTGAAGAACTAAAACTTTAAGCATGAATAAGTTGGCAGTGCCAAGTGTTCTTTCCTTCGGTACTGGGCCCTTGTGTCTAATACTCTCAGCCCAATTTCACTCTGACTCCCAGGTACACCGCCATGCATTCATTACAAGAACGCTCACATTTTCATGTCATGAACCAACTATTGCTGACTTTAATGTTATGGTGCTGTATGAGAGAATCAAGGAAAAGAGGCCTCCTATCAAACTACAATTTCACCTGCACACATTCCCTTCAGGATCATAAGAAAACTATTAAGATTCCATATAGTCCTCCATAGTTTCTGCTAAGAAATAAAATTCTCTATCTAGACAGATTCTGATCGTGGAACAGAAGTGGTAGAAAACTGCTGTCTGCAGTCAAACCCCTTTATGGTGTATCTTTGTCTTTAAATTGCAACATCTCTTAAGTAGCCTTAGGGCTTTCCAGCTCACATGTTTCAGAAAGTAGCTGTTTTAAGTGACTTGAAAAGGCCAAATCATAATCTAAAATACTTTTGGGGGTATGAAATCCCACTAAAATTCTGGAAAGAGTTTCTACTTCTCCAAAAGGGTAATTATTCAATATAACTACAGTCTTCTATCCTTAGGCTAACCAAGGCACATGTAAATTAGGACTCCTGGGCAGACCAGGAGATATGACCACTGCACCTATTTTGTGATGCCATAATTCTGTAATGTCAAGAAATTCTTCCTGCTCATGGTCTCTTTTTTTCTTCAAAGAACACAAGAAACAGGCTTTTCTAGGAATGTTTAGAGACAGCACTACCCACCGCAGTTGGCTCCTCAAACGTCTGTCGTGCTTTCTGCTATTCTCCTACAGCAAAGAAAGCAAGGAAGGGTTTTTAAGGTAAATTAGCCTATGTCGCATTTCTGGGGAAAGTGTAACACTGTTTCTTTAGTGTTACACTTTTCATTTCTTCAAGAGGAGAAAAATTGGGGTTTCTTCTTCCTTCCTTTAGTTAAATAAATACTCATTCTACAAGCCTTGCTTTGACTTGGAATTTAGTAAATAATCAATAAACTGATTCTCCTATAAGGAAAAAAAAGATACAAGCTTTCTCTACTTCTTTTTTTAATAAATATTTTAAGAATAAAACCAAATAGTTTCTATTGGCCTTTGATAAGTTTATTGGATCAGTAACAATTTTTTGTGTCTCAACTAAGATAGCTAAAATTCTAACACTTATATGTAAAAATTACACTCCATTTTAGCACAAATGTTAACACAAATTAACAGCACAGTGCCATGAAGAAATGAAAAATATACAGCTTATTTTGGTGGGGAAATGGTCCTGGAAATAATGTAATGCCAAGTTTCTGATCATTTAATACATCACTCACCTCCTTCTTCATCTGATGTTATGAACCACTTTATTTATTTATTTATTTATTTATTTAAGACGGAGTTTCACTCTTGTTGCCTAGGTTGCAGTGCAATGGCATGATCTCGGCTCACTGCAACCTCCACCTCCCAGGTTCAAGCATGAAGTTATGAATCACTTTAATTCTTCTCAACAACCTACAAAATTTTAAGTGAAAACTAACAAGACTTCATGGACAAAGATAGAAACTCATAATTTATAAAATGTGCTGATATATGCACATGCCTCCAAAGGTTATAGATTGAGAGAGAGGTCACTATCTTGGAGCTATGACTTTGATTATTGTAAAAAGAAACACTACATATTCATGTTATACACTAAAAGTAAACCTGCAAGGAAGCCAATTTGGTTTATGTACTTAAAACCCCTATTCTCCATATTATTTTAAATACAACATTTTCTGATGTTGCTGAACTTTCTATTTTACCCTTCCAGTTTAAGTAAGAGCAAAACAATATGATAAAGATTTTTACTTCTGGAATTTGATTTTAAACAACAAAAAGGGAGAGTAACACAAAAATAATCAGTATGTCACTTTATAAGTTTCATTATTCTTATTTGAAACCTGGTAGAATTAGTATTGTCAGGACCACAGTTTTGTGTTTATTTCCGTTTCCCATTCTTTGTTGGAGGCAAATTACGATGCTATTTTTTATTTAGAAAATTGATCTTGGCCCAGGTGAGAACATGGAGAAGTTGAAGACTTACCTTCTGTTAACACTTAGATTACTTAAAAGCAACAGGCTTGTTATTCGATCATAATAAAATGTTTTAACAAAGCTACTGGTGCAAAGGGTGAGAAGGTGGCTTAAATCCACATTCTAAAACACATTATAACTGAAATAACTGAAATATACACTATATAAAAAACATTATAACTGAAATATACAGAAATCACTCCAATATATTATCCTACTGACTCATTCCTTCTGTTTATTACTGTATTGCCACATTGGAGTTCCATATTTCCAGCTATTCTTTCTACGGTACAAATGGTTCCACACTACCAAAGAGAAAAGAAAAGCTCACTGAGCTTTAACCCTGAGAGAACTGAGAGAAAATACTCTGTGCTGGTATCTCACAGGATATATCTGGAAAAGAAATCTAATTTCATTTGTTCTATCTCTAGTACAATTTCTACAAGGTAAAATGGAAAACGGACTTTAAGTGTGTGTGTTGCTAATATTTCTTCCTAACCTCACAGGAAGTTTGTCACGTTTCCTTGCAGGATACTGACTGTAAACCTGCAGAATACTACATGATACCCTATTTGAAAAGGCCACTTGAGCTTTTCAGGGATGCCAAATGTCAAGATTTTGTGACTGTTTTATATAAAAAGATCATGAAATGAGAAAACAAGTTTATCCTATCAATGGGAACTAGAGTTTTCTAATAGTACCTCAAGAAAAGCAAAGGTATTATTGTTCTCTCTAAGGCTCACAGTCCAAAGGAAAGTGACTTTAGGTAGCTCAGTCAACCTTTATTTCTCAATGAAAAGGACAATTTTCAGTATAATGTGATCTGCTACTCCTTTCCACAATCAGAAGACTCCAGATCCAACTGGAAGATCAACATAGAGAGAACTGAAATCAGTTTTCTTGAACTGTTTTTGAAGCTATGAGCCAAACATCTCATGACCCAGACACTGAATTAGGAGGATGAATGAGCATAAAAGTGATAGGTTTTTTATGTACATCGGCCACAGAGTTTACTTATGCATAAACCGTGTAAAGAGAATATACTAAAGAACCCTCAAGGAAACTAATTCTTATGGTTAGGAACTCATATCCTCTACAGGTTAAGATTTTCTGGATCCTTAATAGATCTCTTGCTATATATAATGTAATAGAAACATCTTTTAAAAATATAAATAAGGAAAAATGTATTTCCTCTAAGAAGCAAAGGTACTGAAAATATTACTGCTGTCCACAGCTGAATGAAGAGAAGAGGGTGTGGAGAAGATTCGGTGGCAGATAAGAGTACACACTACCAAAGAAAAAGGCTGACCTACTAACATAGTCCAATAATGTCTTGTCAAAAAAGTTATAACTTGGTTATCTAAAAAGAGAACATCAGATGAATGTTGATTTATACTAGGTACTAATAGTCATCAAATTTTCCATACTATAAACTTTCAATAGAAAAGAGTTTGGGAAAATATCTATCTAAGGACATTTATTTCACTCATTAAATAAGTCCTCTTGGAGGTTCTTTGCAACTCTATACTTCTAAAACCTACAGATTTCATCTACCCTGAACTCTTACAACCATTACTCTGCATTATTTGCTATTATTCAAAAAGGAAACATGAGAAAAACAAAATTTATCATATGGATTTTTTTCTGAATTTAAGTTCTATGCTTCCAATTAAGCATGGCCTAAGTAAAAATTTACTTCATTATTTTTATTTGAAGATTATTTTTACTCAAGCACAAGGTTCTATAAGCACAGGATGCTTTATCTAAAATTACTGTCATGTTGAAAAATGACTGTCAAAGGAAGAATAATCCAGTATGAGAAAGAGTCTGTGCTCCTGAAGAGAAAATGGAATATTATATCATGCTAAATATTATTAAATGATGTGTCCAACACACAAAGTTGTTAGACCAGCAAGCTCTCTCCAGATAACACTGTTTGCAAGCCTCATTCCAGCTATCTAGACTAGAAAAAGTTAGTACCATATTTTAGTCACATTTATGACATTAAGATCAGACTTTTAATTTATCCTTCTATCAATCTACTCTTGCTGGAGGTTGACAGAAGTAGGAGTGATTATTAACATAAACTGTAATCACTATGAGCCATTAGAAACCAAGAATCACCCGGAGCTGAATCTTAATAGCAGACTCAGAAGGCTTCTCTGGTCTATTAGTAGAATTAAGGAAAGATGTTCCCTAAATGCCTTGTTGTGATGACACAACAAACTAGTCTTTGATGGGTTGACATTTCTATAGCTCCATTACCTTCCTCTTTACTTCTGGAAAGTTACAAAAAATTTTGTGCAAGAAAGGGTCTCTTAAAATTAGAAGACTAAGAAAAGTGGATGGATCGGCCTACACTTCCTATCTCCTTCCTTAAATGACTCCTTTTTCCTCAAAAGCCATTGAAACTGAAATGGCAGATCCATTAAGAGTAAGGCTTATGGCTATCAATCTTTGGCAAATTACTTAATCAGAAGATTCCAGAGTGCTTCCCCAGTAGAACATTTTCTCCCTGTCCACTCTAGTTTGACTGATTCTCTATCTGTTATAGACACAGCTAAAGTTACAGAAACAGATGAAATTTAGAACGTAATACAAGCCATGTCAACATGTGAAAGAAATAAAGTGTCACATAAAAAAAAAAGGAAGGAAAAAAATCACTGTGCCCCACTTAGTTTAGAAAGGGTATTCAGTCACATTTATTGTGCTAGAAAGCCTCAATCCCTGTCCCAAATTCCATGTTTAAAGTAACTGAAACCTCAGCTTCTAACCTAGGAAACTTAAAACCAGAGGAAATAAAAACAAATTCATGATGTTGAACCCACAAAGCTGCAAAGCAATCTTGGTTACTTTTCACACTTCTGACATTCGAGACATCAGAAATACAATCTCTGGTGCCCCTCTCCTTATACCTGTCACGCTGCCACAAGAAAGCATTGAGGCAATGATTAAAACTATAAACATACATCTGTAACATTTCTTTCTAAACTATTCTAGCACTTCAAAGCCTGAAGCCTATTACTTATTTTTATATGGAGAAATGTATGCATACTAAATAGTGAAAAACATAGGATCCTATCTAGTGCCACAAATGGAAGAAGCAATACCCTCTTCTGGCTGTAATGAGTTATTTGGTGAAACACTGAATGTAAAGAGGGATACTACATTTGAAATTATCTTGTAAACAGAGAATTCTGACTCTGGAAGGCCATTCTAGAAGTCATGTTCTGACTAAATAGCATGACCTTGGCTTAAAGAAACGTAAAGGAATCAGTAAAGAACAAATTTTAAGTAGAATTTAACCTGTACCTAATCTAATTTCACTTGTGTACAACAGTCAACTCTGAGACAGTATTGGAAATAAAAGTTGACTATGATCACTTTCATAGTTCTTGCCTCTGTTCTTTAACTTGGCCTTCCCAATACTTGCAGTCTACTATTACAAGACTACTCTCCTGGTTTTGATTACCTTCTGATAAGGATTATATCACTTTTGCGAAGTCATTCTTATAGACTCAATCTCTTTCCCACTCTCTCATCTTAAAACTTGTATTCCTTTGATTTAAAAAATGCTCTCACTCAAAGAGAAGTTGACTGAATGGCAAAAATACTACACACACATGCATTTATGATATGATATGGGACACATGAAATGGATTGTGAAAGTGGGGGAAGAATAAACTTTATTGGCCCACAGAAGGGATGAGGGAATGAGAAGGGGCTAGGGATAAGAATGAACGAAAATGGAAAAACTAAAACAGAATGATTTAAAATGTGCAAATACACTTTGCAACCTCCACCTTTCAATTTAGGAATTGATATATATGTACAATGAGATCCATGTAGGCTAAAGTGAGTTTCACTTTGTAGTTGAAGCTACTTGTACCAGTTCTATCATTAGTAAGTCACCGTTTAATTCTGCCAAAGTCAGACAAGGATCTTTCTGGTTAGTGCAAACAAGGTTTTTCATCTTGGGCTGCAGTCTGACCCGCCAGTGCTCAGTAGGCAAGCTTGTGATGAATTCAAACACTTTCCAGTTCCCCACCTCCAATGGCAGCCAGGGTCTCCAGACTGTTTAAGCACTCCAAGCTTCTTCCAAGAATTTCTTCTAGCCGACTGCATAACACCTGAGCCCCCTCCAGTTCCACCTGCAGAGTTTGGTCTCTCTCAGAGCTTATTAAACATGCCTCACAGAAGGAAAATGGATTAGCTATCAACTGTAGTGAGTCCGTATTTGCTTCCAAAGAACCATCAATGCCATTTTGAGCCACACGATTTTGTAAAGTAATTATTCTCCAGGACACAATAAATGAATGTAGTCTTTGTGTGGCTTTCGTGTTCACTGCTGATAGATTAGTAAGGACCATTGCTTTTTTTAAAAGCTTACCCCTTATGCTAGATTCTGGGCCAATTTCACATAAAATTATAGCTCCTAAGACTTATTTCACACCCCTATAGCCCAAACGAGAAATTTCGTTATTTGGCTAAAAGCTTTTGTTTCTGAAAAACTAAAACCCAGGACAAACTAAATATAAACTGGAGCAAGACTGAGCCAAGTAGAACCACTACTGAAGATATTTGTTTTCTCATTTGTTATCAAACTTGACGGTGGGATGGTGTGCTGAAAAGGAATCTGGTTCATAAAAACTAAAGCTCCAGAGGTTCTTTAAAAGGTAATACAATCAACTGGTCCTATCATACCTTTCCTCTGCCTTCATTTTCCTGGTAGAAAGAAAACATTTTTAAAGCCCAACAATAAATTACAAGAAACTGAATAGCAAATAATAATAATAATAATAATTGAAAAAGAGGAAAAAGAGCTAGTAGGGGAGGCAAAATGAGAAAAAAAAATGAAGAGAATAGAAAATGATCCAGAGAGGTATCATATATGTGACCAAAAATCAAGAGGTAGAAGAAAATGTATTCATCATGATAGTTATCGGCGGTCCCAGGATGATATTAGCCATCCCAATTATTATATTTTCTTTGATGATATTAAATGAATATCAGAGCCCATTATAGCCTTACTTTTTTTTTTTTTTTTTTTTTTGAGATGGAGTCTTTCTCTGTCACCCAGAATGGAGTGCAGTGGTGCGATCTCGGCTCACTGCAACCTCTGCCTCCCAGGTTCAAGTGATTCTCCTGCCTCAGCCTCCCGAGTAGCTGGGACTACAGGCGTGCACTAACTCACCCAGCTAATTTTTATATTTTTAGTAGAGACAGGGTATAGCCTTATGTTTGTAATAGAACAGCCTTTAACAGGACATGGATCACAGAAAAGAAATGAACATACATTGAGTGCTTAGTATATACAAGGCATTGTTTTAGACACCAAAGCTGTCTTCTTATTTAATCTCTGCAATAGCTGTATGAAACAGGCACTATTCCCGACTTAAGATTTTGACACTGAGGCTCAGAGCAATTCATAAAACAAATGACAAAGTGGGTGGCCCTGGTAATTGTCCCTGTTTTTTCTCCCCTCTTCAGTATCATAAGCATCTGCACTTAATGAAGAATAAAAGGCATAAAAAGAATACAATAGTAAAAGAAATAAAAATTTCAATAAAGAATAAAAGAAAAAACAGCCACTCTCTTACCTCTCTGGATGGGCATGGAACTTCACCAGACTGCTATAGAGCTGTCTCTCTGCTTGTAAGGCCTCACTGAGCCGACTCCGTTCATCTACTAGTCCTTCTAGCATCAGCAGCAACTGAGAAAAGAAGAGAGAAGAAGCAATACGCAAATGGCACAGTGAGACATGAAACCACAGTTAATCCTGAGAAACAAGAAAATGCATTAGCATGTACTATGACTTAAAAAGCCCACTATCTTAGTACTTAAGCTTTTGATACTATTTTATGGTTTTTGAATCAGTGTCATATTATCTTTTTTTTAATCTTTAAAACCTGTAAGGTAGAATTCAAACATGGGAGCAAAAAGAAGAAAAAGGAGAGAAGCTAGAAGCACAGGAAAGCAGCTAAGAGAAAAGAGTAAGAGGGAAACAGGACAAGCAAGAGGGAAATGTATGTAATAGGACTTACTAGTATTCTTCATTCATTCAATTAATATTTACTGAGCACCTTCTATGGGACAGACTCTGTTCTAGGTTCTAGGGGGAAGCTTACTATCTAGGGGAGGAAAAAGACATTCATTAATCATAGATGTGTGTCATTGTGAGTGTAATAAGTGCTATAAAGGTAATGAGCTATGATAATGTATAACCAGAGTTGTTTAAGGTAGAGTTAAAAGCCAGAATGGAGTGGGGTGAGTAGTTAGTGAGAGAGATGAGTCTTTTGGAAAAGTCTGGCATTGAAGAAAAGTTAAATGGGGCTGTAGCTACAAAGAAATTTGGGGCAAATGTAGGGGTTTCTTTCTCTTTCTTTTTTTTTTTTTGACTGGGAGAGATTTGAACATGGTTAAATGCAGATAAAAGAGAAAGATTCAGTTGAGAGGGAGGTGACTTAGGTATGAGTGTGAGGATAACTATTGGTATGTGTCCAAAAGAACTGCTGCTCTTTTCAGAACTACAAATGTCAGAAAGGGGCATCTATAGCTGCTACCGACCAAAGTAAGAAACTTCAGAGCACAGTTTCTCTCTGAAATACCATCAACTAACCCTCCACAAATAGCTGAGATTGACAGCTTTACCATGGTTTATTTCACAGTAGAAAAATTAAGTTTGAGCCAGGCATGGTGGTGTGCACCTGCAGCTCCAGCTACTCAGGAGGCTGAGGCAGGAAGATTCCTTGAGCCCCAGAGTTTGAGGCTGCAGTAAGCTATGATCGTACCACTGCACTCCAGCCTGGGTGACACAGTGAGACCCTGTCTCAATGTGGTGACTCATGCCTGTATGTAATTCCAGCACTTTGAGGGGCTGAGGAGGACAGCTCACTTGCAGTCAAGAGTTCAAGACTAGCCTGATCAACATGGTGAAACTCCATCTCTACTAAAAAAAAAAAAATACAAAAAAAGTAAATAAATAAATAAGGTTTATATTCCAATAACTTACCTGTTGTCTTTGGTTTCCTGAAATTTCTTGACCCTGGGATTCTACTGAAGCAACTTTTTCCCAAAGAAGTAAGACTTCCTGGGTCAGGCGTTTCATAGCTCTTATGTCTTCAGGATCAACCAGTTGCATTTGCAGGTCCTAGAAGTCAAAAAATAAGTGTGGATGTGAAAATAGTAATAAAAGGATTATTCAGCAGAGGGGAGCATGGGAACAAATGTTCTTGAAATATTCTGCCTATACTTTCAAGTGGGATATGGATAATCACTGGCCAAGGGAGTCAATGTGTGCAAATATTGTCTGAAGAGGCCCTACAAGTATTCTGAGCTGTGAACATTTCCAGTGGTCTTTAAAAAGTTTTGAAAGACCTTTATGAGATCTTCTTTCCATATCAGCAGCCTGCACCTGCAGCTCTTCTTCCTGCACAGCCATCATGGACTGTAGAGCAGAAAGTTCCATCTGTGAAAAGAGGAAACAATGTCTGCCATGTTTACATTTTAACACTGAGGCAAATGCTTTTGCATATCATATCACTATCAGCCAGTAATGCAAAAGAAAACGAGAACATGAATAGGGCTCTACAGCATCAAATCAATAATCCATGCAGTATGGTAACAAAGGATGTTTTATGGGAAGATGTCATAGTTGTTCTTAATGATGTCTTCCACTTTAGCTGGCACTATGAAACACATCAAATTTGTTTAACAAGCTTATTATGATACTGAAAAAGAATGGTCACCATTAGCAGAAGCAAGAAGAGATGAAGTTTTTATGTATTTCACCTAACAAATGAAAACAATGATAGCATTAGGATATCTCCATTTTGCAACCCTTAATGAATTAATGGATAAGGCATCAAACAGCAACAGCTGCTAACATCACAAGAGATCACCAAACATTACATGCCTCCTGATGGAAGAACACGCCACCACCTATGAAGAAATATTGCCAAAAGCTGGCACTACATGCCCTAAACTTTCAGTGTTCTCACCAGAAAATGACAAGTACTTGGTTATGACAAAGTTCATTAAAAATCATGATAATAGGCAGGGCGCGGTGGCTCATGCCTGTAATGCCAGCACTTTGGGAGACTGAGGTGGGCAGATCACGAGGTCAGGAGTTCGAGACCAACCTGACCAACATGGTGAAACCCATCTCTACTAAAAATACAAAAATTAGCCAGGTGTGTTGGTGTGTGTCTGTAATCCTAGCTACTCAGGAGGCTGAGGCAAGAGAATCACTTGAACCCGGGAGGCAGAGGTTGCAGTGAGCCAAGATCACGCCACTGCACTCCAGCCTGGCAACAGAGCAAGACTCCGTCTCAAAAAAAAAAAAATCTTGATAATAACCATAGCTGCTAACACTTACTATGCCCCGGGTGCTCTAATAAATGTTTTGTGTATATTTAATCCTTTTAACAAACCTAGTGATCTGGCTCCTGCCTACTTTTCCTACTTTGATATCTGCCATTTTACTGCTCACTCATGACTGTAGGCACACTAGACTTTTTCTGTTCCAGGAACACCAGACTTTCTCTTGACTCGGCCTTTACAACTACTACTCCCTTTGCCTGAAATATCTTTCCCAGGGCTGCCTCCTTTTCATCCTCAGGTCCCAGCTTACATGTCGTCTGCTCAGAGAAGCCTTCTTTGGCCACCCTATTTAAGATGGTCTCCATCCATGTTGCTTTCTACCATTTCCCTCATATCACTTACTATACTCTATAATTATAATGTTTATTTATTGTCTGTATCTCCCCAGGAGAAATTAACTACATACAGCCAGAGACCTTACTGATTTCATTCACTACCTCATCCCCAGCACTAGCCCAAGCTTAGAGAAGGTCCCCATATAGCTAATGAATGAATGAGTGAATCCTCACAAAAATCCTATGAGATAACTACTCTTTGATTTATACATAAGGTGATTTCTTCTACTCTTCAATTTACAGACAAGGTGATTGAGTCTGAGGGAAATTAAGGAGCTTGTTCAAAAATCACAGGGCTGGCTAGTAAGTGGTAAATCCAGAATGTGAACTCAGGGAAGCTGACACAGAGCCACTAGGCTATAATGTCTTTCCTGTAGATACCATATATCCATACAATCTTTATGGTAAGGACAAATTATTTTAAATAAACCCTTTAAAGGAATTTAGCAATAGCTAAATATCACTCACTCAAAATATCTATTCATAGGCATTACAATTTCATGATCCTGAAAACAGGACAGAATCAAAAAGTAACATTACTCTGGATTTGATAAATGTGAGAAACACAGGAAGAGGATGTGGAAACTAAAATATCTGATATGAATACTCAGATAACGGCTAAGGTAGAACCACAAAAAGGAAGGGAGACTAGGGGATTTTTAAAACTGGTATTTCTTAAATGCCACACATTCTCATATCCTGAAAACTAATTGAGTTGAAAAACATGAGTCTGTTAGTAAGCAGAAATATGGTAATGAAATCAAAAGATAAAATATGATAATTCCATCACAAATAGAAACACAGGTTTTATATTACAGATCTAGCTATGGCAAAAGGTAAAAAAAAAAAACTAAGAGCTATTTGGACTAGCTAGCTAAACTGAGTTTAGGAAGCCATGACACTGACTGATCTTCTAAAAGAGATGCCAACATAGTAACAAATAAGCTTTTAGTTTCAGTCTGTAACTCTGCGCTGTGGTCCTAGTATTTCTTCAACATCATAGTTGAATATGCAACTAGCTGTGGAGGAAAGGCAGGGGGAAGGGAATCTCTAAGGCTGAAAGGCCTCTTCTAAAAAAATTGATGAGAACTCTATGCTAGAGCGAGTTAAAGCATAAGGTGGGAAAAATGTGCTCTAGGAAATGAATCTTCTTAGGAAGTATGTGAAGTCACAAAAGGCTTGAGTTTGAATCATAACTCTGGCATTTATTAGTTACCTGACTATTTTCCACTCCCATTTTAAAAGAGAAATCAGTGTTTCAACTTCTTCGTCTATAATAATTGGGCCGACACCACTTACTTTGTGTAGAGTTGTGAGCATTAGTGCTAATTTAAATACCTAGCACAGTACATTGCACATGAGTACTCAATAAACATTGATTATACTCAAATTTCTCGTTTCATGTTTCTAAAACTGATTTCATGGGTCTAATGTCATAACTCTAAGCAGCAATCACACAACACTTCCTTTTTTCACTAGTGCTTTACAATTATTATTATTATTATTATTATCTTGGAGGCGGAGTTTTGCTCTTGTTGCCCAGGCTGGAGTGTGATGGCACGATCTCAGCTCACTGCAACCTCCACCTCCCAGGTTCAAGCGATTCTCCTGCCTGAGGCTCCCAAGTAGCTGGGATTACAGGTACCCGCCACTACACCTGGCTAATTTTTGTATTTTTAGTAGAGACGGGGTTTCGTCATATTGGCCAGGCTGGTCTTGAACTTCTGACCTCAAGTGATCCGCCCACCTCGGCCTCCCAAAGTGCTGGGATTACAGGCATGAGCCACTGCACCCGGCCCTTACAATTATTTTATTCCAGTTAGCAATGGGGAGAGAGGGTTACGTTTTTCCAGCACTTAATAAGTTTTAATGGTCCCAATCTAAAAACAGGAGCATCTTTTTGAGATAATGTATATATAAAATAACTTATCTCCAAAAAGAAAAAAGTCATACCTGGCATTTGGACTCAGATATTATACTTGGAGAATTATATGCTTTTAAATATAAACTATTTTGAAAGAAAAAATAATAGGGATTTAGAAATTAAGACTTGACTAGAAAACTCACCTGACTTTCTCTTTCTTTGTTAGCCATGAGTTCAAGTTCCACTTTGGCATTACTCAGTTCTTTGTCCAGCCCTACAACTGTGTCCAAGTCTCCTAAAATGAAAATATAGCACTAGTTTTCATTGTTATTAACATAATGTGATATTTGCTGCCTCCTTTGAGTAATTTATAGAGGACACATTCCAATAATAAGAAAAAAGAAAACATACACAGATTGTTCTTTGTAGCATTATTTATCATAGCAAAATACTGCAATCATCCTAGATGCTATAAAGAAAAGATTGAATAAACTATAGTATATTCACAGATGGCACTATATACTGCTGTAAAAAAAGAATAAGGATGATCTTTATGAACTTTTATGGACTGATTTTGAGATTCTAAGAATATGTTAAGTAAAACAAGCTATGTGCTTAAGAATACATCTAAGGTAGTAGGTTTTATATTAGGAAAAAGGGGAAATAAGAATATATATATATACATCACATATACACAGATGATTCATTTGCTTATTTTTGCAAAAAGATATACAGGAAGAATAACCCAGAAATGAAACTGATTACCTGAAGGAGATGAGTGGAAACAGGAGAGAAGGGATAGGGAAATATGGGACATCTGAGTATATTG
Source organism: Homo sapiens (assembly GCF_000001405.40). NCBI lineage: Eukaryota > Metazoa > Chordata > Mammalia > Primates > Hominidae > Homo > Homo sapiens. The sequence continues at coordinate 147,048,760 of NC_000001.11, forward strand.
TTTTATATACTGGAGTTTTGAACTGTGTAAATGTTTAATTTTTAAGTGTAAGTCAGCTTGACAATGAATGGGAGAGAAAATGTCTAGAATTGAATACTAATATAAATAAATAGAGCTATATAGCAAATAGATAATGAAACTACCCAGAAGATAATAAAAAAATTAATCCAAATAATTTTTGAACTCACTACTCTAACTGAACACTGTCAGTGCAAAATATCCTAAGGATAAAAAGAATTACAAAAAAATCTTAAATATTACTTAATACTTTATTGTTGATGGTGGTATTTATGTAGCAATTCTGAAACTACCTTTGCATACTATAGTATTCTGCAAATGTGTAAATATTTTGAAACATATTGATGCTATAAGTAACCAGGGCTCTCAAGGAGATACAAATATGAAATGAGGGAAAAAAGAACCTATATTGTTAAATTGGAATTACAGAAATCAGTATCAAATCTTCATTATGTATACAAATACGCACAAACATACTTAAAAATATTCATTGCTAGCTCTGTTCTCTTAAAAGGGCCTAGAAGCAAAAGGCATTCATGTAGCAATGAACACATCTTGTGTCCAGATCATAGTTTCTGAATGCCATTACCCACCAAAAGGAACCAGGGAGCTCTTTAAGATAATGGCTGATTCTGGGACTGAGGCAGGTAAAGCAAAAGGTAATCATAGAACATCTTATTGTGCCAGAAACTATCAAACTATGCTAAAAAAAAAAAACTAATGGGGATATGGCAAAGGCTCAGAGAAACAGCTTGATGAGGCTCCCACTGACCAAATATGGGTTAATTTGAGCATTAAAGGAAATAATGACCAAAATCAATAATATAATGATTTTTAAAACTCCATATTAATAAAAACAAATGGGGTATAGAGATAAGGAAAGGACAGCTCTTCTTTATAAATAATACCCACAAATAAACAAAGAAGAAATTTTACAAACAGAAAATCATAATTTCTTTTTTTTTTTTTTTTTTTTTTTTTGAGACTGAGTCTTGCTCTGTCCTCCAGGCTGGAGTGCAGTGGGGCAATCTCTCCTCTTTCCAGGTTCAAGCGATTCTCCTGCCTCAGCCTCCTGAGTAGCTGGGATTATAGGCATGCACCATCAAGCCCGACTAATTTTTGTATTTTATAGTAGAGACAGGGTTTCACCATGTTGGCCAGGCTGGTCTCAAACTCCTGAGCTCAAGTGATCTGCCCGCCTCAGCCTCCCAAAGTGCTGGGATATAGGCATGAGCCACCGCGCCCAACCCTGAAAATCACTATTTTTAAACTACCAACGTAGTTTACATTCAGCCAGCAGATCACTTATATACTAAAGGGGAAATAAACCTTTTACAATGGAGAGATTTGGCAGCTACAACCTTAACTAAATGACTAAATTTAATATCACCAAGGATGACACAAACTGATTATCATGCAATGACGTGTGGCACCAAAAAAGATGTCATCCAGGCCATGCGCGGTGGCTCACTCTTGTAATGCCAGCACTTTAGAAGGCTGAGGTAGGTGGATCACTTGAGGCTAGGAGTTCCAGACCAGCCTGGCCAACATGGCAAAACCCTGTCTCTAAGAAAAAATACAAAAAAACTAGCCAGGCATGGTGGCGCATGCCTGTAGTCCCAGCTACTTGGGAGGCTGAGGCGGGAAGATTGCTTGAAACCGAGAGGCAGGCAGGCAGCCACGCAGGACGGAAGGAAGGAAGGGAGGGAGGGAGGGAGGAAGGAAGGAAGGAAGGAAGGAAGGAAGGAAGGAGGGAAGGAAGGAAGTCACCCATATGGTATTCCTGCCAAAAATGTTTAACTCGAATCTAACCATGAGGAAACAATCACAGCTAAATTGAGGAATATTATCTGGCCTGGATTCTTCAAAATGCCAATCTCGGCCTCTGCCCCCGGGCGGGCCGGGCGGCAGTGGTCGGGGGAGCCAGGCTGAGGGTGGGGGTGGGTGGCCGGCGGGCGGTGGGCGGGGAGGGCAGCGGAGGAGGCGAGGAGCGCCGGGTACCAGGCCGGGGGAGGCGCGGGCTCCCGGGGAAGAGACGGGTGATGAACAATCTTTACATCGGGAACCTTAGCCCTGCGGTCACCGCCGACGACCTCTGGCAGCTCTTTGGGGACAGGAAGCTGCCCCCCACCGGACAGGTCCTGCTCAAGTCCGGCTATGCCTTCGTGGACTACCCCTACAAGAACTGGGCCATCCGCGCCATCGAGACCCTCTCGGGTAAAGTGGAATTGCATGGGAAAATCATGGAAGTTGATTACTCAGTCTCTAAAAAGCTAAGGAGGAGAAAAATTCAGATTCGAAACATCCCTCCTCACCTCCAGTGGGAGGTGTTGGATGGACTTTTGGCTCAATATGGAACAGTGGAGAATGTGGAACAACAAGTCAACACAGACACAGAAACCACTGTTGTCAACGTCACATATGCAACAAGAGAAGAAAATAGACATGGAGAGGCTAAGCGGGCATCAGTTTGAGAACTAGTCCTTCAAGATTTCCTACATCCCGGATGAAGAGGTGAGCTCCCCTTCGCCCCCTCAGCGAGCCCAGCGTGGGGACCACTCTTCCCGGGGAGCAAGGCCACGACCCTGGGGGCGCTTCTTAGGCCAGACAGATTGATTTCCTGCTGCAGGTCCTGGTCCCCTACAGTTTGCAGTTTGTTGGTGCCATCATCAGAAAGGAGGGCTTGACCATAAAGAACATCACTAAGTAGACCCAGTCCCGGATAGATATCCATAGAAAAGAGAACTCTGGAGCTGCAGAGAAGCCTGTCACCATCCATGCCACCCCAGGGGGGACTTCTGAAGCATGCCTCATGATTCTTGAAATCATGCAGAAAGAGGCAGATGAGAACAAACTAGCCGAAGAGATTCCTCTGAAAATCTTGGCCCACAATGGCTTGGTTGGAAAAGAAGGCAGAAATTTGAAGAAAATTGAACATGAAACAGGGACCAAGATAGCAATCTCATCTTTGCAGGATTTGAGCATAAATAACCAGGAAAGAATCATCACTGTGAAGGGCACAGTTTGAGGCCTGTGCCAGTGCTGAGATAGAGATTATGAAGAAGCTGCGTGAGACCTTTGAAAATGATATGTTGGCTGTTAATACGCACTCCGGATACTTCTCCAGCTTGTACCCCCATCACCAGGTTGGCCCGTTCCCGCATCATCACTCTTATCCAGAGCAGGAGGTTGTGAATCTCTTCATCCCAACCCAGGCTGTGGGCGCCATTATCAGGAAGAGGGGAGCACACATCAAACAGCTGGCGAGATTCGCCACAGCCTCCATCAAGATCGCCCTTGCGGAAGGCCCAGACGTCAACGAAAGGATGGTCATCATCACCCGGCCACCGGAAGCCCAGTTCAAGGCCCAGGGACGGATCTTTGGGAAACTGAAAGAAGAAAACTTCTTTAACCCCAAAGAAGAAGTGAAGCTGGAAGCCCGTATCAGAGTGCCCTCTTCCACAGCTGGCCGGGTGATTGGCAAAGGTGTCAATACCTTGAATGAACTGCAGAACTTAACCAGTGCAGAAGTCATCGTGCCTCGTGACCAAAGGCCAGATGAAAATGAGGAAGTGATCGTCAGAATTATTGGACACTTCTTTGCTACCCCAACTGCATAGCACAAGATCAGGGAAACTGTACAACAGGTGAAGCAGCAAGAGCAGAAATACCCTCAGGGAGTCGCCTCACAGCACAGCAAGTGAGGCTCCCACAGGCACCAGCAAAACAACGGATGAATGGAGCCCTTCCAACACCTGACAGAATGAGACCAAACACAGCCAGCCAGATCGGGAGCAAACCAAAGACCATCTGAGGAATGAGAAGTCTGCGGAGGCTGCCACGGACTCTGAAGAGGCCCTGAGAATTCCAGGGGCCGAGGAGGGGTGGGGAAGGTCAGCCAGGTTTGCCAGAACCACTGGGCCCGCTTCTCACCCCCATCAGGGCTTCTGCAGGCTTCAGCCATCCACTTCACCATCCACTCCGATCTCTCCTTAACTCCCACGACGCTATCCCTTTTAGTTGAACTAACATAGTGATGCGTTCAAAGCCAAGCAAAATGCACACCCTTTTTTTGTGACAAGTCATCTCTGTACATGTGTATACATATTAGAAGGGAAAGATGTTAAGATATGTGGCCTGTGGGTTACACAGGGTGCCTGCAGCAGTAATATATTTTAGAAATAATATATCAAATAACTCATCTACAATTTTTAATCAATCATTAATTTTTTTTCTTTTTAAAGAGAAAGCAGGCTTTTCTAGACTTTAAAAGAATAAAGTCTTTCTTTGGGAGGTCTCACAGTATAGACAGGAGCTTTGAGGCCACCCACACAAAATTCACCCAGAGGGAAATCTCAAAGGAAGGACAATCACAGCAGTTCTGGATCACCTGTGTATGTCAACAGAAGGGATACCATCTCCTTGAAGAAGAAACTCTGTCACTCCTCATGCCTGTCTAGCTCTTACACCCATTTCTCTTTGCTTCACAGGTTTTAAACTGGATTTTTGCATACTGCTATATAATTATCCATCTCTCTCTGTTTATCTCTCCCCTCCCTCCCCTCCCCGTCTTCTTCATCTCCATTCTTTTGAATTCCCTCATCCCTCCATCTCAATCCCGTATCTATGCACCTCACTCCCTCACAGGGAAAGCAGTGCTCTGAGTATCGCATCACACGAAAGGAACAAAAGTGAAACACACAAACCAACCTCAATTTACACTTGGTTACTCAAAAGAACAAGAGTCAATGGTACATGTCCTAGCGTTTTGGAAGAGGAAAACAGGAACCCATCAAACCAACCAATCAACCAAACAAAGAAAAAATTCCACAATGAAAGAAGGTGTTTTGTCTTTTTTGCATTTTGGTGTATAAGCCATCAATATTCAGCAAAATGATTTCTTTCTTTAAAAAAAATGTGGAGGAAAGTAGAAATTTACCAAGGTTGCTGGCCCAGGGCATTAAATTTACAGATTTTTTTAATGGGAAAAACACACAGAAAAAGCTGCCTCAGGTGTTTTTTACCTCAGCACCTTGCTCTTGTGTTTCCCTTAGAGATTTTGTAAAACTGATAGTTGGAGCATTTTTTAATTTTTTTTAATAAAAATTAGTTGGAAAAAAAATAAGATATCAACTGCCAGCCTGGAGAAGGTGACAGTCCAAGTGTGCAACAGCTGTTCTGAATTGTCTTCTGCTAGCCAAGAACCTATATGGCCTTCTTTTGGACAAACCTTGAAAATGTTTATTTAAAAAAAAAAAGATGACAAAGAAAAACAGACAGAGATAATATTGGAGATGTCCTGAATTTTAATAGGGTATGCGCCATTAGGACTTTTTGTGCTAAAGGATGAACATGTACTGTTTTATGTGAATAAGCCATTATACCACCAGACTGCAATGCCAGTTTCCTCTATTGCAAACAGTGTTCTGTGACAAAAAAAAAAAGAAAGAAAAGAAATATATCCAGCTAACAAGAAAAAAAATGCAAATCTCACTAAAGAAAAAAAAAAGCTAGACAATTGTTCTAGATTAGAGACTAAGAGACATGACAACTAAGCACAATGCATAACCCCTGGGTTGGGGGAAACCAAAGTAGCTATACAGAACATTATGGGGACAACAGGAACTCTGAATGTGGACTGTATATTAGATACGAAGCCTATATCAAGGTTAAATTTTCTGAGTGTGATAATTATATTGTAGCTATGTAGGAGAATGCCCTTGTTCTTAGGCAATACTTACTGAAGTATTTAGGAATAAAATGTCATGATTTCTGTAAGAAATTCCCCAGTGGTTCAGAAAATACATTACAACTACATATGTGTGTGTAATAGAAAGAAAAAAGGCAAATGTGGCAGAATGTTAATAACTGGTAAGTCTGAATAAAAATGTATATGAGTATTCACTATACTATTTTTGCCACTTTCCTGTAGGTTTGAAATTTCCAAAATCAAAAACTTTAGGGAAAAGTACACTTTTTTAAAAAGGCAAATAAAGAATAAATAAAACAAATCCAACATTCTTTTACTCTTTGATTAGTGTAAAGCTTTCTTGCTAGAGAATGACTACTTGTAAGGCTTTTCTAAACCATCCCCTGAATGGGGCTAGGCTTGGCAAATAACTCAATGTACACCACCTACCCTTCCTAACAGTTTCATGTAGGTGACGTCAAGTTACAGTGAGTGGCCCCAGACTTGAAAGATACCCGGAAAAAAGTCAGCTCATGGCTCTGCTGTGCAGGATTGGAACCTCCTGCATTTCTGAATCCCTGCAAAGCTATCTGAAAAGGAGAATAATGATAGAGTTTCTCTGGCCAAATTGTGAACCCAGAGCAATAACCTCAACTCAACATAAGGTAAGTACAGTTCTTCAGCCTTTCAGAGGAATTCCAAACTTGTTTGTTCCATTAAGGTAGGAAGAGAAAAGAGTCTTGGCCAAACCTATTAATACGGAGATTACTAGAAGGAAAAACAAGAGAAAAACAAAGTCCCTTAATGAAATGAAATTTGATACTTATCTAATGTGCATCTGGGTATGCTGGCATCCTCTTTGGCAGTCGATGAAGTGCTATCATCTCTGGAAGGTATCTGCATTGAACCCTAAAAAATTGGAAAAGTCGGGGGACTTAGGAAGATGCAGGAACTATGACCACAATGACAGTACTGAGAATATTCTCAGAATTTGGTATTAAAATTATCAAACTTACACCTCAAATGTAAAAAGAAAATGGAATCAGCATGAATTATCTAAGTCCATAGTTCTTACTTGATCAGTCTGTTCTCCAAGAGTGGGGGCCAATGGAGGTAACTTCAGCTTGCTGGTTAGAGATGGGTGCTTGGGACATTAGGGAGTCTCTCCCTCCTAAATATTGGTGCAGGGCCTGTAATTCTGAATTTCTTTCCATTAAGGCTTGCACCATATTCTCTCTTCTCGAAAAAAAAAAAGAATTTACTTCTTAAATATTGTGAAATTAATATACCCCATACTATTATGAGATTGTTTACTCTCACCATGACCTCTGAAAAATGCAATCTTTTTTCCCTCTTAAGATAACTCAGATTTTACAAAAACTAAGAGTAAACATGTTGAGTGTAAGTTTTCCCATACCTTGACTGGAAATGCAAAATATCACTCAAGTCTTAATAATTTAGAATCAAAACCAAAACACTCACAACCCCTACTCCTTTCTCTCAAAATGATCAGATTATTAAGGAAAAGAAAATGTATGTAATGAAGTTAATGGATACATGTATTGTTTAGGCACCCTTCCAAATGCAAGGTTTTCAAGAAATGTTTCATACTTTGATGATTAATGTAAAACTGTGGTCTAAGGCCAGGTGCAACAGCTCACACCTATAATCCCAGCACTTTGGGAAGCCAAGGCAGGATGATTGCTTGAGCCCAGGAGTTCAAGACCAGCCTGCGCAACACAGCGAGACCCCCACCTCTAAATAAATAAATAAATAAAACTGTGGTCTAGGTAATAAATAGAAGGAAAGAAACTAACAGAGTTGACTGTAAAATATATAAATATACATGCATCTATAGTCTGCAAATGCTTCCTATTTGCAGACTATAAATGCACTATGTGATACTTTTCTGATCTGTGCATTAATCCTTACTTGGCTTTCCTGCTCCCCGGTGCGCATAGACCAAAGCAGGCCTTGAATCTCCATTTCATCTTCTACCACTTCTTTGTTTTGATCACTTAGAAGGTCCTGCAGCATCCTTTCCTTTCGCTGTAGACGCTGGCACAGCTCCTCTGCTATCTCACTCTGCCCTGGTCCAAGTTTGCAGAGCAATGTTGCACTAAGATCCTAATGCAGAAAGGACACTGTAAGTTTCTGGAGGAAAGAACTGCCTCTACTAAATATCAAAGGGCTTATAAGAATCTATCATAGAAGAAGGAGTGTGAGATACTTGAGAATAAGTATCATGTTTTACTCATTTTTGTTTTACCAGATCTAGCACAAGCCTGGAACACAGAAGTCTCTAAATACATGTCCCAGGAATGAATACAAACAATACAGAAAACTGTCTTTAGTGGCCACTTACATACATATTGTTTTCTGAAATAAGTCTTTTTCCTATTTGTTCAGGGCATGTAACAATTAATGTTAGATGAGGATAAATGGACACTCAGTTCATTTATTTGTTTTCTCCCCAGTGTAACTTTATAGGGATAAGCATAAAATGATAAGCTGAAAGGAATACTAAACACTATGTTTGCTATCATAGTGATGGTTTCTATTTCTGTACTAACCGACGGCACACGGTGGAGGAAACGGAGGAGCTATACTGCCTAGGTTGATACTGGATCTGCTACTTATTAGCTATGTTAGCTTGGGCAAGTTACTTAGCTTTAGACATCTGTTTCCTCCTCTATAAAACAGGGATAATAGAATGTGCCCATGAACTTGTGGGGATTCAATGAGTTAATATCCATTAAGATCTTAAAACAGTACCTGACCCAGCATGAACACTGTAACTAATAAAGGTTAGCTATCATATTAAAGATGCAATTTTTAGGTCTCATTAATTCTCACATAACTTCTTTGAGAAAGTTAATTGCCAACTTAAGCTTCTAGATGTGGGGGAAAAAAAATCCCAGTGAAAGTAAATTACTTGCCCAGGCACAGAATCACTTGTACCTGGAGAATCGCTTGTACCTGGGAGGCGGAGGTTGCAGTGAGCTGAGATCACACCATTGCACTCCAGCCTGGGCAACAAGAGCGAAACTCCATCCCAAAAAATAAAATAAAATAAAAGAATATCAAGCAGCCAAAGAAGCAAGGAAACATGATACATAATGAAGAATCTAATAATCTAGTTGAAATTGACACACATGTTGGAAATAGCAGAAAAGGACATTAGAGCAGTTATAACTGTATTTTAATTAAATGGAGAGATTGAAGATTTTTTAAATATAAGATTCTGTAGATAAAAACTATGATTTACAGTCTGAAATGGAAGAAGGCACTGGATTAAACATTGCAGAAGAGAAGATTATTGAGCTAGAAGGAATAGAAGTTGAAACTAACATAAATGAAACCCACAGTAACAAATGACTGGAAAACATAAAAGGACTATCAGCATAAAAACTGTAAACACCCTAGTATAGGGCTAAATGGAATCCCTGAAGGGTGTGTAGTGGAGAAGAGAGACAAAAATATTTAAAACATACCGGATGAAAGATTAAAGAGCTTCATGGAAACCATAAACTTCAAATATTACAGAAATATGATTATTCTAAGAACAAGAAACATGAAGAAAACTTAACCAGGAACATCTTAATCAAATCCATCAAAACCAGTGATAAAGAGGAAGTTTTAAAAGTAATAAAAGGGGAAAGAACATGTTACATACAGAGGACTAAATATAAGGATGGCATAAGATTTCTCATAGGAAACTTGACAAACAAGAAGTTTGCAATAGTTTTAAAGTAATTAAAAAAAGAAAAACTGTTGCCTACAATTCTACACCTGGCCAAATTATCTTTCAAAAATAAACATGAGAAAAAATATTTTTGAAAAGAAAACAAAATTATCTCAATTTGCAGATGATGTGATCCTATATATGGAAAATCCCAAATAATACAAATGCAAACACACATACATGCACATAGACACCAGACACACACACACACACACACACACACACACACACACACTCTGCTAGAGTTAGTAAGCTAATTCAGCAAACTTTCAGCAAACAATCACTTGTGTTAGCAATGAACAATCTGAGAAGAAAATTGACACAACGATTACATTTATAATAGCACTGGTAAGAATAATATGCCTGGGAATAAATTTGTTCAAGAAGGTGCAGTACTTGTACACAGACAACTACAGAACATTGCTCATGGAGATTAAGAAGGACCTAAATAAATGGAAAGACATATTTTGTCCATGGGTTGGAAGTTGTAACATGGTTAAGATAAAAATACAACTCAAAGCCATCCACAGATTCAATACAATCCTATCAAAAAGTGGCCTTTTTTACAAGAATGGCTAAGAAGAACTTCATATTCCTAAAAAATAGTGTGTCCCCTCAAAACAAAAGCAATCTTGAAACGCAAGGAGGAACATTTTCTATTCCAAAGGTCTTTAACTGCTCTCAGCAATACTTGGTAGTCTTCAATATACAGGCTTTCACATTTTTTTTCTTTTGTTTCTAGGCAGGATCTCACTCTTTCACCCAGCCTGGAGTACAGTGGCATGATCACAGCTCACTGCAGCATGGAATTCTCAGGCCTATGACATCCTAGAGCCTCATCCACTGAGTTCCTGGGACTACAGACTCACACCACCACACCTGGATAATTTTTCTGATTTTCAGTAGAGATGAGGGCTCACTATGTTGCCTAGGCTAGTTTCAAGCATCTGAGCTCAAGCGACTCTCCTGCCACGGCCTTCCAAAGTGTTGGTATTTGAAGCTGAGCCTGGCTGGCTTTCACATGTTTTCTATGTAGTTGATATTTCTTGATACTATTGTGAGCCTGGCTGGCTTTTACATCTTTGCTATGTAGTGAAACCCTGTCTCTACCAAAAAGACAAAAAGAAAGAGAGAGAGAAAGAAAGAAAGAAAGAAAGAAAGAAAGAAAGAAAGAAAGAAAGAAAGAAAGAAAGAGAAAGAAAGAAAAGAAAATTAAAGAAGAGAAAATCTCTGAACTAAACTTATTCCTCAAACTCTGACCTTACAAATCTTATGTGCCCATCTCTTCTGCCTAGAGGAAGAGGGGGGCATGAGGCAGAAGAGAGGTGCATGTGGGATTGTTGGGCCTAGATGGATTGAATGGTTTCAATTTCTGCTTTTGTGTCTCATGAAAGCAGTTCATTTTGGTTGTCATCTTCTCCAGGTTCTGAAGACGAGGCATTGATTGGCATCAATGTTCAAGATTTAGCAAGAGTAGGTGCCTTTTTTCAGACCCAGGAGTCAAAGCCCTGTAAGCTAAAAGCACAGGGATCAGTTAATAGGATGTTGGTACTGCAGGAAGTCCTATTTCTCTCTAACATGTCACAAATGAAAACACTGTGATTTGGTGTCCAGTAGTTACTGCCTGAAGCACTTCAAACCATTGTATTAAAGCGGTTAGGATACTCCTTGCATGTACCTAATTGCCAGCATTCTAATCACAGAACCATGACCAAAAGCATCAAAAATGTGACAGGGCCTATGCCAAACTTATCAAAGTAAGACAATTGACATTTCTCTCTATCATTTAACAAAATGGTAAATGCAAAGAACAGTTTTGGAAATTTACTATGGGGATAAATAATCTCCTTTTCTTTAAACACCATACAACAAAACAAGGACAAAGTGAGAATAAACACACAGTAATTTTTTCAGCTATGTTATTTATTTATTTATTTAGAGACAAAGTTTCCCTCTGTTGTCCAGGCTGTAGTGCAGTAGCAGGATCTTGGCTCACTGCAACTTCTACCCCCACCTACCAGGTTCAAGTGATTCTCATGCTTCAGCCTCCCAAGTAGCTGGGATTACAGGTGTGCACCACCAACCCCAGCAAATTTTTGTATTTTTAGTAGAGACAGCGTTTGGTAGTGTTGGCCAGGCTGGTCTCAAAATCCTGGCTTCAGGTGATCTACCCACCTTGGCCGCCCAAAATGCTGGGATTACAGGCATGAGCCACCACACCGGGCCCTCTTTTCAGCTATTTTAAAAGAGCATAACCACATATTTCCAAGATTGGTTTCTACTGATTACTGATTAGGTCACTTTCACCACTAAAATCTTCAAACCAGTGCAATATTTGTACATGTTTTGTTTTCAAGTACACACATGAAGGCCTAACAGTGATACAAGGCTTGGGTTCAAAAATCACTAGAAAGTCTCACATCATTTTTTTCATCACCACTTAATCCAAGTGAATGTCGCTTAATTTTAATAATGGTAAAAACAACTAGATTGAGAGAAATCCCAATTCATATAATTTCCTAAAGGACAAGGCCAATCTGTCCCGAACATGGAAACTTTGTACCCATATCAGAGCTTTTCTTCATTAAAGGAAAGGATCTGCAACCAATTCAAATGATTGGTCAAAACCAACTGAAGTTACTGATTGCATTGAATGTGTACCAAACCTCAGGCCATGGGTGCCTGAGTCCTAGTGTTCCTGTGACATCCCTTTGGGGTGGTGGAACTCTACCTTTCAATGATGGGAAGTCTTGGGAAAGAGCAACTCTCCTCTCCTTGTCTAGTATAGGTAGCTTTTGTGTCAAACTCTACTCAGCAGGTGACCTATACCTGGGACCAAGGGTAAGAAGGGTTCCTTCCTCCAACATCAGTGGCAGATGCCTTTTGTTTCATGTGAGAGAAGCAACCAGGTTTTGTGCCTGTACTTTGGTGGTGGCCAATCATGACCTATATGCCTATACCACTGAGGGAAGCTCAAGAAATTCTCTTTTGCCTCCCTCTCTCTCTCTCTCTCTCTCTCTCCCCCTCTCCCTCTCCCTCTCCCTCACCCTCTCCCTCTCCCTCTCCCTCTCCCTCTCCCTCTCCCTCTCCCTCTCCCTCTTTGTACAGTCTCCCTCTGATGCTGAGCTGAGGCTGGACTACTGCCGCCATCTCGACTCACTGCAACCTCCCTGCCTGATTCTCCTGCCTCAGCCTGCCAAGTGCCTGGGATTGCAGGTGCGCACCGCCACGCCTGACTGGTTTTCGTATTTTTTGGTGGAGATGGGGTTTAGCCGTGTTGGCCGGGCTGGTCTCCAGCTCCTGACCGCGAGTGATCTGCCAGCCTCAGCCTCCCGAGTTGCCGGGATTGCAAATGGAGTCTTGCTCACTCAGTGCTCAATGTTGCCCAGGCTGGAGTGCAGTGGCGTGATCTCGGCTCGCTACAACCTCCACCTCCCAGCCGCCTGCCTTGGCCTCTCAAAGTGCCGAGATTGCAGCCTCTGCCCGGCCGCCACCCCGTCTAGGAAGTCAGGAGCGTCTCTGCCTGGCCGCCCATCGTCTGGGATGTGAGGAGCCCCTCTGCCCGGCCGCCCACTCTGGGAAGTGAGGAGCGCCTCTTCCCGGCTGTCATCCCCTCTAGGAAGTGAGGAGCGTCACTGCCCGGCCGCCCATCATCTGGGATGTGGGGAGCGCCTCTGCCCTGCCGCCCCGTCTGAGATGTGAAGAGTGCCTCTGCCTGGCTGCAACCCCATCTGGGAACTGAGGAGTGTCTCTGCCCTGCAGCCACCCCGTCTGGGAGGTGAGGAGCGTCTCTGACCGGCCGCCCCATCTGAGAAGTGAGGAGCCCCTCCGCCCGGCAGCCACCCCGTCTGAGAAGTGAGGAGCCCCTCCACCTGGCAGCTGCCCCGTCTGGGAAGTGAGGAGTGTCTCCGCCCTGCCAGCCGCCCCGTCCGGGAGGTGGGGGGCAGCCCCCGCCCGGCCAGCTGTGGCGTCTGGGAGGTGGGGGGCACCTCTGCCTGGCCGCCCCGTCTGGGAAGTGAGGAGCCCCTCTGCCCCACCGCCACCCCATCTGGGAGGTGTACCCAATAACTCATTGAGAAAGGGCCATGATGACGATGGCGGTTTTGTCGAATAGAAAAGGGGGAAATGTGGGGAAAAGAAAGAGAGATCAGATTGTCACTGTGTCTGTGTAGAAAGAAGTAGACATAGGAGACTCCATTTTGTTCTGTACTAAGAAAAATTCTTCTGCCTTGGGATCCTGTTGATCTGTGACCTTACCCCCAACCCCATGCTCTCTGAAACATGTGCTGTGTCCACTAAGGGTTAAATGGATTAAGGGAGGTGCAAGATGTGCTTTATTAAACAGATGCTTGAAGGCAGCATGCTCCTTAAGAGTCATCACCACTCCCTAATCTCAAGTACCCAGGGACACAAACACTGTGGAAGGCGGCAGGGCCCTCTGCCTAGGAAAACCAGAGACCTTTGTTCACATGTTTATCTGCTGACCTTCCCTCCACTATTGTCCTATGACCCTGCCAAATCCCCCTCTCCGAGAAACACCCAAGAATGATCAATAAATACTAAAAAAATTAAAGAAAAAAAAGAAAGAATGAACATATCCTTAACAGGGGCTTGATTAAAATAAGAAATAAAAGGATGTATCTCTATAATGAAAATAAATAAATAAATAAATAAAATAAATAAAAAGACATGACAACTAAAAACCCTCTCAATTACCTTCTCTCCTCCTTTCCCTTCCTTCCTTCCTTCGTTCTTCTCTCCCTCCCTCTTTCCATTCTTCTCCATTTACAAAAAAATAAAAAAATAAAAAATAAAAAAAATAAAAACATTATCTTCAAAAAACAAAACAAAACAAAAAAAGAAATTCTCTTTCCCTGCGACATGTTTCTTGTTAGCACTCAGGAAATGTGGGAGGAAAAAACTTGGCAAATGGGCAAAAACATGCTACATATCTGGGACTCACATAGATTCTGTCACAATAGTTCACACTTGACCTTTAAGAAATGATGAAAACTTCAGTGATTTTCTCCAATCAACATTTATGGCTGCCATATTTTTCTTCCATTATCTGGAAGGAAACTGCTTCATTTGTTTGTCCTTCTTTGGTGGGGGTTCTCATGCTTTGGACTTCAGTTGATCTAGTGGCCTTCAAACTTCACCTCTCTGGTGGGATCAAAACAAATATGATTTTGCAGACCAGACAGCTTTCTCTTGTCATTAGAGTGGAACAACTGTCTCTTTCAGCTTTCTATGTCGTAAACAACTGTAGAATCTATTTTATAAATTCTTTATCTTCTCTATTTCTAGACTAATTTCTCTTCAGGATAGTACACAAATTCTGTTAGCTGATCACTTTTTTTGAGGCTATGAGATAGAAATAATGAGCACCTTGAAGATCCCTGCAAAGGAGCATATTCATTTGGTGCTCAAGGGAAACCTGGGCCCAGACCCGTACTGAAACTCATAACTGTCACCCACAGCTCTAGTTAAATTTTTTTTTTTTTTTTTTTGAGATGGAGTCTCACTCTGTCACCCAGGCTGGAGTACAGTGGTGTGATCTAGGCTCACTGCAAGCTCCACCACCTGGGTTCACGCTAGCTCTAGTTAAATTTTTACAATGAGGCTACCTCTTCTCAATAAGCATACTAGTCTTAAAACAAGTTTGAGATAGGGACTATCTTAAAATAGGCTTCCCGGAGGCTGGAGCCAAGATAGCCAAATAGGAACAGCTCCGGTTTACAGCTCCCAGCGTGAGCGTCACAGAAGATGGGTGATTTCTGCATTTCCATCTGAGGTATTGGGTTCAACTCACTAGGGAGTGCCAGACAGTGGGTGTAGGACAGTGAGTGCAGCACACTGTGAACGAGGTGGAGCAGGGCGAGGCACTGCCTCATTTGGGAAGTGCAAGGGGTCAGGGAGATCACTTTCCTAGTCAAAGAAAGGGGTGACAGACGGCACCTGGAAAATCGGGTCACTCCCACCCTAATACTGAGCTTTTCCAATGGGCTTAAAAAATGGCACACCAGGAGATTGTATCCTGCACCTGGCTCAGAGGGTCCTACACCCACAGAGTCTCACTGATTGCTAGCACAGCAGTCTGAGATCAAACTGCAATGCAGCAACAAGGCTGGGGGAGGGGCGCCTGCCATTGCCCAGGCTTGATTAGGTAAACAAAGCAACTGGGAAGCTTGAACTGGATGGAGCCCACCACAGCTCAAGGAGGCCTGCCTGCCTCTGTAGGCTCCACCTCTGGGGGCAGGGCACAGACAAACATAAAGACAGCAGTAACTCCTGCAGACTTAAATGTCCCTGTCTGACAGCTTTGAAGAGAGTAGTGGTTCTCCCAGCACACAGCTGGAGATCTGAGAATGGGCAGACTGCCTCCTCAAGTGGGTCCCTGACCCCCGAGCAGCCTAACTGGGAGGCACCCCCCAGTAGGGGCAGACTGACACCTCACACGGCCAGGTACTCCTCTGAGAAAAAACTTCCAGAGGAATGATCAGGCAGCAGCATTTGTGGTTCACCAAGATCCACTGTTCTACAGCCACCGCTGTTCTGCAGCCACCGCTGCTGATACCCAGGCAAACAGGGTCTGGAGTGGACCTCTAGCAAACTCCAACAGACCTGCAGCTGAGGGTCATGTCTGTTAGAAGGAAAACTAACAAACGGAAAGGACATCCACACCAAAAACCCTTCTGTATGTCACCATAATCAAAGACCAAAAGTAGATAAAACCACAAAGATGGGGAAAAAACAGAACAGAAAAACTGGAAACTCTAAAAAGCAGAGTGCCTCTCCTCCTCCAAAGGAATGCACCTCCTCACCAGCAACAGAACAAAGCTGGATGGAGAATGACTTTGACGAGTCGAGAGAAGGCTCCAAATGATCAAACTACTCTGAACTACAGGAGGAAATTCAAACCAATGGCAAACAAGTTTAAAACTGTGAAAAAAAATTAGACGAATGGATAACTAGAATAACCAATGCAGATAAGTCCTTAAAGGAGCTGATGGAGCTGAAAGCCAAGGCTCCAGAACTACATGAAGAATGCAGAAGCCCCAGGAGCTAATGTGATCAACTGGAAGAAAGGGTATCAGCGACGCAAGATGAAATGAATGAAATGAAGTGAGAAGGGAAGTTTAGAGAAAAAAGAATAAAAAGAAATGAACAAAGCCTCCCAGAAATATGGGACTATGTGAAAAGACCAAATCTATGTCTGATTGGTGTACCTAAAAGTGACGGGGAGAATGGAAACATTTTGGAAAACACTCTGCAGGATATTATCCAGGAGAACTTCCCCAATCTAGCAAGGCAGGCCAACATTCAGATTCAGGAAATACAGAGAATGCCACAAAGATACTCCTCGAGAAGGGCAACTCCAAGACACATAATTGTCAGATTCACCAAAGTTGAAATGAAGGAAAAAATGTTAAGGGCAGCCAGAGAGAAAGGTCAGGTTACCCACAAAGGGAAGCCCGTCAGACTAACGGCGGATCTCTCGGGAGAAACTCTACAAGCCAAAGAGAGTGGGAGCCAATATTCAACATTCTTCAAGAAAATAATTTTCAACCCAGAATTTCATATCCAGCCAAACTAAGCTTCATAAGTGAAGGAGACATAAAATACTTTACAGACAAGCAAATGCTGAGAGATTTTGTCACCACCAGGCCTGCCCTAAAAGAGCTCCTGAAGGAAGCACTAAACATGGAAAGGAACAACCAGTACCAGCCACTGCAAAAACATGGCAAAATGTAAAGACCATCAAGGCTAGGAAGAAACTGCATCAACTAACGAGCAAAATAACGAGCTAACATCATAATCACCAGACAAAATTCACATGTAACAATATTAACTTTAAATGTAAATGGGCTAAATGCTACAATTAAAAGACACAAACTGGCAAATTGGATAAAGAGTGAAGACCCCTCAGTGTGCTGTATTCAGGAACCCCTTCTCACATGCAGAGACACACATAGGCTCAAAATAAAGGGATGGAGGAAGATCTACCAAGCAAATGGAAAACAAAAAAAGGCAGGGGTTGCAATCCTAGTCTCTGATAAAACAGACTTTAAACCAACAAAGATCAAAAGAGACAAAGAAGACCATTAAATAATGGTAAAGGGATTAATTCAACAAGAAGACCTAACTATCCTAAATATATATGCACCCAATACAGGAGCACCCAGATTCATAAAGAAAGTCCATAGTGACCTACAAAGAGACTTAGACTCCCACACAATAAAATAGGAGACTTTAACACCCCACTGTCAACATTAGACAGATCAATGAGACAGAAAGTTAACAAGGATACCCGGGAATTGAACTCAGCTCTGCACCAAGCAGACCTAATAGACATCTACAGAACTCTCCACCCCAAATCAACAGAATATACATTTTTTTAGCACCACACCACACCTATTCCAAAATTGACCACATAGTAGGAAGTAAAGCTCTCCTCAGCAAATGTAAAAGAAGAGAAATTATAACAAACTGTTTCTCAGACCACAGTGCAATCAAACTATAACTCAGGATTAAGAAACCCACTCAAAACCGCTCAACTACATGGAAACTGAACAACCTGCTCCTGAATGACTACTGGGTACTTAACAAAATGAAGGCAGAAATAAAGATGTTCTTTGAAACCAACGAGAACAAAGACACAACATACCAGAATCTCTGGGACACATTCAAAGCAGTGTGTAGAGGGAAATTTATAGCACTAAATGCCCACAAGAGAAAGCAGGAAAGATCCAAAATTGACACCCTAACATCACAATTAAAAGAACTAGAAAAGCAAGAGCAAACACATTCAAAAGCTAGCAGAAGGCAAGAAATAACTAAAATCAGAGCAGAACTGAAGGAAATTGAGACACAAAAAACCCTTCAAAAAATTAATGAATCCAGGAGCTGGTTTTTTGAAAAGATCAACAAAATCGATAGACTGCTAGCAAGACTAGTAAAGAAGAAAAGAGAGAGGAATCAAATAGATGCAATAAAAAATGATAAAGGGGATATCACCACCAATCCCACAGAAATACAAACTACCATCAGAGAATACTACAAACACCTCTATGCAAATAAACTAGAAAATCTAGAAGAAATGGATAAATTCCTCAACACATACACCCTCCCAAGACTAAACCAGGAAGAAGTTGAATCTCTGAATAGACCAATAACAGGATCTGAAATTGTGGCAATAATCAATAGCTTACCAACCAAAAAAAGTCCAGGACCAGATGGATTCACAGCCGAATTCTACCAGAGGTACAAGGAGGAACTGGTACCATTCCTTCTGAAACTATTCCAATCAACAGAAAAAGAGGGAATCCTCCCTAACTCATTTTATGAGGCCAGCATCATCCTGATACGAAGGCCTGGCAGAGACACAACAAAAATAGAGAATTTTAGACCAATATCCTTGATGAACATTGATGAAAAAATCCTCAATAAAATACTGGCAAACTGAATCCAGCAGCACATCAAAAAGCTTATCCACCATGATCAAGCGGGCTTCATCCCTGGGATGCAATGCTGGTTCAACATACGCAAATCAATAAATGTAATCCAGCATATAAACAGAGCCAAAGACAAAAACCACATGATTATCTCAATAGATGCAGAAAAAGCCTTTGACAAAATTCAACAACCCTTCATGCTAAAAACTCTCAATAAATTAGGTATTGATGGGACGTATCTCAAAATAATAAGAGCTATCTATGACAAACCCACAGCCAATATCATACTGAATGGGCAAAAACTGGAAGTATTCCCTTTGAAAACTGGCACAAGACAGGGATGTCCTCTGTCACCACTGCTATTCAACATAGTGTTGGAAGTTCTGGCCAGGGCAATTAGGCAGGAGAAGGAAATAAAGGGTATTCAATTAGGAAAAGAGGAAGTCAAATTGTCCCTGTTTGCACATGACATGATTGTATATCTAGAAAACCCCATTGTCTCAGCCCAAAATCTCCTTAAGCTGATAAGCAACTTCAGCAAAGTCTTAGGATACAAAATCAATGTACAAAAATCACAAGCATTCTTATACACCAATAACAGACAAACAGAGACCCAAATCATGAGTGAACTCCCATTCACAATTGCTTCAAAGAGAATAAAATACCTAGGAATCCAACTTACAAGGGATGTGAAGGACCTCTTCAAGGAGAACTACAAACCATTGCTCAAGGAAATAAAAGAGGATACAAACAAATGGAAGAACATTCCATGCTCATGGGTAGGAAGAATCAATATCGTGAAAATGGCCATACTGCCCAAGGTAATTTATAGATTCAATGTCATCCCCATCAAGCTACCAATGGCTTTCTTCACAGAATTGGGAAAAACTACTTTAAAGTTCACATGGAACCAAAAAAGAGCCTGCATTGCCAAGTCAATCCTAAGCAAAAAGAACAAAGCCAGAGGCGTCACGCTACCTGACTTCAAACTATACTACAAGGCTACAGTAACCAAAACAGAATGGTACTGGTACCAAAACAGACATATAGATCAATGGAACAGAACAGAGCCCTCAGAAATAATGCCGCATATCTACAACCATCTGATCTTTGACAAACCTGAGAAAAACAAGAAATGGGGAAAGGATTCCCTATTTAATAAATGGTGCTGGGAAAACTGGCTAGCCATATGTACAAAGCTGAAACTGGATCCCTTCCTTACACCTTATACAAAAGTTAACTCAAGATGGATTAAAGACTTACATGTTAGACCTAAAACCATAAAAAACCTAGAAGAAAACCTAGGCAATACCATTCAGGACATAGGCATGGGCAAGGACTTCATGTCTAAAACACCAAAAGCCATGGCAACAAAAGCCAAAATTGACAAATGGGATTTAATTAAGCTAAAGAGCTTCTGCACAGCAAAAGAAACTACCATCAGAGTGAACAGGAAACCTACAGAATGGGAGAAAATTTTTGCAAACTACTCATCTGACAAAGGGCTAATATCCAGAATCTACAATGAACTCAAACAAATTTACAAGAAAAAAACAACCCCATCAAAAAGTGGGTGAAGGATATGAACAGACACTTCTCAAAAGAAGACATTTATGCAGCCGAAAAACACATGAAAAAATGCTCATCATCACTGGCCATCAGAGAAATGCAAATCAAAATCACAATGAGATACCATCTCACACCAGTTAGGATGGCGATCATTAAAAAGTCAGGAAACAACAGGTGCTGGAGAGGAAGTGGAGAAATAGAATCACTTTTACACTGTTGATGGGACTGTAAACTAGTTCAACCATTGTGGAAGTCAGTGTGGCGATTCCTCAGGGATCTAGAACTAGAAATACCATTTGACCCAGCCATCCCATTACTGGGTATATACCCAAAGGATTATAAATCATGCTGCTATAAAGACACATGCACACGTATGTTTATTGTGGCACTATTCACAATAGCAAAGACTTGGAACCAACCCAAATGTCCAACAATGATAGACTGGATTAAGAAAGTGTGGCATATATACACCATGAAATACTATGCAGCCATAAAAAGTGAAGAGTTCATGTCCTTTGTAGGGACATGTATGAAACTGGAAACCATCATTCTCAGCAAACTATCGCAAGGACAAAAAACCAAACACCACATGTTCTCACTCATAGGTGGGAATTGAACAATGGGAACACATGGACACAGGAAGGGGAACATCACGCTTCGGGGACTGTTGTGAGGTGGGGGGAAGCAGGAGGGATAGCATTAGGAGATATATGTAATGCTAAATGACGAGTTAATGGGTGCAGCACACCAACATGGCACACATATACATATGTAACAAACCTGCACATTGTGCACATGTACCCTAAAATTTAAAATATAATAATAATAAAATTAAAAAAAATAGGCTTCCCAAGAGGCTAAGATTTGCTGCAACTCCAGTTTGTGGTCAAATGCAGACCAGCAGAGTACAGACGGCATTGTTGGCCCAGGAGAAGGCAACAATACAGGGAGATGCCACATTTTTTATCAACCTCCTAACAATTATCTCAATGAATATTCAAATTGGTGATTGAAGTACTTGTTTCTCCAAGCAGGTGATAGGCAAAATTGGAAAAGTTGCCTTGCTTGTATAAATAATTGTGTGCTCAGATTGAATTTGAGGGTATACAGGTGCAGCCTCCAGTGGAAAATATTCTAAGAACAGGATGTGGGTAGAGGATGCAATTATGGAACTTCATATCTTCACCACCTTTCTCTTCTTTCTTCCTATTTTGACTAGTCTTGTAATCCTAGCCTCATGCATCAATATACATACAACTAAGAGAGGCAATATCAATGCAAAAGACACAATATCTATACAACGAAATTAGATGGTGCCTATTGCTAAAGGTACTTTAACTTCACATCATATAGCCCAATTAGGTGAATGCCGCCCACCTACCAAAGGTATTAGTCAGCTCAGGCTGCCACAGAAAGATAACAAAGTTTTCGTGGCTTAACAATAGACATTTTCTCAAAGTTCTGGAGGCCAGAAGTTCTTCTTGAGTCTTTTGTGAGGTTGGATGTGCTAGCAGGGTTGGTTTCTGGGGAGGCCTCTCTTCCTGGCTTGCAGAAAGCCACTTTCTTGCTGTGTCCTCCCATAGTCTTTCCTCTGTGCCTGCGTGGAGAAAGAGATTCTTTGATGCCCTTCCTCCTCCTATATGGACACCATTCCCACCAGATTAGGGGCCCACTTGTATGACCTCATTAACATTAATTACCACATTAAAAACCCTATCTCAAAATACAGTCAACTTGGCGGTTAAGTTTTCAACATATGAACTCACAGGGAAACACTTCAGTCTATAACATCAAGCAATACAGATGATCCTAAGATCCTCTACCTATTAAGTCCTGTGACATTTGCCTGGTGGTGCAGCCAGAAATAAGTTGTTACCAAGGCTGCTATTATTGCTAATTCTATGATTAGGAAAGCACACCTGAACTGGTTTGCCTGCCATATAGGAAAGAGTGCAGATCAAACAGGTATGAAATAAAAATAGGGGAAAATGGTAGCAAACAAAACAGTGCTCTTAAGTGAGTCATGAATCTAGGAAGGACTGAAATCATGCAATTTCAAGGAAATCCTATTGTCTTTATTGGGAGAAATGACTTGCCAAATTTCCTAAACTAGGGAGAAAAGGGTGGTGTGGATTAAGGTCCACACCTGACAGTTCAAGATAACTTGAGTTCTTGGCTAATCAGCTATATGGGGTGAGAGACAGATCAGCAGTCAAAGAAAACTCTAAGATTTCTGGATTGAGTGTACGTAAGGATGGAGTTTCCATCAACTGAGGTGAGAAAACTGCAGGTGCTGTAGGTTGCAGGAGGAAGAAGAGAGATCAGTACCAGGCCTCAAAGCCTAGCTTGAAAGAGGTTTCCATTCCCCCATCTCCGTTTCTGCATCTCTTTGAGTCTTTTGTGAGGTTGGATGCAGAGGTGTTGGTGTTTGGCCACTTCTCCCCCTGGACATCTCTCTTCTCACCTCCTTTGACAGCCACATCTATGGTCTTGTCCTGATGACATCTCCCAGCACGATGTCGTTTTGCAAAGGTGATCTCAAAATCAGCTCTGAGCTGAAGCCAGGGTGAGGTCACCCACTCCTTGATTTGTGTGGCCTTGGTGGGCCCCAGGAGCACTTCACTACTTCTCAGGGGAGTAGGTCTTTTGTATGGAACTCTTCATCTGAGGGAAGCAGGGAGAAAATGTCCTGTGGGGAGGGAAGGGAGGGCTGTACCAGAGAGCCTAGGTGGGCAGATCTAGGCTCTCAATGCAAAGAACATTTACAACCTGAGAGGTTCTACTCAGTTACTATTGTTAATTTAGGATCTCATCAACGAAAATGGTATAGAAATTTGTTTTCTCATTGGTTACATGTGCACCTACATAATACCCTCGGTTTTGCCTCTTGGCTTAAAAGCCTACAATATTTAATAGATCTCTCTAGCCCTTTACAGAAAAATGTTTACTGAACTCTGCAGAGAACAATCCCGCATGCTTTACAGAAAGGGACACTCAGGAATCTCCTTTGCTAATTTTTTTGTGTTAGATGATTTTCCTGGCAAACAATAAATTCCCTTTCTTGGCTTGTAATGATTAATCTCTGGTTGGTTGTCACCTGCAATGAAACAATACATATGGGAACCTCAAAGTAGAAAAATCCTAGAAGAAAACCTAAGAAATACCATTCTTACTTTTTTTTTTTTTTTTGAGAGAGAGAGAGAGCGAACGGGTTCGAACCACTGACCTCCAAACTTGGAAGCAAGCACACCACCCGACTGCGACACACGAATGGACAGTCAACTGTCGCTCCCGCCTCACCATGCAGAGCACGCGCCCATCCAACACTAGGCAGAGCCACCGCCTTTTGTAGAACAATTGTGCAGGCTCCAAAGCCTCAGAAAACCGGAGAGGCGCATCTTGCTGGCTACGGTTGAAACCCGTGCATTGGGTGATTCCAAAGCTGGAAGGGCAGCGGAATGGCCTTAGCCCCGTCCTGCCCTTCGCAGGCGTCAGAGCCAGCGTCCCGGGAAACGCCCGGGTCCGCGACTTCCCAAAGGAAGCAGAACGCCCCGTGGACTCTAGTGATGGCTCTTTCCGTTCTTGGCTCCGCCTTCACCCGACTTTCTACGCCGCTTGGGCTCCCCTAGCTCAACTCGGCTTCGGTCGGTGCGGCGGGAGAGAGAAAGGGTGAAAAGCAGAAATACAGAGAGGCGGGAGAGAAGCAGAGGAGGTGCGGACCAGGACAGAGAGACCTCCTGAGAAAGGCTGGTGCAGGGAGACCGAGGCTGGTGCAGGGAGGCCCAGGCTGCAGTGGAGGAGATGAGAATTATTCTCAACCTGTATTAGGATTGGGAGGGAGGGAGGGAGGCGAAAGCAAAGCGGGCATGAAAGGGAGAAAAACGTGAACCCCCTGTGGCTGTCTGGGAACAAAGCCGCCTAATAATGGAAACCTATTGACGTCAAAACTGCTAGAGCAAGGTCAAGCATCACCGCTTGCCTTGTGGCCCGCCGTGATCGTATAGTGGTTAGTACTCTGCGTTGTGGCCGCAGCAACCTCGGTTCGAATCCGAGTCACGGCAAAGTTGCTCGTCTGGGTAGTCAGCTGATCCGTTTTGCTCCCCGCAACCAGGCGCGTCAGGGTAAGGCAGAAATGTATTCAGCTACAGTCTCTTCCAATAACTTTAGGGTTCCGTTTCAATTTCTAAATCTATGGCATATCAAATTCATCTCCTGACCAGAGCAAGCTTAGCATCTGCTAATGTCTTGATCCCCAGAAAACTTCTCTATAGTGTAAACACACTGGCAAGAGTTACTTCTCTGCTCTTCGACAGCTAGGGGCCCTGCGCCTCCCTCCATTTCTTCCCTACTCCTCTCTCCCTTGGTCTCTTTCTCTGTCCTTCTCTCTCTCCTCTGGTGCAGCTGAGAGTCCCAGAGACACCTGAAACAGAGAAGTGGGCAGGTCCAGTCTAATCTATGTCCAAGAACCCAGGTTCTGTTTTGGAAATCTACGTCGGCCCTTGCCTGACCTTGGTTAACTATCTTAAATTTTATGTGCCTCAACAATTTTCTATGGAAGGTTGGGCCACTTTGAGAACTCTGCCTTACACTGCTGTTGTCAGACATGCCTGGATTTAGTGACTATTCAATCAATAACATAATCACTAGAATTATAAAAATCATTGTCATTGTCTTCTGCCTTATTTGTGAACAATCACTCTCCTGATTGTTTTCACTTTACCTTTGCTTCTAGAACTTCATGCAGATGGAATCATGGTGCATCTACTCTGTTCTACATGCTTCTTTCTCTCTGCATAATGTCTCTGGCTCTATCCATTGCTTAGTGGAAGCAGAAGTTCATTCCTCTTTCATTGCTGAGTAGTATTCCATTACAGGGAAATAGCACAGGTTGTTTGCCATTCCCAC
This sequence comes from Homo sapiens, assembly GCF_000001405.40. Classification (NCBI taxonomy): domain Eukaryota; kingdom Metazoa; phylum Chordata; class Mammalia; order Primates; family Hominidae; genus Homo; species Homo sapiens. Next base: position 147,074,141 of record NC_000001.11, read on the forward strand.
CCCATCCCTACCCTGATAATGAGTGTTTGGGTATTGGCTATTCTGAATAAACCGGTATTGGCTATTCTGAATAAGCCTGCTTTGAACATTCTTCCCACAACAGATTTTGAGGGCATCTGTTTTCGTGTCCCTTGGGGAAAACCTAGGTGCCGAATTGCGGGTACCAAAGAGTGGGATATGTTCAAGTTCATAAAAACTGCAAAAACTTGTCCCAAAGTAGTTGTGCCATTTTACATTTCCACCAATGACGTGTGAGAGTTGTGGTTGTTCTTCATCTTCTCCAAGATTGGGTGTTTCCTCTCCTTATAAATTTAGCCATGCTACTGGGAGTTATAGTGGTGTCTCGATGTGGTTTTAATTTCAATTTTCCTGATAGCTAATCATATTGAGCGCTCTTTTATGTGCTTTGTTGACCATGTGTGTACCTTTTATTTTAAAGTATCTGTTCAAGTCTTTTACCCATCTAGCACATTTGGGTTTTTTTTTTTTTTTTTTTAATTACCAGTTAGGAAGATCTCACCACAGAGTTTGGAGGTCAGATAGGTTTTGTGACTATTTTCTCCTCATCTGAGGCTGGCTTGTTTCTTCATTTTCTTTATGGCGTCTTTTGATGAGAAGATATGGCTAATGTTCATGAAATCGAATTTATCAAGTCTTTCCCTTTTACATGTGTTCTTCGGTGCCCTGTTTAATAAATCTCATCTACCAACAAGTCACAAGTATCCTCGAAATGCTTTATACCTTTAACTTTTAAGTTTTGGTCTATAATGTTCCTTAAGTTACTTTCGAGTGTAGTGTGAGGAAGAAATAACCTTGTTGGTCTCCCTCTTCCCCCATATGAAAGTCCATTAGTTGAAACTATTTCCTTTGCCCCATTGAACTGCTTTTATTGAAAACCTATGGTCGGGCATGGTGCTTACACCTATAATCCCAGCACAGTGAGAGGCTGAGGCTGGTGAGTCACTTGAGCCCAGGAGTTGGAGATCAGTCGGGACAACATGGCGAAACCTCATGTCTACTAAAACGCGCCTGTAGTATGAGCTACCTAGGAGGCTGAGGCAGGAGGATCACTTCAGCCTGGGAAGCACAGTGAGACCCTTTCTCAGAAAACAAAACAAAATTAACAAACAAACAAAAAACCTATGGACCATATAGCTGTGGGTGAGTTTTGGGTCTCCCAAGGCAGTCTGTTGATGTATTTGTGTCTCCCAATGCCGCATGCACACGGCCTTGTCTGTAACAGCTTAGAGTGAGTCTGAAATTCAGGTTGTGCAAGTCCTCTGGTTTTGTTCTTTTTCACACAGCATAATAACCTTTGAAATAGGTCATAACTCATGTAACCATCACATAGATCAAGGTATGCTGTCACTTCATCTCTCTCATTTCAGTATGGGACACATGTCCTCGCTCACCTATGCTGATTGCCCTCCTGGGGCCAAGGATCCTCTCCTCTACCCTCTGAAGAGAATAAATCTCCAGTTGTCTGCAGGGAGGATGAACATGCAAAAAGTCCACAACACTCAGCACAGAGTCCAGATTTTGGTGGTGGGGTTGATGGGGAGGAAGCTCACATTTCAGGCCTTTCAAAATTGTAGGAAAAGTTTTCTTTATTTCTAACTGTGAAATGTACAAAGCTTTGGGTCATTCATAATTTCTTCTTCTTCTAGAAAGATCACAGGACACCTAATGTTTGTGTCCCCCCAAAATGCCTTGGTTGAAACTCTAACCTTCCTCCACCCACACCTGGAAAGTGTTAAAATTAGGAGGAGGGGCCTTTGGGAGGTAATTAGATCCAGAGAGTGGAGTCCTCCTGAGTGGGATTAGTGCCCCTATAAAAGGGACACTAGAGAGCTCTCTCCCCCTCTTTCAGCCACCCGCAGATACAATGGGAAGATGGCAGTCTATGACCAGGAAGAGGTTCCTCACCATAACCCTACCATGCTGGCACCTTGATCTTAGACTTCCAAACTCCAGAACTGTGAGAAATGTCTGCTGTGGATGAGCCACCCAGTTTATGGTACATTGTTATAGAAGCTCCAACTAAAACATAGATGGAGTCCCATGGAGGGTGTCTAATTTTTGATGCTGGTTGTTGAGTTCTTCGAGTGGGGTGTTGCAAATTAGAAACTGAGGGAGAGCTGACCTTTCCTGCATATGAAAGAAGAGAGTGGAAAGGAAGGGATACAGAATGGGGAAGAATAAGCTGGTACCAAAAAACTGATTTCAGGGTCTGGCACTTGAATGTCTGATTTTGGAGAAAGAGAAGACACTGGTAGGTGTAGCCAGAGAAGAAGACTTTCAGTAGAAACAGCAGATATTTAAAAGCCATTCGATTACGTCTTTCGCTTGTTTGTGTGTAGACCCTCTTTTCATATCTTTGTAAGTGTGGCACAGGTGAACTGGATGCATTTGTCCAATGTGTTTTTGGAATGCATGTGTAAATAAAAATGACTGTGTCATACTTCAAATATTTATCCTGGAACCTCCTAGACTCCCCTTAGGTTCTGCCAACAGGACATTGAAATAACAGGCCCGTCGTGGGGATTAATTTTCATTGTACATTATAGGAAGAGGGAGGAGGAGGAAGAATGGGACAGTCTCAACAACAGTTGCTATAGTCTTACCGAATATATGCTTCTCAACAGATCAGCCCTTAATTCAAATAAGAGCAGTTGGAACGACAAAAGGTGTTCAGTTGTACCCTTGGAATCCACAGAAATCCTGGGTAGGGAAGCTCGAGTACCACCAACTGGAAAGACAGGGATGCCTAGTAGCTGATTCGGGGCCCATTGTCGTAGGCTTTGTCCACTTTGCAAACTGGAGACAGGGACTCGACTCACCTTCTCCAGCCACTGGAGGACCGGGAGGACCTTCAGAGGAGGTGAGGTCGACTTCATGGTAACTTTAGATCCTGAAACCTCACAGGATTTTTCTTCTCTTCCCTTTGATCTCTCTTCCGCTAACCCAACGGGACAGGACTCGCCGCCTTTCTTTCCGGTCAGAAAGGAGTCCCTTCCGGACAGGACCGAAATGAGCAGCTTGTTTTCCCTACCTGTCCTTTTGGGCCTGGGCTTCTTGGGAGCTTAGGCTGACCGGAGACCTACCTCGGGGCGAGTGGGACCAGCAGGAGCCGGGAAGGGCGCGCGCACCGGGGTGGAGGTTGGGCGCCGGGGGTCGGGAACCACAGTCACACCCTCCTCTTCCCCGCGCGCCTCCCACCTGCCCCCTACGATGCCGAACGAAGTGGCCCCTAAGGCTTCTCTACAGGCCAAACCGAAAGAGGCCTGATGCTCCAGGAGGGGCGAGAGGATCCTCGGTGAGCGAACCCAGCCTTCTACCTGGCTGGCCCTGGTCAACAGGCTCAGAAGAGGCCGATTTGGAGGACAGAACAGAAGGAAAGACCTAAAGGTAGAAACTCATGATGTCGAGATGTTAAAAGCCTCAAATCCTAAGGTCCGACTGTGCCGGGGAGGGAGGGGGTCTTGAGCTGGATCGACCCCTGAGTCTTCATCTGGAGAGTCCTCTGCACAAGCTCAGAGAGCAGGACTAGGCGCACGAATTCTAGACAAGGGGCAACTTCGTCCTCACACGCCTCCCCCATCCCCGCTGGGACATTAGGCCACGACTGGGGGAAGCGGGGAGGGAGAATGTTAACCCCCTGTCATCTATCTAGTCAGCGGAGGCGAGGGATGCGGCTAAACACCTTACAATCCACCGAAGGGCCCCTCCCCCACCCCGTAATACCCATTCCGCGGAGGTGGAGAAACTCGCGTGTAGATCAATGCCCACGCACTTGGCCGATGGGAAATCACGAATTGGTGACCAGTTCGATCTTGGCCCTGAGGAAAAAACTCAAACGTCAGCGGGAACCCTTGGAGCTTTGCCCAGAGCATACGGAAGGGTGGCGTTGCAGTATAGCCTAAGATGGGAAAATGGCAGGTATTGCAGGTTGCAGGGAGACCAGCAGGGAGATCGGAGACCAGTTCAGGGCCCCGGAGCCTTCGTGGAAAGAGTTTCCCATCCAGCCCGTCTTGGTTTCCGCATATGTCTGAGTCCTTTATGATGTCGGGGATGCCAAGGTCTGAGTCTTTTATGATATTCGGGGTGCCCCGATCTCACCCTGGGAGCCTCCTCGCTCCTGCCTGCTCCTGGTTACCCAGTGCGCGGCTCTGGCCCGGTGACCCGCTACTGTCTCTCCATGCGCTGCCGCTTCACAAAGGCGCATCTCTAGGTCGGTGGTCAGGTTCTGCCCGGACGCTGCAACTGGCTCCGGGACTTGTGTCCTTGGTGAGCCTAGCGGAGTGCTGGGTGCGTCGCCTGCGTGCTCCTCTTTTGGAGAAAGGAGGGAGGGAACGGCCTTGTGAGACGACTCCAGGAGCGACCAGCGACCTCCACAAGTCCCAAGTCTTCCCAGCGCACAGGGAAACTGTCACTTACAGGGAAACTGTCGCTTCAGTGGCAAGAAGGTTGAAAAAGCCCCTCCTGTGCCTCCCTGGTGGTCTGGTGGCTAGAATTTAGCGCTTTCACCGCCGCAGCTCGGGTTGGATTACCAGTCAGGGAATTGTTTTGCACTGACTGCCTTCCCGCAGGAATCTTCCTTTACGCCGCTGTAAGCGGGCCTTCTCCAAGGGCCAGACGCAGAACAGTCTCCGCAGCGAGGTGCAAACCCTGGCGAAGGAGGGCAACTCCTGGTGGGCCACCTCTCATGACACAGCGCTCTTATTTATCTCCGTGTCTGTCATTCGCACAAGCGGCTTTAGAGAGCGACTGAGCGTCTCGCTCAGGTGTACACCGCTGTGCAGAGATGCCAGCCCTCCTGGAACTGCACCCAAGAAGCCCACCGTCTTTGCCGCCTCTGCCGTCCCGGAGGCGCCGATCGGGCTGAGCTGCGAATAACTAAGAGAGAGGCCAAGGCAAGTCGTGGCGTTTGTGCGTGCCACAAATTATCAGCTGACAGGGGACGGTCAGTGGAGCCTCCTCACCTCCGTTCGCGGGTAACGTGCTTCTTAGGCCTTCAGAAGAAGCGACTGGAGGCGATGCCCGCGAGGTTGGAAGTGGGGTGAGCGGCGGGTGAGGCCCTCCAGGACCGCTCGTTTGTAGACTGAGCGGTAAAGGGAGGCGATGTTTGCTGACCCAACAAAGACAGCACGTGGAGCAGGCACAAATGGAAAACTGTGGCCGGTGAACAGAAGGCAGGTGTGAAAATCACTAGGTCGTCAAAGCGATGGTACCGCAGTCAAATCCCGCAATGTCTGTCTACACTCTACCAAGCAATTGCGCACGTTTCCCCTTTTCCATTCAGTATTCCCAAGAGGGGTTCGGAGGAACCCCGCGTCCACTGTAAGCTCAGGGGGGAGCCGGAGCCAGGGAGGTGAAGTGCACAGACTGGACAGAGGCGGCGGGCAGAACCGCGGGGGTGAGAGGGCGCGGTGGCTGCGGAGCGGGAGCCGCTGTTGAAAGGAGGCCTGGGTTGTCCTGTGGGTGACTGTTGGTGGAATCTTTCGCGGAAAGCGTTTTGGAAGAATGGCGCGACGAGCGAGCAGAGGGGAAGGTGGTGACCCTGAGCGCTCGGCTAGGGGAGAGGAGGCTGTGCTGTTTCTCCTCTTCCCTTACCTGGCGGGGGACAGACCGTGGTCAGGAAGGGGGTTCTCCCTGGTTGAGGCTAGTCCACCGCACTCTGGCTGCGCTCACCCCTGCGATTTCCCCACACGCGGGGCCCTAGTCTGCGGTGGTGTTCGTGCTACCCCGGGGCTGGGTTCGCGCACGCTCCTGACCTGCCTTGGCTCACGGCCAACGCGGATATCGCCGCCAGAGACCCTTCGCCGCCCTCCCAGGGCTCCTGAGGGCGCTTCCTTGGTGTTCTCACTGAAGCTCTCGAACAGACAGATGTGAGCTCTCTGTCTTTTACACGCTGAATTTGGCTATTGGCAAAAAAGCCCTGACCCAGAGCTTGGGTCTCCTTCCGACCTGCACACGACTCCCCGACTCCCGCCTCCAAGCGCGGCTCTTGGCTCGCTGGCGGGCAGCGTCCACAGAGTGTGGAACCGCCGCAGCCGCAGCTCCCGCCCGCTGGCGGGCAGACACTAGCAGGAGAAAGGACACAAGGCCTGCGTGGTGGGAAAGCATGGGAGACCTCGCTTTCCCACCGGACGAGAAGGTCTCCCTGCAGTCTTTGGACACCAGATGGATGGAGGCACCCCTTCTAGGAACAAGGCGGCTGCTCCTGAGGCCTGGCTTCGCACAGTGGCTCCTGGGTCCCGCGCGCCCTCTCCCTTCCCGCGGTAGCAAGAGCTGCTTTACACATCTCAGCCGGCTTCCTCTTTCTCCCCAGCTGTCCTTGGGACAGCAAGGCCCCCAGCCCGTAGGAAAGACCTAGCCTCCTCTCCAGCACTTGTAGAGGGAGTCGGATGCACGTCTCTTAACCACAGGAAGACAGAGACCCTGAGGCGGGAGCTTCCCTTGCTGCTTCTCTTGGCACAGCGGGTCCAGGGGGCTGGTTCAGGGCCCAGGACTCCTCGCTCCTCCTGGAGGGCCTGGGTCGCGTGGCCTAGGAGCTGGCCACATGGGCATCTCCAGCACTGCTCCTCAGGGAACGGGAGGCATTATCCTGCAGGACCCACTCTTACCCATGAGAGACACCGGGAAATGCTCCTGCGGAAGCTGGAGCTCTGCGCGCTTGACCACTTCGGGGTGAAGCTTCCGTCCGCCCATCCTTCCTTCGAGGGGCCTTGGGGAGAGGAGAAATGCTCCAGGACGATGCCCTTTGCAGTGTCTCAACCGAGACCAGAGGAAAGGAGGGTGCGTCTTCCTGGAAGAAGGTGGCCGAAGGCCTGCGGTCGCCGGGAGGCTTGCGGAGCAGGAGCGCCCTCTCTCCGCCCGAGCTATCCGGTGGCTTCCTGCATCCCACCTGGCGGACTCCTCTTCCTCTCTCTCCTTCTACTCCGGCTCTTCTATCCTGGTGTTCCCTGAATGCCTATCTTCCGTCTGTGCCACGGAACTTCTCACACCCGCTACAAGTTACTCATTTCCTTGGTTGTTCTGAACTTTAAATAAGGTAATGTATGTTACCTTATGCATTTTTCACTGTTAAAAATAGACAATACTGATGATTCAGATGATGCTACTGATGAAACTAATAACAGAAGACAATTATTGAGCATTTATGGCACTCTTACATACATGGGATATTGAATATTTTATGCTAAAGAATTTGAGGAAATATTTATGCTAAAGGAATTTGAGAAAACAACAGAAGCAGGAAGGTCACTGTCACCCTCCCCCTGCGCTTCTTCCCTGAAGCCTATCATAAGACTCTCATGTGAGAGGTGCCCTCTCTGTACCCAGAGGAAAGGTGCATCCTTGAGTCTGAAGACACAGGGACACAGAGAAGAGCCTGAACACAGAGACCTGGCTACGTTATCTCCAGTTTGTTACTGTTAGATCATACATTTTTTTGTCTTATCATACTTCTCCATGAGTATGCACTCTTCATAAAACATACTGTTTAAAAAAAAACCAACAACAACTGAGATTTAGCTCTTTCCACAGGTCTTCGTTTCCTTTGAAGGCACTCCTGTCATGTAAAACTTACATTAAATAAATACATATGCTCTTCTCTTGTTAGTCTGTCATATATATTATACACTTATAAAAGTATATATATACTTATATGTAGTTTATATATATTATATATAAGTATATATATACTTTTATAAAATTGAGCTTAGACTCTATTTTACAAATATTCCATTTAATAGTGCATGAATTTAACTGAAGACAAAGAGACAGAAACAGAAATCAAGGAATTCCTGAACTCTCAATCACAGAGAGACACCTTTCTAAGGCTAAACATACACTAAATTAAGAAGACATTAAGATTTGGAGGGTTTTTTTCTCTTTTCATGTAGTATATATTTTATTAGTTTGTACTAATATATTATCATATTACAAAGGCAATTTAGTGGAAGAATCTTCCTTCTGATATTTGAATCATCTGAAAGAACACAAAAAGAACTATGCATTCAAAAAAATTCTCATTTGGATAACAAAAAAAAGACAAGTTAAACAACAAAAAAATTTTTCCTTTCTCACAGGTGGACATTGAAGTGAACCTAATTCGGTTTTCCTTTTAAAAGCCCCCCATAAACAAAAGTAGTTTAAAACCTATTTAAAATGAATAAAAGATTGGTTTACTAAACTACTCGTCTCCAGCACCATTTTCTCTTTTCTGTTGTTTGGACACAGGTTCTTCTTTGTCTGTTTCTTCTCCTGATCTTTTCATAGGTCCAGTTGCACCATTTTCATCATGTTCATCATCATTAGCAAATTTCATTTTCTTGCCCTGAAACTGTACTTTTTCTTTACCAGACCTAGGATGGGCAGCTTTATTACCCTTTCCTTTTCCTTTAAATCTGTGTCCTTTTGACTTCCATATGTTTAGGGATTCTTGTTGGTCTTCTGTTATTTTTTTCAGTGCTTCTCTTTCCACCTCTCCTTCTAGTACTTCCCAAGTCACTTCTTTGCTCTGTAATTGTAGATTACCATTATTTACATCTTTGGCTTTACCCAACGCTTCCTTGTCTTTTTCTTTAAATAGAATTATCCCCTCTTTTGCTCCTCTGATGAAGTCTATCCATTTTATTTCACCATGACTTGAGAAAAGGATGTGTAAATCTTCTCTACAGGTCTGATCATCTAAATCACCTGAAAACTTCAGCAAGCATCCAATCTTCTCTTCTAGAGATTTCATTTCAGCATCTTCTTCTAACTTTTGATTTGCTTCTTGCTCTTGTTTAGCTCTTAATTTAGCTTCCACTTTATTTTGTTTTCTTTCTTCTTCTTTCTTTTTTTTTATTAATATTATTTTTTTGGCAAAGTAATCATCTTTGAAAAGTATTAGCAGGCCTGTGTCTGTACTTCTGGCCAGGGGTCTCTACAAACTTCTTAGCAGATTCAATGCTATCAAACACAACAAAAACTGATCCCTTAAATATTTTATGCAATGTTCTTCTCATCTGAATATTTAGTACTTGATCTTTATCTTCTAATCATTCTTTTATGTCATCAAGAGTTGCATCAGTTCGGAAGCCTTTAATATAAACAGATCTGTTTCTTTACATCATTTTTATACTCATCAGTCACTTCAGGTAGGGGTTTGCTTGAAGACCTTCTGATTTTAGTTTTATCTTCACTGATTTTCATGAGTTCTGCCTTGGATTTGCTCAATGCTTCCACAATTACATTAAAGTCTGTTGTTAGATGGTTCAACCTGTTGAATTTTATCATTATCTCCAAAGATACCCAGCCTTCGTCCAGTTTTATCTGTTCCCTTAAAAACTTGTCTCCTGGCAAATTGAAGTCTCCAAAATAATACTCAATTTGATGACAGATTTTGGCCTCCAGGGCAGCCATCTTTTCATTATCATCATTTTCAGCCATTGTGGCTATCTTTAAAGTTCCAGTCCCATAGAGCCGTGCCACAGGCTCACAAACAGCAACAGCAATGACTCCTGGAGTGGTTTTCTTATTACTTTTTACAATTAAGTTGATCGAAGTGTGAGTTGACTAGGTACAATGCATCCATTTCAAGTTTGATGACAGGTCTATTATTCTAAAAGGTCCTCTTTTGCGCTTTGAAGTCAGTCCCCGCTTTCCCTGACCCCAGCAATCAATGATGTAGTTTCTGTCAGTCACTATACAGGTAAGTTTTACCTGTTCTAGAAATTCACCTTGATGGCGCCGCATAGGATGCACTCTTTTCATCACTCAGCATAATGTTTTTGAGATTATCCATGCTATCTCATGTTTTGTAATGTGTCCCATTTTATTGCTGGGTAGTTCGGGTAGTTGGAGTAGATCGCAGCGCATTCTGCTGACAGGTCAGACTGCGGTTCCGACCTGCGGGCCTCGGTGAATATGCGCAAGGGCACCTGGGCGCGGGCAGAGCCGTTCCCATCCACAAAATAAGCATGTTATGTCTACAACCGAAGGGGGTCACAGAGCCCCAAAGGCCCTGCTTTCATCGCAAAGAACTGAGCCCGTCGGCGTACAGTTTCTACCTGGCTCTATGAGGTGAGAACACATTCCCCGCCAGCACAGAAATCCTATAAACTCCTGTGGGGCAGCGGTTAGAAGCAGAGGCTGTTAAAGGTAACTCTAGAGGCTGCGGAAAAACACGAAGATTTTCACAGAGCGTGAGAACCCAGGAGACTGGAGACCACGGGCCAATCTCTGCTAAAAGCAGCCCCACGTAGAAAGGAAAGCGCTCTGGGGCCATCGCGCTAGTTAGCTTATGTTAAACAATCTCACCTCGGCTGACCTTATAATTTCTCCGGCGGCAAGGACAACAACCAACGCGTTACTTTCTATTTCATAGCCTCCTAACTACAAGGAAAAACACTTCGGATGCCGTCCAGGATATAACACGATAGACTGCATGCAGTCTATCTTTCCACACCGCAAAAAAAAAAAAAAAACGGGGGAAAAGAGCGAACGCAGTCTCCCACTACCACAAATTATGCAGTCGAGCTTCCCACATTTGGGGAAGTTGCACGAATTAGCTTCGCCCTGCGAAAACCACCTTCGTAAACACGATTTTTCTTCTGCTAGGTAAATGTGAGTCTGCACGCTTCCGCCCCGCCACAGCCTCATACGCCTCACCCTTTACACGCACGGTCACTTGCCCCGCGCACCCTCGAGGCCTCCTAGCCCTGATACACAGCTAGGACTCTCAGGTCCGACCAGCGGTCCTGGACTCCCTCCCACAGCACGGGAACTCCTTCGTGGCGAAGCCGCCGGTGACGAAGCAGCAGCCCCTGCGCTGCCTCATCTACATAGAAGTCGCCCTATCCCTGATGTCACTGACAGCGCCTTCCCCGTCCCAGTCAGCTTTTCCATCCCACCCTCCGCCACTCAGCCGAACAACATGCTGCCACAGCCTGCGGGAGAAGTGACGTTTGCCTCTCCTTCTTTTTCCTCCCTTCCGCGCCGCTGGTCTCCCCCAAGGAAGAGGGTTTTGATTTTTGTTTTGTTTTGTTTTTTGTTTTGAACCGGAGTCTCGCCCTGTCGCCCAGGCTGGAGTGCAGTAGCACGATCTCCGCTCACTACAACCTCCCTTCCCGGGTTGAGACGGTTTTTCTGCCTCAGGCTTCCGAGTAGCTGAGATTACAGCCCGGCTAATTTTTGTATTTTTAGTAGAGACGGGGTTTCACCACTTTGGCCAAGCTGATCTCGAACTCCTGACCTCAGGTGATCCGCCCGCCCCGGCCTCCGCAAGTGCTGGGATTACAGGCGTGAGCCACCACGCCCGGCCAGAAACGGGTTCTTAGCCTGTGTTGCTGAGGACCTCTTTGGCGGGCAGCTGGAGCCTGTGCACCCTTCTTCAAACAATGGCTTTTAATACACTGACTAGAACGTTTGGGATTACAAAAGAAACCAGTTCTTTTCACATCGTTATTCTTGTGATGTAGCATTCTACTTGAAATTGGAAGCCGTTCAATATCAGAGAGAAACCATATCTATGAAACTAGAGAGGTTGCTCAGATGACTGCAAACCAGCCATCCTTAGTTGTTTTACCACTAGTAGTGTTATAAAGATGGTTGTCCAATTTCGTGAATCTTGTAGGGTTTTTGCAAATACAGCAATGTACAAAAATATGCTGCCTCAGCAGAGCACACTGGACACTCAGGCATCATGCTGGAGTTTGTCATCTCTTCCACAGCCTTCTCTAGACCTTAGCACTTACCTCATGTTAGCACTTCATATTGTGCAAAGACAGAAACAAAGTCACCCAAATTTGGCAAAAAATATTTGGGGGAAATTTTATTGGAGGTGCTTAACTGATTAATTTTAATCTGTAGAATACAACCCCAAACTCTGACAATACTCCACAGATTCCAAAACTATCAGGCGAGTTTTTTCCTGCCCATTACTTTCATATAAACTGAATCATAAAGTGTGTAGTGGGTTTTGAGGGAGTGTAACCACCTGATGGGTTCACCTTGTCTGCTGCCTAGACACAGCCAATTTATCAAGACAGGGGAATTGCAATAAAGAAAGTTATTTATGCAGAGCCAACTGTGTGGGAGACCAGAGATTTATTATTACTCAGTCTTCCCAAGCATTCTGGGACAGGAGTTTTCAAGGATAATTTGGTGGGTGGGGGCCAGTGAGTTGGGAGTTCTGATTGGTCAGGTGGGAGATGAACTCATAGGGAGCTAAAGCATCCTCTTGAGCTGGGTCAGTTCCTGGGTGGGAGCCACAAGACCAGATGAGCTGGAGTAAGGTGGTATTGCATTGTGGTTTTGATTTGCATTACCCTGATTGATAGTTAGTGATGTTGAGCATGTTTTTTCACATGTTTGTTGGCCACTTGTACATATCTTCTTTTGAGAATTGTCTATTCATGTTCTTAGCCCACTTTTTGATGGAATTATTTGTGTTCTTCTTGCAGATTTGTTTGAGTTGCTTGTAGATTTCTAAAATTCAAATGCAACCAAAAAAGAGGCCACATAGCCAAAGCAAGATTAAGCAAAAACAACAAATCTGGAGGCATCACATTATCTGACTTCAAACTATATTATAAGGTCATAGTCACCAAAACAGCATGGTACTGGTATAAATATAGGCACATAGACCAATGAAACAGAATAGAGAACCCAGAAATGAAGCCAAATACTTACAGCAACTGATTATCCGCAAAGCAAACAAAAACATAAAATGGGGAAAATATACTCTATTCAACAAATAGTACTGGGAAAATTGGCAAGCCATATGTAGAAGAATGAAACTGGATTCTCATCTCTCACCTTATACAAAAATCAACTCAAGATAGTCAAAGACTTAAATCTAAGACCTGAAATTATAAAAATTATAAAATTATAAAAATTCTAGACGATAACATTGGAAAAACCCTTCTAGACATTGGCTTAGGCAAAGACTTCATGACCAAGAACCCAAAAGCAAATGCAACAAAAACGTAGATAAGTAGATGGGACTTAACTAAATTTAAAAGCTTCTACCCAGTAAAAGAAATCATCAGCAGAGTAAACAGAAACCCCACAGAGTTTGAGAAAATCTTCACAAACTCTGCATCCCACAAAGGATTGTGGAATTTGTGACATAAAAATAAAATTCTTGGCTGGGCATGGTGGCTCAGGCCTGTAGTCCCAGCAATTTGGGAGGCCAAGGTGGGCAGATCTCTTGAGACAAGAAGTTCCAGACCAGCTTGGCCAACATGGTGAAACCCTGTCTCTACCAGAAATACAAAAATTAACTGGGCATGGTGGTGCATGCCTGTAATCCCAGCTATTCAGGAGGCTGAGGCAAAAGAATCGATCAAACCCAGGAGGCAGAGGTTGCAGTGAGCTAAGAATGCGCCACTGCACTCCAGCCTGGGCGACAGAGCAAGACTCTGTCTCAAAAAAATTAAAAAATATTTAAAATAAAATTCTTGTAACCATAGCACACAGTCCAGGAGGGGAGATAGAGAGATATAATACTCTAAGGCTCTTACTCCATCTTTCTTTCTTTGTTTTTTTGAAACAGGGTCTTGCTCTGTCTCCTAGGCTGCAGCATAGTGACATGAATGTAGCTCACTGCAGCCTTGACCTCCTGGGCTCCAGTGATCCTCCCATCTCAGCCTCCCAAGTATCTGGTGGTAACACCTGGATAATTTTCAAATTTTTTGTAGTGATAGGGTCTCACCATGTTGTCCAGGCTGCTGTTGAACTCCTAGGCTCAAGCAACCCTCCTGCCTCACCTCCCAAAGTGCTGGGATTACAGGTCTGAGCCACTGTGCCCAGCCTAATTTTATATTTGAAGTGGCATAATATAACTACAAGGTAGACAGTGTTAACTAGAAAATATATAATATAATCCCTAAAGCAACCACTAAAATAACAAAACAGCAATGGGTAATAAACAAATAAGTTGAAATGGAATAATAAAAATACTAGTTTAATACAAAAGATGGCAGAAAAATAAAAAACAAAATGGACAAATTGAAAATTAAGAGGAAGGTAAAACTCAAACCTAGCCCTTTCAATAATTATATTAGATGTAAAGGGTCTAAAAACACCAATTAAAATGCAGAGATTGTCACATTGGATAAAAACAAGATTAACCATGTGCTGCTTAGAAGAAATGCACTGTATAAATGAAAATACAAATGTGTAAAAGTAAAAAGATGGAAAAAAATATACTATGCTAAACATAGTCAAAAGGAAAAAGAAACTGCTATATGAATATCAGATGAAGTAGATTTCAGAGCAAACCATATTTCCAGGGATAAATAGGGTGATTTCATAATAATAAAGGAATTAATTTGTCAAGAAGACATAATAATCACCCCCTCACCATGACAGAACTTGAAAGTACATAATGCAAAAACTAATAGAACTGAAGGAAAAATAGATAATTCACCATATTGTCAGAGTTTCCAATGCCCCTCTCTTATTAATTGATACAACAGACAGAAAATTAACAAGGTTATGGCAGACATCAAGAACACAATTAACCAACTTGACCTGAATAATGTTTGCAGAACACGGCACCCAAAAAGAACATAAGATATATTTTACTCAAATGCACATGCACCATTGACCAAGACAGACTATATTTTGGGCCACAAAACAAGGCTCAAAAGATTTAAAAGAATTCAAGTCATAAAGATGTGTTCTTTGATAACAATGGAATTTAGTTGGAAATCAACAGAAGAAAGACTTTTGCAAAATTCCAACAAATATTTGGAAAATGAGGAAAATACTTATAAATTACCCATGGATCAAAGACTAAATCAACAGCAAAATTAGAAATTTTTCTGAAAAGAATGAAAGTGAAAACACAATATATCAAAATGAGGAAGGGGGATTATAGCGTTGAAGGTCTATATTAAAAATGAAAAATAAAAAATCAGCGTATAGGGCTCCAGTGATGGAAGCCCCAAAATCTCACAAGTCACCACAAAAGAACTTACTCATGTAACCAAATACCACCTGTTCCCCCAGAACCTCTGGAAATAAAATAAAAAATAAAACAAAATAAAATTGCCAAAAAAATTTAAAAAATGCTTTCAAATCAGTGACCTCAGCTTTACTTTAAGAAACTACAAAAGAACAAATTAATTTCCAACTAGGAAGAAAGTAAATTACAAAGGTAAAAATTAAAATCAATGACATAGTTTTGGGGGTAGGGAGTATGTTGTCATTCCATAATATTAGCATATAAATTCACGGTAGTTCTTCTCTGTGGCGCCTTCTGTTAACCGAAAGGTTGCTGGTTTGAGCTCACTTAGGAACAGAACCTACTCATAACCTATAAAGACTTTTGATCAGCTTTTATGTTTCAAGCAGCCACTTCATCCTGCAGCCCTCACTTCCTCCTCATGATTTCCTCCTTTCATCACCCAGGGTGTTCATGAAACTTCTCCCAGCAAACTCGTTTTCCCAGATCTTTACATGGTGCCACTGCTCACCTTGCACTCCCTGGAATGCAAAGGGTACCTTCACTCACCGCATCGACGCTCTAGATTCCAGGGGAACTGCCAGGGTCAGAGGCTGAAGGCACAGGCACTGAATCCCTTCCTCAAGCATGTGACATCAGAAGTCACCTTCTAAGTAACCATTTGCTCTCATTCCAGATTGTTGCATCTCAATATGCAATGTTCATCACAGGATCAGAGGACACCACAACCCTTTGATTTAGGGCTGTCTTGTCCTTACCTTTTTCTTTTCAACTAAATTTAAGTACAAAAATTTTACCATTGTAAATATGTGATTCAACTGTATGGAGTTTCTCAACGTGTACCATAATCCACTTTTAGAACATGTCCTTTACCTTCCCAAATTTTTCCACTGCCACTGTAGCAAATCCTACTCCCTCCTCTAACCTCATCCAACAATTTATGTTTTCTGTCTACAAATTTATCTTTTTCATATAAATGGCATGAAACAATATGTAGTCTTTTGTGACTAACTTGTTTCACTTAGCATAATGCTTTAAGATTCATCCATACTGTAGCAGGTGTCAGATTTTTTCCTTCTTATTGCTAAATAGAATTACATTGTACAGATAATGCCACATTTTATTTATCCATCTACCACTGGTGGACATTTCAGTAGGAGCTAGTTTTTGCTATTATGAATAATACTGCCAAGAACATTTCCAAAGAAGTTTTCTGTGCACCTGTATTTTCATTTATCTTGGATAGATTTCTAGGTGTGGAATAGCTGAGTAGTATGGCAAGCTTCTGTTTAACTTTTTAAAACACTGTCAAACTGGATTCCAAAGTGGTTGTATCCTTTTACATTCTTCCCAGCAATATATGAGGGTTCCATTTTCTCCACCTTCTCAGTAACAGTTGATGTTCTCTGTATTTTTTTTAACATAGCCACATTAGTGGGTGTAAAGTGGTATCTTATTGTTGTTTTAATTTGCGTTTCCATGCAAATCAACACTACAATGCAATACCACCTTACTTCTGCAAGAGTGGCCATAATCAAAAAATCAAAAAACAATAGATGTTGGCGTGGATGCAGTGAAAAGGGAACACTTCCACACTGCTGGTGGGAATGTAAACTAGTGCAACCACTATGGAAAACAGTGTGGAGATTCCCTGAAGAGCTAATAGTAGAACTACCTTTTTTTTTTTTTTTTTTTGGAGACGGAGTTTCGCTCTGTTGTTCAAGATGGAGTGCAGTGGCGCGATCTCCGCTCACTGCAAGCTCCGCCTCCCGGGTTCACGTCATTCTCCCGCCTCAGCCTCCCGAGTAGCTGGGACTACAGGCGCCCACCACCAAGCCCGGCAAATTTTTTGTATTTTTAGTAGAGATGGGGTTTCACCATATTAGCCGGGATAGTCTCCATCTCCTGACCTCATGATCCGCCGTCTCGGCCTCCCAAAGTGCTGGGATTACAGGCGTGAGCCACCGCACGCAGCCAGAACTACCATTTGATCCAGCAATCCTACTACAGGGTGTCTACCCAGAGGAAAAGAAGTCATTCTATGAAAAAGATATTTGCTCACACGTGTTTATAGCAGCACAATTCACAATTGCAAAAATGGGGAACCAACCCAAATGCCATAAATCAACAAGTGGATAAAGAAACTGTGGTTTAAGAAAAAAAAAAATATAGATAGATAGATAGATAGATAGATAGATATATGATGGAATACTACTCAGCCATAAGAAGGAATGAATTAATGGCATTCACAGCAACCTGGAGGGGATTGGAGACTATTATTCTAAGTGAAGTAACTCAGGAATGAAAAACAAAACATCGTATGTTCTGACTCATAAGTGGGAGCTAACCTATGAGGAGGCAAAAGCATAAGGATGACACAATGGACTTTGGGGACTCAGGGGGAAAGGGTGGAAAGGGGGGAGGGATAAAAGACTAAAATTTGGATTTAGAATATACTGCTCAGGAGATAGGTGCATCAAAATCTCACCAATCAGCTGGGAACGGTGGCTCACTCCTGTAATGCCAGCACTTTGGGAGGCCAAGGCCGGCAGATCACCTGAGGTCAGGAGTTTGAGACCAGCCTGGCCAATATGGCAAAACCTTGTCTCTACTAAAAATATAAAAATTAGCCAGGCATGGTGGCACGTGCCTGTAGTCCCAGCTACTTGGGAGGCTGAGGCAGCAGAATCACTTGAACCCAGTAGGTAGAGGTTGCAGTGAGCCAAAATTGCACCACTGTAATCAAGTCAGGTCTTGAACTCCTGACCTCAGGTGATCTGTCCACCTCAGCCTCCCAAAGTGCTGGGAATACAGGTGTGAGCCACTGCCCCTGGCTGCTAGGTTGCCCAAACTGGTCTTCAACTCCTGAGCTCAGATGATCCACCCACCTCGGCCTTCCAAAGTGCTGGCATTGCAAGCATGAGTCACCGCACCTGGTCAATTGTGTTGCTTTATGTTAAGTTGAAAAACTTCTTTAGGTATTGTGAATAGAATTGTTTTTTATTACATATTTAATTACAAATATTTGCTCCTAGTCTGTGGCTTATATATTTTTCTCTAAATAGTGTCTTTTGAAGCACAGAATTTTTAAATTGTAATAAAATCCAACTAATATTTTTCTCTTATGGCTTATGTTTTTTCTGTAGTGTCTTAGGACTCTTTGCTTAACTCAAAGTCACAAAGATTTTCTCCTATGGGTTTCTCTTGAAATTATATATTTTAGGTCTATCATTTAGGTCTGTGATCCATTTTGAGTTGATTGCTGTGTATGTGTGATCTTAGGCAAAGTCCCCTGGGGGAGTTTTGTCCAGATATTGGCAAGGAACTTGGTGGTAAGTGAAGTTTAAGAGTTATCATCCCCTAGCCCAGGAAACAGATTTCATACTCCTGCACCTGTTAGTGATTGGCTAAGTGCCTTGGGAGAGATGAATGGGATGTGTGGGTCCCTTACTCCCAGATATGTCCCATTCTTTGGGACCTGGGTATAAAGTGGCTCCAGTTCCCCAAGGATAGTTCTTCTCAGAAGAATCTTTGGAAGAAAAACACAGCAGCAAAAGCAGGGAAGGATTATACAGATGGGCTAATAGGGATCTCAGGTGATCTAGGTTGAGCTCCTACAGGGTCTCCTCCTAGGGTGGATAGAAAGGAGGATGGGCATCTCAATAACTCAGTAAACACACATCTTGGGAGTCCAGAGCAGATTGGAGGCGTTGCACAGGTTTGTAAACATTTTTACAAACATGAAAACAGTGGAGTTGTGTTTATGTGTGTGTTTGTTTTGCTGTGGCTGAGATAAGGTGTCTGGATCTGAAATTTAGACATACTCCCCACAAGGGAAGGACAGGGAAACTACCTAGCCTCCTGCAACAACAAGAGAGATTCTGAGCTCGGGCAGAATCCAAAGGGTGGGCTGGCATTATCTAAGCTCAAGCCAGGGACCCTACACTTTTATGATTTGTTGGATCTCCTATTTTTTGGTTACAGCTAGACCAGCAGCCAACTGCTAACACCCTGAGTATAGAAATAGACTAAGAAACATATTATTTGGACATACCACATTATCACCCTCACTATTAGTGGTGGTCCCACTGTAAATGGGAATGTGCATCTGAAATACTTAATTAACTTGAAATGGATTAAAACTTTGTAAATAAAAAAAATAAAAATCAATGTAAATTTAAAAAAATAAAAAAGTCTCCATTATTTTAGGAGGGTTATTTACCAAGATTAAGGATATGCCCAGAAAAGAACAGAGATCCACAGGAAAAACCGTGGCCCACTTTTTACCCAAAGAGGGTCTGGGGACCTCAATATTTAGTGGGAAAATGGCAGGTAGTGGGGAAAGAGGAAGACATTTTTTAAAGGGTGTGGGTAGATACGAGGCAAGTTGTTGCATCTGGTTGCAATTCTTTTGAGTCTTTGATCAGCTGTTTACATGTGGGGGGTGGGTGTAAATACTCAATCACTTAGTATTTGTCTCGCTCAGTGAATCTGCATTTTTACATAGGATAATGTAAACATAGGACAGAGAAAGCAATTACATATGTGTTTGTCCAGGTGAGCAAGGGGATGACTGAGTGTTTTCCTTTGTCCTGTACCTATGAAGAGAAGCTATCAATTTACATTGTCAGGTTGAAATTTAACAGGACTGTTTTAGGGTAAAGATCTTGGGGCCCACAAGGAATGTCGCTGTGATCAAATTGTGAGAAAGTTATGTAGCTTTATATTTGTATTCTATTCTATTCCACTTATTATTTTTATTATTTTTATTTTACCTATTCTATTTAGGAATAAAATGGGAGGCAGGTTTGCATGACCCAGTTCCCAGCTTCACTTTTTCTTTTAGCATAGTGAGTTTGGAGTGTTGAGATTTCTTTTCCTCTCACAACTTTTTTTTTTTTTAAGATGGAGCCTCACTCTGTCACCAGACTGGGTTGCAGTGGTGTGATCTCGGCTCACTGCAACCTCTGCCTCCCAGGTTCAAGTGATTCTCCTGCCTCAGGCTCCTGAGTAGTTGGGAATACAGGCTTGGGCCACCAGGCCCAGCAAATTCTTGTATTTTTAGTAGAGACAGGTTTCACCATGTTGGCCAGGCTAGTCTCAAACTCCTTACCTCAGGTGATCCAACCCCTTCGGCCTCCCTAAATTCTGGGATTACAGGCATGAGCCACCACGCCCAGCCTCCTTTCAAAACTTCAGTGTAAGATGTGAAACATTAACATTCCTAGAAGAAATCATAGAGAAAAAGGTCTTTGACATTGGTCTTGGAAATGATTTTTTTGCATATGGCACCAAAAGTACAGGAAATAAAAGCAGAACTAGGCAAGTGGGATTGCATTAAACTAAGCTTCTAAACAGCAAAGGAAACAATAAAAAAAAAAAAAGAAAAGAAAAGGCAACCTGTGGAATGGGAGAAAATATTTGCACCCATCAATAGGGTAAGGAGTTAATATCCAAAATATATACAGAAATCACAAAATTCAATAGCCAAAACAATAAATAACCTGATTAAAATATGGGCAAAGGATCTGAATAGACATTTGTCCAAGGAACACATACAAAATAGCCAACAGGTGTATGAAAAGGTGCTCAACATCAGTAATCCTCAGGGAAACGCAGATCAAAACCACAATGAGATAGCACCTCACAGCCATCAGGGTGGTTATTATCAGAAAAACAAGTAAGTGTTAGCAAGGATGTGGAGAAACGGGAACTCTTGTATATTGTTGGTGGGAATGTAAATTGGTGCAGCCATTATAGAAAACACTGTGGAGACTCCTCAAAACATTACAAACAGAACTACCAAACAACCCAGCAATCCAACTTCTGGGTATATAATCGAAGGAAATGAAGTCAGTATCTCAAAGAGCTATTTGCACCCCCGTGTTTATCACAGCATTCTTCACAGTAGTCAAGACATGAAAACAGCCTAAGTGTCTACCGATAGTGAATGAAGGGTCACCTCAGAACTTACACCCACTAGGAGGGCATGTCGAAAGCAGGCTCACTTGGCCACTTTTACAACTTACTTCTGACCAGAAAGGCACCACCTTGGCTGCCCAGTGGATAACTGCCTGGGAGCAGGGAGACTCCCTGTCCTTGCTCACTTCCCCATTTACCTAATAAAAATATCCACTTTTTGCTCCAAAGGAGAGGTTTTGTGCTTCTCCCCCAAGCTACCTTTGGAAATAAATTCACTTTTTTTGTAGCGGGCCTCACACTTAATTGGACTCTACATGTGGTGAGCAACTGACCTGCTTTTGGTTACAGAATGAGTTTTAGAGATCTAATGTACAGCGTGAGAACTATTGTTAATGCTGTATTGTATACTTGAAGTTTGCTGAAACAGTAGATCAAAAGTGTTCTCACTACACTAAAAAAGGAACTATGTGAGAAGGTGGATATGCTAATTAGCCTGACTGTAGCCATTAGTTCATTATGTATATGTATATCAAACCATCATGTTGTAGACTTTAATAGTATAGCATTTTAATAAAAATTTTTAAAAGATTCCTTTAAACAAACATTAACAATACCATCGAAAAATATGAACTACATAGCAAAAGAGGTGAACACCTGTACACTGAAGACTATGAAATATTGCAGAGAGCAATACAAGATCTTTGGAGGCCAGGTGTGGTGGCTCAGGCCTGTAATCCCAGCACTTTAGGAGGCCAAGGTGAGTGGATCACTTGAAGTCAGGAGTTCGAGACCAGACTGGCAAATGTGGTGAAACCCATTAGTCTCCACTAAAAATGCAAAGAATTAGCCCGGAGTGCTGGTGGATGCCTGTGGTCCCAGCAACTCAGGAGTCTGAGGCAAGGGAGTCATTTTAACCTGGGAGACGGAGGTTACAATGAACAGAGATCATACCACTGCACTCCAGTGTGGATGACAGAGTAAGACTCCATTTCAAAAACAAATTTAAAAAATTAAAATAAAAAAGATCTTTGGAATATAAGTTATTTATCGTATTTTTCAAGATTCCTTTTGCTATTTGCAGATACTTGCAATTTCTTCCAAATAAAAAGTTCTGTTTTTTTAATTTCTGAAAAAACAGGCCACTGGAATTTGAATAACATTACACTGAATCTGTAGATTGTTTTGAGTTTCATTTCCATCTTAACCATGTTAAATCTTCCAACAATGGACACAGGATGTCTTTCCATTTTTTTAGTTCTTCTTTAATCTCTTTAAGCAATGTTAGGTAGTTTTCAGTGTACAAGTATTTCACCTTCTTAAATTTATTCCTAGATGTGTTATTCTTATGGGTGCTATTATAAATGAAGTATATTAATTTTCCTTCAAAATTTTTTTCATTGCTAAAGCAACTGGTTTTTGTCCATTTATCTTGTGTGCTACAAGTTTGCCGAATTAGTTTATTAACTCCCGTAGTGTGTGTGTGTGTGTGTGTGTGTGTGTGTGTGTGTGTATTATTTGGTATTTTCTCTATATAGGATCATGTCATCTACAAATTGAGATAATTTGTTTTCTTTCCAAACCATTTTTGCTCATCTTCTTTTTTTTTTTTTTGAGATGCAGTCTCACTCTGTTGTCCAGGCTGGAGGGCAGTGGCCTGATCTCAGCTCACTGCAACCTCCAACTCCCAGTTTCAAGCAATTCTTCTGCCTCAGCCTCCAGAGTTGCTGAGACTACAGGTGCCCACCACCACACCCAATTAATTTTTATATTTTTAGTAGAGACAGTGTTTCACCATATTGGCCAGGCTGGTCTCGAACTCCTGACCTCGTGATCCGCCTGCCTCGGCCTCCCAAAGTGCTGTGATTACAGCTGTGAGCCACTGTACCCAGCCTCATCTTCATTTTTGAAAAAGATTTTCAGTGGGTATAGAATTCTAGGTTGACTTTTTTTTCAGTACTTAAAAGTATTGCAAACTTCTTGTTTGTAATATTTCTGATGAGAAATCAGATGCCATCCTTACATTTAGTCCTCAGTATATAACATATTTGTTCCCCTTTTAGCCCTCTTAGGATTTTCTCTTCATTACTGGTTTTGATCAATTTGAGTATGGTGTTCCTTAGTGTAGTTTTCTTCATGTTTCTTGTCCTTAGGATACATTATGTTTCTGGGATATTTGCAGTTTATGGTGTTCATGAAGCTTAGAAAGCTTCCATCCAGTGTGTTTTAAATATTTTTCTATCCCTGTTACCCACTCCATTCCCCTCAGGGATTCCATTTACCCCTACAGTAGGGTGTTTAAGCCTCCCATTGATGGGCTTTTTATGTTTTCAATTCATTTTTCCCTGCATGTTTCATTTGTGTTAGTTTCTTCTACTACTCCTTCTAGTTCATTAATCTTTTCTTCTGCAATGTTTAATCAAGTGTATTTTTTTTAAACTTCAGACTGTAAATCGCAGTTTTCACTTATGGAATTTGATATTAAAAAATATCTCCCAATTCTTCACTTAATTAAAATTATAATAACTGCTGTAATGTCCTTGTCTGCTATTTCTAACATGTGTGTCATTTTCAACTGAATTATTTCATTCTTCGTTGTGTCTCATGTTTTCCTGTCACTTGCCTGCTTGAGATTCTGGGATTTGATGCCACACATTTGATGTCAATGCCCAAATGTGCCCAGTGGCACAACACGGCCTCAGTGTCCATGCACACCCAAACTTGTGCAGCAGGAGAGGCAGGAGAGCAGAGGCGAGTGTGCCACACATGGGGTAGGGAGTACCCCACTTGTGCTTGGGGCTTTCCTCTGCCTCATTGAAAAAATAAGTGTTCCTTTTCTTTTCCATAAGACCTGCCCTATTTCAAGCCCTGTCCCTCCAATGATAGGACAGTCCTCTCTCCAGTCTCATGCCTGCCAATGGGCGGACAATGGTTCAAAACAATTCAGGGGAGAAAGCATTGTCCTGTTAACAAATTCTGCTGAAAAAATGGACATCCATAGGCAAAAATAGAAAAAAATCCACAACCGATGTTGGCAAGGTTGCATAGAAAAAGGAATGCTTTTACACTGTTGGTGGGAGTGTAAGTCAGTCTAACCATTGGGAAAGACACTGTGGCTACTCCTCAAAGACCTACAGGCAGAAATACCATTTGACCAGTAATTCCACTACTGGGCATATACCCAAAGGAATATAAGTCATTCTGTTATAAAGATACATGCTGGCATATGTCCACTGCAGCACTATGTGTACAGGATGGAACATGAAGGCAGACTAGGAGCATGACCACTGAAGCACAGCATCACAGGGAGACGGTTAGGCCTCCAGATAACTGCGGGCGAGCCTGACTGATGTCAGGCCCTCCACAAGAGGTGGAGGAGTAGAATCTTTGCTAAACTCCCCAGGGGAAAGGGAGACTCCCTTACCCAGTCCACTAAGTAGTGGGTGTTTTTCCTTGACACTGAGGCTACCGCTAGACCACGGTCCACATGGCAATGGGCGTCTTCCCAGATGCTGGCATTACCACTAGACCAAGGAGCCCTCTGGTGGCCCTGTCCGGGCATAACAGAAGGCTGGCCCTCTTGTCTTCTGGTCACTTCTCACTGTGTCCCCTCAGCTCCTATCTCTGTATGGCCTAGTTTTTCCTAGGTTATGATTATAGAGCGAGGATTATTATAATATTGGAATAAAGAGTAATTGCTACAAACTAATGATTAATGATATTCATATATAATCATGTCTATGATCTAGATCTAGTATAACTCTTGTTGTTTTATATATTTTATTATACTGGAACAGCTCATGCCCTCAGTCTCTTGCCTCGGCACCTGGATGGCTTGCCGCCCACGAAATATAATAACTGACACAGGCAGGGGTGATTAATTGATGATAAAATGTTCAGAGGAAGATCGTTAGAATACAAGATATTTATACTTTTTCAAACCACTTTCCAAATGAATTATAAATAAGGAGTCTTTACAAGTGAAAGATCTCCTAGGCCCCTCCTTAACCAACTGACCAGTCCTGGTATCATGATACTGGTGATGGACAAACTGGACCTTCTCTGCCTGCAGATGGGCTGAGGTAGGAAACTCACCGCATTGACTCTGCAGTGTTCCCAGCAAAATGTTTAGGCTGAATTTAATCATAAGGACATTTTCAGACAAATTCAGAATGTAGACCATGATCTAGACAGCTGACCTGTCCTCTACAAACAAATCCATGTCACCACCATCAGTGACAACAATAAAAAGATGAGATGCTTTGGGTTCAAAATGACCAAAGAAGTGTAGCTACATTATCTTTTCAATCTTTTTCAACCCAAAATGTCTCTTCTCTTTTTTGTTGTGTGATTCATGGTGACGTGGACTGTGTGAAGGAGATAGGTCAGTTGTCCTGCTCAGTGTTCTACATTCTGCAGTTGTCTGGTGATTACCTCCTACGAAACTCAGGCTAAGTGCTTTCAGCAAGAACGTGGCATTGTTCTTATTCTGCACTGGCAAAGTCCCGGGTGACATGCTGTCTCCTGCCAGCGGCTCCTGACTCCTGTTCTCTACGGGATAGGAATTGAGAGGAGCAGGGCTAAGGCCTCTCAATGCTGTTTGTTCATCTGGGCATCAGTCTCCTTAGGTACTGATCATAGTTGATCACAATTGGAGGGGGAAGGGCTGTGGCTTCTCAAATCAAAGGAGGCTGGTGGGTTAAAATCATCAACAGCATTTCATGGTCTTAAGTTCACTTCTCATCAAAGGATCCCTGTGGTGTTGTGTTTGATCTTGAACTTGCTTTGCTGTTTTAGTCTTTTCCATCAAGTGAAAAAACTACTTTGATGACATCCTTTCATCCTTTTCATTCTTCCAGCAGTATTTGGTATCTTTAGGGGAGAGAGAGACAAAAATCAAATGAGAATCTTTGTCTGGTCCTGTCTGGCTGAGTCTGGAGGGACTGCTAAGTGATGATAACCCAGGGGCAAACTGAGCTCCTGCTGGGAGGACCAGCTGCAGGGTAAGCCTCAGGCTGGCTGAAGTGGCAGGTGCCATCCACAAGTGAGAAGAAAATACCCCAGAACTTCCAGTCAGCCTGGGGTGCAGAATGTAGGGACCTCATCTATGCCCTACTAGCAACTGGTAACATCAGTACCTTTCTTCCTGATTAGCTCTGTTTGGAGCAAAGTGATTGCTTTTCACATCTCCCAGTGAGGATGTGCTTAGCATCAACCATGCATGCCCAGAAACAGAGGGCTGCAGAAGGAGAGGACCCTTTGCAGAGAAACCCACCCCCTTACAACTCCATGTCCCAGTCTTTTAAGGGAGCAGTGGGAAGGCCATGGGAAGAACCCTGGATGTGAGAAGCAGCAGAGGCCTCAGACCACATCCACATCCAGTTCTGCCTTTCACAACAGAGGAGCAGTGATGCCACAGGGCTAAGATTGAACTAAGGCCACATGAGTTGCTATTGACCACCTGGGAACTACAGCCCAGCCTCAGACCCTTTCAATAGTGTTTGGAAGAAGGGAGAGAAAAGGCTCCAATCTGGACTCTCAACAGTCATGAGAGGCTGTTGGGTCACCTTGGCTAGGACAGGAATAAAGTTTTACAATGAAATATGATTTCACTGCTGCTTGTTTGGTTGGTTACAAATAAAAAATGAAAAAAAGAGAAATATAGAAGGCTGGGCAAGGTGGCTCATGTCTGTAATCCCAGCATTTTGGGAGGCTGAGACAGGTGGATCACAAGGTCAGGAGATCAAGACTATCCTGGCTAACACAGTGAAACCCCGTCTCTACAAAAAATGCAAAAATTAGCCAGGCATGGTGGCAGGCACTTGTAGTCCCAGCTACTCAGGAGGCTGAGGCAGGATAATGGCATGAACCTGGGAGGCGGAGCTTGCAGTGAGCCAAGATGGCGCCACTGCACTCCAGCCTGGGTGACAGAGCAAGACTCCGTCTCAAAAAAAAACAAAAACAAAAACAAAAAACAAAATATATATATATATATATATAAAATCATAAGTATTCTTTCCAAGGGGCTCAGGAAAGAAAGAAAAACAAGAGAGTCTACTTGCAGTTAGCAAAGAGAGAGCAGGGATTGTAACCATGGCCCAACTTATTTTCTCTAATTCCCTGAAGTTGATTCCACACCTGGTTACATCTTAAGACATTTAGAAATATTCTCAATATCTAGACAAACAAAACTTTGAAGTGAGAGGGACGCCCAAGATGGTAGCAATGGGAACAGAGCAGAGTTCAGAGAGCAAAGAGCAGATGGGAATGGAAGGTCCTGGGAGGGTGGCAGCTCATGGGACACAGAGGTAAAACCAGACAGACATGATGGCAGCTGCTGGAGAGAATGAATAGGGAAGAGAAAAGCAATGGGAGAATGAGCTGTCATCATAGACACAGGAGTGAGTGCAGCTAAGAGCCATAGATGTGATTACCTTTTTACACTAGGCTTGCAGGCCAGGGAATCTGCATGCCAGTCTCCACTTGCTGAACAGCAGTTTTCTTTTGATCATATTCGGTTTTAGGACACTTGAGGCATGAATGTGGCCAATGACTTGATGCCCATGTGTGTTGTCAGCTGAGCTTTCAAGAGCATCCCCTTCCAGCTGGGGAGGGTTCTTCATTCAAGGGAAGGCTCTAAACCCAGCTCTGAAAATGAAACCACACCCAACAGTGTTCACTGTCATCCATGATCCTACTGTGACTTTCTCTTCCTCCCAAGAGGATCATCAGAGAAGGAAAGTGGCCTTGGACAAGAAAGTCCAAGGGGTAAAGGGAAGCCAAGAAAGACATTTTGGTATTTTCTGCATTGTTGATTTTTCATGCATCACCCAATAATGACAAGATTGCCAGGAGGCAAAGGTGATCTCAATTGACAAACATATTCAAGAAACTTAGGATTAATAAACACAAATAGCTTCTAGGTAGATAAGGCAAAGGCAAGGAAGTCACACTGGATACAGGCTGTGTTTTGGGAGGGAGAAGATTCTAAAAATCAAGCAAAATCAACATTAAATGCACATATGAGAGAAAAGAATTGGGAAGACTAAACATGGGATATTGATGAAATGATCATACAGATATATATATAGCATATATACACATTTAATTAAAAATACATGCCAAATATGCATAATGTACATGACAAATGACATAAATGCATGTATTTATATATAAAAATCTATTGGAAGAAAGTATTACATAGGGATGTGGAGGATGTTGAATTAGCATTATAATCACTAACATTATAATCTGGTCCATTGAAATTGGAAAAAAATTCAGAAAAATAAGATGAATGACAAAGGGAAGACATGGTGAGAAACAAATGCCCTATTAGACAGCAGGGAGAAGTCACCAGTAAAGGAGAATGAAACAAAAGGCATTCACTCTGTCCTCTTGCCTGGAGCCTGGTTAGTGCTCTGGACTCCTGGGAAACCCAGCAGGTGAGAGTGTTGGAGCCAGGTGGGTGAGTCCTGACTGGGGGTGTGGGAATCCATGGAGAAGCAAAAGAGACATCAGTGGAAGAAATCAGTTTAAATACTTAAAGTTATCAGGGCACATGTCAGGGACTACACATCCCCCGACACTCACTGAGCATCTTCCATGTGTCCTCTCCACGACCCAGATGGTGCTCTTTATCTCACATGTCCCTCCCTCCTCCTGAGGACGCAGGTCTCCTTATTCCTCAGCTGGGGACATCACTTGACAGATGAGCAACAGGCAGCCCCAGGGGCTCCAGGAGGAGATATTGAGTGGGACGGAGAGTAAGGATGAACACGACCCAGGGTTTTAAGGAAATCTGAGCAGAAGTGGAACCCTGGGAGAAGGAAACTGAGGACATGGCCATGGACGTGAGTGGAGATGATGAACTAAATGGAGTTTCATAAAACAGACAGATTTGTACACTTTCCATGAGAAGGTTGCCCTTTCATTCTTTTATTTCAAAACAAGGGGGAAAAAAAACAGAGCAAGAAGCTGGGTATGTCAGGAGACTGACTTGTGGGCCCAGGATTTGCACTTTTACTGAATGTGCCTAATAGGTTGTTACTGAAAGTGCTTGATAGGGGAAAATTGACTTAAAAAGGGATGCTGACAAAGAGGAAGAAAACTGGCAAAAGAGACTTTCGAAGAAAACACAGGAAGAGGGGTCCCTAGAGAGTAGAGACCCTAACAGTTACTCTCCCTAAGATGAAACAGTGCATGTGAAGTCACTTCCTGTAGGGAGACCCCCTGAAACTATTGCTATGGAATAAAAGATGAAATGCTCCTGATTATTGTAAACACAACATTGCATGCAGGATTGTGTAAAGACAATGCCAGGTTGGGCGCCAGAATGAGCCAACAGCGCATGATGTGCTTCCCCCTGCAGAGACCCTATGAACGGACGTGCAGTCAGGGAGGTTTCACATCACCAAGATTCCTATCCCAGAAAAGCAGATGTTCATAGCTCTGGGAATGGAATGCAACCCTTGTGGAGAGCCTATAAATGGACACATGGGGGGTGCCTGTTCATATGGATAAGATAGGGCTATAAACACTCTCATCTTGCCACGGCTCTTCTAGGCCTCTTTAGGGTTAAGGCATACTCCCTTCTGAGGATTTCTGGTCTAACTGGTTATCTAGCTTCACGTCCTGTTTCTATGGATTGTTTGTAACCAGCTTTTGCTGCAACTGTTACTGCTGCTTAATATCTTGCTAATCATAGGTTATGGAAAGACTGTGCTTCTGTTTTAAGGCTCTGTTAGAAATTACTGATGCACACACTATACTGTAAATTCTTATCTCTGTATACTGTACTTCTGCATACAGATGTTATGTTAAAAAATTACTTCATCCACATGTGACCATCTCACTCATAATCAGATGATCCTAAATCCCTCACTAACCTACTCCCGCCCTCACTAAAGTTAATAATAAATGCTGGTATATCCCGTGCATTGGCAGCATCATGGGACCAGAAGGTGGTGACACCCCTGGATCCAGCTTTCACTACCTTGTGTGTGTCTATTATTTCTCAACCTGCCGATCTGCCTGGGAACAAAGAAAGAACCCTGTTGCATTGTGGGCTGCTGGCCAGATCCCACAATACTTCCTAAGTGCTAATTTACCAGAAAGATAACAGAATTAGATAACATCTATTCATAGATTTATTGAGCAATTTTTATTGAATTAGCCCTTTGGAAATTCTCATAATTAATGTTATCAACAATAATTGAATGTTAATATTATTTTTCAGGTCTCACAGATGACGGAACTGAGATGTAAATACCAACACCACAAATGACTTCGCCAAGGTCAATAATGAGTAAGGGTTAAACCCAGGACCTGAGAGCAGATTTGATCCTAAACCCCAGGCTCTTGCTCACCTCACTGGGTTGGAACATTGTGGATTTCTGCTTGACTCAGAGGGAGCACGAAGAGACCCCATTGCCTCCTCCCCTCACAGCACCATGACTACCAACACCTGGATTAGAGCTTCCTAGTGCCCTTTCCTTCCCTACCTTGGAAGGGCCATTGGTTCCCAGGATCACCGTTGGCTGTGAAGCTGCAGGTGGTGGAGGAAACGCCCCACCTGGCTAAGCCATAGCCACAGTCAAACCCTTGATCCAGTTGCAGTCACAGACAACTGGGCACCAGGGTTCTTGGCTCCAGCTGTGCCTGTGAAGCCTCCACCTCTGACAGGTGGTGGCTCAAGTCTCCACTCCAAGGCCCGTGAGGACAGGCCACCTGGGTGGGAGCTGAAAGGAGAAGGGGCTTCAGTAGGAACGCTCTCACTTTTCCCTTTCTTAATCATGCCCAGAACACCCATCTCTGACATCTCCGCCTCTGAGGTAAGCCACCCAGTGGCCCAGGCCACAAAGACAGACATCATGTAAATGGGGTGATGTCACCTTCCTGTCTGTGCCTGGGGATGCTGAGATGGAAGGTACCCAGGCTGGATGTCCCTGAAGTGAAAACCCCCCACTTCAGCCCAGAGGGCTTTGGATTGGCTAACAAGGCCATGCCAAATATTCTGTTATTATTAATCTCTATCCTGCAGCCTAGAAAGAATGTTCTGGAGAATCTTCAGAGCATAGGAAATGCTATTTTTCTCAACACACAGGAGTATAAGAATAGGGGAGGACTTAGAGCCTCCAGGCTTTGGGAAGGAACCATAGAAAAGGGTTTTGGGACACTGTAGACTAGCAGTCTCCAAACTTTTTGCCCCAGGGATTGGTTTTGTGGAAGACAATTTTTCCTTGGACCAGGGGTGGGGGATGTGAAAAGAGGGAAGGATCATTTCGGAATGAAACTGTTCCACCTCAGATCATCAGGCATTAATTAGATTCTCGTAAGGAGCGCGCAACCTAGATCCCGTTCATGCACAGTTCACAATAGGGTTTGTGCTTCTATGAGAATCTAATGCCACCGCTGATCTGACAGGAGGCAGAGCTCAGGCTGGAATATGCTTGCTTGCTGGCCACTCATATCCTGCTGCACAGCCTGGTGCCTAACAGACCAGGGACAGGTAGCTGACCACAGCCCCGGGGGCTTGGGGCCCCCTGCAATAGACCAAATACTCCATAAGGTGAACTTTTTAGAGTTCTGAAACATTTTGAATTTCCGTTGCCTATAATTGTTTTACCACCTGCCCACACATATACATCTTGTTGCCATATAGTGGGTGTCCGCAGTCATAAGCAATGTTGTAGAGGGACCAGTCCCTTCACCGACACTTAGGGGCCACAGGTATTACCGATCAGCATGTGTGGTTCTGTAGGGAGGCAACACCAAGCACAATCCTCATCTTACCCACTCCTCCAGTGGGGTCCGGGCAGCACCCCCTCATAAAAATTATTGCTATTTCCACAGGAAGAGGAAATCACACTCTCAGAAAGTGGACTAAGGAAAGACTTCCAGTGGCCTCACGCCAGTCCAGATCGGTCTCAGAAGAGGGACGGGGCCCGCAGGGCCTGATCCACATTGCTGCAGGGCTCCTCTCTCTCTCTCCTCCCCTCTGCACATCCTCATTCTCACCAAGGTTTCTCTAAGTTTTCCTTAAAATGCCTTCCGTGTATCTGTTCTTCATCTTCCTGAGAGCACAGTGTATCAGACTTGAAGGGGTGGCCTGCCCCTCCACACCTGTGGGCGTTTCTCATCAGGTGGGACAAGAGACTGAGAAAAGAAAAAGACACAGAGACAAAGTATAGAAAAGTGGGCCCAGGGAACCAGCGCTCAGCATACAGAGGACCCACGCCAGCACTGTTCTCTGAGTTCCCTCAGTATTTATTGATCATTATCTCTACCATCTCGGAGAGGGGGATGTGGCAAGACAATAGGGTAATAGTGGGGAGAGGGTCAGAAGGAAAATATGTAAACAAAGGTCTCTGTGTCATAAACAAAGTTAAGAAAATGTGTTGTGCCTTGATGTGCACGTATACAAACATCTCGGTGCATTAATGAGCAGTATTGCCACTAGCATGTCTCACCTCCAGCCCTAAGGCGGTTTTCTCCTATCTCTGTAAATAGATCATACAATCGGGTTTTACACCGAGACATTCCATTGCCCAGGGACGAGCAGGAGACAGATGCCTTCCTCTTATCTCAACTGCAAAGAGGCCTTCCTCTTTTACTAATCCTCCTTAGCACAGACCCTTTATGGGTGTCGGGCTGGGGGAAGATCAGGTCTTTCCCTTCCCATGAGGCCATATCTCAGGCTATCACATGGGGAGAAACCTTGGACAATACCTGGTTTTCCTAGGCAGAGGTCCCTGCGGCCTTCCGCAGTGTATTGTGTCCCTGGATACTTGAGATTAGGGAGTGGTGATAGTTTTAACAAGCATGCTGCCTTCAAGCACTTTTTTAACAAAGCACATCCTGCATAGCCCTAAATCCATTAAACCTGGAGTCAACACAGCACATGTCTCTGTGAGCACAGGGTTGGGGCTAGTGTTACAGATTAACAGCATCTCAAGGCAGAAGAATTTTTCTTAGTACAGAACAAAATGGAGACTCTTACATCTAATTCTTTCTACGTAGACACAGTAACAGTCTGAGCTCTCTTTCTTTTCCCCACAGACTCATCATTGATGCCTGGCTTCATACACCCCCACAACTGCTTTCTCTAATTCTGCCATCTTCACACTAGGAATTGTCTCAGCAATTTTATTGCCCAGAAGTCCTGTTCTTTCCACATTCTTACTCTGTTTCTGAAAACTCTCTCAGTACTGCCCACTGGGTGACTCTCCCCGCTCACCCTGCCTTTGTGCTCCTTCTAACTTCTGTCCCATGATCCTATCCAGCATCACCTCCCACCACTCCCTCATACAGTGTCTTCCCTGGAGTCAGGTTGGCCCCTCTCTGGTGCAGCCCTGCATGGGGTGCCTTCCAGCTTCTGGGTCTTTGTCCCCGAGCCCTTCACGCCACCTCATGTGGCCTCCTTAGTTGCTCAGGGCACAGTTTACTGTTCATTAAACATCACTTAGGACACTCAATGCAACTTCATGGTAGTTTATGTTGGGCAGATGGGGAAACAACTCAAAACAACAAATCTGGTTGGGGAAGCCTGGTCAAACCCAGGCTTCCCATTCTTGTCCTCTGCAAGTGCCATTTAGAATCAATGTTTGGGAATGTTTTTAACTCTAAATACTTAATTTTGTTAAGTCCTTTTATCCCTGTTTCTCAGAATACTAAGTCTTCTTAAGCTTATACTTTTAATATTCTTTGCATTTTCAGAAGGAAACAAAAAACAACTCAAACTTCTGAAATACTGTACGTATTATTAGTTGAGCAGGTGGGGAAAAGTCCTCAATAAGTGATCAAGTTATGATTTAGTTTGATTCTACTGTAACTTTCCCTGAAGCGAGAGGATAGGTGGAGCACATCGATTCTGGCACCAAGGCTAGGATCACAGCTGTGCATGGTACAGACTCTTCATAGGTTATCATCAGAACCCACACACAGGATGTCTTCTGGTGTAATTGAGACAGTGCATTCATGCATCTCAGCCTGTCTGCATGGATGAACGTGGCCTCTCCTGGCCCATGTTTCATGATGCCCTGGCAGAGCTGGCCCATATCACAGACATCTCACTTCTGAGACATGTATCTGAGCATTTCCCTTCCTCCTCATGGGAGCCTGGACCTGGTGGGGGTGTTCCTGAGGCAGAGCCCAGTAACTTTATAAGGGCTCCAAGACTGCCATGTTGAGAGCAGAAACCCAAGTGATACAAGGTAGGAACAGACTGCATCTTTCATTCCCTGAGACATTTTCCAGCAAGCACCTTCTGGAGCTGTAGGTCCCCCTGGAGGGACTGAAGGAGCCACTGGTTCTGCTCAAAGACAAAGTGCACTAAGCTATTTATCACTGGGTTATGTGCGTGAGGGGCTACAGGAGTTCTTTGTACCAGACCAGCAAATTTTCTGTTTCAGTTTGAAATAATTTCCAACAAAT
Organism: Homo sapiens; assembly: GCF_000001405.40. Lineage (NCBI taxonomy): Eukaryota > Metazoa > Chordata > Mammalia > Primates > Hominidae > Homo > Homo sapiens. The sequence continues at coordinate 147,108,453 of NC_000001.11, forward strand.
TTGCTACAAAGGGAAAAACCTTGAGCACTCATCCTAGCTCAGTCTCTGAGAGATCCAACCACAGAGAAATGACAGCAACTGCACCATGGAGTGGTGCCCGTGTTCTCACTGTGACTACTCGGGGCATCCTGGGCAAGTGAAGGGACCTTGCTGAGCCTCAGCATCCTCAGCTCTAACACGGAGATGCCACTGCCCACTTGGGAGTGCCCCTTGGGCACTGCATAGGTTATAGCAAGGATAGAGCTTGCTTGGCCAAGGGCAAGGTGTACAACAGGTGGAAGCGTAATGTGTATTTTACTTCATTTTATGAATTGCTGTGATCCTGCAAAAGCCTTTGCTTGTTTGAAACTGAAGGAGAAATGAAACACAGGAAAGAGGATGGTTCCAGCAGGAAGGTGCTTACTGACCAAAATAGAATGGAAGACCAAAGTTTCAGTCACTACTTTCATTACAACATATTCAGATGGGGGACATCACAGAGTTACTTGCTCTTCCTACAAGAGTCAACGGGTAAAACTCGTAACAATTCACGTGAAATTCTCAGAATAATGGTACAAAAAAACAGAATGAGTGAGAACAAAATAAAATTTTTTTTCCCTTACACACCCTATGAAACAGCCACCTCAAGGGTCACTTGCTCACAGGAGGGGTTTGCTGGAGATCATGGGGATGAGAACCACTGTGCTTTCTTCATCAGTTAGGCCAGCACCTGATCAGGGAAACTAGTTGTTGATGGTTCACATGAGAATATAGCACTGAGATGACACATGATTGAAACTACAAACCCACACATGAAAGAAACCACCGGGGCTCTACAGAGGATGCAAGCCATGGCCATACATGGAGGAAGGGACACTAACTGCCTCAGTGGAGGGAAGCCACCTCAGAGGAGGTAGTAGAGAATCTGGCTTGAAACACAGGAATCATGAAACAGCCCTCCAAAATAATGGGGGGAAAATGCCAGCATAGGTGGATGGCCAGAGAAGAGAGAAGGGCGCTGCTCAGGATATGTGATGAGAAGGGTGCTGCTCAACATAATGTCTGAAAAGAGAGATGCCCTATCTTAAGGAATGAAGTCTGTTATATAAAATTCTCCAGGTGAGCTGTTGTGGCCAAGAGTTTGCAATGATCCCTCATCATTCCCCTCTCTGGCCTGTTTTGATACCTACAGCCTGCTCTTGTGAGAAGGGGTTGGGTGACAGAGGAATCACCTGGCACAAGAGAAAGGGGTTCCACCCATCGAATGAGCATAAAACTGGATCCAAGAACCAGATTCAAAACACTCTGAATTTACAGGGCCTGGCTGCAGAGATGATCCATCTCACCTGCACAAGTTACAGGAAACAGAACATATAGAGGCCACCTAGGAGAATAGTAGAGCTTTGTGACCTTCAGGCTGGAGTACTCACAGGCTACATCGAGAGCAAAGCAGGTGAGCTGATCCTCCAATGAGTACAACGTGCTGTTGTAAGGTTGCTGGCAGTCAGACAGGTCATGGGGGAGTGAAGGAGTCAAGTAAACTTCATCCAGGGAGTCCTGTGGGACGTCCTGTTCCTCCACCTCTGGCAGATCCGGGCTCAGCCTGGTGGGTGAAGAACACAGAAGATAAACATTAGAGGGAACAGAAACTACAGTGCCCAATTGATTCTACAGAGAGTCTGACAGGAGAAGCCAGAGGAAGCAAAAAACAGTCCCCTCAGGCAGAGAATGATCCTTCTCTGTCTCCAGCAGGAGACAGAGCAGCAGGTGCTCAGTGCTCTGGGTAGGCAGTGAGCTGGAAAGGAAGGAGATGGAATGATCCCTCTACCAAAGAGCTATGACACGGCACATGCAGCAGACCCTTGTGTCTTCATAGACTGATAGAGTTACTGTGACCTCAACACCTCTTGTTCTCAAAATTTTGGCATGATATGAATTATGTGTATTCACATTCCTGCTCTCAGATATTTGCCAATATAATGGCAAAGACCCAGACATTGGATGAGCATCTCAAGTTCACTTTAAGCCAAAAAGGCAGAAAAGGAAACTGCAGAAAATGTGATTGATCAGTTCAACAAAGTCAATTGAATAAAGATTAGTACAATTTTGAAGGAATCAATAAGAGAAACAAATACAAATATAGGTGTAAAATGAAAAGAGGCAACTTTATTAATATTGTACCAATAATATTAATATTGACTAATAATCCTGCTTAATAATTATTCCACACTGATAATCTTAACATTACTAATATGGCGATTTCATAGTTGGCTGAATGAATGGACAGGTATGTTCTGTTATCCCTGTATCTGGCATCTCCAGATATCAAAAATAAATTAAATGTCTGCAATTGCTCAAAGTTACCTGGGGCATTGTGGGTCTTGGTCTTCTTCTTCTTCTTGATTTTTTTCAATGTCTGCAACAAAGTCAGACAGGGACAGACACATTAAGTCTATTCCCCTATTCATGCAACAATCCACTGTCCAATCCTAAAACAGGAACATCTGTCTCCTGAGCATGAGAAGAGGACACTGTGAGAGATATATTCCAGGAGGCCTGAGGGTCAGACATGATACAGATTCCTTGGTTTTTGTCTCTGAACCTAAGGGTGAAATGTCCCCTGTTCTGGTAGATCATTATCCCAGTATCATCTGTCCTGAGTTTGTGCAACAGTTATGCAATATTTTCCCTATCAATTCAAAGCAAACACCCAAAATAATTTCTGGAAAAAAAGACTGCAGTATTCAGTCCTGTCTCATCAAATACCCAGCTTGTTCACAAAGGCGAGGATTTTAGACACTGAAATTACAATGAGGGAGAAAATTAACAAACCCTAGAGTCAAAAATAACTCTTTGGTTCTTTAAAAAAAACATTGGTTATTCATGGCATCAAAAACGTGACAGGGCTCAGTCTTGCTTCCAAAACCAAAACAAAAGGTAACAGACAGATCAGCTAAAACAAGCAGACATTGAAGATACAAAGAATGAGGTTAGGTTAATTAAAACCAGGGTAACACCTTTGCATGAGCTGTACACAAAGATGACGTTGACCTTGAGCAGGTATTGAAGCTCAGAGACATGCCTGCAAAATGAAATCCCTGAGGAACTTTGTAGCTACCCAGAGATATGTGGCTCAAATTAAAATGTCTGATAGATTACTCCCGGCATGTGCTGCATAGTTATGTGAACGTGTCACAACTAACTTGGGTCTAATGTCTTCAGACTGAGCACAGGTTGCCACTGGCATGGTCTGAGAATAGGAATAGAGCCATGCCCACTGACCCATCCTATGTCTGGGCTTCCAACTGGAACTAGGGTTTCATTCAAACCTACAGGCGCCTATAGGTCCTGCCTGTGGCAACGACATCTCTCAGCTCAGTAAGGGCTGCTCAGTGCAGGAATATGACCCCTATCCAGAAGACCAGGTGGAGCCTTATCACCTTCATAGTAAGGAACCTACTGTCCACGTAAAGAGCCAAGCCAACATGCTATTCCTCCAATGAGTAAAAGGCACTTCTGTAGGACTGGCATGAGTCACGCAGTTCAACTGGAAGGAGTTGAATAACATCTATCCAGTGAGTCCTGCAAGACTTCAGGCCCTTCCCCTTCCAGCAGCTCACTGCTGAGCCTGGAAAAGTGGGAAAAATTAAAGAGTAAGCCAAAGAAAATCAGACACCACAGAGCCCCAGCTAGATTTCATGAGTAGCATAAGGTAGTAGTTATAAAAAGAAAAGGATACATCCATTAATGAGGTAACAAATTATTGGCTATATCTTGGGACAGAACAGGGCCAAATGGAAAAGGATGAAAGAGAAAGACAGACAGAGAGACAGAGAGAGAGACAGAAAGAGAGAGAGAGAGAAAGAGCTTAGTGAATTGTCCAGGTGACACACTGATGAGGGAGTAATAGGACACTCCGAGTTAGTGCCCTCAGGACACACAGTGTACAGTGATCATGAAAAGAATGGGCTCAATAATTTTCCATAAAATGTGCTTAAGTTTCCATGCAGTTGCCATGAGAATACAGCTTTTGAAGTATGGTCCACCTACGGTAGGTTAGTAAATGATAAGGGGAGGAAGAAATGGAAACCTAAATATCTATTGCAATGAAAACCAACAGCAATGTTAGTAGGAATAATTCAGGCTTCGTTGAAAAGATGTAATCGATATTGTCAGCCTGCTCTGTTTTCTCTGAACCAGGAGTCTCAAAGTGTCAACAGAGAAGTAGCTGTTCACAATTGCTCAAAGTTACCCGGGGCCTGGTGGGCCTTGGTCTTCTTCCTCTTCTTGGTCCTTTTTAATTCCTGCAATACATTCAGACAGGGACAGACAAAATAAGCCAATTCACCTACACCCATAACAGCCCACTGTCTAATCCCCACACAGGGATCTCAGGCTCCTCAGCATGAGAACAGGACAATGTGAGAGATATACTTCAGGAGGCCTGAAAGCTGGTCATGATATTCTTTGATTTGCATCTCAGAACCAAGGGTGAAATATCCCCATTCTGGTAGATCGTTATCCCAAAATCATTTATCCCAAGTTGTGGAAACAGTTATGCCTTATTGTTCCCATCGATTCAAAGAAAATGTCCCAGATGATTTCTAGGAGGAAAACTGCAGTATTCAGCCCTGTATCATCAAATACCCAGCTCATTCATGAATGCAAGAATTTTAGACACTGAAATTAGAATGAAGGAGGAAACCTACAAACCCTTGAGTCCAAATCATAGTTCTGTGAATTTTTTACATCTGCCTGGGTCCAATGTGTTGAGAGTGGGCTCAGGTTGCCACAGGCATGGCTGGAGACTAGGAATAGAACCATGTTCACTGGCCCATCCTATGTCTGGGCTTCCAAGTGTAGCTAGAGTTTCATTACAACCTACATGCACCTATAGGTCCTCCCTGTGGCAATGACATCTCGGGTCAGTAAGGGCCACTTGGAGCAGGAATATGACCCCTATCCAGAAGACCAGGTGGAGCCCTATCACCTTCATAGTAAGGTACTCACTGTCCCCATCAAGAGCCAAGCCAACATGCTGTTCCTCCAATGAGTAAAAGTACTTCTGTAGGGCTGGCATGAGTCAGGCAGTTCAAGATAACTGGTAGGAGTCGAATAATATCTATCCAGTGAGTCCTGCAAGACTTCAGGCTCTTCCACTTCCAACAGCTCCCTGCTGAGCTTGAAGAAGTAGGAAAAACTAAGGGTAAGTGAGGGAAAATGAGAAACCACAGAGCCCCAGCTAGATTTCATGGGGCATAAAGAAGTGGTTAAAAAAGAAAAGGGATAGATCCATTAATGAGGTAACAAATTATTGCCTTTATATTGGAATAGGCCATGGCTGGGTAGTAAATGATGAAAGAGAAATACAGACAGAAAGAAAGAGAGACAGACAAAGAGAACTTAGTGAATTGTCCAGGTGACACACTGATGAGGGAGTTAAAGGACACTCTGAGTTGGTGCCCTGAGGACACACAGCAAACAGTGAGCATGAATAGAGTGGGCTCAATAATTTTCCATAAAATGTGCTCAAGTTTCTGTGCAGTCGCCATGAGAATACAGCTTTTGAGGTATGGCCAACCTTCACTAGGTTAGAAAATGATAAGGGTAGGAAGAAATGGAAACCTAAACATTTACTGCAATGAAAAGCAACAGCAATATTAGTAGGAGTAATTCAGGCTTGGCTGACAAGAATGAAATCATTATTTTCAGCATGTTCTGTTTTCCCTGGACTTGGCATCTCCAGGTGTCAACACCAAATTAACTGCCCACAATTTCTCAGACTCACCTGGGACATGTTGCCTCTCGATCGTCCTTTTTCACTTGATCACACTGAGGTCCTGCAAATAAATTCAGATGGGGCCTCTTACATTAAGCAGTTCTTCCTTGCACACAGAAACATTCCTCTGTCCAATCCTAACACAGGGACTTCAGTCTTCTCAGTGTGAGAACAGGAGACTTTGAGAGAAATATTCCAGTAGGCCTGAGGTCAAGTCTTGAGAAAACTGGCTTGGGTTCTTTCATGAGCCTTGGGCAAAATTCCCCTGTTTTGGAATGTTATCTTCCCTATGTGCTCTGTCCTAGGTCTGTGTACACAAATGAGCAATATTTTCCCCAATAAATTGTAGGCAAATAGTTCTAACACCTCGTAGGAGAGATACTTCAATATTAAGCTTTCTCTCATCAAATACCCAGAATTTGATAGTTTATGAGATTGTGGACACTGAGATTTGTTGGATGGGTGCAATGTACCAGCTCTTGAGTCAGAATGAGTCTTGGTGCTACACAGAAGCATCAGCTATTATGGCTTTTGTGAGTGAAAAGTCAACTGTTTATCTAGAAAACATACCAGCAAGATGATGGACAGATGAGCTAAAACAAGCCAACTTAGAAGACACAGAAAATGGAGATAAATTCAGTGAAACCTGGGTCACATCTTCCACTGAGAGGTAGACAAGGGTGACACTGGCCTTGGGCAGGTAAAGAACCACACAGACATGCTTTGGGAACAAAACTCATAAGGAATTTTGTAGCTGGCAAGAGACATTTAATTCAGATGAGCTGATCTGACAGACAACTCCTGGGCATGTGCTGCACAGTTTGGTGTGAGTTTGCCACACCTGCCTTGAGTTCAATGTCGTGACAGTCAGTCCAGGTTGGCATGGGCATGGCCTGAGACTAGGAAGAGAGCAAAGCTCACTGACCCACCCCATGCCTGTGCTTCAGACTCGACTCCAGAGTGATTGAAATCTACATTGATATATAGGTTCAGCCCGCAGTGATGGCAACTCTCAGTCCAACCAGGGGCACAAGGCCCAAAGATTACGGGGTCTACCTGGGATGCTAACTGGAGCTTTATCACCTTCACAATGGAGTACTCACTACCTATGTCAAGAGCCAAGCCAACTTGCTGTTCCTCTAATGAGTGAAAGGTGCTCCTGTAAGACTGGTACAAGGCAGATATGTCAGGAGGAATTAATAGAGTCGAATAACCTTCATCCTAGGACTCCTGAGGGGCTTCCTCCTCTTCAGTCTCCTGCAGATTCCTGATGAGCCAGGCAGGACAGGGATGACAGAAGATTTAACCAACAGAGATTAGACAACAAGGCCTTTCAGCTGATCCAATGGGAAACAGAATCGAGTGGTCACAAAAAGCAAAGGCATTTTTCCTTCAAGAGAAAAAAAGCTATCCTTCTAAATGCAGGGTAGAGGGTGACTGCTCTGGGGACAGAGCAAAAATGTGCAGGTCATGCTCAGTGCATTTGCCACAGATGAGCCACTGCAGGGCACCCAGACTCTCCGTGTAAACTACCATCATGACTTGCAACACAGAGAACTAACACAGGGCTTCAACCACTTTGCATAAATTGGGTTGAATTTTACATGCAGCATTCAAGTGAACAGAGCTCTTGAGGCAGTGCAGACACACAGATCTTGTGTATTAAGGGCCCCCTTTTCCCAATATTTTGATATATATGTTTATTTTTGAATTTCTTTTCTTGTGCAAATACTAGCAAAGATACTAACAACAAATGGGCAGAAAGCATATATACATCTCTCCCTGGATTTAAACACATGGGAGAGAACAGGCAATACCAAGAAATCCCTGTTTGGTTAGTTCACCTGGCTCATCTGATTGCAGGTTCCTATCTTGAGAGGACTACAAAATTAAAACCAACACAAGTGCCATGAATAACCCACAACAGTGTTAATAAGGACAATTTGTGGTGGGGTTAATGGAAGAAATTGTTCTATTCATCATTTCCTCATTTTCCCTGGATCTGCAGTCTCCAAGCATCACTATTGAACTAATAGCTCACAATTACACAGCGTTACCTGGGAGACGCTGGCCCTTTTTCTTCCTCTTCCTCGTGATTACTTTGATTTTCTGTAAATAAATTCAGAGAAGCAGGTCACATTCAGCAAATCACACTTCACATATGACCAAATAAGTGTCCAGTCATAGCACAAGGACATAAATATTCTCAGTGCGAGAATATGGATTCTGACAGGAATGTTATAGATTAAGTCTTGTGTGAAGTAGATGAGCCTGCTTTCCAGACCCACAGGCCAAAATCTCCCTCTATGTGTAGACCGTAATGCCACATTCCCTGCCTGAGTCTATGCAAGTTAAACAAAATTTTTTCCCAAAAAATCTCCAAAACTTGGTCAAGCTACTTTCTGAGAGTGTTGCTGCAATACTGACTTATCTCACCAGATAATATGGTCATTGAATGTTTAAAGGCATCTATGCATGAGACTAGACTGTTGGATAAATTCTAACAACTCTGTCTTAAAAAATAATCTGCAATTTGGGAGGCCAAGGTGGGTGGATCACTTGAGGCCAGGAGTTCGAGACCAGCCTGGCCAACATGGTGAAACCTTGTCAGTACTAAAAATATAAAAAATAGCCAGGCATGGTGGTGTGCACCAGTGGTCCCAGCTACTCAGGAGGCTGAGGCAGGAAAATCGCTTGAACCCAGGAGGCAGAGATTGCAGTAAGCCGAGACTGTGCCACTGCACTCCAGCCTGGGTGACAGAGTGAGACTCTGTCTCAAAAAATATATATATATGTGATGCTACGAAGAAACATTGGACATTGATGGAGTGGAGAACTCAGGGCCCAACCTTGCTCTGTGGAAACATATCAGCAAGGTAAAGAATAAATGTTTCCATCCTGGTTTCAAGGTGACTGTGCAGCTAAGCAAGCTGACTTAAAGGAGATCAAGACTGAAGCTGAGAGCAGTGAAACTCGGGGAACAATATCTCCAAATACAAAGGCAAGGCTGCCAGTTTCCTTAAAAAGGCATAAAAACTCCATGGACTTTGTTCAGGGACAGATGACATAATGACAGGTGATGAGAGATATTGGATCTAAGCTAGGAGGCTTGATAGATACCTCCTGCACACCTCCTGGACAAAGGTAACTATGAGTTTGTCCCAATTGCCTGGGGTCCATGACACTGGGAACAGGGAGACAGAGGCATGATATGGGCTGAGGAGGAGAGGAAAACTCCCTAAACCTCCTGATATCTGTGTTTAGTACCCCATCCTAATTTCTAATTCAAACCAATTTGTTTGTATAGAGCTCTTTTTCAGAGTTGATCTTCCTCAGCCTAGACAGAGGTATGAGGGACAGGGAATATAGAGTCTACCTGGGAGAATGTGTAGAGCATCCTCCCATTCATCATGAGAGGATTCACTGTCTACAACCAGCCCAGAGTCAAATTTGTCTGCCTCAAATGTGATTTTGGTGTTCCTGTGTGGCTGGTTGGAGTCCTAAGTGCCGTGGCTATTTGAACAAGTGACGGCACATTCCTCCAGTGAGTCCTCAGGGACTTCCTTTTCTTCAGCCTTCTGCACCTCCCTGATGAGTCAGGTGGGATAGAGATGGCAAAATATTAAACAGAGAGGGATTGGACACCAGGGAGTCCTAGCCAGTTTTGACAGAGGCATAAGAGAATTGTCCCCAAAAGCAAAGGGGTGGCTCCCTCTAAGAGGGAACAGGCACTCCTCCTCTCTCTGCAAGAGATTGTGGATGCCATGGGAGCCAAAGAGGAAGAGAGCAGCTGGTGTTCATTGCACTGGGAAGATAGGAGCTGAAGAAGATGGAGGCTCAACTGTCTCTATGTGTGCAGATGTGACACTCAGCATGCATGGAGAACCATAACAGCTGCTACATCGTGTGCCAAAGTTGGGTTGAATTTAAATACTGTGGCCAAAGGAATACAGGCTCTTGAGCCACTGTAGGCTCCAGAAATGGTGTGCCTTCTAGGTCTTTTTTTTTTTTAATATTGTGAAATGTACAATTTTTTTCTAGGTACTTCTCTTGATGTTTATATTTTCTAGAAACTTCCTAAATAATTCCTCTGTTTGTTACCTCTTTACTATTTTTTTGAGACACATTCTCGCTCTGTTGCCCAGGCTGGTGTGCAGTGGCACAATCTTGGCTCACTGCAAACTCCACCTCCCGGATTCAAGCGATTCTCCTGCCTCAGCCTCCCAAGTAGCTGGGATTACAAGTACCCACCACCACACCTGGTTAATTTTTGTATTTTTAGTAGAGACGAAATTTTGCCATGTTGGCCAGGCTGGTCTCGAACTGCTGACCTCAGGTGATCCACCCACATTGGCCTCCCAAAGTGCTGGGATTACAGGTGTGAGCCACCATGCCTGGCCCACCTCTTTGCTATTTATCTTTCTTAACAAGAACCTGAAGACAATCATGTAGAAAGCAGCTTTGCATCTCCTCCTGGTTTTCATTACAGGAGAGAACAGTTCTCTGTGAATGCAGGAAATCCCTAGGGCTGGTGGGTTTATCGAGGGTCATGCTTACAAGGACCATGAAGACAATGGACTAGGGCTATTTCCTTGTTGGGTGAGCGCATGAAATGAGCACACTCTGCAGCTTTCTTTACCCTCCATCTGGAATCTGTGACTACCTTCAACTCACTTGTATTCTTTCTAAGACCTTTTCCATGGTTTATCCACCCACTACCTGCCTGATTATTCAGTGTTACCTGGGGGCAGGTGATTCTCATCCTTTATGAATCTCTTCATCTTTATCATTTTCATTATCACCTTCATCATTCTCTGCAAACAAATATAGAAGTGTCCATTTAGATATTCCTCACTTCACACACTGCAAGTACAGCAAGCCCTATGTGCACAGAGACATTAACATCTATGTATGGGTCAGCATTGTGCTGAAAGCTCTCATGTTTTATCTTTAACAAAATTCCCTGGTATGGTTTCCTGATCCATCAGGCAATGAATTTCTGATCTGGAGGGCCACCATCAAGCTGTGGCCAAATATTGAAAAGACCTTTTGCTCCCCGTATCACTGGAGGCTTGTCCAGCATCTTTCTGGACTTTGGCAGCTGTCTTCCCCATCCTGCCACAGATCTGATTCCCAGGCACAGGATCGGTGTCCTGTCACAACTCTCACATTTAGAATATATTTCTTTCTCTTACGGGAGGACAAACAGCCTTGTCCCACCTTTCTCCATGCATTGGGAGACTTCACAAGCCCTCCAAGTTGGCTTCTGCTGTGTTATTCAGGGACATTCTCTCCATGGGGAGTGCTCCAGTCTGAAGCACTTCCTACCACCAAATGCCCCCACATCAAGTGCCTTCTCCAACACCACACGGTGAGGGGCTTCATCTTATTTTGAAATGTAATCATAAGTGTTCCCATATTTGAATGCTGTATCTACCATTGAAGAGACATTTTGACCCCTGTAGAGATTTAGACAAAGAAATCCAGAAAGGATAAATCAATCACTCACCCAAGGTTACTAAGGACATTGCTGAAGATACAGCCTGGGAAACTTCATTCTTAATCCAGGACTCTTTTTACTCTAACAAGTTGCCTCCTGTCACAGCCTCCTTCCTATCCTTTAAAACTGAATGGATATGGCCTCTTGCTCCAAAGAACGTGACTATCAAGGAGGAGGAGACATTTGCAATACTGTGACCTCTAACCCCATGGACTTCTTGTCTCTGTTCCTACCCAGGAAATCCTGGTCATGTCATGGCCACATATGTTTAATGGAAAGAAACACCACCTATGTAACTGTCATTGTGGAGGTATGGAGGTGTAGAGTCTCTCACAAGCCTGGGGTTTTGTGTCATCAGGGCCTGTGGTCTCCTTATCTGGGCTGAGCTTGTGGACAAGGTGCTCAGCCAGCCTGCTCTCAGAGGTCCTGCCCCTGGGAGTTGTCAGAATCATCAGGAGTGAGGAGGGCCTTGAGATGCTGATTCAGTAAGAGGAAGGCATCTCTCCCTTCCCGTAACTTGTCCTGTAACTGGGCCGGCTCTCGGGCCTGGGAGTGAACAGAGACTTTATATTGCCTAAGGTGGGATAGTAGAGAAAATTTAGTAGTGGAAAGAGATGAGTGATCAGTTCTAATATCGAAACAAAGGAGCCCTCCACGCAGAAAGTCAGCACATATTAAAGGAAATGCCTGTTGCAAAGAGAAAGAAAAATGTATTTTTTTAAAAAAACAGGTCTTCCCCACTGCGATAGAGAGAGAGAGCTCCAGGAAGATTTTTCAACATTCCATTCATCTTTTTCTTCTGTAACCAAATCAGTTCCAAAAGGATTTTCCTTCAATTTCTCATTTTGCCTGTGGACATTTTCATGTTCAAATACACATCGTGCATTATTCAGTGACTGGACACAAAGCCGTGCACAGAAATGTGGCCAGGTACAACTGGAAACATGAAAGAATAAAAGAATGACAGTGTCAAGAAGGCAATAGTGGTTGAAGAAATGAGAAGCCCAAGTCAGTTAGGAGTTGATTCTGACTAAGAGTAAATGCAGTGGTGATCGCACAGCATCTTGAGTATACTGAATGCTGCTGGGTAGTTCACTTTCCTTTGGTTAATTTTGTGTTATGCAAATTTCACCTCAACAATTACTTGTTAGAAAAAGAGAAAACGAGGCTCTGAGAAATAACTGCAACCCATAAATTACTATTATTGTTCTCTGTTTTATAAATATTTGTGTGACATGTGTCTGCCATGGCAATTCCTGCCCTTCCCCTGGCTCGGCTTAGCTCTTACTTCTCCCCCGCTGAGCTGCTGCACAGAGATTCACACTCCTGCCCACCTGCCTGCCCCCAATGGGGCCCCCTCACCTGAGCTTTCCAGCTTGCCTGAGCTTCTCTGCCAGCTTCTCCTCCTTGAACTGCAGCTCATCCCTCAGCCTAGATTTTATGAGGTCTTTGCACTCTTCACACTCTGAGAAAAGACAGACACACCTGCCTCAGTGGAAGGCTGGACATGCTGTTGCAGTCACTGCCTACAGGGCAGGAGCCAGGTCCATCCCAAGGACAAAACTGTCCCCAGTACCAGGCTCTAGGCAGGGATTGCACATCTTTACTCTTCAGTCTCCTCACTTCCTGGCATCTGATACTCCCCAACTTAGAGATAGGAAAAAAGCTCAGGGGCCCACCAAGCAACTTGACAAGATGATTCACCTGGAATGAGGTAGGGTCAGAATTCACAGCCCCTGAGGTCTGACTCTGAATCATGGGACACTTTCCCAAGCCTTGCAGCCTCTCCTGCACTGGGGCATAAAGTAGTGATTTTCTGTACAGCTGGGAAGGCTTCTAGGACTATGGGACTGTGAAAGGAAAATATCTTGGGCCTCCAAAATCACTAAGGAAAACTCAAGCTGGGAACTGCTTAAGGCAAACCTGCCTCCCATTCTATTCAATCACTCCTCTGCTCACTGAGATAGATGTATATCTGATTTGACTACTTTGGAAAGGCTAATCAGATACTCAAAATAATGTAACCATTTGTGTGTCACCCATCTGTGACCTGGAAGCTCCCTCCCATGGAAGCTCCCTCTCCACTTTGAGTTTTCCTGCCTTTCCTTCAAGATTTCCTGTCTTTCCAGACTGAACCAATTTACTTCTTACATATATTGGTTGATGTCTCATGTCTCCCTAAATGTATAAAACTAAGCCGTGCCCCAACCACCTTGGGTACATGTCGTCAGGACCTCCTGAGGCTGTGTCCTTGTGCGTCCTCAACCTTGGCAAAATAAACCTTCTAAATCAACTGAGACCTGTCTCAGATTTGTTGGGTTCACATTTTGGTAACCACCACGGGGGGATTCTGAGTGGAGATGCCCCTGACCTTTGACAAATCTCCTGTCAGTGCTTGGTACCAGCATGAGCTAACTTTATGGCTCAAGCCAATAGGATAATTTGCTGAGATCTGACAGCACCCCCTCCAGAGAATCCCTGATCTCCCCAAATTTGGTTGAGATCTTAAGTTTATTTTACTGTACAACTCTTCTTTTTTTGGAGTTTTACTTGCTTTCAACAGGAAGGCAAATTTTCCTGCTTCCATGACAATGGAATGCAGGTAACTCCTTTATGAAGTTTGAGCTTGCTTCTTCCAACAGGGAAGATGAGTTGTTTTCTCTTCTTCTAGGATGGTAGAGAGCAGTCTACAGACTGAGACCAATCACTAGTTAAGAAACTAGTTTGGGATTGTATCTTGCAAATTCCTTTTAAACGACTAAAATAAGCATTTAACAACCAGCTGGTGTTAATTTCTGCTTACACTTAGAGTACTCAGAAATCATATAATTTGGATCTTCCTGCCTTTGCTTCAAGTTGTCCCGCCTTTCCAGACTGAACAAATGCACTTCTTACATATATTAATTGATGTCTCATGACCACCTTGGGCACATGTCGTCAGGACTTCCTGAGGCTGTGTCCCACGTGCGTCCTCAACCTTGGCAAAATAAACTTTCTAAATTAACTGAGACCTGTCACAGATTTTGTGTGTTCACAGGACTGATTTCTTTTTTAACTGGGAATTTTAAGCACCAATATGTGCAAGATTTTAAAAATCATATCTGGATATAATTGCATAAAATATGAGGCATAAGACCATAAGGTCATGAAGGAAATATGCCCAAATACTAATCAAGTTCCTGTTAAGTTAGAAACCGTAGAATGAAGAACTAATAGTGTTTACTCTGTGCCAACAACTGTTCCAGGAGGTTTACAAGCAATAGGTTGTATAATTCATTGTAGCAATTTACCAAGGTAGGTATTATTATAATACCCATGAACAGATGAGGAAACTAAGGCACAGAGAAGATGAGCAACTTGGATGGAGCCCAGGAAACTAGCCCAGGGTCCCTGCTTTACACACTGCTACCTCCACACAGTCTTGGGGGCTCTCTTTTTTCCTCTTTAGAAATAAGAGCCTCAGCCAGGTGTGGTGGCTCATGCCTGTAATCCCAGCACTTTGAGAGGCCGAGGCGGGCGGATCACCTGAGGTCAGAAGTCCGAGACCAGCCTGACCAACATGGAGAAACCCCATTTCTATTAAAAATACAAAAATTAGCTGGGTGTGGTGGTGCATGCCTGTAATCTCAGCTACTTGGGAGGCTGAGGCAGGAGAATCACTTGAACCCAGGAGGCAGAGGTTGTGGTGAGTCGAGATCGGGCCATTGCACTCCAGCCTGGGCAACAAGAAAGAGTGAAACTCTGTCTCAAAAAAAAAAAGAGAGAGAAATAACAACCTGTGCCCCAGGAAGCAAGACTTCCCTGTCACCAGGGTATTCCCTGCTCTTGATGCTGTCACTTATGGATACCACAATTTCTATTAGGTGCAGACTCCTCTTTAAGCTCCTTGGAGTTGGTACTGTGTGCTATCACCACGTTTCCACCAGGGTCCTCAGCATGGAACTTTGCCTATCAGGCCTCAACAGCCTGAACTGAATGGAAATTCATTAGTCCCAGATATGTAGAGCCACAGATTAGATGCTACTTGTCTGCAGGATCTTATATGGTACAGAGAGAATTCTTGTAAACATGATTTAGCCTCTTGCTGAGAAAAACAGGTGGTTCTGTTCCTATGTCAGAAATCAATAACTGGTATTTTAACTCTAGTCCCACCCCACACCAAATTGCAAACATGGAAAAGTTGCTGAATACTTTGTGCCTCTGTTTTCCATCTTTTAAAAAATGAGGTTAAAATATCCTCTTCTGTTTTCCTAGAAGCATGGAAAGGATAAAATTAATTTTGATTAAGAGAGCATTTCATCTCTCAGGGAGAAGATGGGCGATCATTCATCATTTTTGGTATAGTGAGCCTATAGAATTTACTGTACTTCTTCAGCTGGTTGGCCAGGGAGTAGGCAATAGTTTGAGTTATAAGAAATTTCTCTTTGAGGTCTCAGAACTGCTGTTTGCTCTATGCCAGCTGCGAGCGCAATTCTTGGTTGATTTCTAGGATGTTCATCTCTGCCCTCTCACTCAACAAAAGGCTGGCAGATACAGCCATGCTGACATTTATGCCAGAAGAGGTTGAGCCAGGGACTAAGGAGAAGAAACCCAAACACATAATGGGTTGAAGACTAGTGAAATCAAATAGGTTTAATCAGGACTGAGGGATGACAGTAACTGGAATTGTTACCGCTGAGAAAAACTTGATCACTCCCCACAGCACTTTAGAGTCCTTAACCACAAAAACAGAGTTTGAGATGCCAGATATCTGAGCCAAAGTCACTGCCTGTAGCTCAGGCTCTGATAAGAGTGAGGCAGCTAGTGGCCAGCGTGCCAGGTAATGGCCTGCAGTTGCAATAACAAAATTAGAAGGTGGGAGTGTCATGGAATCTTAGGAACCCTGCATTACAATTGCCCAGGGTTTGCTGAAATACAACACCTCCTGGTCTTACCTGAGGGTCACCATTGAGGGGGACCATTCGTTCAGCAGTCATTCTCAGTATTTGTGTACTTTTGTGACAATGCCACAGATCCATCTCTTTCCCAATACAACTAAGCATATCCTCATTGTTCGCTTCTTGTGTGTACAAGGCAGAAACAGTTTCCCAACAGGTTATATTTTCCTTTTTTTCTTTTTTTTATTATTATTATACTTTAAGTTTTAGGGTACATGTGCACAATGTGTAGGTTAGTTATGTATGTATACATGTGCCACGCTGGTGTGCTGCACCCGTTAACTCATCATTTAGCATTAGGTATATCTCATAATGCTATCCCTCTCCCCTCCCCCCACCCCACAACAGTCCCCAGAGTGTGATGTTCCCCTTCCTGTGTCCATGTGTTCTCATTGTTCAATTCCCACCTATGAGTGAGAATATGCAGTGTTTGGTTTTTTGTCCTTGCAATACTTTACTGAGAATGATGATTTCCAATTTCATCCATGTCCCTACAAAGGACATGAACTCATCATTTTTTATGGCTGCATAGTATTCCATGGTGTATATGTGCCACATTTTCTTAATCCAGTCTATCATTGTTGGACATTTGGGTTGGTTCCAAGTCTTTTCTATGGTGAATAGTGCCGCAATAAACATATGTGTGCATGTGTCTTTATAGAAGCATGATTTATAATCCTTTGGGTATATACCCAGTAATGGGATGGCTGGGTCAAATGGTATTTCTAGTTCTAGATCCCTGAGGAATCGCCACACTGACTTCCACAATGGTTGAACTAGTTTACAGTCCCACCAACAGTGTAAAAGTGTTCCTATTTTTCCACATCCTCTCCAGCACCTGTTGTTTCCTTTTTAATGATTGCAATTCTAAATGGTGTGAGATGATATCTCATTGCAGTTTTGATTTGCATTTCTCTGATGGCCAGTGATGGTGAGCATTTTTTCATGTGTCTTTTGGCTGCATAAATGTCTTCTTTTGAGAAGTGTCTGTTCATGTCCTTTGCCCACTTTTTGATGGGGTTGTTTGTTTTTTTCTTGTAAATTTGTTTGAGTTCATTGTAGATTCTGGATATTAGCCCTTTGTCAGATGAGTAGGTTGCAAAAATTTTCTCCCATTTTGTAGGTTTTCTGTTCACTCTGATGGTAGTTTCTTTTGCTGTGCAGAAGCTCTTTAGTTTAATTAGATCCCGTTTGTCAATTTTGGCTTTTGTTGCCGTTGCTTTTGGTGTTTTAGACATGAAATCCTTGCCCATGCCTATGTCCTGAATGGTAATTCCTAGGTTTCCTTCTAGGGTTTTTATGGTTTTAGGTCTAACATGTAAGTCTTTAATCCATCTTGAATTAATTTTTGTATAAGGTGTAAGGAAGGGATCCAGTTTCAGCTTTCTACATATGGCTAGCCAGTTTTCCCAGCACCATTTATTAAATAGGGAATCCTTTCCCCATTGCTTGTTTTTCTCAGGTTTGTCAAAGATCAGATAGTTGTAGATATGTGGCATTATTTCTGAGGGCTCTGTTCTGTTCCATTGATCTATATCTCTGTTTTGGTACCAGTACCATGCTGTTTTGGTTACTGTAGCCTTGTAGTATAGTTTGAAGTCAGGTGGCGTGATGCCTCCAGCTTTGTTCTTTTGGCTTAGGATTGACTTGGCGATGTGGGCTCTTTTTTGGTTCCATATGAACTTTAAAGTAGTTTTTTCCAATTCTGTGAAGAAAGTCATTGGTAGCTTGATGGGGATGGCATTGAATCCATAAATTACCTTGGGCAGTAAGGCCATTTTCATGATACTGATTCTTCCTACCCATGAGCATGGAATGTTCTTCCATTTCTTTGTATCCTCCTTTATTTCATTGAGCAGTGGTTTGTAGTTGTCCTTGAAGAGGTCCTTCACATCCCTTGTAAGTTGGATTCCTAGGTATTTTATTATCTTTTAGTAATTGTGAATGGGAGTTCACTAATGATTTGGCTCTCTGTTTGTCTGTTATTGGTGTATAAGAATGCTTGTGATTTTTGTACATTGATTTTGTATCCTGAGACTTTGCTGAAGTTGCTTATCAGCTTAAGGAGATTTTGGGCTGAGACAATGGGGTTTTCTAGATATACAATCATGTCATGTGCAAACAGGGACAATTTGACTTCCTCTTTTCCTAATCGAATACCCTTTATTTCCTTCTCCTGCCTAATTGCCCTGGCCAGAACTTCCAACACTGTGTTGAATAGGAGTGGTGAGAGAGGGCATCCCTATCTTGTGCCAGTTTTCAAAGGGAAAGCTTCCAGTTTTTGCCCATTCAGTATGATATTGGCTGTGGGTTTGTCATAGATAGCTCTTATTATTTTGAGATACGTCCCATCAATACCTAATTTATTGAGAGTTTTTAGCATGAAGGGTTGTTGAATTTTGTCAAAGGCCTTTTCTGCATCTATTGAGATAATCATGTGGTTTTTGTCTTTGGTTCTGTTTATATACTGGATTACATTTATTGATTTGAGTATGTTGAACTAGCCTTGCATCCCAGGGATGAAGCCCACTTGATTATGGTGGATAAGCTTTTTGATGTGCTGCTGGATTCGTTTTGCCAGTATTTTATTGAGGATTTTTGCATCAATGTTCATCAAGGATATTGGTCTAAAATTCTCTTTTTTGGTTGTGTCTCTGCCCGGCTTTGGTATCAGGATGATGCTGGCCTCATAAAATGAGTTAGGGAGGATTCCCTCTTTTTCTATTGATTGGAATAGTTTCAGAAGGAATGGTACCAGCTCCTCCTTGTACCTCTGGTAGAATTTGGCTGTGAATCCATCTGGTCCTGGACTCTTTTTGGTTGGTAAGCTATTGATTATTGCCACAGTTTCAGAGACTGTTATTGGTCTATTCAGAGATTCAACTTCTTCCTGGTTTAGTCTTGGGAGGTTGTATGTGTCGAGGAATTTATCCATTTCTTCTCGATTTTCTAGTTTATTTGCGTAGAGGTGTTTGTAGTATTCTCTGATGGTAGTTTGTATTTCTGTGGGATGGGTGGTGATATCCCCTTTATCATTTTTTATTGCATCTATTTGATTTTTCTCTCTTTTCTTCTTTATTAGTCTTGCTAGCGGTCTATCAATTTTGTTGATCCTTTCAAAAAACCAGCTCTTGGATTCATTAATTTTTTGAAGGGTTTTTTGTGTCTCAATTTCCTTCAGTTCTGCTCTGATTTTAGTTATTCAACAGGTTATATTTTCTTAATGGTAGTCATGAAGTCACCACACTTTCTCTTTCAGTTAAAACAGAGCTGAAGGCTTTTCCACAAGTGAAAGATATCAAACTGTTAGACCGCCATGATATTCTCAGCGTCGTCTGCAGCTTTTTCTTTATCCACTAAAAAGTGAATGAATAATTCATTTTTTAAAAATGTTTTCTTTCCCATCTCAGTATTCTTCTTGCTGCATCTCATTGTTAGGTTGATTTCTTTTCTCTTACTGGATGAGAATTTTGACTTTTCATTGCACTTAAGACAAGTTTGACACCACTATCTTCAAAGCTTTTCTTCTATGTGTGGGTTGATTTGTTTTCTAATGTCAGTGAGCACTACCTTTTATACTTGTCACTTATCGATGTCATTCTAGTCCCACAAGAGCTCTTTTCAAGGTATCAAGTAATATACATATATCACGTGTGACCATCTATCTTGGGAAGTTTTGTAAACCTGATACTATTTTGTTGCTTTCATTCAGTTTTCCCATATAATAAAAAGAACAGGGCCGTGAGCAGTTCTTATGGAACACTGACATATATATATTTTCTGAGTTTGTCTAACACCATTGAAGTGTGGTTGCATTCCACTAACAGAACATGGCAAGATCAAGGGGGCAAGACACGGTCAGGGGTGGTTTGTGATCCTCAGTGTTTCTGTGCAGTAGAAGGTGAGTTTTAGATGAGAGGGATGAGTAGGGGAGAGTGATCCCAAGCCACCTCCTCACTTTCTCAGCTTTTATCCCCACCTAGGTTTTGTGAGCCTGGGACTGGGGAGATAGTCCCACAGCCCAGGTCTCCTAGGTTTGGCTGCTGGACTTGTGTGATTTGAGGGTGCAATGAGCATGACCCTGGGCTACTCAGCATTCATGTGGAAGTGAAGGATGGAGGACTGGGTCAATCTCATTTGAAAGCATGCCTCTCAGCAGCCCCCACCATCCTCCAACTACACTGTGTAAGGACATTGCTTTGAAATGTATCAATGTAAATAAATTTATTTTCTGGTGTCTGTGAGACCTGACATTATATGGCAAGAAAAAAATTGTAAAATTTCTTTATTTTAAAAATGGTGAAGGTCGGGTGCAATGGCTTACGCCTGTAATCCCAGCACTTTGGGAGGCTGAGGTGGTGGATCACCTGAGGTCAGTAGTTCGAGACCAGCCTGACCAACATGGAGAAACCCTGTCTCTACTAAAAAAAAATACAAAATAAGCCGGGCATGGTGGTACATGACTGTAATCCCAGCTACTCGGGAGGATGAGGCAGGAGAATTGCTTGAACCCGGGAGGCGGAGGTTGCAGTGAGCTGAGATCACACCACTGCACTTCAGCCTAGGCAACAAGAGTGAAACTCCATCTCAAAAAAAAAAAAATGGTGAAACTGGAGGTCACAAAGTTACATGACTGACTTGAGGTCACACAGGGATGAGTTGTGAGCACTGCCAATAAAAGCAATCACAATAATTATTCAGTAGTTATTCATAGAATCCATATAATTCAGTAAATATTTATATAATTATTCAGTAATTATTCATTGACCAATTTGTACCAGGCATTTTGCTCAAAACTGTGCACATATATAGACATTGTATTTTCACCATAATCCTTAAAGTAATGTTGTTATTTATAAAAAACAGATAAGAGACCTGAAGAAGAGGGATAACAAATTATTTATTTGACCAGATTTCCATTTTTTTTTTTTTGTTTCTGTGATTCTGAAAGAATGAACAGAATGAGTCAAGGGAAGAATATTTATTATGCATCATTTTCCAAACAGAGGTGTGCCCTCCTAGAGTATTGGGACCAAAATTCAGAAGTGTCTGAAGTGTGAGACTTGGGTCTTCCCTTGACTGTGTTTAATTTACTCTTCTATTGAATACCTATGAGTCTCACTAAGATTTTTGCCTTTTTATAACCACAATATATGTTTTATGAAGGGGATTTTACTATTAGATCTATTTAGAAAGAATAAATATAAGTTATTGTTCAGGTTTTATGCACTGGACTTAGTATTTTTCAGATTTCCGTTTTGAGATTAAATTCTCATGTAAAAAGAAAAATAACTGTTATTACTTATAAAGAACAAATTAGTTATTGGTTTGAGTTTTTGAAAATGAAACACAAACTTCTGATTTTATCTTTGTTTATCCCCATCAGGCGCCACCCATTGTCTCTCAGAATGACCTGGCCTTGCTCCTGCACTTAGCCGTGCAGTGCTGAACCATCTCCATGCACTGTCCAATTCACTCAGTGATTTGGGCTCCTCCCAAGGCTCCCTGAAATGGGTACAGGTCTCAGGATGTCGGACACATTTTAGTTGCAAAAGCAACCCATACTGTAGAGTGGACAGCTGTGTTCTTACTTCCCCAAAGTTGGCAGAGATGTCCTAGGACATGAAGGAATGCTTTCCCTTTTTAGAAGATCTTTCCTTCATGTCTCAATGCCTCTGGACAACTGTCCTGAATGTGAAAGAAATTGCTAAATTTCTGATCTTTTGTTAGATAGCTAGAATAGATTTATAAGACTTCCTTACTTTCCCATGTCTGCTGAAATTTGAATTCTTAGCCATATGATTCCTTTTCTTGTAAGCTGAGCAGCTTAGGAAAGATTGGCCATGTTGCTGTGCAAAAAGAGGTAAACTTAATTTCTACTCAAAGCATGCTTGAATTTGAAACTAGGGCTTCCACTCTTCCAAAGCTGGACTGTCACTGCCTCGGGCATGTGTCCCAAAGGGCTCCTGTCTCTGCTGTACTCAGGATAAAGTTTAAGTGGAGCTCAGCAAGCCAGATCTCCTTTACTTCTAGGTTCCCCTAACAGTTTCTCCTCTGCTTTAGAGACTGCATTGAAAATATTCTTGTTCTGCTGTTGTGTTTTGGCTTTGGAATGATGTGATGCAGCTCAATGGGTCCTACCCCCAAGTTGATCAGAGTAAGAAACAGCTGGGAAAGTTGGTGCAAATACAAGTTCATTCTCCTCCTGGCACAAATTTTGATTCTATGGTCTCAGATGGGCCTGGAATGTGTTTGTTAACATTATTCGGATGTGCAGTCAGTTTGGGGACCCACTGATACCATTGACCTTACAGTTTACAGGATGATTATTTCTGTTTTGCTGATGAAAAAACCAAGGCACAGAGAGTCTGTAACTTGCCCAAGTTCCCTTTGCTGTAAGCCCTGGAGCCAGATCTCAAGTGGAGCAGCCTCTTCCCCATCCCCTTCCCACATTTTCCAATTCAGTCATGTCAGTTCTTTCCAAGTATGTGTTTCTCTTCCCTATACCTTATTTCTACAAACAACAGTAAGAACAACAACACCTTTTTGAATTTAATTTGTTTCATTCCATCACAGCATGCTGTCAGCATCATATTCTGGTCACTTACTTTTAATGCAAGATGCTTGAGATAGGCTCTCGTTCTGTCACCCAGGCTGGAGTGCAGTGCTGATTATAGCCAACTGCAACCTCAGACTCCTAGGATCAAGTGATCATCTTGCGTCAGCTTTCCAAGGAGCTGGAACTGTAGGCACACATCACCATTCCTGGCTAATTTTTTTTTTTTTATTTTTTATAGAGAGGAAATCTTGCTATGTTGCTCAGAGTGGTCTAGAACTCCTGGCCTCAAGTGATCCTTTCACCTAGGCCTCCAAAAGTGCTGGGACTACAAGAGTAAGCCACTGAGCCTGGCCCTGAGATGATTTTTTTTTTTTTTTCATGAAAATACAGGGCATGGAGGTGTGGAAAGACACCTTGCTTTATTATTGTTGTTATTATTATTTGTAAAGTATAATTCATAAATCACAAAATTCACCATTTTTAAGCATACCATTCAGTGTCTTTTACTATATTCCAAAGGTTTTGCAACCATCACCACCATCTAATTTTAGAATATTTTCATAATGCCAAAAAGCATGCCTGTACTTACTGCCAGTCACTCTCAAATTCTCCCTGTTGTGCAGTCCCTGACAACCACTAATCTACTTTATCTCCCTATGGATATACTTGTTATGGACATTTCCTATATATGGAATAATACAACGTGGCCTTTTGCACATGCATCTTTTACTTAGCACAATATTCTCAAGGTTCATTTTTGTTATAGCTTACATCAGTACTTCAATCCTTTCTATGGCCAAATAATATTCCATTATACAGTTATACCACATTTTGTTTATCTGTCCATCAACTGATGATCAGTTGGGATGTTTCCACTTTTTAACTATTATGAATAATGCTGCTGTAAATTTTTTGTACATGTTTTTGAGTGAACATCTGTTTGTAATTTGTTTGGTTATATAACTATGAGTGCAATTGCTGCATCATAAGTCACTTGTTTAAGTATTCGAGGAACTGACAGACTCTTTTCCAACCTCAGTGGCTATACCATTTTACATTTCCACTAGTAATACATGAGAATTCCATTTTCTCCATAACTTTTCAAACACATGTTGTCTTTTTTTTTTTAAGTAACACTAGTGGGTGTGAAGTGGTATCTCACTTTGGTTTAAATTTACATTTTCCTAATGATGAAAAAATTGAACATATTTGCAGGAGCTTGTGGGCCCTTCATATGTACCCTTTAGAGAAATGTCGATTGAATCCTTTTTTCTCATTGTTAAATTTGGTTGTCTTTTATTGCTGTTTTATGAATTATTTATATACTCTAGATACTAGACCCTTGTCAGATATATGACTAGCAAATAGTTCCCCATTATGTGAATCATCTTTTCACTTAAATGACAGAGTCCTTTGAAGCATGAAAGTTTTTTTATTTTAATAAAATCCATTTATTTATCTATTTTCAGGTTGCTTGTCCCTATTTAACAAATGTCTAATCCAGAGTCACAAAGATTTATACCTATGTTTTCTTCAAGACATCACTTTTGGAATGAGAACTTTCCCGGGTTTTAGTGGAGGATGGACATTGTTTATTTATGCCTCCCGTTCATTACAATATTTTTCCTGATCGGTATTCATATGCCCACTGCCCCTCCATGGAGCATCCCATGGCCTGTAACAGAGCTCTGAGGACTGGTATCCTTCCACTAATTTTGATGCTGGCGAGAGCTCTGGTCATATATTTCAGCTTGAATTTAACCCAACCCAGTTGCATCTATAGCTCAGGGCCATTAGAGTTGAAGTCAAGAGCCACTCTGAGAATGCTTGGCAGCCCGTGCTACTCTAAGACTGCAGTGGACTTTCTCAGTTCATTCCAGACAGAAGAGACCACAGGGGTTGGACCCAGTCAAGACTTTCACCTCTGGTGTTAGAAAGTAGACCTGCTTCAGGGTTTGGGGAAGGTTATTTAATACGAACTAGATCCTCTCTAATTATTTATACTGCATGTGTGACTTCTTTCTAGAAACAACGGAAGAATATGTTAGAACATTTTGTCTATTCTTTGTCAATTGTTGTTTGACTACAAATTTTAAAGTAGATAAAGGAAAGCTCAGTGTAACTATATTCTTAACACTTAATTAGGGTTCATGTCCACTGCAATGTGATCATATTTAATTCTATAAACTATCTAGTTACTTAGATATTATCTGGTTCCTGATGAGAAAATAAACTCAGACAGATTAGAAAATTTCTCTAGGTCACAAATCTAGTAAGAAGAGGAATAAGAATTAGAAGCCAGTTCCTTTTGGCCTTCAAAGCTAACCTTGTACCATTAGATCAAACTGAATGACAGTACTTTTACAGGAATTGGTCTCAGAATTTGTGGTTCTACATTGATTTTCCCAAGGAAACAGTGTGTCATTTTAATATTATTTTAAACTTTTAAATTTCAAACCTTTTTTAAAATTATACATTTTTTGTTTGTTCTGTTCCATTGATTTTGGTTTCTTCTCAATGGATCCCTATTATTTATATGCTGAATATTTGTTACCTATCTTCTGTCACTTTTCACTTTTTTTGAGTGTTTGTCATCTCTCCCTTTGCTTTATATTAACAGTTCTTCACTGAGGTGTAATTTGCATAGAGTAAAATTCAAAAAACATAAGGGCACACTTAATAAATTTTAATGTAATTATGCATTGTATAATAACACCCAGATCAAGATAGAGAACATTTTCCCCCATGTCAAAAAGTTCTGATGTGCTTTTGTCAGTCAATACTCATCCCCCAAATGAAGAATACAATCTGAATTTTGTCACTGTCTTTGTCCCTTTGTGTTGCTGGAGAGGAATACCAGAGGCTGCATAATTTATAAAGAAAAGAGGTGCATTTCACCCATAGTTCTGCAGGCTGCACAAAAAGCATGACACCAACATCTTCTCTTAATGAGGGCGTAAGACTGCTTCCACTCATGGCAGAAGGTGAAAGGGAACCAGTGTGTGCAGAGATTATATGGTGAGAGAGGAAGAAAAAGAGAGAGAGGAAAGGTGCAAGGCTCTTTTTTAATAACCAGCTCTTGCAAGAACTAAGAGAATGAGAGTTCACTCACTACCTTCTCCCAGGAAGGGGAGTAATCTATTCATGATGGATCCACTCCCATGACCCAAACACCTCCCATTAAGCCCCACCTCCAACACTGGGGATCAAATTTTAACATGAGATTTGGAGGGGACCAATATCTAAACTATAATAGCCACCATAGATGAATTTTTTTTTTATTCTTGTGCTTGATAAAAATGGAATCATTTAATATGTTCTCTTGTTTTGACTTCTCTTACTCAGGTGGTTATATATGCTACTAATTTGTTTGATTGTGCCTTTCTCTCATTTTATATTGTTTTGGCCAAGTAATATCCTATTTATTGTAGGATTATCACACAATTTGATATCATTTTTCTTTTTTCTTTTCTTTTCTTTTTTTTTTTTTTTTTTTGAGACAGAGTCTCGCCCTGTCGCCCAGGCTGGAGAACAATGGCGCGATCTCGGCTCACTGCAACCTCCGCCTCCCAGATTCAAGGGATTCTCCTGCCTCAGCCTCCCAAGTAGCTGGGATTACAGGCACGTGCCTCCACGCCCAGCTAATTTTTATATTTTTACTAGAGACGGGGTTTCACCATGTTGGCCAGGCTGGTCTCGAATTCCTAACCTCATGATCCACCCGCCTCGGCCTCCCAAAGTGCTGGGATTACAGGGGTGAGCCACCGTGCCCGGCTTGATATCATTTTTCTAATGGTAGACAGGTTTACTTGTTGACTATTATGCTTAAGTAACTATGAATATTCTCGTACAATTCTTTCTGTGAAGACACATACACATTTCTCCTGAGTATGTATAGCTAGGGATGGAATTGTTTGGTGAAAGGTTAAAAACTGACACAAAGTTTTGGGAAGTAGTTGTATTATTTTACATTTCTATGAAAAATATAAGCCATTTCCTGTTGCTGTACATTCTAACCCACTTAATATTTTCAGTCTTTTTAATTTTGGCCAATCTACCAGATGTGTAGTGATATCCTATTTTGGTTTTCACATGCCTATTGGTCATTTAGATATATTTTTATGTAAAGGGTCTTTTCAAATTTTTCTGCTCATTGATATACTGGGTTGTTTGTCATTTTCTTTGTGATCTATAGTTCTTTATATATTTTGAATGAGTCCATTTCAAATGAATGAGTCCATATATGTGTATATACACATACATATACATATACATATACATATGTTGCAAATAATTAGTCCTGGTTTACAGATAGCTTTTAACTTGTTAAACAATAACCTGTAATAAGCAGAAGCTTTTTAAAAATAAAGTACAATTTAATTTATTTCTCACTGTGATGAGTGCTACAGTATCTGGTATAAGAAATATTTTCCTATGTCAAGTTCATGAAAATATTTTCTATTTTTCTTTTACAAGACTTCTAATTTTAACTTTCACATCTTAAGTTAAATTTAATGTATTGTGGAAAGTGGTTGTTAATATTAAATTTTTAAAACAACAAATATTATTTTACTCAAGAACTTTTTTATTGAAAAGTCTTTCATTTCCTCAATTAAGGGCATTAGCGTACTTGTTTTTAAAAAATTTAAATAACTGTACATATGTGGGCATATTGTTTGAAACTGCATTCTTTTACTTTGATATATTTATGTATACTTACACCAGTAGTATAATTTTTAAGTCATTGTAGCTTTAAAATGAGTTTTAAAATATAGCAGAGTAAGTCCTCCAATTTATTGCCGCTTTAAGACTGGCTTGCCTGTTCTAGATTCTTTGATTTTTAAATACATTTTGAAATTAGCTTTTAAATTTCTCTAAAAACTACTATTAAAGTTATTAATCAGAATTATGTTGATGTAATATCCTAACAAAATGGAGTCTTCCAATCCATGAACATAATATATATATATATATATTTTAGCCTTCTTTGATTTCTCTCACCAATACCCTTTAGAGGCTTTGTATCTGCTTCAATGTATGTATTCTTAAGAATGTAATGATTTTGGATACTAATTTCTATTGTGTTTTATTGAATTTCATTTTCTAGCTGCTAATAGCTAGTAAGGAAAAAATAAGATTATGAAGTCCACTTTATAAAGGTATAATTTAGGTACAACAGTCTGCACCACTTTAAAATGTGTAATTCAATGCATGTTTACAAATGTATACACCAATGGAAATACTGCCACAATCAATATTTAGGAATTTCCCTATGCCCCAAAGTTTCTTGTACCCCTTTGAAGTTCATCAGTCTTTCAACTCTCAGCCCCAAGGAGCCACTGTCACTTTAGGTAAGTTTGCGTTTTTAACCATTTTCTATAAATGAAATTATACCTGTGTTCTTTTGTGTCTGCCTTCTTTCATGCATCATCTTAATTTTAAAATTTATCCAAATGAGTATCTGCATCAATAAATAATTCCTTGTAATTGCTGAGTAGTATTCTTTTGTGTGGCTACACCATGTTTGTTTATACATTCACTTGTTATTGGACATTTGTGTCATCCCATGTTTGAGCTATTATTAATAAAGTATAATGAGCATCCACATACAGAATATAGTGCAGACATAGTGTGTAAATTCCTAGGAATGGAATGACTGTCCAACTGATTTGTATATGTTTAACCTTATAAGAAACTGTTAGCCAGATTTTGAAAGGACCTGACCGATATGTAGTATTTTAAATGTTTTGAATTTTAGCCATTCTCATGGATACATAATGGTATCTCATCATTGTATTGATTGATCTTTCTGATGACTAAAGAGTTGAGTATCTTTTCATGTGCTAATTGACCATTCATGTATCTTCTTTTCTGAAGTATTTATTCAAGTCTTTTGAGAAACTGTTTTATAGTGCTGTTTATCTTATCAAACTGCATTTTTTATATATATATATATATATACCCCAAAAAATCCTTTGTTGGTGGTAAATATGATATCTCCTATATTGTGGCTTCTTTTTATGTTCTATTAATGTTCCATATTTTGGACATAAAGATAAATAATCTTCAAAAAGGTGATTTTACATGTACACATATAAATTCATGTCTAAGAATAATTTATTAGACATATGTAAGGATCTATTTCTGGATTCTCTCTTCTCTTCCATTGATGTATGTTCTATTTTTTTTTAACAATACACATGATCTTGATTTCCATAGCTGTATAGTAATTCTGGAAATATGTAGTGAATTCATTCACCATTGTGTTTTTATAATATTGCTCTTTTATTATTCTTGATCATTGACATTTCCATACAAATGGTAGTCAGCTTGTAAATTTCTACCAAAATGCCTGTTGGAATTTTTATTAGAATTACATTGATCTGGAGATCAGTTTGGGAAAAACTGACTTTTAAACTATAACAAGTCTTTCGATTCCTGACAAGGTTTATCTCCCCACTAATTTAGTTCTTTTATAATTTCTCAAAGCAATGTTTGGTAGTTTTTAGAGTACCAGCCTTACATAAATTTTGTTGACTTTATTTCTAAGCACATCATGTATTTAGAAGTTACTTTAAATGAAATTGTATTTTTATTTCATTTTCCGAATGCCCATTGCTGATATACAGAAATACAACATACTATATTTATATTGAACTTATGTTTGGCAATACCTTGACAAAATAGCTTAGTTTTTGTAGATTTTTGTAGATTTCTAGGATTGTTTACATACACAATCATTATCTGCGAATAAAGACAGCTTCAATTCTTTCATTTCAGTCTTTTCAATGCCTTTATTTTATTAATTTTTTTTTACTTTATTGATTTGGTTAAGATCTCTAGTATAATGCTGGATTGAAAGAGTAACAGAAGATATTCTACCTTTTTTCTCTGATTTAATAGAAAAGCATTTGACCATATGCCATTCAATATAATGTCACCTGTAGCTTTTTCGAATTTGCCCTTAGTGGGGTTGGAAGTGTTGCCTTCTGTTCTTATTATGCTGAGAGTTTTAAGGGGTTTGTATTTTTTAATCATGAAAAAGTTCTCAATTTTACCAAATACTTTTTCTGTGTATGTCAAGGTAATCATATGATTTTTCTCTTTTGTCCTGATAATATAGAGAATTATATTGGGTATTGAGATATAACTTACATGAAAGAAACTATGCATAATTAAAGTGTATCATTTTAAATGGTTGAATAGAATATACATCTGCAATCATGATAGTGGATATAGGTCGGGCACAGTGGCTTACACCTGTAATCCTGGCACTTTGGGAGGCCAAGGCAGGCAGATTGCTTCAGGTCTGGATTTTGAGACCAGCCTGGGAAACATGGTGAAACCGCATTTCTAAAAAAAAAAAAAAAAAAAAAATACAAAAACTAGCCAGCCCTGTAGTCTCAGCTACTTGGGAGGCTGAGTTGGGAGGATGGCTTGAGCCCAGGAGACAGAAATTGCAGTGAGCCAAGATTGTGCCACTGCACTCCAGTCTGGATGACAGAACCAGACCCTGTCTCAAAACAAACAAACAAACAACACAAAACAAAAAAAACCATAGAGGATAGATCTACCACTTCCAAAGTTTTCTTGTGTCCCTAGTAATTCCTTCTTCACCTTTCTCTCCCCACCTCAGGCAACCACTGGTTGTCTTTCTGTCATAGTAGATCAATTTAAATTTTCTAAAGTTTTTTATAAATAGAATCATATAGAATGTACATTTTTCTGGTTTGATTTTTTCATTCAGAATAATTATTTTGAGATGTAGACATGTTGTCAGGTGTATCAATAGATCGCTCTGCTATACTGCTGAGTAATATCCCACGTGACAGATACATCACAATTTATTTTATTCATTCACCTGTTCGTGGATTTGGATGGCTTCTGGTGTTAAGACTAAAGCTTCTATCAACAAATTTGTATGGACATATCCTTTCCTTTGATTTGGATGTAATAGCAGTATCATATTGTTGGTACAGGTTTACTATTTTAAGAAGCTGCCAAACTGCTTTATAATGTGCTTGTAAAATTTCACATTCTCATCAGCAATGCATGAAGTTTTAATTCCCATACATCTTTGCCAGTATATGGAATGGTGAATTTTTTAACTTTAGTCATTTTACTTGGTATTCAGTGGTTTAAATTTGCATTTACCTAGTTACTAACGATGTTGAATACCTTGTCATGTTGTTATGTGCCTTTCATATTTTTTTTTTGCCAAAGTATCTTTACATACCTTTTATTCATTTGAAAATTTGATTTTTTTGTCTCCTTTTTAATAATCTTTGAGAGTTCCCTTAGTGTTGTAGACAGGAGTTCTTTATCAGATATGTAATGTCCAAATATATTTTCCTTGTGTCTTGCCTTTTCATTCTCTTACCAACGCTGTTTTTTTTCTTTTTTTTCTTTTTTTGGAGACAGAGTCTCACTCTGTTGCCCAGGCTGGAGTGCAGGGGCATGATCTTGGCTCACTGAAACCTCTGCCTCCCGGGTTCAAGCGATTCTCCTGTCTCAGCCTCCCAAGTAGCTGGGATTACAGGCGCCTGCCACCATGCCTGGCTAATTTTTGTATTTTTAGTAGAGACAGTTGTTTCACCATGTTTGCCAGGCTGGCCTCAAATGCCTGACCTCATGTGATCCACCCGCCTTGGCCTCCCAAAGTGCTGGGATTACAGGTGTGGGCCACCATGTCCAGCCACAAATGTCTTTTGAAGAGCATTTTTCTAAAAGTGTTGTTGAAGTTAAATTTATTAATTTGTTCTTTTACCAGTTCTTAGGGGGAATTCTTCTAGCTTTTGCCCATTCAGTATGATGTTGGCTGTGGGTTTGTCATAGATGGCTCTTATTATGTTGAGGTATATTTCTTTGGTGTCTAGTTTGCTGAGAGTTTTAACATGAAGGAATGTTGAATTTTATCAAAAGCCTTTTCTTTATCTATTGAGATAATCACGTTGTTTTTTATTTTAGTTCCATTTATGTGATAAATCAAATTACATGTTGAACCAAGCTTGCATCCCAGGAATGAAGGCTACATGATCATGGTGGATTTGCTTTTGGATGTGCTGCTGGATTGGATTTGCTAGTATTGTGTTGAGGATTTTTGTGTTCATGTTCATCAGGCATATTGGCCTGAAGTTTTTTTTGTGTGTGTTGTGTGTCTTGGTCAATTTGGTATCAGAATGATGCTGGCCTCATAAAATGAGTTAGGTTGGGGTCCTTCCTCCTTGACTTTTTGAATAATTTCAGTAGGATTGTTATCAGCTCTTCTCTATATGTCTGGTAGAATTCAGCTATGAATCTATCTGGTCCTGGCCTTTTTCTGGTGGTAGGTTTTTTATTACTAATTCAATTTCAGAGCTCTTTATGGTCTATTCCTGGGTTTTATTTTATTTTTTCTGATTTAATCTTGGGATTATATGTTTCCATGAATTTACTCATTTATTCTAGTTTTTCTTACTGCTTTCATTGAGTTTTGTATGTATTTTCACATTTCAATTTTATTCAGTTCAGCTCTGATTTTGGTTTTCTTTTCTTCTACTAGCTTTGGGGTTGGTTTGCTTTTTTTTTTTTCCTAATTCCCCTTGGTGTAATGTCGCTTTGTTAATTTTCTTTCTTTTTTCTCTATTCTTTACAGCACAGAGTTGTTGATCCATAGTTTGTTAGTTTGAGATCTTTCTAACTTCTCCAAAAATGCCTGCTCTCACCACTGCTATTCAACATGGTATTGGAAGTCCCAGCCAGAGCAATCAGGCAAAAGAAAGAAATAAGAGGCATTGAAATACAAACAGAGGAAGCCAAACTATCTCTCTTTTCTGATGATATAATTCTATATCTAAAAAATCCCATAGTCTCTGTCCAAAGGCTCCTAGAACTGATAAACAACTCCAGTAAAGTTTCAGGATATAAAATCAATGTACAAAATTGAGTAGTATTTTTATACACCAATAACATCCAAGCTGAGGGCCAAAACAAGAATGCAGTCCCATTCACAATAGCCATGAAAAGAATAATATTTCTAAGAATATAGCTAACCAGGGAGGTGAAAGATCTCTACAACAAGAATTACAAAACATTTCTGAAAGAAATCAGAGACAAGACAAATAGAAAAACATTCCATGCTCCTAAGCAAATTAATGCAGGAACAGAAAACCAAATACCACATATTCTCACTTATAAGTGGACATGGGACTGCAGATATCTCCACTAGGTGTTCATCTCATTTCCTTTGGATATATACTCAGAAGAGGGATTGCTGGGTTATATTTTTAACTTCTTGGGAAACTGCCATACTGTTTTCCATAAGGACTGTACCAGTTTACATTTCCACCACCAGTATACAAGTGTTTCCTTTTCTACCCACCCTTGCCAACACTTCTCCCTCGTCTTTCATACCATCACCAACCTAATAAGTGTGAGGTAAAATCTCATCGTGGATTTTATTTGCATTTCCCTTATGATTAGTGATATTGAACAACTTTTCATATACATGTTGGCCATTTGTATGCCCTCTTTGGAGAAATATCTATTCAGGTCCTTTGTACATTTTTTAGTCAAGTTATTTATTTGTGATTGAATTCTATATGTTCTTTTTATTTTGGATATAAACCCTTTGACAGATATATGGCTTGCAAATATTTTCTCCAAATGAGTAGGCTGCCTTTTCATGTTGTTGATTTTTTTTTTTTTTTTTTTTTTTTTGCTGTGCAGAAGCTATTTGGTTTGATGTAGTCCCATTTGTTTATTTGTTTATTTTTGCTTTTGATGTCCTATCAAAAGAATTATTGCCAAGACCAATGTCAAGGAGCTTTTCCCCTATGTTTTCTTCTAGAAATTTTATGATTTCACATTCTACACATAAGTCTTTAATCCATTTTGAGTTGATTTTTGTGTATTTGTATGTGTCCAATTTCATTGTTTTGCATGTGGATATCCAGTTTTCCAAGCACCATTTGTTTAAGAGACTATCCTTTCCCCATTTTGTGTTCTTGGGGACATGGTCAAAAAGTAGTAGACTGTATGTACCTGGGTTTATTTCTGGGCTATCTATTCTGTTTCTGGTCTATGTGTCTGTTTTAATGCCAGTCCCATAGAGTTTTGATTACTATAGCTTTGTAATATAATTTGAAACTACATAGTATGAAAGCTTCAACTCTGCTTTTCTTTCTCAGGACTGCTGTGTCTATTCTGGGCTTTTGATGATTACATACAAATTTAGAGGTTTTCTCTATTCTGCGAAAAATGCTATTGGAATTTTGATAGGGATTGCTTTGAATTTGTAGACCACATTAGGGCAGTACAGGCATTTTAACAATATTTATTCTTCCATACCATATCTTTCCATTTATTCATATCTTCAATTTCTTTCAACAATGTTTTATAGTTTTCAGTGTGTAGGTCTTTTGCCACCTTGGTTAAACTTATTGCTGATTTTATTCTTTTTGATATTATCATAAATAGTATTTTTAGATGTTTTATTGAATAGGTCATTATTGGTATACGGAAATCCAACTGCTTTTTATTAGTTAATTTTATATCCTATGACTTTACTGAATTCATTTATTAGTTCTAACGGTTTTTTGTGGAGTCTTTAGAAGTTTCTACATATAGGATCATATTATCTGCAAATAGGAATAATTTCATTTCTTTTTTTCTGATTTGAATGCCTTTTAATTGCTTTTTCTTTCCTGGTTGCTCTTGTTAGTACTTCCAGTATCATGTTGAATAGAAATGGTGAGAGTGGGCGTCCTTGACTTGGACTGGATCTTAGAAGAAAAGCTTTCAGTTTTTCTTGATTGATTATCATGTTAGCTGTGGGCTTCTCATAAGTGGCCTTCATAATGTTGAAGAAATTTTTATCTATGCCTTATTTGTTGAGAGTTTTTATCATTAAACAATGTTGAGCTTTGTCAACTGCTTTCTCTGTATCTACTGAGGTGAACACGTGGTTTCCATCTTTCATTCTGTATCACATTGACTTGCATATATTAAACCAAACTTCAACCACAGGAATAAATCCCACTTTGTTAAGACATATACTCTTTTTGATGTGTTGTTGAATTTGGGTTCCTAGTATTTTATTAAGGATTTTTTTATCTGTGTTCATCAGCGATATTGGCCTGTAGTTTTCTTTTCTTTTGGTGTCTTTAGCTTTGGTATCAGGATGATGCTGGCCTCATAAAGTGATTTTGGAAGTATTCTCTCTATTTAGATCTTTGAGAAGAGTTTAAGAAGAACCACCAATAATTATTTTTTGAATGTTGAGTAGATTTCAGCTGTGAAGCCCTTTTGTCCTGAGTCCTGGTCCTGGCATTTCTTTTTTTTTGGGAGGTTTATAGCTATTGCTTCTATCCTTTTATTTGTTATTGGTCTGTTCAGGCTTTCTATTATTTATTGATGGAATATGGGTAGGTTGTATGTTTCTATGATTTTATCCGTTTTCTCTAGATTATCCAATTTGTTGGTATATAGTTCTTCATAATAGTTCTTTATGATTCTTTTTATTTCTGAGGCATTTGTTGAAATGCCCCCATTTTCATTTTTGAAGCTATTTATTTAACTCTTCCCTCTTTTTTTTAGTCTAGTTAAAAGTTTGTCAATTTTGTTTATTTTTTCAAAAAATTAACTCAATTTTGTCAACTTTTCTATAGTTTTTCTATTCTTTAATTGATTTTCTTCTGCTTTGATTTTTATTATTTTCTTCCTTTTGCTAATTTCATTTTGTTCTTTTCTTAGTTCCTTGAAGTGTAATGTTAGGTTATTTATTTGAGACCTTTTTTAATGTAGGCATTTATTTTTTATTATGATTTTATTTTATTTTATTTTTTGAGTCAGGGTCTCACTCTGTTGTGCAGGCTGGAGTGCAGTGGCATAATCTTGGCTCACTGCAATCTCCCCCTCTTGGGTTAAAGCAATTCTCGTGCCTCAGCCTCCCTGAGTAGCTGAAATTATAGGCACATGCTACCATGTCTGGCTAATTTTTGTATATTTTGGTAGAAACGGGCTTTCACTATGTTGTTCAGGCTGGTCTTGAACTCCTGACCTCAAGTGACGCACCCATCTCAGCCTCCCAAAGTACTGGGATTACAGGCATGAGCCATCACACCCTGCCATTGCAGGCATTTATCATTATAAACTTGTCTCTTGAGCTGCTTTTGCTGTTTTCAAAGGTTCTATTATGTTTGTTTTCTTTTTTGTTTGTCTCATGATATTTTTAAATTTCCCTTTTGATTTGTTCTTTGACCCATGAGCTGTTCAAAAGTACATGATTTAATTTCCCTGTGTATGTGAATTTTCCAATAATCCTTCTGTAGGTTTTTAGTTTTATAAAATTGTGATCAGAAGAAATATTTGATGTAATTTCAATCATCATAAGTGTGTCTATGATCTACATTTTATTATTTTTTTATTAATATACAGAAGTTGTACATATTTTGGGGATATATGTGATAATTTGATAAATATATACAATGTATAATGATCGAATCAGTGTAATTAAGATATCACCTCAAACCTTTATCTTTTCTTTGTGTTATAAATATTCCAATTCTTCTCTTCCAGCTATTTTGAAATATACAATAAATTAACTTTAACTGTGGTCTCCCTACTACACTATTGAATACTAGAATTTATTTCTTCTATCTAACTGTATTTTTGTACTCATTAACCAACTCCCATCATCTCTCCATTCTCCTTCCCAGCCTCTGGTACACACTAATTTTTATGGAATGACACATGGATCTGATTTTTTACTTATTTTTATATGCATGTGGATTATCATATTCATTTGTTTAAAAAAATCCTTGACCATTTGTTGAAAGATTATACATTTTTAATATATATTTTTCTTTTTCATGTTTGTCAAAAATCTGTTCTCTATATATGTATTATTTTCAGACTGTATATTTTGTTCCTATTTTATCAATCTATTTTATTGATTATATCCGAATACCACTCTGTTTTGATTACTATAATAGTTTTTCAAATCAGGTAGAGCTAGCCCTCCAAGTTTGTTCATTGTACAGGCATTTTGGTTAGGCTAGTTCATATTAATTTTAAAATCAGCTGATCAATTTCCACCAGAGATGCTTGCTGAGATTTTGAGTGGAATTGCATTGAATTTATAGTTCAAATTGGGGAAAACTAACATCTCAACAATATTTAGTCTCCTGACCCATGAACAAATAATGTCTCTCTAGTTTTTAGGTATTCATTATGTTCTCTGTGCAACGTTTTGTAATTTTCAATCAGATTTATCCCTATGTGTTTTATATGTTTGATACTATTGTAACTGGTATTGCTTTTTACATTTCAATTGTGCATTGGAATTACACAAAATAGAATTGATTTTTGTCTATTGATCTTGTATCCTGCTAGAAACAAATGTTTTTCAGATTCAAGTTACATTTGGCAGTGACAATATTTTTAGGGTCTTGTGTATTTACCAGGTGAAAAGAATCTTTTTTATTTCACTTGGAGCTTTATCATCAGCCCAAGGAAGAGGAACCCATATCAAGTTCTGAGGCTGGGCAGAGTTTGTACCTTGTGGACCAATGCACGTGAAATGTTCTGCATGTTTACCAATAAGTTTTCCTTAAGAGTACCTATGCAGTTGATGGGGCTTCCCATGTGCATGTCTGTCTGCAATGTTACATTTGTAAAATTTAGAAGCCAATGTTATCCCTTATTTTCAAATTTAGTATTCAATAATCTATCCCAGAGTTACGTAGTGTCAGAGACTTTGGGATGATCTTCAGTGATATATCCATCAAGTTATCATGAGTAGGTACCTGATCCTGACTAGTCTTATTTCTGATGTGATCTATTATAAAATGAGACCAGATCTTTAAAATAACTAATAATAATGGGCTTGAGAGGGTTTCTTTGTGAAATACTCAGCCTTAGGAGACAGTAGATCCTACTCCACATGCGAAGTAGGATCTACTCCCTTCAGTATGTGAGCATCAAGACCCTGATTCTGCAGTGGAGTCTGCAGTCTCCTGCTGTATCAGCCTCATTCCCTCAAGGGAGAATGAATGGCCTTCAGTTTGTTATGTCACAATTGACACGTGTAGCACATTTGAGTACCTCTTTAGTTATTGACCTAGATTTATGTCCAATCATGTCAAGCTTGCTCACCTGGGTGAATCACAAGGTCACATTCCCAGTGGGTCATTTGACTGTGTCACAAAAAAAAAAAAACCAAAAAAAAAAACCATTCATTTGTCATTACGTATCTCTCCTAAAGTTCAACTTTGATAGGCTAAAACATGGCCCACAAACAGCTTTAAGGGTGGTTTCTTAAATGTTTGTCTGTGGTTTACTAAAGTCCTATTACTCAAATGAATTTATCTTTTACTCCAGTTTTTTGTTTCTCCATGTTCTGCCTCTATGACAGAACCCAAAAGTCAGTATAAACATAAATTTATTCCCACTGATTTATAACCAATCAACAGTATGTATGTGACATACTGTACATTGGGTTGCCAGCCTTCTTCCTTCTTTTACCTGTTTCCTATTGGATGGTAAGATAATATGGGTGGGGTTTGATGGCTCAAGTTTGTAATTCCAGAACTTTGGGAGGCTGAGGTGGGAGGGTCACTGGAGTCCAGGAGTTCAAGACCAGCCTGGGCAACATAGTAAGACTTCATCTTCTTTTTTAAAAAATAAATGTTGTAATGTTATTTGCCACTTTTATTAACATCCCTGGACTACAGTTCTACCACTTGTTTAAAGCATACATTATTATTATAAGATGTGCTTAAATCTGCATATTTGTAAGCATCATTAATATTATTAATAGTTAAAATCTATAGTAGTGAATTATTTGGTTAGGTCAGAGACTAAAGTCTGAAAATTAGAAATTCACTATTTCTTTCAGGTGTATGTGTGCTGTTGTGCTAATCCCTCACCTCTGTCGGAAAAGTCATTGTGGGCCCAAGCCAGTAAGTAAACTGTCTGTGAAAGAATGAATGAAGATCCTAAAATAAATATGTGGTGCCCACTGAGTGGAAAATTTTGCAAAAGTTGTTTTTCTACAATGGTGTAATGTTTCTCTGAGCCAGCTCATCTGTTCCTTCAAAGGCCCCAAATTATTATTTTTTTTATCATCTTATGTCATTGTCATTAACTCCATTCTGCCCTTGCCTATGTCATCTACCATGCTATCTGTTTCACTGCATGGCACTAGAGACAGAGCCATTTTTCCAACTTTAAGTTTACTAAAAGACTCGCATCTCTGAAAGAAAATGGAAGTCAGTGGTTCTCTTTGATTTTGGTATTTAAAGCCATCATTAGGGTCAAGTGGAAATATGTTTTCTCCAGAAGTTATTAGGGGCTGTTCAATGCAGTAACTTTTCACTTCTTACGCTACAGTTGATCCCATCTGTGATAGTTAATACTGAGTGTCAACTTGATTGGACTGAAGGACTAAAAATATTGATCCTGGGTGTGTCTGTGTGGGTGTTGCCAAAAGAGATTAATGTTTGAGTCAGTGGGCTGGGAACGGCAGACCCACCCTTAATCTGGTGGGCACAATCTAATCAGCTTCCAGCGAACTAAAGCAGGCAGAAAAACGTGAAAAGGACAGAGACGGGCCTAGCCTCCATCTTTCTCCCATGCTGGATGCTTCCTGCCCTCAAACATTGAACCCCAAGTTCTTCAGTTTTGGGACTCGGACTGGCTCTCCTTGCTCCTCAGCTTGCAGACAACTTATTGTGGGACCTTGTGATTGTGTAAGTTAATACTTAATAAACTCCTATATATATACATATATATATAAAATAAACTATATATACACACACATATACATATATATATATATATATATATATATATACACACATATCCTATTTGTTCTGTCCCTCTAAGAGAACCCTGACTAATACAGATTTTGCTACCAGGGGTGGTTCTAGAGGAACAGAATATTAAGGATGGAGTTTTTCATTGGTTTTGGGGTTTCTGGAGTTGGCTGCTTAATATTATTGGACCCAAAATGCTAAGGACTCTACTTCTAATAGTATGGAAAACATTGATAGTCTTCTGTGCAAACAGTTTAGAGAGTTATGCAAAATAGATGCATTTGACACTCATGATTCACTGCTCATGAGAGGCAAGGAGTTTAGTGACTCTATACATAATACCTTTGACCATATGTGAAGAACTAAGGAACATAATGAAGCTGGTTAGTTGCTCATAAGTTCAGTGGACAAAGTGATGAAAGAAAAGGATGAACTCAGGGATTCTGTCTCCCAGCCTCAGAAGCAGACACTGCACCTCAAATCTGCTAACACTGCCCTGAGTGAGAGTCTTATATCCTGTAGATAAAAAGCTGAAATTGTGGAAAAACAGACACAAGCTTGCATCATGCGATTGGCTGACCTGCAATGAAAGATGAGTGCACAGCCTAGCCAGGTGTCTACCGTTAAAGTGAGGGCATTGACTGGAAAAGAATGGAACCCTGCAACTTGAAATGGGGACGCGTTACTCCTAGGGAGCACAATGCCAAGAGGAGAAAAATGTGGCCATAAGCCTCTGCCCCACACCCCAGAGCCCAAGAAACAACTGTTGGATTAGCAGGAATAAAAAGTGCTTGAAGAAGTGTTAGAGACTTACCTTTAACAGTTCTTTTTAGGACCAGGAGAGGTTAAGGAAAAAGGACCATTTCATCTACCGAAATAGTAATAATTATATTCTTCTGCACATTCAGTTTACAAAGGGTTTTACATATATTATCTCATGAATATTTATTGAGTAATTAATTTTTTGGACACCATGATAAGCACTGGAGGTACACAGGTCAGTGAATAAGATTTCCTTTAAGACCTCAAACTTGTAGAAAATAAGTGCTCAAAAATATACTTTTATCAGAATGTGGGAATTGTTCTAACCTCTGGATATTATAGCAAGGTAGGGACAGGGCACATAGGATGAGACATTTTTTCCTAATCAGAGGCTGGAACATTGAGAATTCTCAAAGGCAATCCCATTCTCATCACATTCTCATCCCATTCTCATCCACAGGAGGATGTCTCAGAGAAGAAAGGATGGCATAAGGCAGGGTCTTCTCTAAGGAAGAGTCTTTGCTACAACCTTAGAGAGTGTAGAGAATCTCCCAGAGGATTACTGGGATAATATAGGGAGCTAAAAGGAATTCAAATTGGAAAGAAAGAAGTAAAATTACTTCTGTTCATAGGTGACATAATCTGAAATGTAGAAAAACACTAAAGATTTCACAAAAAACTATTAGAACTAATAAATGACTTTAGCAAAGTAGCAGGACACAAAATAGCACACAAAAATAATTTATGTTTCTATACCCTAACAATTATCAAAGGAGAAAATTAAGAAAATAATTTTATTTACAACAGCATCAAAAAATATACATAGGAATTAGCCAAGAAAGTGAAAGACTTGTACAATGAAAACTATAAAATATTGCAGAAAAATATTAAAGAATGCATGAAAAAGTGGAAAGATGTCCCATATTCATGGATTGGAAGACTTAATATTGCTAAGATGTCAATACTACCCAAAGTGATATACAGATTCAGTGCAACCTCTAGTCCAAAATTCCAACAACTTTTTTTTTTGCAAAAATAGAAAAATCCACCTTACATTCATATGGAATCTTAAGGGGCCCTGAATAGACAAAACGATATTGAAAAAGAACAAGCTGGGTATGGTGGCTCATGTCTGTAATCCCAGCACTTTGGAAGGCTGAGGCAGGAGGACTGCTTGAGATCAAGAGTTCAAGACCAGTCTGAGCAACATAGCAAAAACTTGTCTCTACAAAAATTTTTTAAAAAGAACAAAGTTGGAAGACTCATATTTCCTGACTTCAAAATTTAATACAAAGCTCAAGTAATCAAAACAGTGTGGTACTAACACAAAGACATATAGATCAATGGAATAGAATAAAAAGCCCAGAAATAAATCCTGTATATATGATCAAATGATTTCTGACAAGGGTGCCAAGACCATTCAATGGGGAAAAGACAGTTTTTTCAACAAATGGTTCTGGGGAAGCTGGATATCTACATGCAAAAGAATGAAAGTGGACCCTTGTTAGGCTGCCCCTTTCCTGGTCCACATGGGCTAAAGAGAGCAGACAACTAACTCACTGTGTCATTTTTTGAAGCCTGAAGTTTCTGCCCTTTTCTCTTCATCTTTCAGAGTCTCCTTATGTTTATTGTATAGAAAATGTCCAGGGTTTTATTTCTACTTACTGGTAGGAATAGGGAAAAGCATGCCTATTCCATCTTCCCAGAAATGAAAGTCACTCTGCCAGCCTTTTCGTTTTTGTTAGAAAAAAGGGCTCACTCTGTCACCCAGGCTGCAGTGCACTGCATCATTGCTCACTGCAACCTCCAACTCCTGAGCTCAAGCAACAGCAATGCCCTTGCCCCAGCCTCCCGAGTAGGTAAGAATACAGGTGCGTACCACCACAGCTGGCTAATTTTTTTTTTGGAGATGGGGTCTTGCTATATTGCCCAGGCTGGTCTCAAAGTCCTGGCCTCAAGCAATCTCCCTCCCTCAACTTCCCAAAGTGCTGGGATTACAGGCATGAGCCATCATGCCTGGCCTCAGCTTTTTAATGTAAGTTCTTATTTCACCTTCACTTTTTGAAACGTATTTTCACTGGGTAAATAATTCCAGGTTGTAGGGGTTTTTTTTCTTTCAGTACTTAAAAGATGTTGCTCCACTGTGTTCTAGCTTATAATTGTTTTGATGATAAATCTGCTATCACCCTTATCTTTCTTCCTTTGTACATAACTAGTTGTTTCTCCTCTGGCTGCTTTTACAATTTTTCTAACGGGTTTTGAGAGATTTTATTATGATTTGCCTTCATTTAGTTGTTTTATTTTCTTATTTCTTGTGCTTGGGGTTAATTGAGCTACTTAGATCTGTGGCTTTATAGGTTCCATCAAATTTCGGGAAATTTGGGTCACTATTTCTACTAATATTTGTCCTATTCCTCTCGTACCTCTTTTGGGTATTCCAGTTGTCTTGGTCCATTTCTGCTTCTATAACAAAATATCACAGCCTATGCAATTTTGAAATAATAGAAATTTATTTTGTGCAGTTCTGGAGGCTGGGAAGCCCTAGATCAAGGCACCGGCACTGGTGTCTAGTGAGAGTGGCTCTTCACTTTCAAGATGGTTGCTTGTTGCTGTGTTCTTACATGGTAGAAGGCAGAGGGCAAAAAAGGCCAAAACTCTGTGTGAAGCCTCTTTTATAAATGCCTTAATCCCATTCACATGGGAGGACCCCTCAAGACCTAATCTCTTCCTAAAAGGCCCCAATTAATACCACCACAATGGAGATTAAGTTTCACCATGAATTTTGGAGGGGACACACATAGTACCAATTATTATGCCACTTGAAGTTTTTCCACAATTCACTGATGTGTTGTTCATTTTTAAGCCCTTTTTCAGTTTTATTTTGTGTAGTTTCTATTCTTACGTCTTTCAAGTATAATCTTTCTTTGCAATGTCTAATCTAATGTTCAGCCTATCCAGTTTACTTTTCTTCTCATGATTTGTAGTTTTAATCTATAAAGTTCAATTTGGGTCTTTCAGACGTGATAAAACACACTTACATATTTATATATATATATAAACATGTTTGCTTTTTTCTCCAGCTTTTGAACTTATAAACTTATTATTGTTTCAACTGTCTGCTATTTCTACCCTCATGTAACAGTTCTGAGTCAATTTCAATTGATGGATTTTTTTTTTTCTCATAATGGTTTGATTTTTCTATTTTTTTGAGTGCCTCAGTTTTTTTCCGATGTCGGATATGATAAACTTTTTCTTGTTTGGTGCTGAACATTTTTGTTTTCCTATAAATATTCTTGAGCTTTGTTCTAGGATGCAGGTAAGTTACTTGGAAACAACTTGATCCTATGGCTCTTGATTTAAGATATTAGATCAGACCATAGACATGTTGTATTCATTTCCTATCACTGCTGTTGACAAATTTCAACAAACTTAGTGACTTAAAACAACACAAATTTATTGTCTTACACTTCTGTATTTCCACATCCAAATGGGTCAGTAACGCAACAACAAAAAACCAAATACCACATGTTCTCACTCATAGGTGGGAATTGAACAATGAGAACACATGGACACAGGAAGGGGAACATCACACTCTGGG
This sequence comes from Homo sapiens, assembly GCF_000001405.40. Lineage (NCBI taxonomy): Eukaryota > Metazoa > Chordata > Mammalia > Primates > Hominidae > Homo > Homo sapiens. The sequence goes on from NC_000001.11 coordinate 147,152,363, forward strand.
GACTGTTGTGGGGTGGGGGGAGGGGGGAGGGATAGCATTAGGAGATATACCTAATGCTAAATGACGAGTTAATGGGTGCAGCACACCAACATGGCACATGTATACATATGTAACAAACCTGCACGTTGTGCACATGTACCCTAAGACTTAAAGTATGATGATAATAAAATTAAAAAAAAAAGACTACTGAACTAAAATAAAGCCATTGTGTTTCTTCCTGGAGGCTCTGAGAGAGAATCCATTTCCTTGCTCCTAAGGCTACCACATTCCTGGGTTTATAGTTCTCTTTTCTCATCTTCAAAAGCCAGCAACAGCAAGTCAAGTTCTTTTCATGTCCTATCACTCTGACTTCCCTCTTGCACTTATTAGATTGGGCCTAACTAAATAATCCAGGGTAATATTTGCATCTCAAGGTCAGCTGATTAGCAAACTTGATTCCATCTGCAATCTTAGTTTCCCTTCAGCATGTAACCTGGGCAACTAAAGGGCTCACCTCATTTGTTTCCCATATTTTAGGGATCCAGTGCTTGGTATTTAATGTCATTTGACCCCATCAAACACCCTGTGTCTGGGCAAAGGTCAGTCCTAACTCCACGTGCAGAGTAAGCAAATGGGCCCAGGGGATAAAATGGCTAGTAATCTCAGTTCACCTTGGATAGTTCCGCTTTTCCTCCTGAACTTTAGTTCATCTAGTGCTGGTTACTATCACAATGTTCAGCTCCATCTAAAAATAAAATGCCATGCCTTGGCTCAAAATCCCCTCTGAGCTCAGACTGGCTCTTCATCTGGTAGATTTCCGGACTGTCATATTCCTTTATGTCATCCCTAGGTATTCTAACTCTAGATTGATCACTCTACCAGATGACCAACAGAACACAGCTGTGCTAATTGGGAGAGACAAAGAAACACCATCTTCAGGTTGGCACAAATGTTTCCAAACATCTATAATATTCTCAGCCTATCCTCTAACCCCCAGAAATATTTTCCAAGATCCTGTTGCATCCAACACCCATTCCACTACCCAATCGCTATATCTAACTTGTAAGTGATCCACAACTATTGTAATCAATAACAGAGATTTCCCCCCCACCCCTCAAAAAAAATAAGTTAGAGTTGTAGGTTATAGTTTAGAGTATCAGCTGGTCTGAAGTCAGAGTCCACCCCTCAACACCATCCAGGTATACAGGTCTGTAGTAATCTCCATAACTCTTTCAGGTGTTCGATATCCTTACCTGATATTCTCATCATAAGCTGTCACTAGCAAGAGGGCTTTGGAAGATGTAGTAAGTGGAAATTAGCTCAGGAGTCGTTGAGAAGTCTGTGAAACCCTACTTTGTGTTTAAAATATCGCCCGGCATACAGACCTTAAACCTTCTAACTTCTGACACAGAACTCTGCCTTTCTACTTAGGAAGTTCTTGAGAGACAGGAGCCTCCTTCAGAACACAGCTAAGTGCTGAGAGAATGCTAACTGCCAGGAGAGAACAGAGTGGTTCATCTTCAGTCAATGTACGTGCCCTGGAGCCAAGAAATGGGTTACAGAAAGGGACGTGGTACTCCAGACCTGCATATGTGATTCTGGATGAACAGTGACCACAGAGGACAGAGGAGTAGGGAGAGGAAGAGACTCATGATGTACCCAAATCACCTGTGTCATGGTTAATTGTCAAGGCAGGGGAGAAGGGGGTCTTTGGAAGAGATACTACAAAAGACTCCAAGCCAAACGAGCCAGAAATAAATGCTTTAGAAAGCACATCAGTGCAAGTTTGGGCCCCGATGAAATTCTGGTGCCATTTTGTTTTCAGTGACTGGGGTACATGATGTTTAGAAGACCATTCTTCCAGAGGCTGAGTTCATACCATATCCCACTTTTTACCTCTAGCCTGGAGGCAATCTCTGGACTTGCTATTGAGGTTTGAGGTGAACTGTTCTAGTTGATTTCTGTCACAGGTCTTCCTTTCATGTCCTGCTGTCTTGCATTTCCACTCCCTCAGTAACTCCCCTATTCTTCTCACACTCCACATTGTCAGTCCCTTTTCTTCCTTAGTTCAACTCAGTTGACTCTTTAGAGCAGCAAAAATACAACAGCTTGGTTGTTTTAGGAAAAAAAGTCCAGAGGCCAGCTATGTAGAAACCTTGTGAAATGACGGAATGGAAAACAGAAATTATATTTTAATCATGTCCCTGAACAAGGCCATCTCAGGTGAATGATCTGCTGTCAGAATAAAGTATATAATGTTTTCATATATACTGAAGCATATAATCTGACAGAGAAAGAGAAGTAGGAAGGGTCCAGGATAGCAGTCCTCAATCCTAGATGTCTATTAGCATTATCTGGGGGAACTTAAAAAATACAGATGCCTGGACCCCATACCAGAGATTTCCATTTAACTAGGGTGGAAATGGATTGACCACCAATGTTTATAGAGTCTCCATAGGTGTTATGAATGTGCAGCCAGGGATGAGAATCATTGGTCTAAGAGCTCAGCTAATCCAGTACAGGATGATAGCTAAATGTGCAGCCAGCAGAGAAAATGCTGAAAATCAAATCATGAAGTCTGCATTCCTATAATGTTGGCATAGCCTGAAACAAAAAGAAGAGAAAAAGTAGGACATCATTTGTGTCCCCTACCCCATGACTTCTTTCAAATGTGTTTTCTTGCAGTTTACATTCTTTAGGCCCTGAGACACCAAGGCAAACAGACCTTGATAATATAATCAGTCATCAATCAATAACTCAGATATTATTGCTGTATAATACTTTTATTAAAGTTTTATGGAAAAAACCCACAACATTTCTGTATGTATCATATCATATAATTTCCAGGTGTGTCAGAGTCCAGTGACAAATTACGTTTGAAGAACAGCTTTAAAATCCACTCTTGTCTGCCACTCCTTTATGAAATATTGAAAAGCAGCTCTGTACCTCAGCATTAAAGGTTACAAAAAGCACCATTAAAAAGAGGACTCACATATTTAATTCCCTTCAAAGTAGTCTTATCTCTCCTTTCTGACAGACACAGAGCTGCACTCATTCGAAATGCTGCCGTGTAATACCAACCAACATGCTCCAATGTACCAAAATTCAAACAAGTCTCATTTATGAGACCCGTGTAGTGATTAGGACTAACCAACAACAGTGAGCTTTGGCTGTCCTAAAACCACAAGCTGGGTTAGGTAAGTGTTTTGTACAGGGGAACAGAAAAGAAGTAAGATCATCAATACCTAATATATGACTTAATGTAGGTATCCCTTGACCATTTAACCTGACACCTACAAAATCCATAGTGTTTAGTATTTCACACCAATCTTACTGCAAAAGTGCTGTGCTACATACAATCAATTCAAGTTAACTCCAACTAATATTGGAACTAATAAAAAATTAATTTGTAACAAAGCTTATTCACTTCAAAGCACAACTGAGAAAAGCAAATCCAGACAAAGCCCAAACTAGAATCCTAGAGCGATTCCATTGCTAAGAATTGGACTCTACAAGTAATAGACTTGAGTTTTTCTCTTTTTTCCCTTCTTTCTTATAATTTAAATTTGGCTTTTTACTCTAAAAGTTTGGGTTCATTGCAGAAATCACAGTCCTTCCATATCCAATTGTGATTGGCACTTAAGGAGAGACAAATGCTTAGATCCAAAGAGTTTTGAAAGACCCTAATGGCTACCCCTCCCAGGTCCTGCATTCCATGGGTAACTGGAGTCAGCAGCCCCTGGTAGAAGACAGCAAGAACTGGGCTTTAAGGGGAATCACAATAATGCAGGAATACACTGTACATCTGCTATTAAGCCCATGCCCCAAATCACTAGAACGTGAGAATGTAGAAATCTCTGAGAACACAATGTATTTCAAACACACACAGAGACTATTGCATATCATTTTTAGTTGAGGTCAAAATTATTAAAGCCCTATTTCCCCAATTAAAAGCAAGGAGTTCTATTAGTATGTCTTCTTCATTTATATCCCAGATTAATATAAACCCAGTCTAGAGGTATCACTTCTTTCCAAACTTAACTTCATTTCAGCAGCATACATGGAATATTGACACTTTTCAAAGTTTTTATCCCAGACCCATTAGATCTACAAGATACTAGAAAGAATTAGAGCAAAGTGAGTGGGCCTGGGTTTGTAGGATCCTCACAAACTTCTCTTGGATTCTTCTTTTACAAAGTTTCTCTACCATACAAACATACGTTTTAAAAGCCAACACTATTGAGGTTAGGTATGCCCTTCAGGGGTGTTGCCTAGAATGGTTAAATCCCATTCAGCTTAAAGGAGGCTAATAATCATGGTGTGGAATTTCTCCATACCAGCAGCATGGCTAACGTATGTGTTTTAGGTAATGTCTGACACTCTGGTAAAGTCTGCCTGACACATGAGCTTAAAGCAGAATGGAAAGGAAAGAGGAGAGAATTGGAACAAGATGAAAAGAGAAGATGGTTATACACTGCTAATTCTGTACAGTGAGATCCAAGGACACCACCATGTGGTGTCTGATTTAATTTCTTTTTAAAAGAGATCATTTTCAGTTGTAAGTTACTCAACCCTTTATTCTATTATTACTTCTCAGCTCAGTCACTCTTCTCTTCCCCACAATTCCGAAACTATGTTGAAGTTCTTTAAAGGTCGGCCCTCCTGAAGAACTATTTTCTTATTCTGCCTACTTTGACTCTGTAAAATTCCCAAAAGCAAAATAAAGGCTAAAAAAATTTTTTTTGCCTTTACTCATTTTCAAAATCTGTCAAACTCTCCTCAGCATTAAATTAATTATCCCTTTAACTAATCAATATACAATGATAAATGAGTAGTACTTTGGGTTACTTCCTTCTCTTCCTCCCTCTCTTCCAAATAGACTGAGATAAGGCTTCTCAGAACCATGGGATGTATCAGCAGTATAGAAAAGGGACAGTGCTGAATGAGTCAGCACCCAGTGCCTCCTACCCATTCCCTTCTATACCAGCTGGTAGGCTCCCATTTCACATCTGGGCTGAGAGTTACCTCAGAACTTGGGAAACTGACACTCTCTGCACATTTCCAGAGAGAAAGATCTGAAGATCACTAGCATCAAAACCTACTGTCACAGGGGGCTGACGCATTTCACAAAAGCCTCAGGCCTGAAAGAAATCGAAGAGATCTCTTTTCCTGCCCCACTCTACTGAAACACCTGTGTGGAGTAAAAATTTTCATACATGAACACATACATATTACATTTCAATACTGTTGACAAGAAATATAACAAACTTCATGTAATAACCAAGATTTTGAATCTTCCTAAGTGGCCCACTTATTTAATGAGTATTGGATAAAAACAAAATTCTAGTACAACTGAAGGCTGTAAATCCTGAGAGTTGGTTATAATAGGATCTGGCCTGGATTTTTAAATGGCACACCATTCAAAAAGTGGTTGGGAACATAAAAGGTTCTCCACAAAAGCCTTTTGCTGCAGAAGGTGGCCTTGGATGGCTAAAGTAGTATTTACTCTTAGCAATTAACCACCAAAGCATTTAGTTATTTGCATCCCAGCAAAACAACAATCCCACACTTTACTCCATCACACCTGGAATCCAAGAGGTCTACAAGTCCAAAGACAACTGTGTTATCAGCTTTGCATGGGAAAGACAGGAGGTAGCTAAACTGACCTGTAGGTGCCCTTTCAGTGTGGCTAGGGTCATCTGAGCAGTCAGGGAGTCTCTCATTCATCAACAGTTTAGCCTCCTTTAGTGTTGATTATTTGACTTATCTGCAAAATGGAAGAGCCCCAGCTACTTGGGAAAAAATGTTTTATCTCTGAACCCCAAAAGTGGATTGAATACTTTTCAGTCCACAAATGGAATTCAGTGACCCCACTTAATCATCAAACACCTTTAAAAAGAAGAGGCAGGAGAACAAAATGATTTTGTTAACATTTGGTGCAAAGAATGATACTTTTCATGGTTGGGAATACTAGGAATACTCTCTTGCTTCTTGGCCTAACAAATCTTTAAAATGAGGAACCCCTTTAGGTGCATCAAATGAGTTAAATGAACTTGAGCAGTTTATCTAGAGCAGTGTTTAGTGTAGTGATGTGTACAGGGTTGGCCATATTAATCTAAGAATGTGGAAGGCTAGACTAGAGAAGAAAATCTCTTTGAAGAAGCATTTATCAAAAGCCTGAAATTCTCCAATGCGGTCTCTTAAGACCAATGAAAAGGCATTTTTTAATTAAAAAAAAAATGCAGGCACATAAAAATCTTTCAAGGATGAAAGACATGAAAATACTCCCGGGTTCCACTCCTGCCTTCAGAACTGTTTACTGAGAAAGAAAAGACAGAAGCAGGGCCAGGCAAAGTGGGAAAACTTTCGGGAATTTGCCAATACAGCCTGAGCCTTGGCACCAAACTAAAACAAAAATGTAGGTGTTCTGCATTCTGCCTTTCTTATAATGCTGAAACATATTTTCTTTAGAAGTTAAAACAAACACGACAAAGTGGCCTGGGCCTGTGCTGGGCTAAAAAGGAGACCTTCTGATAGCCCTAGTGTCTGGGGTGGGTCAGGTGCCACAAAACTTTTCAAAGTCACTTACCCAATAAGTTTTGTGTTAGAGAGGGGTCAGGTATGGGATCTGAAGGAGGCTATTAAAGGAAGAATGTGAAATGAGAGGAATAAGGGTTCTTGTGGGGCATCTGGTATCATATAAACAACACAGATTGTGCCACATACTCTGGGAATATAGAGAACCCATGCAAGAAAAACTGCCCTTGCAATGAGGCAGCTGTTAAGTAGGGCAGCGGTCTAGCACAAGCCCATTCCTTGGAGAGCCAAGGTAGCAGTGATAGAATCTCCACCCAACAAGGATCCTAAGAGTTTGCTGTTCTTTCATTTTAGGAAAAATCTTCCTATATAGTTATTCCTGCAGCGCCCCCAAACAGGTCTTGGTGAAAACCCACAGGCAGAAACAATACTTCTAGCTGGGGCTAGGAGGCTTCCATTTACCTTCTTCTCATATGTATATTTTTTTTTCTTAAAATAAATTCCGTGAACTCATAAAGCTCTCATCTGCAATCAAATGCAAAAGCAGAGCATCCTACTCAGAGGCTCTGAAACACACATATCAGCCTCAAAGCAAATCAGCCTTCCAGTCTCAGGTAAGACTGGTTCAGTCCAGAAATGCAAGGGAGATGCTTCTCCTGAATCCTTAGAGGCAAGAAGGGATCCCTTCAAATGGGCTTGTATAGCAGAGTAGTAACATACTTCTTCTTGTAGCGATGGGTTGCGCTAAGGACCATCACACTGTCCTGCAAGGAAAAGAAACATACGCAGCTAATTCATTACTTCAGACAGTAGGTAGCTCTTCCCAGTCATCAGTCCTTCACAGTCACTCACTTTTAACAGAGATAGTTTGATATAAGAGCAGGAGGTCAAATAAGTTTTAGTTCCAATTCTGACTCCTATCATCATTCTACTTGTGGCCTTGGGTAATCTACTTAGTGTGTCCAAGTCTTTTTATCTCATCATTACAAAAGATAACACCTACCATTAAGGTTGCTCTGATGATTACATGAGAATATCTGACACAGTTTCTGACACATAAAAGGGCTGAAGAAATAATAGTCTCCTACCTTGCTCCCTTCCCTACTTTAAATTCTAATGTTGGGCCTAAAACTAGCAAGAAAAACAAAAAAGAACAAAATATTCTGGCATCCATTTCTAGAAGAAAGTCTTAAAGACAATGAGGAAAAAAAGAAACAATCCTTCTGAAAAACTATTTCCAAGTCCCAAAGCAGGTCTAATTTTCATTTAAAACCAGGGATGACTTCCAAAAGATCTCTCTGATTTAGAGGGAACCTAGGAATCCCTCTCTATCCTTGAACAAAGTAGATGTCAAAATCCTCTTCAGAAAGACACCCAATCCAATGGATCAATTCCAAACTGCCTAAACAATATGAGAGAATCAGGAATGGGTCAGAACCAAGCTAAGCCACAATAATCAAACACCTTCACCTGAGTCAGAACCAGTAAGAAGACAGCAAGAGGTACCATTTCCCAGGCTGTGTTGTAGACTACAGATGTACCACAGGAGGAGATGGCAAGCCTAGGCAAATTAAATGACATCCAAGGAGCAGTTACAGGAGGCAAAATCCATCAGATCCCAAAGAACCCAAGCAAATCCGATTAAGAACAAGTGTATCCTTCTACCTTCCCCCGTACTGTATTATCCACCATGAATGCTTCTCGGGTTAACACTCCAGAGTCATGCTGACACAAAGCCTAAATACGACAGAAGCAAGGCAGGTAAACAATTCACTTTTACACTTCCACAGGTTTTGTGGAAATGAGGAATACCTGAGAAAAACCTACTTGGAAAGACCTGGCATAATGATAATATAGGAAAGAATATGAAGTCAGCATAGGAGGACTGGACCTCAGCAGTCCTGTCTCTGGTACTTACTGGCAATTTGACCTTCTCTGAGCCTTAGTTTCTTTATCTATAAAACAGGAGTTAAAAATACTTACAACGTTATTATAAAAATTAAATTCAATAATATATTTTTAAGTGTTATATTGTACCACATAGTTTGTTAGCTATATCAGTGATTTCCCGAATCCAGCTATATATCCAAGTAAAAGCAGCTTAAAAAAATTATAGGGCCCATCCTAGATGCACTTATTCAGAATCTCTAGGAATGGAGCTGCTGAATCTGTATTTTTACAATCTTCTCCAGGAGACTCTAATGATAATCAGCCTGGTTTGATAACTGCAGAGCTATATAACTTTATTCCAATAGCCAAACCACAAAGACATAACAAGACAGAACAGAATGGCTATTTCCAACCCAGACTCTAAAGCAGCAGAAAAACCAAGGAGGACTCTAGAGTTGACGGGACAGGGCAAATCTGGTCACATCTCTCCTTTAACTAGTGTATAGGAGAGATGCAAGCACCTGAGTATATATGAATGAGGCACCTGAAAGTAGCTCAATTCCACCTTCAAAAAATGAAAGCCTTAATATCACATTCAAGCATTCTTTGAACTGGAAGCTAAACCTGCTTTTTCTGCAGAAGAAATCCTATGCTATGAACACAAACTTAAGTAAACAGTTAGTGTAAAGATTCTAGTCACCCAAAAAATAACTGGGCAGCAAAAAAGTCCTATCAGAGGGCAATTCAGCCAGCCAGAACACAGAGACTGAGATTTTAAAACAAACAACCTAGTAGTTAAAAAAAAGAGAGTTCTTCTATAATTTGATCATTACTGCCAGCTTCAGCTTCAATGAAATAGCAGAGAAAGTAACCACTGAGAACGTATGTTACCCTTGACCTCTCATTCCAGGGAGCTCTGTGAAGAGCCAGGGCCACCACTTACCTTAATGGACAATGCATAGAGATGGTTCAGCATAACATGGTTGGGCTCAGGGAGTAAGGCTGGGTCACACTAAGAGAAAGAGAAAAAAATTACTAAAAAAATTACTAAATGAAATTAATGCACAGACAAACCAAACAGCTTACTCTTCCTCAGAGCTCTTTGAGAAATTTAAACTAGAATGCGCTATCTCTTTTCAATAATGCACCCACTCTAGTATGTATCAATAATACAATCCTATTACAGAAAATTAGAAAAATTATCAGTCCAGGGCAGAAATCTCATGCCTCAGCATCTACTAATCTTCCTTAAGAGAGCTAAAACAAAAATCTTGCCCACAACACACAAGGAAGAGTTGTGTTACAAGGCAAAAACAATCATAGTAGGAATCAAGTAGATTGAATAGAGACATGAATTATATACAAAAAAGCTTTCATAGTTCTTTTGTACACCCCCAAATGATAACTACTCCTTTATGTTGTGCTCAAAAGAAGTCCATAGCTCTGATCCTGATTTTATTAGGATGAGGAGACAACTATGAATTTTTATATCAGTACCTGAAAAAGCTGTGACTCACCACTGGAAAAAGGAAATCTGTAATGTTATTGGTATGTGTATGACTTATAATCTCAACACACCTCTGTAGTAATCCTAACCTCTAGGATTACTGAACTTTGGTCCAAATGGTCCTAGACACCCCCAGATGCCCCAGTAATACTCAGGATACTCACAGAAATATTAGTGTCTTTGTTAAGAATAACTTGAAGTAGATGAGGAGGAAGGATGGGTGGGGATTTGAATCTTTCCTCAGATCGAAACGCATACATTTCTTGACCATAAGGCCCTGGGGGTGAGCTGGAAAGGTCTGAAAGATATTTATACAAATATGAGAAAGAGTTGGAGAATTAGCAAGAATGCATGGAAAAAGCTATCAATACATGGCAGCTAACATTAAATATGGTAGAAGTCCTGGATCACAAACTTGTGACCTGTGGGATCTACAGCTGTAAGGTAACCAGAGGAAAAATCTGAGTCCCCTGGACATAAACCATGAAGCTCCTCAACATAGCAACATGATTTGGGAGACAGACAAAGATATAAAGACTCAAAGACCCAGGCTCAGGGAAGAGCTACTACATGTATCAGCTGTAGGACCTTGGAAGAATCCCTCCACAATGGTCAGTTTCTTTATAAAATAAAAATAATCTTTGCCCTATTTCATGATGTTTTTAAGGAAATCAAATTAGATAATGGATGTAAAGATGCCTTGTAACTTTCAAACAATGGGAAAAGATTAGATTTTTTCTTTTTTCCAGCCAAACAACAAGGTTATAAACTCCTAAGACTACCAATACAACAATGATTGCAACAATAAGGACAAAATGTATGTAACTGTCATTAGGGAAATGCAAATCAAAACCACAATAAGCTACCATTTCATACTCACTAGGACAGCTAAAATCAAACAGACAGACAGTAATAAGTGTCAACAAAGGAATGGAGAAATTGGAACGCTCACACTATTCCCACTGCTAGAGGGAATGTAAAGTAGTCCAGCCACTTTGGAAAACAGTTTGGCAGTTCCTCAAATAGTTAAACATAAAGTTACCACATGACCCAGCATTATACACTGGGTATATACCCAAAAGAAATGAAAACATATGTCTACACAAAAACTTGTACACCAGTGTTCATAATAGCATTATTTATAATAGCCAAAAAGTGGAAACAATCAAGATGTCTATCAACTACTGAATGGATAAACAAACAGTATGTCCACACAATGGGCTCTTATTCAGCCATAAAAAAGAGCGAAGTACTGATACATGGTTAGAACATGGATGAACCCTGAAAACATTATGCTAAGTGAAAGACGCCAGTCACAAAAGACCACATATTGTAGGATTCCACTGATATGAAATGTCCAGAACAGGCAAATCCTTAAGACAGCAAGACTTGTGGTTGCCAGGGACGGAGGGGAGGAGGGAATGGGATGTGACTGCTAATGGGTACAGGGTTTATTCTGCGGGTGATAAAAATGCTCTGGAATTAGATAGTTGTGATAATCACATAACTCTGAATATACTAAAAATTACTGAGTTGTACAATTTAAGAGTTAATTTTATGATGTATAAATTACATCTCAAAAAAATGAAAAAAAGTATGCAGACAAGAATACAATATACAAAAATGAAGAGAAATATATTATAATATATTTTATTTAAATGTTATTGTTTCTTTTTTGAGAGAGGGTCTTGCTCTGTGTCACCGAGTCTGGAGTGCAGTGGCTTGATCACGGCTCACTACAGCCTTGACCTCCTGGGCTCAAGTGATCCTCCCACCTCAGCCTTCAGAGTAGTTGGTACTAAAGGCACATGCTACCATGCCCAGCTAATTTTTTGATTTTTTTTGTAGAGACAGGGTCTCACTATGTTGCCCAGGCTGGTCTCAAACTCCTGGACTCAAGTGATCCTCCCACTTCGGCCTCCCAAAGTGCTAGGATTACAGGTGTGAGCCACCAAATTCATTGTAAGAACTAAGTTCCAGTGTTCCGTTGCACAGTAGAGTGAATATAGGTAACAATAATGTAACAAAATAAAATAGCTAGAAGAAAGGATTTTGAATGTTATCACCACGAAGAAACGACAAATGTTTGAGATGAATATGCTAATTGCCCTGACTCGATCATTACACATATAAAATGTATTGAAACATCACATTGTATCTCATAAATATGTACAATTGTTATGTGTCAATTAAAAATAAAAAATACATATAAGGCAAAAGAAAAAAGCAGAAGTAATACTCTGATATTAAATAATATCTTTAAAACATATGGAACTTGAAACCTTACAAAGTATTATGCTTTGTTATTTCGTCACATGATCCACAAAATACCCTTGGGAAGTGCACAGAATAGTTTTTATTGCCTTTTCACCAGAAAAAAATAAATACAAATTGGTTATTTGCCTAAAGTTACATACATGGATAGACAGTAAATGAGTGCAGACTAAAATCCATTATCTGTAGATTCCTAGTAAAAAATGGATTATAAGCGTTACCTCAATAGATTGGGAAATTAGGAGAAAGGGAAATATCAAAAGTATGCAAGTCTTCTCTCTATATAATTATGATACATGTCTATTTATTGGTTACTTTGCCAGAATTATATAATGCAAAAATTAGTCACAAGTATCCTCATAATCTAATTCAGCATTTTAAAACCCTTTTAAATTACTGTCCCACCAGTCAAAAATAATGCCCAATTTAACCTTCTGAGCTTATATGATGAAAACAACATTTTCAAAAGTTTCCTCAACAGATGATTACACTATTAATAATAGTCTCGCTCTGTCGCCCAGGCTGGAGTGCAGTGGCGAGATCTCAGCTCACTGCAAGCTCCGCCTCCCGGGTTCACGTCATTCTCCTGCCTCAGCCTCCCGAGTAGCTGGGACTACAGGCGCCTGCCACCACACCCAGCTAATTTTTCGTATTTTTTAGTAGAGATGAGGTTTCACCGTGTTAGCCAGGATGGTCTTGATCTCCTGACCTCGTCATCCACCCGCCTCGGTCTCCCAAAGTGCTGGGATTACAGGCCTGAGCCAGTGTGCCCAGCCAATAATTTCTTTTAAAAACAGCAAAGCCACCCTTCTCCCCTGAAATTCAAATATGTTCCACTTAAGGTATTGTGCCTCCTCAGCTGAGAATCACTGAAAGTTTAAGTCCCTGGTTTTACTGTGAAGAAACTCAGAACGAAAAAGGTTGAGAGATTTGTTCATGATGGCAAAACTAGTTAGTAGCAGAGGCAGGCTTTGAACTCACAGGAGAGAAGTGTGCTCACTGGGAATACTGTGCACAATTCTTTAGATAGTTCTTATTGTAAAGTAACAAAATGGTAACTACAAGTGTGGTTAGCAAAATATTCTCTGATACTATAGCAATTGTAAGCAGAGATGAAGGCCTTGGCTCAAATAATATTAGAGGAAATAAAAGTGTAAAGATATTTTCCGCTACCATAGACTTTTTTTTTTTTAACCAAAAATTTACAAAATTTCAATTACCTACAACAGAATTGTCAGGGGGCAGGGGGGTGGTTGTCTTGTTTTTGAGGCAGTATCTCACTCTGCTGCCCAGGCTGGAGTGAGGAGGCTCAAACATGCTTCACAGCAGCCTCGACCTCCTGGGCTCAAGCAATCCTCACGCCTCAGCCTCCCAAATTGTTGGGACCACAGGCATGTGCCATTACGCTCGGCTAATTTTTAAAAATTTTTTGTAGAGATGGGTCTTGCCATATTGCCCAGGCTGTTGGTTTTTTAAACCATTTTTTTCCCCACATTTTTTGGACCTCATAAAATCATGAAACTGCTAACTGAGGTCTCAAACTGGCAGGATTAAGATGGGGCAAACCAAACAAACTACACACATGTATCGCCTCTGCTGGGTAATATCATCAAAGGTCAGTGGAAAACTTGAAATATTACTAGAAACAGCTTTTCAAACTATAGGCTGTAGCCCATTAGTGATTATAAAAGATAACATGGAAAATAGAGTGTATCCCATGTAATAAGGTAAACATTGTATCATGAGACTTGTGTTACAATGTGTGTGTTTGTGTTTGCTGCAAATAAGAGACCTAAATGTTTACAGGAGAAAAATCTCTGTCTCTCTCTCTCCTCCCCCCAACCCCCTGCTCTCTCTCTCCCTCTATATGTATATACACACATAAACAACTTTTAGGAAGGAACTACAAGAAAGACACAGCAAGAGAGAGTAAATAATACAAAATTACCTCTACAAGATGTCTCAGAACTTTCCATAGAATCTAACTTTAAAGCATCGAACACCTCAAAATCAGATTTCTTGACATGGATCAAATTGTTAATTGTGCCAAGCTGACTGGTAACCACAGGCTGAAACAGTGAATAGAAAAAATTATTGAATCTCTCTTTCAAATCCATCTCTTCCATCCAACCTTCCTCTTTTACTAAAATTTACACGATTGTTCTCAGCACCTCCACGTTTTATCAAGAGAGAAATCCTCCAGTGTAGGGGAGCAGCTGCCCATCAGTCTTGACAGAAATGACAGCTAAAATGAGACTGCTAAGTCAATGGTTACCCTTGGAGATCAAGGCCTTACCTCTGATGGATCATGAACCCACTGTCCATCCACAAAGAACTTGTATTGGTGCTCTCCCTCAGGGAGGTCCAGGATGGCAACAAAGTCATTATGGCTACAGAAGAAAAAAGAAAGGCAAACAGGCCAAGTTCCTTTTAGAAGACTGAATCTAAAAAACAAGTGGCAATCATAGTATCATATGAATAATTTCCCAGATTCCTAAGCCATTGTATCCCCTGGTGTAAAAAACAACGTATAAACCCATTCTCCTTTTCTGTATCATCTTGGACATGTATTTACCAGCTCCTCCCAACAACGTTAGTTCTTAACCAATATCTGGAAAAGAATAATAAAAACATTAATCCCCTCAAATGGTTCACCTTAGTATAACTTACTTTGCTTCAGTAGAACAAGTTCCTCACCAGTGCAAATAAGATAGGTAGGTTTAGGATACAGAAGTGCCTCAAGGTACTCTTTCCCTGTTTTGGTGAACCTTTTCTAGAGAATGAACTACCATACAAAGGGCCATTCTGACAACCAGTTAAATCACTCATTATTGCTTTGGAAGCAACAAATAACATGACTACCTAAAAATTCAAAATGTGTTTTGCTTTAGTGCAGAAGTCAGAGCAACAAGACTCAGACAGTTACAAAAGACTTCCCACAAGCATAGACAGGACTTGTATGACATAGTCCTAAAGAATGTAGCCATAAAGCTATTATGAATCCCTCTGAGGCAATGAAATTCTAAAGGGTAAAACATCTCTGACTCACTATGAGGTTAAAAAAAAATCCCACAGATATACTAAGTGGCCGCAGAAAAGGGCATGTTCTAGAGACAGTCCTTAGTAGGTGGAGAAAAGTCCAGCTGGGTCTCTCTTCTGAGAAAAGAAATCAGGTCTCTATTCCTGGACCCTTAGATTCAACCAAGACACTTGTCACCTCTTAATCAGTGGAATCTTGGTGCTCCAATTGTTGAAGGACCCAGAGATGAAGACCTCCTTGCCTCCTTCAGACCAGCGGATAACAGTGGGCCGGGCCTGCTGTGTGGGCTTTACGGAGTCCTCCAAATCCTGCTGCCATGATACAAACTCTTTGTCCCCAGGGAGCTGTAAGAAGGAGTAGGTCATCCCTAGAATAAACTGTGACCCAAGAATTCTAAAAAGGTCACTCTCCTCCCTAGGATAGAGAAGGGTGCTAGGCTTTGGCTAAGGATATAAACCCCAAAATTAGCAACTAAATCAGAGTTTGAACAAATTATAGAAAAAGAACTCATCTAGGACCAAAAATGGTCAAATGGCCTATGCTCAAGCACTGCCTAAATCATAGCCTAACTTTTGAGTCTACCTGTGTCACTTACCCTTCCAGAGCCTTAGACTCTCCCTTAAAAAAAAAAGAAAAAAATAACTCCCTACCACTAGTTTAACTCATAGGCAGGCAATTATGATATGCTTCTGAGTCTTTCTTCAGAGGAAAAAAAAATGAAAACAAAGTATGGTTCTGTAAAAGATAATTAAGTCAGCCATATATTTTTATAGGCAAATATGAATAGCTCTCAATTACCAGTTGTAATGGAAGTCAGAGATATCAAAATTCATAAGTAATTCATAAACTGTATTTCAGCTAAGAAGTAAAAAGAAGAAACATTAAAAATTCAAAAACTAGATCACTGATTTCTTAAAACTTGAGAAGTGGCTATGAAATCTTACTTATTCCCCTATCCCAGGCTTATACTAATTATTTCAGGAGTAGGAATAAAAATTCTAGAACCTCAAGAAGCAAGAGATCAAAAATACAATTTCCTTTATCAAAAGTAGCTCTCTTATCAAATGAGGTTTATGGGATTGTAAAAACAGTAACTCCTGTTTCTTTTCATTACTATCCTTTGGACCAAGAGTTGGCAGACAGCCAGTAAGCCAGATGCTTTTATCAAGTGTTATTTGAAAACAGCTCTGCCCATTTGTTTACCTATTATTTTACTGATTGATTGATTGAGAAAGGACCTTGCTCTGTCACCCAGGCTGGAATGCAGTGAGTGGTGTAATCATAGCTCACTGCAGCCTCGAACTCCTGGGCTCAAGCCATCTTCCCACCTCAGCTTCCAGAGAAGCTGAGACTAGAGGTGTGAACCAACATACCTGCCTTGCTTACCTATATTGTCTATAGCTGCTTACAGGCTACAGTGGCAGAATTGCGTAGCTATAACAGAGACTGTATGGTCTACAAAGTCTAAACTATTTACTATCTGGCCCTTTACAGAAAGATTGCTGACCCCTATTTTAGACTGGTTTAAGTGACTTTGGTAAATAAGACTGTATAGTATTAAGCCTAAATATTACTAAATTGAATAATGTGGGTTTTTTTTTAAAAAAAGGACTAGCTTATTCATTTGGGCTTTCTTTTCAAAATGGTTGACATAGCTTCCCTCCATACATTCTCTTGATATTCCTCAAAACTACAGTATAGCATATCAGTAGCAGGATAATCCAAAGTAAATAGAGAAAGAGAATTGAAAGGACTTTCACATAAGGAATTGACTTAAGAGAAAACTACATATTCTCAGAACAATGCACTCTTGACTAACTGGCTGCGTTAGAATTACAAGAATTTGACATATGCCTAAGAATAACCCTCAGATTCGGATGTAAGATCTGGGAACCTATTTTTAAAAAGCTTTCTAGATAACACTGTGATTATGTTAAAATAAAGGAAAAAAAGCTTCCCAGATATACCGTGATTATGTTAAAATAACAAAGAAAAAACCCTCATCTTTAGAGGTACATCCTAAAATGTTACAGATAAAATAATACTTGATATAATATCTGGGAATTTGCTTCAAAATAACTAGTGGGAGAATAGTGGACTGGGGTATAGATGTTATATGTTCATTCAAGATATGATCATTGTTCAAACTGGGTGGCATGTATATAGATGTCATTATACTGTTTCCCCCTACTTTGAAAGTGTTTCAAATTTTCCAAAAACTATTTAAAGAAATCTGAGGTGATTCTAATGTGCAAACAGGATTGAGAACCACTGAACTAGTCCACTGAAAAAGGCAGGCATTCAAAGCAAAGTAGGCCCCCCTGCCACTGTTTCTGTCAGTTACTTTTATGACAGGATTTTCAGTTTAGAATTTGAAAGCTACAAACTATTAATATGCCTAGCTTTGGAGGAAAGCCCTTCCACTTATGACATGACATTTCTGTAGTAGGAATGAATGCAACTGACTAGCAGAAAGATTGTTTACTCCAAGTTACTCAGCAAAACTACCAGGAAAAGAGGCAAAACGACAATCAGAACTACAGTTTGATGTTTAAGTAAAATGTTGAGTTTAGAAGTAAAGAGGCTACATTGAGAACTATAAAATTTTAGACTTAAATGAGACCTTAGGAATTATCTGATTTTCAGACAATCTGAAAATTATATGAATAATTTTCTTAATTCACAAATGCCAAGACTGAGGTGAGAGATAAGAATAATACAAAATAGGCCCCAATTCAGACAGAGCAACCTGGCTTTTAATCAGGACACCAATTACTGCAGTCACAGTTCGACAAATACACTGTATTTAAATCCTGAGTCATCAACATAGGAAAAGGGTAAAAATATAATGAGGCGGATCACCTTTCGAAAGCTTTGAAGAAGTAAATTCAGATGGCTTGTAGATAGCCCAAATAAGAATGGAGAATTGGAGAATAAACCCCAATAAGTGCTCCTTTTAATCACTCTCACTTCTCTGTGATTATGGTTGGTTTTTTTGTTTTTTTGTTTTTTTGTTTTGAGAGTCTGTCACCCAGGCTGGAGTGCAGTGGTTTGATCTAAACTCACTGCAACCACCGCCTCCCGGGTTCAAGCGATTCTCCTGCCTCAGCCTCCCGAGTAGCTGGGACTACAGGCATGCACCAGCATGCCCGGCTACTTTTTCTGTATTTTTAGTAGAGACGGGGTTTCACCATGTTGGTCAGGCTGGTCTCGAACACCTGACCTCAAATGATCCAACCGCCTCGGCCTCCCAAAGTGCTGGGATTACAGGCGTGAGCCTCTGCGCCAGGCTGTGATGATGTTATCAATTGAGATCCAAAGAAATAAATCATGGAATCCAAATTCCATGTGCTACCAATATGGCAAACAATACTCTATTCACTCTCTAAAGCCCCAGTTCCCTGGGAAGTGATGAAATGATAGGAAACATCAAACACACCCGAATCTCCTCAAGCCCTCCATTTTTCTATCTCATCCAGTCAGTCTACCTGGAGGAATTACTTGTATTTCATGCTGACAGCTCTGAAAGCCATTAGAAACATTAGAATGGTAATCGCTGCTATCAGCTCCATCTGTCCTTTCTTACAGAGTGAAAACAAGTTGTTCTCTTCCTGAAAGTCCTTGGAATTGAGAGCAAGGTCTTCAGGGCAGCTGTGGGTTGTCGTTTTTTTAGCCACGCAACATTTTGAAGTACTACTGAGGAGTAAACAAGTCGTGGAATCATTGGCTCTTCCACCTACGGAGCAGCAGCGGGGCGTGAAAGAGGCACAGCCTCAGCCACCACAACTATAAAGTATGGGACAAAAATTAAGCAGTCAACTAAATGATGTCCTTAATTGATCCCCAAGACTAGGAGAAAGTATTCAATAAGCAAGTAGTTGCTGCTTACAGCCGTGCCAAAAGGGAAGAGGATCACAACTGTAGAGCTGCTAGAAGAGCAAAAATGATACTGATACATAGAAATTTTCAGAAAAAGAATTTCATTTAGCCACCTCAGGGCAAAGGTGAGAAACTACCACCTATGGTCAGCAACTCGTGCAACCTACCCTCTGAAGTTGTCCACCAGGGATTACAAACTACAAATTCAGCAACGCTATGGAAGAGAGCCATTCGTGCTCGGAGGATCGGGGATGGGGGGATGTCTATTGTCCCCATCCTAAAAATGTGGCCAACAGATTAGTCAGAACACCAGGAAAGCAAGAACTCCGCCTCTTTATCCTATTTTGAGGCGGCACTTCAAGAGGAATTATCATCCAACACCTCTGTCCCCGATAAATCCCTTTAATTCAAAAAACCATAGCCCGGTTCGGCGCGGTAGAAAAGAACCAAGAAAGGGAAGAGGAGCCCAGAAATCAACCCGCTGCAGTACTGACACCAACTGCGGGCATGGGACGCTTACCTTGGAGTCAGGGAGGCTGAACACGCTGGGGTCGTCCGTACTCCCCACCATGATCTTGTGCTCCTTCCCCGGGGCATGGCCGCCTGCGCCCTCGGAGCGTGCAGCCTTGGCGCCGTGGCGCTCCCCGGACACCCGGTCGCTGGTGGTGTTTCCCATGGCTGCAGCTCGTCGGGGACCACCTACCGCGGGGAACGACACCGGGCTGGGAACACCTCAGCCGCCGCGTCAGGGGCGCCCCCCGGCCCCGCCCCTGCGCCTCGGGACAGGGCAAGGGATTCCCCGCCCCAGGGAAGCCGAGCCCTGGAGCCCTCTCCCTCCTGGCCTGCGGGAACGCCTGCAAATACCCCGGTGCCCTCACTGGCCCTAGCTCAGGAAACCCGCTATCGGGACCTCCCCCGCGTCCCCGCGCTCACTGCCAGGGGCGCCCCCACTCCAGTCACCTCGGGCGATGCGCTCCCTCCTCCAAGGGCCACTGATGTGATGGCTGTTCTGCAGATCAGGCCACCAATAAAGTTATTGAAATTGAAGCCGCACCCCTCGCTGGCGACCAGCGATTCCTCCTAAAATGGCTACAAGGCCGGCGGCGCGGAGTCCGCCCAGTGCGCGTTCCCTGCGGCCTGCAGCCTCGGCGCCCGGGACCCGCCGGCCTCTCTAGCCGCCGCCGCCGCCGCCTCGATGGTGGGCAGTCGCACGCAGCCTCCAGCGCCAGGAGGGGGCGCCAGGCAGGGCCTGTCCCGCCTGGGGAGACTGCGCCCGGGATAATAGGAGCGCTTGGCCTCTGAGACTACCCGGCAGAAGGGACGTCCCCAAATGACACTCGGAGGCCGCCTCCCTGGGCTCCGGTGCTCGGTGCCGGGAGGAGCGGCACGGCTTTCTACCCCGCCTCAGGTGCGCCAGCACGTTTTCTGGGCAGCATCTGTGTGTTAGGCGACCGGAGAGGTGGGTTCCTTATAGGGAATAAGAAAACTGAAACTGACTTCCAACTGCAGGCAGAAGGAAGCAGTGGTCATTGCTGGAGGTTAAAACTGTTCTGACCGGGCGCAGTGGCTCACGCCTGTATTCCCAGCACTTTGGGAGGCTGAGGCGAGCAGATCACGAAGTCAGGAGATCAAGACCATCCTGGCCAACAAGGTGAAACCCCGGCTCTACTAAAAATACAAAAATTAGCTGGGCGTGGTGGCGCGCGCCGGAAGTCCCAGCTACTTGGGAGGATGAGGCAGAAGAATCGCTTGAACCCGGGAGGCGGAGGTTGCGGTGAGCCGAGATCGCGCCATTGCACTCCAGCCTGGCGACTCAGCGATACTCCGTCCCCCTCTCCCCGCCCCAAGAAAAATCTGTTCAGTGGGGAGCGACAAGGAAGGAGCTTTCAGCCCGACTGGGGTCGCAGGGAAGAATTCAAGATGGCGTGTTTAGGAGCTCTAGCTCCTTGACAAATTAGTAAAATGTTAGTCTTAGGAGAAGAACGAAAAGGCTCTCCTAGGCTAAGAAACAGCATACACAGTGAGAAACCTCAGAAGAAATAAAATTCAAGGAAGATAGCAACAACGAAAACATCAGAAGGAACACTAAAGGTATAAAAAGGGCAAAGACAGCCCTAGGGTTGGGAGGGATCCAGGTTTTTTATGAAAATTAGTGGAATCCCTAAGGTACTTACCTTTGTATTATAAGTATTTGCATGTCTCCTTCTAGAAACGTTTATCACTCTGTGTTACACAGACCAGCAGTGTTGGCGTCAACTGGGAGCCTGTTAGAAATGCAGAATCAGGCCCCATCCCCAGGGTTCTGAATCTGCATTTTAACAAGATCACATTAAAGTGTGTGAGAAGCAATGCTTTGACAGCTGGCAGAGAGCAGATCCAGATTTGATACCTTTTCATATTCTGCATGTACCTTATACAGAGTAGGCTTTTGCATTTGCGGAATGAAGGATACAGGAATACTGTTTACTGTAATCCATTTCTAACCAGATATGCCACTTAGGCTTAAACACGGCCAATGATGGGGAACCCCAAGTTACATAGGCCACCCTTTCTGAGTGAGCAGCTCTATTTGCTGAAACGTTCATTTTTATATTATGAAGTTGACATCCCACTTAAGTACAACAAATTCACTACTCCCCTATTCTTTGCTCTGCCTCTTATAAACTCATTCTTTGGCTCATAAACCAAAGACAGTTTACAGGAAGAAAAAAAAAAGGTACGATTTTACTGCAACTTCTTGCTCACCCCTCCAAAATCTTTATGTCTGAGTACATGCTTTTTGGTTATCCCTACTTTTCTCCCTCCACCCCTCAATTCCTTACCATAGGACACTGAAGCAAGGCCCTTGAAGATACATAATACATTAAACCTTGACTTGTGTAGTATTCAGTTTTCTGACCCCAAGGTGGTTTCACCATGCCAAATAATATGTCCTTGGTATGTATTTCCTTGCAGTAGTCAAATCAGCCTAGCAGAAACAAAGTACGTTAACCAATGGAAAACTGACGGAGAGAAATAAACTGTTTTTGCACAGCTAAATGGAAATGACTTTTGAATTATCTGCTTTGGAAGATTATCCATGACACTGTTCTGCCCTGCTCTGCTCTAACAACATTTGTAAGTCACTCAACAGTTAATAATAAAAGTCAGTTTTGAATATTGCAGGTTTTAGACACAGAACAAATGTAATGTGACACTGTAGGAAGAATGAATTCTCCTTAGTCCCAAATTCCTTTTTTTTTTCTTAGATTCGGGAATAAGTAAAGATACAAGATCCTCTTAACCAGTATCAGTATAATTGTTCCCTTTAGATTTATTGCTGTCACCCCAATGCTCTTCTTTCTTTCTAGAGGAAAGGAAAAGAAGGAGGTAATAGGAAAAGTAATGGGTTGTCCTGATGTTACTGTGTCTAGGATGTCATTGCCACTGGTCTCCTCAGATCAATCATTCTGCCTAATAAACAGAAAAATAACATGGGCAGCCTCACATGCAAGCCTTTACACACACTGCTAAAGAGACCTCGCTTCCTCTGAGAAGTGAGGATGTGAGAATGAAGGATTGATTTTACAGAACTGGATGACAGGTTAAATTGGGCATCTGGAGGTTTATATTCCCATCTCCACTCACCAAGTTTCATCCTC
The DNA here is from genome assembly GCF_000001405.40 of Homo sapiens. Lineage (NCBI taxonomy): Eukaryota > Metazoa > Chordata > Mammalia > Primates > Hominidae > Homo > Homo sapiens. Next base: position 147,175,110 of record NC_000001.11, read on the forward strand.
CATTTATGACCAAGGATAGGTATAACATCTGATCTTGATGGTTACTGTTTCAAAAAACAATCTGATCTTTTTTATAAAGTTAAACATTTACTTAATCATGCAGCATACTAATTCCCACTCCTGGGTATTTATCCGAGTGACATAAAAACAAGTTCACACAAAACCTGTAAACACATATATGTCTTTATTCATATAATAGAAAAAACACAAACCCTAAAATGGAAAAAACATAATGTCCTTCACCTGGTGATATGGTTTGGTTCTGTGTCCCCACCCAAATCTCATCTCAAATTGTAATACCCACGTGTTGAAGGAAGGACCTATAACCTTCACGTGTCAAGGGAGGGAAGTGATTGGATGATGGGGGCGGTTTCCCCCATGCTGTTCTTGTGATGGTGCATGAATTCTCACCAGAGATGATGGTTTTAAAAGTGTTTGGCAGTTCTTCCTTCATTCACACACACTCACTGTCTCTCCCCTGTGCCACATAAGATGAGCTTGCTTCCCTTCTACCATAACTGTAAGTTTCTGAAGTCCTCCCCAGCCATGCAGAACTATAAGTAAATTAAACCTCTTTTCTTTATAAATTACCTAGTCTCAGGTATGTCTTTATAGCAGTGTGAAAATAGGCTAATACATCTGGTGAATCAATAATTAAAATGTAGCATAGCTATAAATGGAATACTACTCAGTAATAAAAGAATAACTCGATACATACAATAATATTGATGAATCTCAAATGCATTATGGGAAGTAAAAGAAGCCAGGCTCCACTTATGTGACATTCTGGAAAAAGGAAGACTATACGGTCAGAAAACAGATCAGTGTTTGCCAGGACTTGGGGGTGGGGGGTGGGGAGTGATTGACTACAAAAGGGCATGAAGAAATTTTGAAGGGGAGGTATGGAACAGGTCTGTATCTTGACTGCAGTGGAGTTATTGATACTTACCAAACTGTACAATAAAAAGTAAATTTTTATTGTATGAAAATTATGCCTAAATTAAAAACTATTAATAAAATCAGCATTAGCAAAATATATGAGTTTATACACAAGAGACTACTCAACCATTGGGTAAACTAATTATTTTTAAACAAATACCATTGATTTTAATCTTTTTATAGTTTTTATACAGGCAGAGAAATAATAGTGATTCTGCTCACCTAAAGGAAGATAGACCCAATTCAAAGGTACAGAATTTTCCCCAAATAGTATCATAATTTTTCCTTTCAGATTCCAAAGGATTTGCATGTAAATTCTATCATGTGATCCTCAGAACCACCCTATGAGGGTAAGCAGAACAGATGATCCATGATATTCCATTTTATAAATGAGGTGCAGGTTAAATATTTAGCCAGTATTTCTTGATAAGTATAGTCCATTTATTTCAACAAACCTTGATTGAGGGCCCCAATACTTGTTGAGCTTTTGCTGAGCCACCCCTGCTCTAGAGGAGCACATGCTCTGGAAATCTCTAAGGAAACTACTACAACTCTAAATAGATATGGTGTATAGTGATACTGTGACTAAATATTCACTGCAAATTTCCTCTAAAATTATAGATATACATTACTGGAATAATTAGTATCTCAACATCTTCATTAACTATGAATCTACTATGTATATATCATCACCATGTGAGTATTAATTTGGTACAAATAGGCTGCCAACTCTAAAATTATTTGATGTAGGGCAAGTACTTTTATCTTTTTAGCCATAAATTTTCTCATCTGTAAAATGAGAGGAGTAGGCATGTGATCATTAAATCCTGGGTTACGGTAGGAGGCATCAATATGAAATGTTTAGCTTAATATAGATACAGATGGGTAAATATAGAAATACTTAAAAATGCATGTGGATTCATGTTTAATACATTAGTATACACACATATATTTCCAAGTTCTGTCCTCCGAAGGCCTAGAAGCAATGACAAGCAGAAGCAAGGAGCACACCCAGCATCCAGTTTTTTGTTTCTAATACTGTTCTCCAACAAAGGGAACCAGAGCCCTTGAGAAAAATGCCTAATTCTAGGACTGGGGCAGGGGATATACAAGATGAGTCTGAAACATCTTATAGTGCCAGAAAATAAACAAGTGCTTTAAAAAGACACAAAAAACTGATGGTATATCAAAGTGACATAGGAGCCAACTAAAAGAGCTCCCAATAGCTAAAGCTAGAATAATTCAAAAAATAAGTAATTCAGCATTGGATTTAACCCAAATTATAAAATAAGATCCATGAGTTCATACTGATACAAGTAAATGATTGAAGAAACAAATAATTGGGAGATAATTCTCATATTGAAAAATTCCAAAAAATTTATGTACTCTACCCTCGAGAAGATGGAACATAATTCTCCACCCCATAAGCATGAGTCAAGCCTAGTAAATGTTTTTCAAAGAGCGCAGTATGGAAAGGAGGAAGAACACTACCTCAACCAGCTGATCAAGGCTAACATCTCTAGTATGTCATTAGTGGCATGTAACCTTGATATGATATGATGAGAATAGCATTTGATCTTTGATCTGTTTCCTCCCCGAAACTCATTGCCCCAGCCTAATCATGAAGAAATATCAGACAATCTCAAATTAAGTACAAAATAACCAGTACTCTTCAGAACTATCAAGGCCACCAAAAACAAGGAAAGTATAAGAAACTGTCACAGTCTAGAAGAGCCTGGTGATGACTAAATGTAATGTGATATCCTGGATGGGATCCCAGGACAGAAAAAGAACATTAGGTTAAACTAAATCAAACTTGAGTATGAAACTTCTTTTTTTTTAAGTGCCTAAGTCCTGAATGACAACAAAAGACTGAAGAACTGACAACGATTAGAGGACACTAAGGAGACTTAACAACTAAATGCAAAATGGGACCCTGAATCTGATCCTGGAACACAAAAACTAAATTAGTAGAAAAGTGGTAAAATAGGTGGTCGCGCGCCCGACCGCCGCAGTCCCAGTCGAGCCGCGACCCTTCCGGCTGCCCCCACCCCACCTCGCCGCCATGTGCCTCCGCCGCCCAGCGCTGTTCCCGGGCGTGGCGCTGCTTCTCGCCGCGGCCCGCCTCGCGGCTGCCTCCGACGTGCTAGGACTCAGGGACGACAACTTGGAGAGTCGCATCTCCGACACGGGCTCTGCGGGCCTCATGCTCGTCGAGTTCTTCGCCCCCTGGTGTGGACACTGCAAGAGACTTGCTCCTGAGTATGAAGCTGCAGCTACCAGATTAAAAGGAATAGTCCCATTAGCAAAGGCTGATTGCACTGCCAACACTAACACCTGTAATAAATATGGAGTCAGTGGATATCCAACCCTGAATATGTTTAGAGATGGTGAAGAAGCAGGTGCTTATGATGGACCTAGGACTGCTGATGGAATTGTCAGCCACCTGAAGAAGCAGGCAGGCCCAGCTTCAGTGCCTCTCAGGACTGAGGAAGAATTTAAGAAATTCATTAGTGATAAAGATGCCTCTATAGTAGGTTTTTTCGATGATTCATTCAGTGAAGCTCACTCCGAGTTCCTAAAAGCAGCCAGCAACTTGAGGGATAACTACCGATTTGCACATACGAATGTTGAGTCTCTGGTGAACGAGTATGATGATAACGGAGATGGTATCATCTTATTTCGTCCTTCACATCTCACTAACAAGTTGGAGGACAAGACTGTGGCATATACAGTGCAAAAAATGACCAGTGGCAAAATTAAAAAGTTTATCCAGGAAAACATTTTTGGTATCTGCCCTCACATGACAGAAGACAATAAAGATTTGATACAGGGCAAGGACTTACTTATTGCTTACTATGATGTGGACTATGAAAAGAATGCTAAAGGTTCCAACTACTGGAGAAACAGGGTAATGATGGTGGCAAAGAAATTCCTGGATGCTGGGCACAAACTCAACTTTGCTGTAGCTAGCCGCAAAACCTTTAGCCATGAACTTTCTGATTTTGGCTTGGAGAGCACTGCTGGAGAGATTCCTGTTGTTGCTATCAGAACTGCTAAAGGAGAGAAGTTTGTCATGCAGGAGGATTTCTCGCGTGATGGGAATGCTCTGGAGAGGTTCCTGCAGGATTACTTTGATGGCAATCTGAAGAGATACCTGAAGTCTGAACCTATCCCAGAGAGCAATGATGGGCCTGTGAAGGTAGTGGTAGCAGAGAATTTTGATGAAATAGTGAATAATGAAAATAAAGATGTGCTGATTGAATTTTATGCCCCTTGGTGTGGTCACTGTAAGAACCTGGAGCCCAAGTATAAAGAACTTGGCGAGAAGCTCAGCAAAGACCTGAATATCGTCATAGCCAAGATGGATGCCACAGCCAATGATGTGCCTTCTCCATATGAAGTCAGAGTTTTCCTACCATATACTTCTCTCCAGCCAACAAGAAGCTAAATCCAAAGAAATATGAAGGTGGCCATGAATTAAGTGATTTTATTAGCTATCTACAACGAGAAGCTACAAACCCCCCTGTAATTCAAGAAGAAAAACCCAAGAAGAAGAAGGCACAGGAGGATCTCTAAAGCAGTAGGCAAACACCACTTTGTAAAAGGACTCTTCCACCAGAGATGGGAAAACCACTGGGGAGGACTAGGACCCATATGGGAATTATTACGTCTCAGGGCCGAGAGGACAGAATGGATATAATCTGAATCCTGTTAAATTTTCTCTAAGCCATTTCTTAGCTGCACTGTTATGGAAATACCAGGACCAGTTTATGTTTGTGGTTTTGGGAAAAATTATTGGTGTTGGGGGAAATGTTGTGGGAGTCGGGTTGAGTTGGGGGTATTTTCTAATTTTTTTGTGCATTTGGAACAGTGACAATAAATAAGACCCCTTTAAACTGTAAAAAAAAAAAAAATAGGAATGCGGTCCATGGTTTACTTAATCGTATAATATCAGTGTTCATTTTCTTATTTTGATAATTGTCATAATGTTGTGTGAAATATTCTCTTTAGGGAGCCTGGGAAAGAATATATAAGAACTCTACTATTTTTGTAACTTTTGTGGAGGACTGCAATCATTTCTAAATAAATAGTCTTAAAAATAACTAAAGTAATAAAAATAATAAAGTACATGAGGAAGTCCAGTGTCATGTTGTATAGTCAGAAGATTCTTCAAATGAGAGAATTTGCACCCAGGGAAATAGAGAAAAAAGACTCTGAAAAGAACTTTTTTTGTTTGTTTGGTTTTTGTGTTTTTTTTTGAGACAGAGTCTTGCTCTGTTGCCAGGCTGGAGTTCATTGGCGCGATCTCAGCTCACTGCAACTTCCACCTCCCAGGTTCAAGCAATTCTCCTGCCTCAGCCTCCTGAGTAGCTGGGACCACAGGTGTGTGCCACCACGCCTAGTCAATCTTTGTACTTTTTAGTAGAGATGGGGTTTCGCCATTCCGGCCAGGATGGTTTCGATCTCTTGACCTCGTGATCCACCCGCCTTGGCCTCCCAGAGTGCTGGGACTACAGGCATGAGCCACTGCGTCCGGCCTGAAAAGAGCCTTAAAATAAGTTTATTTAAAATTCTCAGAGAAAGGAAGATGCCAGTTTGAACACACCCCAGCTCCATGCCATTTCTCACCCCTACCCACCCAATTTTCACAAGTCAGAAGCTATTGGTACTAGCAGATAATAGAGTACAATAAAGGCCTAAGGATCAGTGAGCGGCCTGACAGAACAGATACAGGTCCACCTCTCCTTTTGACTAAATCAAACTTTACCATACATCAAAATTATCTAGAGGGTCAAATATGCAGATTGCTGGTCTGTGTACCCAGAGTTTCTGATTCTGTAAGTCTGGAGTGGGGCCTGAGGACTTGTGTCAAGTACAAGGCTGATGTTTCTGCCTCAAGGGCCACATTTTGAGAAACGCGGCCTAGACAAGGGTCTAGAGACGAGTATTCAAGATCCCCAGTAAACGGCATTGTGCAGAAAGGAGTTTGCTGACTCTTAGAACCGTAATAATGCTTCGCCATACCTAAAAAATAAACAATTAAAATCAACTAGGATGTGTGGGAACAAGTCTCTCATACAGAATTCCAAATAATTTATGTAGCTATTGCCCCCTCAAGGAATTAGAGCACAACTCCATGCTTGTGACTGCTTTAGCTTGCAAGTTTGGCCCATGGGTGGGATTTGGGAACTTGGATTTTGGGAGGTTTCTTACCACCTTAACTGATAAGAGTGGCTCACTTTTTTAAAACTGTTTGTACAAACAATGTGATTTATGCTGAACACTTGCTTTTCTTCTGGGAGTCTGGAATTCTGATATGTGCTAAGCAGAGGGTGCCTATGTGACTAGCCCCAACTAAAAACCTCATCACAGAGTGAAGATATGTGAAAGTCTTTCGATTGTTTCCATTTTCTTAGAGGAAAAAAAGAGAAGATGATTAGCTGACTGTGAGGAAAGGAGACAACATATTTGAGGTTTGCGGAGATAGGTTATATGCAGTAATCAACTAGAAAGGTGGGACAGAGAATTGTCTAGAAAAATGAAGTATGATTGGCAGTAGCACTGAAGGTCTACCTATGTTCAGTGGTTATGAATTTCAGAAAAGGCAAGTCACCATACTAGTATTTTTCTCTTGTCATGTTTAGCTGTTTTGATGCAGGCAGATAACCAAAATGAAGTTTAGCTAAGCAAGTATGGAGGAGAGCAACAAAGTAATTGAGAGTGCGTGGTAGGGTGTGATTATAATGTTGGGCCATGCATTTTAAATGAGGTGGGCTGGGAAATGAAGACAGCAGGTTGATGGGCAGCCCAGTGGAGTCAAAGAACTGCTGGAGTTGGAGTACCAGAGTGAATGAACTGAAAAGGTAGGAGAGAGTTTTAGAGAGTGGGATGCTTGAAATTGAGACTTTAGTGGTGTTGCGGTTATTCATGACAATGTCTTAGATATGTCCATGTGGGTATAGGTAGTTGAGATGAGGCAGATTATAAAATCACTGGAGTAAGAAGATCACATAACTAAAAGGCCAGATAGCAGAGTGTTAGAGATCTACCTCAACATTCATTCTCTCTTCCTTCTTAATAACAGAACCTTGATTTTTTTCCTGAGGTATTGCCTCTCTGTATAAAGACACATTTTGTAGTCTCCCTAGTAGCTAGATAAGTAACTAAGTTCTTCCAATAAGACTAAGTGAAAATGTTATGTGGAACTTTTGTAAAGTCTCCTTAAAAGAAAAGGGGTGTGCCATTGTTACATTTCTCCTTCCTTCTGTGTAGAATGTCCATATAATGGCTATAGCTACAGTGGGCCATCTTGGACCATGAAGTATAAGGTCCACATGCTGAAGATAGTGGAGCAAAAAGAGAAGCTGAAGAACTGTTATATCATCTCAGGACTATCTACTTCCAGACTTTTTTAATATAAGAGGAAAATAAACTTAAATCTTATTTAAGTCATTGTTATTTGAGGTTTTTCTGTTAAATGTAGCTGAAGCTAATCCTGACTAAGACATTGGATTGGTGAAAGTATTACCTACATCAGTGTTAAAACCAACTACAGGAGTAGTTTTATATTATAGCGAGGCAGAGAGCTTGGTGCTAAAATCTTTACTGAATGAAGGGGAGTCAACAATTCTGCTAATAATTTCAATCAGAAGTTATGGGTGCGTCAAAGGAGCTGGGGAATTTGGGAAAGCAAGGCAGAACAGCAGTGAAATGAGGGTCAAGGATGACATATATATACCCTACCTTCTTTCTTGTACCAAGATCTTGGCTTGTTATGTCTTATGTTTGATTGAGGAAATGAATTATAGACGAGGACATATCACTTGTGTTTTAAACCACAACTAAACATTAAAGATAACATACCAGGCCGGGCGTGGTGGCTCACACCTGTAATCCCAGCACTTTGGGAGGCCGAGGTGGGTGGATCATGAGGTCAGGAGATCGAGACCATCCTGGCTAACACGATAAAACCCCGTCTCTACTAAAAATACAAAGATTAGCCAGGCGTGGTGGCGGACACCTGTAGTCCCAGCTACATGGGATGCTGAGGCAGGAGAATGGCGTGAAGCCGGGAAGCAGAGCTTGCAGTGAGCCGAGATGGCGTCACTGCACTCCAGCCTGGGCGACAGAGCGAGACTCTGTCTCAAAAAAAAAGATAACATACTGATTCAGATCAATGACTCAGAACAGTTTTTGGAAGAACATGCTTGTCCTGCAGACATTTCAAAATGTTAATCACCCTTTAATCTCCTTTGTCACTTTTTCTAAAAGAATTATTCACTGTTTGATTTAATCCTTTAAAAGTCATCTATTTACCTCCCATATTGAATGTATTCATTTAATTAATTAATTCTTAACTTACTGAGGTCTTACTATGTTTCAGCCACTACATTAGGCACTAGGAACACACAGATTAAGTACAAAATGTATTCCTTCGAGGAGTTTACTAGTTCAAGGAGGAAACAGGTGAGAGAACCAAATATTGTTATATATTATGATAAGGCTATTCATAAAATGTAATTGAGAAGAACACTAGTTGTAATGAGAGCACAGAGGAAGGTGACCTATTTGATACTGAGGGTCAGGAAGATATTCCCTGAAGAGAAAACAGATGACCTGAATCTGGACGATGGTATAGGTGTTAGCCAGCTGGGCCAGTGGAGAATTTATCAAGAGGAAAGTACAGCACAAGAATGTGTATAAAAGCATGGAAAAACTTGGCACTCTTAGAAATTCCATTAGGCAATCTGGAGGTTGTTTAAATGCTGTATTACTCCTAACAAAAGTAACAGGCCCAGTATTAAGTAAAATAATCTTATTTATGAATGTACATGACATCAACATATCATAAATTTGCTAGTGGGGTCTGCTGGGTTAATGTGCACAGCTTCAATAAAGAACATATCTAAGTGATTTTAAGAAGTTGTGTATTTTGACTTTATATCACCATTTTACATTCTCTATAATTATAGTCTATACTTACTCAGCAAAGGAAGCAAAACTGCTGAATTAAGTTACATTATGCATTATTAAAGCAACTTAATTTGTGGAGAAATCATAGAAAAACACAGTAATTTGAATGACTTGTACTAGCCAGTATTCCTCCTCTGAGAAAATTCTGCCAGACCATAGCTCTGGGTCAAATCCTGAGCCAAAAAATAATAATAATAACTCCACATTTCTTTTTATTTTTAAATTTTATAAGAGTTTTAGATTTAAGAAAAGTTGCAAAAATAGTACAGCATTCTCATGTACCCCACATCCAATTTCCTTTATTGTTGACATTTTACATTCCTCTGGTACATTTGTCACAACTAATAAACCAATATTGATACATTATTAACCAAAATGCATACTTTATTAATATTCCCTTAATTTTTACTTAAAGTTCTTTTTCTGTTGCAGGAGTCCATCCAGGATACTACATTACATTTAGATGTTATGTCTCCTTAGGCCCCTTTATTCCGGGACAATTTCTCAGACTTTCTTTGTTGATGATCTTGACAGTTTTGAGGTAGTCAGGTATTTGTAGAATATTCTTCAACTTGGGTTTGTCTGATGTTTTTCTCATGGTTAGACTGCATTATGGTTTTTGAGAGGAATACAACAGAGAGGTAAAGTGGCCTTCTCATCACTTCATCTCAAAGGTACATACTATCAGTGTGACTTATTACTGTTAGTGTTAATCTTGATAACCTAGCCGAGATAGTGTTTATCAGATTTCTCCACTACAAAGTTATTTTCCCCCTTTCCATATGTAATTTTTGGAAGGAAGTCACTATTCAGCTCACACTAGAGAAGTAGGAAGTTCTGCTCCATATCCTTGAGGGCAGAGTTCATAAATTATTTGGAATTCTTCTTCATGGGAGATTCATCTATTCTACCCCATTTATTAATGTATTCAATTTTCTGGCACTACAAGAATATATATATATTTTTGTAATCGACTTTAAAATAATTAGGAAAATGATAGAACATTTTAATATAAGAACAAGATATGGTAAATTGATGAATATTATTAGACATTATCAGTAACAAGAGCTTTGTATCTTAAGTTGTTTTGAGTTCAATTTCTTGTTCACATCTTTTAGCTTGGTTGAGCTAAAAAATCATTAACCATTGATTTTTTTTTGTAACCTTGCATATAATATGTACAATGAGAGAATCAATTAATTTAGAATTACATACTCCTAATTTAAAAAAGAAACTGGTGTACTTATTGCTGATAACTAGGAATTATATTATCAAAGGGCTGTTAATTCAACAAATTTACATGCTAAAAGAGAAATTTATATGTTAAAAGAAATTAAAAGGAAGCAAGAGACATTCAATTTGCTTTTGATATGCAGATTTAAAAATACTAGGTCCATTTTAATAGATGATAAATCTCCAGTATCACAAGGATTAGGGAAAGCAAAAGACCTGAAAAGTAATACCAGTTCTCAGTTCTCTAACTCTCAAAAGGCATTCCACAGGTAAATTCGGTGAAAGGGCCGGCAATTGTTCAAATGTTTAAATAAGAAGAAGTTGTAGTTCTCACATTTCCAGTTCTCTTACAGGTGTGTGTATTTGGAAAGATAATACTCTCTAATGTTGGTCTTTTCCATTGTTCAGGTTTATCCTGTTGTTAAGTAATAAGCAGCAATCCAAATACAAACATATTGTACAACAGCTATTAATGAACATCACCTGAGTTCAGTGTGCCTGACAGCTGACACTTAGTTAATTTCTCCATGAAACAAGAACAGTGAAACTTCCACAGATGAGAAAACAGAATCATCAGTGGCACTGGGATGTAAACCCAAGTACCTGCTTTGCATTTCATTTGCTCTGTTTTTCAGAACTACACTTTACGACATGAGAAAAACTGGTATAAGCAGAATGTTCCTACATTTAGTTAATATCAGTTCTAATTTAATACATAAATGACTTGTTCAAATACTTACTTAGACTCCATGTAAGGGAGGAGAAAAGGGGAGAAAATTAGAGTGGGGGAAGATGAATCAAATCACATTTGTAGACCACACTACAACAATTGGAAGCTACTTATCATATTTCCTAAGATAAAGTTTTGTTGGATCCTAATATGGGAAGGATTTAAAAGAGATTTAAAAAGGTAGGACAGCTAATTTAAAATCCCAAAATTCTCAACCAAGTTGATCTCATTGGCAGATGGTAGATGATCTGAATGACTGTGAGCCTAGAAAGTTGAAAGTAATTTCTTTATTGAGAAAATAAAGACATGGTTCCTAAGGAAAAGGGCTAAAAATGACCATGTTTCAAGTACACTAGTGAATAGCAAGTGAAACAAAATGTCTTAAGCATCTATATGTCTTATCTTAGATACATACAACTATTGTAGGAACATTATTTCTCTTATCTCTCAGGAAACATATTTAGTTATAATATGAAAAAAAACTAAAATTGAGCTTCTAATAGAAAATCAAACCCTATCAGAAGAAGAGTTACGTGGAGTAAGCGATTTTATACCGATGCTGACTTACTCTCCCTACCATAAAATTTGATAAACAACAAACATTTATTAAGCACCTACCACATGTCAAGAACTCTGCTAAAGACATACAAAGATGACTAAAAGAGTACCTGAGCTCCCAGTCTAGGGATTACCACAAGGAAGAGTGACGGATCATGAGTGGAAGGGAGATGAGTTAATACAAATGGAAAACAGGTTTCATTGTAGGAAAAAGGAAAGTGAATTAATGCTTTCGAAAGAGACATTAAAGTAGATTTCTGGGCAATATGAAACTGAGAGTCAATCTCGTCAGATTCTGAAGGCATCTGTAGATAAGCTTCCCAATGAAAAACAGGGCAGTGACAATAGGACAACTAGAAGTAAGCTATAATTATAGCAAAGAAGGCAAGAGCTAGCATAAACTTGCCTATTGTCATTGTTGAAGTCATAGAACTACTCCTTTCAACTACTCTTGTCATCAGAGGCTTCCTGATGCGATCATCTGTGGTGAGGATAGCTTTTCGAGCCCCATCCCACTTTCCAGGGCCCTGTACACGATAGTGGATTGGAGTGCAGGGTCCCAGTAATAAGTGTAATGCCAGCTTGGGGTCAGTGAAGGCCAGAGACAGCAGATTGGGCCTGACCCCCACCAAATCAGCAAGCTCTTCCATGGTATCTATGTAGTCTCCCTGAATGGTATGGCGTTGGCTCTCCACATACCTAAAGTAGAAAAGACAGAAACCATGGCCTGTCAATAATTCAATCAGTCAGTCAATCAATTACTGCCTTCTGAGTGCCTGCTATTGGCTCAATATCAGACTAGGAGCTGTGGAATATAGAGAAGAAAGATAAAACATTGGTCACTGTCCTTAAGGATCTTAGGACTTACAAAAGGAGATAAGACAGATAAACATGAAGCGAGACTTCTGAGTGGTTTCAGACTGCCAAATAGAAATGTGGAGAGGGGATAGTTAAAAGAGAGCTGTAATCGTTAGGTTCTTGAAGGATGTGAAAGATACAGATAAGATGAGGGGCAGGTATAGCACATCTAGATACAAAGGACTCTGATGTTATGAGAAAGAGAAAACCCATCACAAAAATTCTCAAGTATGGCATCCTCTATTATTTGATGAGGGCAGTGGTGACAGGGTCCACAGGGCAGGACTTCCCAGGGCCAATGTTAATTTGGAATCCTGAAAGGATGAGGGAGAATGATTTATTCCACAAGAGGAAGTAGCCCTCCAAATGGAGACAAATGAAATTATTACACCAAGTGCAGATTTAAAGATTTAAAAGGGCTTTTTAAAGGGGAAAATGTGGTTGATTAACAGTGATATCTGTGTGGTGGAGTGGGATTTGGTGAGCTAATGAGTGACTTTCACTTTTTACTTTCTGTAATGAAAAGAAAGAACTGTAGGACAGAGAGGAAGAGAAAAGCCAAGTCAAGCCAATTGAGATTGAAGAATCCAAGAACAGGGACAGGAAAAAAATGATAGAAAATAAATTTGAGGTAGAACTGGTGAGATGGAATTTCAGAGGACCTGATAGAGGGTCAAGTAGGAATTTATTGAAATGGGACTAGATTTAGGAGAGAAAAAGGTAAAACAGTAAAGAATTTGAGAGCTTTCCCTTATGAACAATATGTTGGCTCAAGAGTTTGTAGACATGCATTTATTTATCCTATAATAGTAGGTCAAGATCTATACTATTCATGAGGTTGGGCGTGGTGTTTCATGCCTGTAATCCTAGCACTTTGGGAGGCCGAGGCAGGCGGATCACTTTGAGCTCAGGAGTTCGAGATCAGCCTGGGCAACATGGCGAAACCCCATCTCTACAGAAAACACAAAAATTAGCTGGGCGTTGTTAGTATGCCTGTAGTCCCAGCTACTCAGGAGGCTGAGGCGGGAGAATTGCTTGACTCCAGGAAGTGGAGGTTGCAGTGAGCCAAGATCACACCACTTCACTCCAGCCTGGGTAACAGAGTGAGACCCCATATCAAAAAAAAAAAAAAAAAAAAAAGAGCTATAGTATTCATGAAGGTTTCACAAAAGAGGTTCACTAGCTCCTGCCTTGATTATGCAGATTAAATAAACTCATATAAAACAATGTATACACATAGTCGGCCTTTAATAAAGGTTACATGTATACATATGTAAAAAACCTGCACGTTGTACACATGTACCCTAGAACTTAAATATAAAATAAATAAATAAATAAATATTTACTATTTCAGAAGTTAAAAAAAAAAAAGGTTACATTATATCCTTGGGTTACTGACTACTCAGGTTCAGGAGGTGGTTAGACAAAAATAAGTCAAAGGAAAGAGAGGAGGAAAGTTAAAATAAGATACTTTAGAGCCAGAAAAGAAAGCACTGCAAGAAGGAAGAAATGTTTAAAAGCACCAAACTCAGTAGTGAGAAGAAGGAAAATGAAGTTGGTCACAGGTGACCTTTAAGAGAGCAGTTTCCGGCCAGGTACGGTGGCTCATGCCTGTAATCCCAGCACTTTGGGAGGCTGAGGCGGGCAGATCACAAGGTCAGGAGTTTGAGACCAGCCTGGCCAACATGGAGAAATCCCATCTCTACTAAAAATACAAAAATGAGCTGGGTTTGGTGGTGTGCACCTGTAGTCCTAGCTACTCAGGAGGCTGAGGCAGGAGAATCGCTTGAACCCAGGAGGCAGAGGTTGCAGTGAGCGAAGATCGTGCCACTTACTCCAGCCTGAGTGACAGAGTGAGACTCCGTCTAAAAAAAAAAAAAGGCAGTTTAAGGAGTAAGGATGGAAGTTAACAATGCAGAAGGCTTAGGGAGGCAGCAAAAGGTGAGAATTTAGAAAATTTAGTGCAGAGGTTTGGCAGTGAAAGGAAGGAGGAAAATAGGAGAGCACCTGGAAGTTGTAACGGAATTAAATAAAAACTTACTTTCTCCTCCTCCCACACAAAGGAAAGTTATGCAAGTATCATCAGTTGAAGATAACCACCTCTTTAGGCCTGGAATGATTGTGTCTCTCAGTTTTCCACAGAAATTTAGAGACTTACCATCAATTTCCACTTTGTCCAAATAAAAAACACCCAGCGATTGAGCTTAAGTTCTGAAATTCAGACTGCTAAATGATTGTGTTCATCAAAACACTAAGCAGCTGGCTGTTACCATGTTCCCAACTCACAGTGACTATTCATACCATGAGCCACTGTGACTTGAGTGTGCTGTCACATGAGCATTGCCAGCAAAGCGGCCACTGCAGACTTGTAAATCTACCTACAGATTTGTAATTCACCCATAGCTACCTCTCATTCATTTACTGTCACTCTTCCTTCCTCTGGCAAGTCTACTAGCACTTCAAGTAATCCTCACAAAAATAATATACCTTCTGCCTTCTGATTTTATTTCCATATGCATTTTCCTATGTGACTTTTTTTAGGCATTAAACATATGATTTTAGACACCTAAAACTTTTCTCTCTTTTCTTACCCATATTTAGACTACTAGTGCTATTTCTCCATTCTATTGTCACAAATTATTTTTCCTTTTTTCTTCATAATAGAATCTAAATCCTTAAGCTAACATGAGGCAGTTAAATACAGTACAATATTTCTTTTATTAAGAAATAAGTAGAAATGTAACCATATATCTTCCTGGGAGAGTTTCTTACCTTTTGTCAATTTCCTCTTGAGCTTTAGATATTTCTGCCATCATTTCACTCTGTGAGGGCAATGTCTTTAGACCTAAAAACAAAAATTAACATTTTAACTGTAAAATTACCTCAGAAGGAACAATAATCCTATAAACAATTACTATGCTATGGAGAATTCAAAGAAATACAGGGTAAGTTTCCTGTACTCAAGGAGGTTACAATTCACTTGATCACCTTACCACCACCACAATATAATATTAACATCTGCAGCTTACTCTACTTATTCTTCTTTGTCTTTGGAAGGGATTTCCCCTACTCTGACTTCCAACCAATACCTGCCTCCTCCCTAATGTAGTCTTTCAGTTGGGAAATGAAATATGGACATGAGAAAATGGACTTAAAGGTATATGGAAAATTAGTTACAAAGTTAAAGGGCAGGGGAGTGGGAAAACACAGCTGCACCTGTATTCTTGATAACAAAGGGACCTTATATCAACAGAAAGAGAATGAAGTAAAAATAAATTTTTTGTTTTTATTATTATACCTTAAGTTTTAGGGTACATGTGCACAATGTGCAGGTTTGTTACATACGTATACATGTGCCATGCTGGTGTGCAGCACCCATTAACTCGTCATTTAGCATTAGGTATATCTCGTAATGCTATCCCTCCCCACTACCCCCACCCCACAACAGTCCCTGGAGTGTGATGTTCCCCTTCCTGTGTCCATCTGTTCTGATTGTTCAATTCCCACCTATGAGTGAGAACATGCGGTGTTTGGTTTTTTCTCCTTGTGATAGTTTGCTGAGAATGATGGTTTCCAGTTTAATCCATGTCCCTACAAAGGACATGAACTCTTCATTTTTTATGGCTGCATAATATTCCATGGTGTATATGTGCCACATTTTCTTAATCCAGTCTATCGTTGTTGGACATTTGGCTTGGTTCCAAGACTTTGCTATTGTGAATAGTGCCGCAATAAACATACGTGTGCATGTGTCTTTATAGCAGCATGATTTATAATCCTTTGGGTATATACCCAGTAATGGGATGGTTGGGTCAAATGGTACTTCCAGTTCTAGATTCCTGAGGAATCGCCACAGTGACTTCCACAATGGTTGAACTAGTTTACAGTCCCACCAACAGTGTAAAAGTGTTCCTATTTCTCCACATCCTCTCCAGCACCTGTTGTTTCCTGACTTTTTAATGATCGCCATTCTAACTGGTGTGAGATGGTATCCCATTGTGGTTTTGATTTGCATTTCTCTGATGGCCAGCGATGATGAGAATTTTTTCATGTATTTTTTGGCTGCATAAATGTCTTCTTTTGAGAAGTGTCTGTTCATATCCTTTGCCCACTTTTTGATGGGGTTGTTTGTTTTTTTCTTATAAACTTGTTTGAGTTCATTGTAGATTCTGGATATTAGCCCTTTGTCAGATGAGTAGGTTGTGAAAATTTTTTCCCATTTTCTTGGTTGCCTGTTCACTCTGATGGTAGTTTCTTTAGTCCATCTTGAATTGATTTTTGTATAAGGTGTAAGGAAGGGATCCAGTTTCAGCTTTCTACATATGGCTAGCCAGTTTTCCCAGCACCATTTATTAAATAGGGAATCCTTTCCCCATTTCTTGTTTTTGTCAGGTTTGTCAAAGATCAGATGGTTGTAGACATGCGGCATTATTTCTGAGGGCTCTGTCCTGTTCCATTGATCTATATCTCCCTTTTGGTACCAGTACCATGCTGTTTTGGTTACTGTAGCCTTGTAGTATAGTTTGAAGTCAGGTAGCGTGATGCCTCCAGCTTTGTTCTTTTGGCTTAGGATTGACTTGGTGATGCGGGCTCTTTTTTGGTTCCATATGAACTTTAAAATAGTTTTTTCCAATTCTGTGAAGAAAGTCATTGGTCACTTGATGCGGATGGCATTTAATCTATAAATTACCTTGGGCAGTATGGCCATTTTCACGATATTGATTCTTCCTACCCATGAGCATGGAATGTTCTTCCATTTCTTTGTATCCTCTTTTATTTCATTGAGCAGTGGTTTGTATTTCTCCTTGAAGAGGTCCTTCACATCCCTTGTAAGTTGGATTCCTAGGTATTTTATTCTCTTTGAAGCAATTGTGAATGGGAGTTCACTCATGATTTGGCTCTCTGTTTGTCTGTTGTTGGTGTATAAGACTGCTTGTGATTTTTGTACATTGATTTTGTATCCTGAGACTTTGCTGAAGTTGCTCATCAGCTTAAGGAGATTTTGGGCTGAGACAATGGGGTTTTCTAGATATACAATCATGTCGTCTGCAAACAGGGACAATTTGACTTCCTCTTTTCCTAATCGAATACCCTTTATTTCCTTCTCCTGCCTAATTGCCCTGGCCAGAATATCCAACACTCTGTTGAATAGGAGTGGTGAGAGAGGGCATCCCTATCTTGTGCCAGTTTTCAAAGGGAATGCTTCCAGTTTTTGCCCATTCAGTATGATATTGGCTGTGGGTTTGTCATAGGTAGCTCTTATTATTTTCAGATACATCCCATCGATACCTAATTTATTGAGAGTTTTTAGCATGAAGTGTTGTTGAATTCTGTCAAAGGCCTTTTCTGCATCTATTGAGATAATCATGTGGTTTTTGTCATTGGTTCTGTTTATATGCTGGATTACATTTATTGATTTGTGTATGTTGAACCAGCCTTGCATCCCAGGGATGAAGCCCACTTGATCATGGCAGATAAGCTTTTTGATGAGCTGCTGGATTCAGTTTGCCAGTATTTTATTGAGGATTTTTGCATCAATGTTCATCAAGGATATTGGTCTAAAATTCTTTTTTGTTGTGTCTCTGCCAGGCTTTGGTATCAGGATGATGCTGGCCTCATAAAATGAGTTAGGGAAGATTCCTTCTTTTTCTATTGATTGGAATAGTTTCAGAAGGAATGGTACCAGCTCCTCTTTGTACCTCTGGTAGAATTCGGCTGTGAATCCATCTGGTCCTGGACTCTTTTTGGTTGGTAAGCTATTGATTATTGCCACAATTTCAGAGCCTGTTATTGGTCTATTCAGAGATTCAGCTTCTTCCTGGTTTAGTCTTGGGAGGGTGTATGTGTTGAGGAATTTATCCGTTTCTTCTAGATTTTCTAGTTTATTTGTGTAGAGGTGTTTATAGTATTCTCTGATGGTAGTTTGTATTTCTGTGGGATCGGTGGTGATATCCCCTTTATCATTTTTACTGCATCTATTTGATTCTTCTCTTTTCTTCTTTATTAGTCTTGCTAGCAGTTTATCAATTTTGTTGATCCTTTCAAAAAACCAGCTCCTGGATTCATTAATTTTTTGAAGGGTTTTTTGTGACTTAATTTCCTTCAGTTCTGCTCTGATTTTAGTTATTTCTTGCCTTCTTCTAGCTTTTGAATGTGTTTGCTCTTGCTTTTCTAGTTCTTTTAATTGTGATGTTAGGGTGTCAATTTTGGATCTTTCCTGCTTTCTCTTGTGGGCATTTAGTGCTATAAATTTCCCTCTACACACTGCTTTAAATGTGTTCCAGAGATTCTGGTATGTTGTGTCTTTGTTCCCATTGGTTTCAAAGAACATCTTTATTTCTGCTTTCGTTTCGTTATGTACCCAGTAGTCATTCAGGAGCAGGTTGTTCAGTTTCCATGTAGTTGAGTGGTTTTGAGTGAGTTTTTTAGTCCTGAGTTCTAGTTTCATTGCACTGTGGTCTGAGAGACAGTTTGTTATAATTTCTGTTCTTTTACATTTGCTGAGGAGTGCTTTACTTCCAACTATGTGATCAATTTTGCAATAGGTGTGGTGTGGTGCTGAAAAAAATGTATATTCCGTTGATTTGGGGTGGAGAGTTCTGTAGATGTCTATTAGGTCTGCTTGGTGCAGAGCTGAGTTCAATTCCTGGGTATCCTTGTTAACCTTCTGTCTCGTTGATCTGTCTAATGTTGACAGTGGGGTGTTAAAGTCTCCCATTATTATTGCGTGGGAGTCTAAGTCTCTTTGTAGGTCACTAAGGACTTGCTTTATGAATCTGGGTGCTCCTGCATTGGGTGCATATATATTTAGGATAGTTAGGTCTTCTTGTTGAATTGATCCCTTTACCATTATTTAATGGCCTTCTTTGTCTCTTTAGATCTTTGCTGGTTTAAAGTCTGTTTTATCAGAGACTAGGATTGCAACCCCTGCCTTTTTTTGTTTTCGATTTGCTTGGTAGATCTTCCTCCATCCCTTTATTTTGAGCCTATGTGTGTCTCTGCACATGAGATGGGTTTCCTGAATACAGCACACTGTTGGGTCTTGACTCTTTATCCAATTTGCCAGTCTGTGTATTTTAATTGGAGCATTTAGCCCATTTACATTTAAAGTTAATATTGTTATGTGTGAATTTGGTTCTGTGATTATGATGTTAGCTGGTTATTTTGCTTGTTAGTTGATGCAGTTTCTTCCTAGCCTTGACAGTCTTTACATTTTGGCATGTTTTTGCAGTGGCTGGTACCGGTTGTTCCTTTCCATGTTTAGTGCTTCCTTCAGGAGCTCTTTTAGAGCAGGCCTGGTGGTCACAAAATCTCTCAGCATTTGCTTGTCTGTAAAGTATTTTATGTCTCCTTCACTTATGAAGCTTAGTTTGGCTGGATATGAAATTCTGGGTTGAAAATTCTTTTCTTTAAGAATGTTGAATATTGGCCCCCACTCTCTTCTGGCTTGTAGAGTTACTGCCGAGAGATCTGCTGTTAGTCTGATGGGCTTCCCTTTGTGGGTAACCCGACCTTTCTCTCTGGCTGCCCTTAACATTTTTTCCTTCATTTCAACTTTGGTGAATCTGACAATTATGTGTCTTGGAGTTGCTCTTCTTGAGGAGTATCTTTGTGGCGTTCTCTGTATTTCCTGAATCTGAATGTTGGCCTGCCTTGCTAGATTGGGGAAGTTCTCCTGGATAATATCCTGCAGAGTGTTTTCCAACTTGGTTCCATTCTCCCCGTCACTTTCAGGTTCACCAATCCGACGTAGATTTGGTCTTTTCACATAGTCCCATATTCCT
Organism: Homo sapiens; assembly: GCF_000001405.40. Classification (NCBI taxonomy): domain Eukaryota; kingdom Metazoa; phylum Chordata; class Mammalia; order Primates; family Hominidae; genus Homo; species Homo sapiens. The sequence continues at coordinate 147,195,189 of NC_000001.11, forward strand.
TGGATGCTTTGTTCGTTTCTTTTTATTCTTTTTTCTCTAAACTTCCCTTCTCACTTCATTTCATTCCTTTCATCTTCCATCACTGATATCCTACCAAACCCAAATAATTTTTTTTTGTAGTTTTAGTAGAGACGAGGTTTCACCATATTGGTCAGGCTGGTCTCGAACTCCTGACCTCAGATGATCCACCCGTCTCTGCATCCCAAGGTGCTGGGATTACAGGCATGAGCCACCATGCCCAGCCAAAATAAATCTTAATCACATTTTATGCCTAAAGTCCTGTGGAAGATAAGCTTCATTTTCTAAACATGTTTCTTTGATAAGAGTAGGGGTTAAGGCCAAGGGGAACTCATAATACCTAATATTAACTGATAAATTTAAGTAAGATGCACAAACAGTTCCAGTTGTAGGAATTATACACCAAGGACAGGGCTAGACTAAGGCTTAATAGTATTTAAGCCAGTATGAACAATGCTAAGCTTAAACAATTAGTTGTATGCCCCTATAACTAGGGACTATGCCATGTAGAAGATTTTGGCCACATCCAGTCCTAAGGTGTCACTCCATAAAATTGTGGAATATGGAATTTCAGAATGGCAATATATTTTACCTGATACAAGCATTCTTTCTACAAGTACTCTAACCTAGTGGTTATCTCATTCCTCTTTAAACATCACTGGTGATGGGTATCTATAATAATTATATCTGAGGTGATTATATAATTATTTGACTGCTCTGGCTGCTGGAACATTATTGTTTTTATTGACCCCAAGATCTGACTCTTTGCATTTGCACCACTGGACCAAGCTCTGCTTTCTGGAGCCACAGAGTTTAATGTTAATACATGACAGCTCTTGAAACATTTGGAAATGATTGTCATAACTCCTTTAAGTCTTCTCATTATCAGGCTAAACAGTACATGTTTCCCATATAATGGTTTTCACATTCTCTGCCATCTTGGTTGCCCTTCACTAAGCATACTCTAATAACTATCCTGGTGTATCCCTCTTAAAATATGGAACTCAGAAGTTCATCACTCTCAAATAGCCTTCTGTTGTTTTCCATGTGTTTTTACATTTTAGCCATGGGAATTATTATTTATCATCATAAATCAATTAGGAAACACTGAAATGCTTCATTTAAGCTTAATCATAGGTCTCTTCGGATACTCAAAATAAGCGTTTTGAGAGTCAATTTCCAAATTACTTCTACACAACCACAAGTTTTACTTCTATTAGCTAGAAACATGAAGGAGGAGGTATATTTCTTGATTGTGGGAGACACCCAATTCATAAAAGAAAGAAAAAAACAACAAAAAACCCTATCTATTACCCTATCTGTCTATATATAGATAGATAAAGAGGTATATACATCTTAGTCTAGAGCTCATGGGGTGAAAAAATTTAAAAAAATTAAAAAATTTTAAAAAGATGTATACATCTTTTTACGTGTATACTCTGTGGTACAGTTATGTCTTAATTCATAAATTTTGTTTTTGCAGTGTTTCCTTATTTAGACACATTAGCTTTACCATATTTCTTATCTCCCTCCATGTCTTTGCTCCCTGTCTTAGTTTCCCAATTCCAATGAATGGCCTCAACACCTGAACAGATTCTTTTCTGTCTCTCTTCTCCAACATGCTTTCTGTCACCAAATTCTTCAGATTTGCCTGTGAAATTTCATTTAAGTCTGGCTCCTCCAATTCCTTTAGAGTGTCATTACCTTGGTTTAAAGCTCTCATGCTGTCTTACTGAGACTTTTACCACAGGCTCGTACTGACCTATTTCCCATTTCACTCCTCTCTAACATATCTTCTAAACTGGAGATCTGATTTGACTCCTCTTCCAGTTAAAATCCTTCAGTGGTTCTCCAACTTGTACCTTAAATGCAAACTCTTGATATTGCCTGTGAATATTTCTAGTTTCATTTTCCTTCATTCCTATAACACTTTACCAGCATTCTGAACTACTTGCAGTTCCCAGAACTCTATTTGTTCTGTCACTTTCATCTAACTTTGCATAAACAGTAGTGATTATTTCCCCTCTATGGTCAATATTTCCTTGTCCTTTTAGTAAATTCCTATGTAGTTGTAGGGAGAATTGGGTACTTATTGCCCACTGCTCTCATGGCAGCTCTTCTGCATTGCTACTGGAGCACTTGTTTAGGATATAGTTAAATATCTGCTGAATGAACAAATCATTAAGCGTCTGTTTACTTGTCTGTCTTTGATATGGTTTGGCTGTGTCCCCACCCAAATCTTATCTTGAATTTTGGGTCCCACAATCCCCATGTGTCATGGGAGGGGCCTGGTGGGAGGTGATTTAATCATGGGGTGGTTACTCTCATACTGCTCATGCTGTTCTCATGATACTGAGTGAGTTCTCACGAGATCTGATGGTTTTATACGGGGCTTTCCCTTTCACTCAGCACTCATTCTCTCTCCTGCCACCCTGTGAAGAAGTTCCTTCTGCCATGATTGTAAGTTTCCTGAGGCCTCCCCAGCCATGCAGAACTGTGAGTGAATTAAACCTCTTTCCTTTAGAAACTACTCAGCCTCAGGCAGTTCTTTATAGCAGCATGAGAATGGGCTAACACAGTCTTCCTTGCTTGGCTCTGCATTCCAGAAAGATAGGGATTTTCTGTATGGTCATATTTGCTTCTCCAGCCCCTAGCAGAAGGCCTGGTACATACTAAAAGGTCAGTATATGTTATCTGAAGAATGTTGAAGAACAGTGAGGAACTGAAGTTCAGAGATCTTCCAAGGGTTCCAAGACAAGGTGGGAAGGAAGAGAGTCTGAATTAGAGTTCTGTGGTGGTAGGCCTTCAGTCTGCTGTCAGCCTAAAGCAGGTTGTATCTGTGTAATCCTGACTTGCTCCTGCATATTTCAGTGTATAGCTAATGTTATGAGAGAAAAGAGATCTGGCTCCCATTCTGCAATTTCAGTCCAGTTCAGGCTTTTAACATAACTGGAAATTGGCTAAGGTAGCCCATAAGCTGAGATCCTCAAATAAGAAGTTTCTACATCAGAATTTAGAATTTAATTTACCTCAAGGCTAAACTGACATTTCTTAGAATAGATGTTTATTAGATACCTCTTATGTGCTAGGCAGTGGTCTAGGCTTGCAATACAAAGGCAAATAAACATGAGTCCTTTACTTAAGGAGCTATCACTATATTACAAAGGGAGGGAAGAAATATGCATAGACTTTTCCTATAGAAATAAAAAGTAAAAGGAGGGCATATCAAGAAGAAAGCACAGTGGAAGCAAAAGCACAGGGTACAAGGGTACCTGCTGTGTTTGCTGCTTAGTGGGTACGTCATCCAGTGCATCTAGAGTATTGTAGGAAGTATGGTAAAGACTAGTGAAAGATGGGCCTGAGGCCGGGTACAGTGACTCATGCCTGTAATCCCAGCACTTTGGGAGGCTGAGGCAGGCGGATCACGAGGTCAAGAGATGGAGACCATCCTGGCTAACATGGTGAAACCCCGTCTGTATTAAAAACACAAAAAAACTAGCCGGGCATGGTGGCGGGCGCCTGTAGTCCCAGCTACTGGGGAGGCTGAGGCAGTAGAATGGCCTGAACCCAGAAGGTGGAACTTGCAGTGGGCCGAGATAGCGCCACTGCACTCCAGCCTGGGCGACAGAGCGAGACTGCATCTCAAAAAAAAAAAAAAAAAAAAAAAAAGAAAGAAAGATGGGCCTGAAATTGGAGGTTGTATCCAATTTGTGGAGGAACTTTAATGCCAGCCTATGACATAATGACTTCTTGTGATCCAGAGATTTGGTGTAACTTGATATAGTTTTGAAGGAAAGAAAGTTGCTGAGTGAAAATAAAACACTTGCAAGGGCTGCAAAAGACGCAATCAAAACAGAAACTATGTTTCATTTCAGTCAAGGCAAGGAAGTAAATTCAGTGTTCTAGAAAAGAGTAGAATATTTTCTTGACAAGAGAACAATAATTCCAGAGAACAGAAGAAGAAGGAAAATGGGGCTTGGTAGGGAACAGACAAGGAAGGAGGCAGGCTTTGTTGGGCAGACATGAAAAAAATGGGAAAAACAAGCTAATCCAAAGGGTTTAAAATTGGCATAGTGAAGGGATAATTCAGGGAAGAGAAAGGCAAGAATGTGGGAGGCAGACAGATTGGCCATGGACAGAATAAAAAACCCAGAGTTCCTGTTGGAAGTCTGGTAAAGTTAGAGAATTCTGAAGATTTCTTCCTTCCAGGTGTTAGAAAAAAGCTGGAGGAATTAGCACTAGGCTTCTGCTAGCATAGGAAGCTGGGCTTTTTGTACATTTTCCCTAAGATCCCATAATCTCATAACCATAATGCAGACTCTTGCAAATACTCATTTTCTCTATTTCCTCTCAAGAATTCACTTGGTCTTGGAAAAGAGTCCCAGTTGCTTAAAGTATACTAAGATGCTGTGGCCTGTTTTAATGAACTGTTCTCCGCTTATGTAATTGACCCAATTAAAAGATCACTTTAATATGACTAGAATTAGGCCAACTTAATGGGCTATTTGCGTTTGACTACTTGTATAGTTCTCTCAGGTAGTACATAATCTGCTGGATAGGACTGGAAGTAATAGAAATTTGGGGAAATTTAGAAAGGTTGTTGAACTATCAACTGTAATACCATTGGTTCTTTTTTTCTCTGCAACTGTGAAGATTTTCACTAGTGAAAACAAAAAAGGTGTAATTCCAACAGGAACTCTGAGTAGTTTTAATTAAATGCTAGTAACAATAGCAAATTTTGTTATAACAACCATAGAATCAGTGAATTTCTTCTTTAGAAGGACCCTTAAACATCATCTTGTTTCTCTCTATCCTGAGGCTTGAATCTACTCCATACCTTCCCCCTCTCCTGCCCCGGCCCAGTGAGCATTCAGTCATTTGGCATCCTTTTCCTTTTCTGCTTAGAATTTCAGAGGCAGCTGGTTCCATCATGAAATGGCATTGGCTGATAGGAAAAAGGTTTTGGATTTTTTTCTTAATGGTAAGCTGATGTGTAACCCTCAAGATTTCACTCCTTGATTCTGGTTTGACCCTTTGAAGCTATACTGAGTAAATCTAATCCTTCTTCCATGTGCCTTCCCTTCAGATATTTGAAGGAAATTCTCATATCTCTCCTGAAGTTTATCTTCTCCAGGCTAAATCTCTCTCCGGCTTTTTCAGTTGTACTTCAGATGGCATGTTTTCAAATCCCTTAAAAAATTTTTCTCTCTCTCCTTATTAAACGCACTCCAGCTTCACTTTTAAAATGTATCATTAGGTGTGGTCTGGCCAGTTTAGAGAACAACAGTTGTAATGTTCTAGAACATTATAGTTTTTTAATGATGCTAGATTTAATTATTTCTTTGGAAGCTATATCATTCTACTGACTCATATGAAACCTATTCCCCTTTTTTTTTCATATATTCCTAGCCAAAACTGAAAGAGGGGACATAAAAGGAGAAAAGTGAGAATTTGGGGGATTGAATATCCTACAATATTGACTAGTCTGCAACCAGGTCTTAATTTTCGGCCGAAATAAAGTCATACTATTTCTATATTTTATTTTTATCTATAATGAAAGAAGATAAAACTATTTTACTTCAGAAATATATGCCAGTTGCCTAAAATCTAGATGAGTAAATTCTAATTTGGAGTACACATTGGAATTACTGGGGAATATTTTTCTCAAAGATGTTATGACTGCCCCACCCCAGACTAACTAAATAAGCATCAGCAAGGATGGTGTCAAAGCATGCATAGCTTGGAAAAATTTCCCAGGTATGATGTATGTCCATGGTTATAAATTGCTACTTTAGATTCACTCAAAAATATATTTTTCTGTACTAACTTTGTGCTAGGCACTGTTGTAATCATACATGCTATCTCTAGCTATTTAAAAACAAGTACCTAAACAGAGGTAAACATATCACCAAGTAATTAAGTAGTCTATTTGCATGGTCACTTACCTTTAAATACCTGAGTGGCCCAGCGTCCTTGGAGCTCTGAAATGGGCATAATGGCTCCTAAGGGCTGAATCAAGCCTATGATTGCAAGAGTTGGCCTTTCCAGGTTAGGAGGGAAGACCTTTTTATACAGGGATATCTTGTTTTTGACCACTTTGACGGAATCTTCCAGAAATGGAAAGTCAAAGCTATAGCCTGTGGCAAAGATAACAGCATCAATGTCATCCTCCCTGGAGCCATCCTCAAATATGGCAGCTGTCTCCGTGAATTCCTTCACATTTCCTTTCACTTTCACCAAGCCAGAAATGATACGATTTGGCAGGTCATCATTTAAGGTTGGATGCTGACTCAGAGCTCTGTGAGTCGTGACAAAGATCAAGTGGAGAAATGAGAGAAAGAGAAATCAGTACCACATAAGTAAAATTTTGCTTTGGTGGAGGTAAACAGGATGCCAATAATCTTCCCCTTGGTCTATGCATGAAGTTTGGAAAAGGTCTAATTTATACTAGGTTGGCACAGATCAAGATCAGATCTGAAGTTGGACCCTGGATGCACTGAAAGGGAGAGTGTTGGAGGAGTGAAGGAAGAGTGTTGTTTGAGGAGTGCATATATGATTTCTCAAGTAACAATAATATTCTGTGTGTGATATGATAAGGCCACAGGTCAATAGTTTGTATTCTCATACCAAGAAGTCTGACAGAACTAAGCTGTCAACATTCTGTTCAGTCTCATTTCCAGTTTCAAAGGCTCAAGAGCTAAGTTTAGGCCACTGTTTTCCAAACTGTATGATAAATTACATGTATGTAGCAATTTACAGTTTATAAGTTGCTTTTACATGCATTAACTTGACTCTCACAAAACTCTATGAAGGAAGCAGAATAGGTGTCATTATCCAGGTTTTATAAATGAGGGAATTGAGGCCTAGAAAAGTTATGTGACTTGTCCAATGATACACAGCCTAGGATTTTAGAATTTATCTCAAAGTTGTTTTCAGTGAATTATCTTGGTATACTTCGGGCTTGTTATTGTTTCCTAGGGACAGCGTAGGATACGGATACTGGAAACATTGGGTTGGTGCAAAAGTAATTGCTTATTTTTTTGCCATTACTTTTAATAATAATAAGGCTGGTTTCTAGTATCGTGGAGCTTTCTAAAAAGCAGTTCTTTTTTTTTTTTTTTTTTTTTTTGAGACAGAGTCTCTACTTCTTTTGCCGAAGCTGGAGTGCAGTGGCATGATCTTGGCTCACTGCAACCTCCACCTCCCAGGTTCAAGTGATTCTGCTGTCTCAGCCTCCCGAGTAGCTTGGACTACAGGCACCTGCCACCATGCCTGGCTAATTTTTGTATTTTTAGTAGAGACAGGGTTTCACCATGTTGGCCAAGCTGGTCTCGAACTCCTGACCTCGTGATCCTCCCACTTCAGCCTCCCAAAGTGCTGGGATTACAGGCGTGAGCCACAGCACCTGGCCTAAAAAGTAGTCTTAATGCCTGAATACTATATTAACTCATCTTCAGACAGAGCTGTCCTGGCCTCAGGAATTTTATATGTTTAAATTACCACTACTGGTTTGTTGCATTTAGTTATGCTTTGACACTAGGTCGATTGTGTTCTGCATTCCAACCTCATGATTTCATCTTTTTCTCCAAACCTACTCCTTTTCACCAGCAGTACCACCATCCATCCATATAGTTGCCCAACCCACAAAACCATGAGTTATATATCTGGTCACCAAGCCTTTTCCCTTTCTCCTCTTAACATCCCCAAGATAGTTTTATCTACTCCTTGTTATCTCAACCAGATGATACAATTGTCTTTAGGACCTCCTGTCTCATCCCACTCCCACACCATTTTCAAAATGGTCTTTCTAAAATGTAGGTATGATTATGTTACTCACTTGCCTAAATCTTTGAATGGCTTTGGACTGTCTTCATTCCATACTTTTTATTTAGTAGACCAAAGGTTTCCTTTTTTTTTTTTGACAGTAACAATATGTTTATTATAACATCCAGCCAAGAATACAAACACAAAATACCTCTTAATGTAAGGAGAATAAGAAAACATCACGCGATTCTTAGAATACTACTACAAATACAGCCTTCACCTACAGTAAAAATTAAGCCAATTTCAATCATTTTGGTCATCATCCCAGTCTTTCTTCCCACTTGGAGGCTTGGGCCCACCATCTGGTTTTGCCATGATTACCTGACCCACTCTAAGTACAGTGACTGCAGCATTAGCAGCGAGTTTGATAGACCAGTGTTTTCCCAGGTAAGTATCTAGAACACCAGCTTCCAACATGTCCGTTACAGCAGGGACTACAGCCTCAGTATCTAATCCAACATTTTTATTTCCTTCTTGAGGTACTGCATAAAGTTTAGAGATTACTTCATTGGCCTTAACTCCAGAGTTTTCTCCAGAGTATTTCTGCCAGTGCACGGGGAATAGCTTCAAACGCCTCAGCAAACTTCTTAATAGCGTACTGTTCAAGTCCAGGACATGTCTCTCCATATGATGTGATCTGTTTGGCTAATTCAATTTCTGTTGCTCCACCTCTGGGTACAAGACGTTTATCCCTTGTAAGAACTTTGAAAGTATTAACACCATCATCTACTGCCCTTTCTATGTCATCCATCAGATTGTCTGTAGAGCCCCGAAGTACTATGGTAGAAATGATGCCATCTTCCTTTTCATGCTTAAAAACCACCACCTGAGTATCTCCAACTTCTGAGAGGTAAACACTGTCTCAGTGTCCCATTTCTTCAAGGACAGGAGGTGTCAATCTAGGAAGAGCTGTAGCACCAACTGTTTTACAGAGTCTTCGGACATCCCATTTTGAGTTTAGCTTCACTAACATCATATTATATTTGTTTGCATAATGAAGAGCCATGTCTGCCACTTTGCCACCTGTTACTACAACATTTGCACCAGTATCAGCAATAGCTTTGACTTATGCATCCATGAGATTTTCTTCTCCCTTACTTAAATTCATCAATTCTTCATCAGTCTTTATCAACACTGTTCCCTTAGTTTCTGTTATCATGCCATCAAAAGGACAAGAGTACACTGCTATTTTTGCATCTTTGACAGATGTACATCACCTTCTGTTTCCTTCTTAAAAACCATGCCATGCAATACTGAAGAGGAAGTGATACCACAGCCCAGAATTTTACAAACTCTGATGTTATCAACTTTGAAATGGCCAGAATCAGGAAAAATAGATACGCATGCCTGAACAATAAGCTTGGCCAGAAATACTTCATTACCATATTGTTTACACATTACAGAGGTACGAAGTAGAGATGAGACTTCATCAACATCTCGAAGGTTTTTTGCAGAACAACGTACCAAATTAGGAAGAATCTCATGAGCTTTTCTGCAAGCTATTTCATAACCTTCTATGACCTCTGAAACTGACAGGCCAATCCTCAGAAGTTCTTCAGCTAATTCCAGGAGAGCTCCGGCAAATACCAGAACAATGTTTGTGCCATCTCCAACTTCTTGCTCTTGCATATGAGAAGCCATTACAGTCATTTTTGCAGCAGGATGCTGTACTTCTAGTTCTCTTAAAATAGTCGCTGCATCATTTGTCACAAACAACTTCTCCAAGTGGTTGATAACCATTTTTTTCATTCCATTTCGTCCATATGCTGTACGAGTGGTTTGGGCAAGCTCCTTGCAAGCTTGTATGTTTCTATACACAGCCTCTTCTAATTCTGAAAAGTGTTTCGCTCCCTCCTTGAGCATCTGGGCGAAGCCCGGAGCCTTGGGAACTTGAAGCGCCATGGCCAGCCTGCAGGAAGCCGTTCACGTGACCGCTCAGAAGACCGCGGAGGAACCAAAGGTTTTCATGCCTGATGAACCTGGAGATACATTCAGTCACTCTTCCATCTTTGCTATATAGTCCAGCCATACCAGACTACATGCAAGTCCTGGAGCATAATGTATTTTTTGCTGTTCCAAGACTTTGTCTTTATAATTAGAATGCTATACCCTTGCTCTATTTGTTTGGCTATCTCCTATTATTCAACAAAGCCTCAATTTATTTTGCAACCACCAAAAACATGCATGCTAAAATAATTAGGTGAAAGGTTTTTAGGAAACACAGTTTCCAAATGTCACCCCACTGATTAACTTCAACGGGAAAAAATATCTTTATAGTGGAGAAACTTGATGGTATCTATACCACCTTATCTAAGTGGTCAAATTTAGCATTATTACTGTGAGATAAACTGACATAATGTGGTTCTTGATGTGACCCACTAAGATCAACATGTCCTATGTAGTATATGTGTCAAAAACATTTAACCTGAATATAATAAAGGAAAAAAATTATGCAAGTCTAAATTTAGAGACTCTCTACAAAACAATGCCTTGGGTTCTTAAAAAGAAAGCCCATGTCAAAGAGAGAATTATTTCTTATATAGACCAATGGAACAGAACAGAGCCCTCAGAAATAATACCACATATCTACAACTATTTGATCTTTGACAAACCTGACAAAAACAAGAAATGGGGAAAGGATTCCCTATTTAACAAATGGTGCTGGGAAAACTGGCTAGCCATATGTACAAAGCTGAAACTTGATCCCTTCCTTACACCTTATACAAAAATTAATTCAAAATGGATTAAAGACTTAAATGTTAGACCTAAAACCATAAAAACCCTAGAAGAAAACCTAGGCAATACCATTCAGGACATAGGCATGGGCAAGGACTTCATGTCTAAAACACCAAAAGCCATGGCAACAAAAGCCAAAATTGACAAATGGGATCTAATTAAACTAAAGAGCTTCTGCACAGCAAAAGAAACTACCATCAAAGTGAACAGGCAACCTATAAAATGGGAGAAAATTTTTGCAATCTACTCATCTGACAAAGGGCTAATATCCAGAATCTACAAAGAACTCATACAAATTTACAAGAAAAAAACAAACAACCCCATCAAAAAGTGGGTGAAGGATATGAACAGACACTTCTCAAAAGAAGACATTTATGCAGCCAACAGACACATGAAAAAATGCTCATCATCACTGGCCATCAGAGAAATGCAAATCAAAACCACAATGAGTTACCATCTCACACCAGTTAGAATGGCGATCATTAAAAAGTCAGGAAACAACAGGTGCTGGAGAGGATGTGGAGAAATAGGAACACTTTTACACTGTTGGTGGGACTGTAAACTAGTTCAACCATTGTGGAAGACAGTGTGGCGATTCCTCAAAAAGAACTAGAAATACCATTTGACCCAACCATCCCATTACTGGGTATATACCCAAAGGATTATAAATCATGATGCTATAAAGACACATGCACACGTATGTTTATTGCGGCACTATTCACAATAGCAAGGACTTGGAACCAACCCAAATGTCCAACAATGATAGACTGGATTAAGAAAATGTGGCACATATACACCATGGAATACTATGCAGCCATAAAAAATGATGAGTTCATGTCCTTTGTAGAGACATGGATGAAGCTAGAAACCATCATTCTCAGCAAACTATCGCAAGGACAAAAAACCAAACACTGCATGTTCTCACTCATAGGTGGGAACTGAACAATGAGAACACTTGGACACAGGAAGGGGAACATCACACACCAGGGCCTGTTGTGGGGTGGGAAGAGTGGGGAAGCATAGCATTAGGAGATATATCTGATGTAAATGACAAGTTAATGGATGTAAATGACAAGTTAATGGGTGCAGCACACCAACATGGCACATATATACATATATAACAAACCTGCACGTTGTGCACATGTACCCTAGAACTTAAAGTATAATAAAAATATATATATATAAAAAGAGAGATTAAAGAGACATGACAACTAAATGTAATGGTGTGATTGATTACCTGACAGGATACTAGATTTAAAAAGATTTTTTTAAAGCTATAAAAAATACTATTAGGGCAACTGGGGATATTGCCAATGTATTAATGTATTTTATCAATGTTAAATTTCCCACGTGTGATAATTATATGATGGTTATGTAGGAGAATGCCCTTTTTCTTATACAATATACACTGAAGTATTTAAAGTGTCTTAATGACTGCAACGTACTCAAATGGTTTCAGAAAAAAATGTACTTGTGTATGTATGCTCTATATGTATGGACCTATCTACAGAGATGGGGAAAGGAAGCAAATATAGCAAACTTAACAGGTGAATCCAGGTGAAGGATATATGGGTGCTCATTGTACTTATTATTTTGCAACTTTTCTGTAGATCTGAACATTTTCAAAAATAAAAAGTTGGAGGGAAAATAAATTTAAAATCAGCCTCTAGAAATGTTTTCCCTCCCTGGTTCTCTGAGGACCCCATCCTTTGTACTTTCATAACACTGTATGTATTTCTTCATTATAATCTGTCCTCTTTCTTCTCATTAGAGTATTTAAGGTAAGATCTATTTTTTGAGTCTGCCATTTATTATTTCTGTTGCCCTCGGGAAAATTACTTAGTTTCTCTACATCTCAGTTTTTATATTTGTAAAATGTAGATCAAAAATTGTGGAGGCCAAAGCAACTCCATCTTAGAAGTTAATCTACCATATTGACTTCTGATCAACCCTGGTTCCGGGAATACCTCTGAGATTTCCAGTTAATCTGTTGTTTAATAGTATGTACTTACTGTAAATCCCACCCTTAGGGCAAACTCCTACCCATTCGCTCTGAAGTATGTGTGCCCCTCCCCTGTGGTATATCATCCCTGGGTCAGGAGGTAATGGTATGGGGATCTACCATCTTGTCTCACCACTGCCTGAGACAGACATGGCTTCTGTTCATAAGTCCCTATGAAATGTTTCTAAGAAACTGAATCTGTCAGCTTCTTTCTTCAGCCTCTCAGCTTCCTCAGCCTTTGGGGTAGGTTTGCATAGACCTCCTCACTGTGAAACAAAAATAGTACCAACTTATAGGGCTATTGTCAGGATTAAGTGAGATACTGCATGTAACTCATTTAGCACTGTGCTTATCTTATAGAAAGTCCTCAGAAAGGTGAGTGTTATTTCTATTACTATTACTATTATGTCTTCTCTCTGTATTTCATGCCCATGTATGATGCCTGGCTCATAACAGGTACTCAATGAGTAAATGACGCACTGTCCTCAGCTATCATTTTGTTGTTGGGTATCATGCAAAAAGAACTGATACCTGGGGGAATGAGAAAAGGGTTACTGCCAAAGAGAATTCTAGATTAAAAACCCACAGACCAATAGATCTTGGACATCTGTGGGTACAAGTTAGAAATCTGATTTCAGATTCTATGAGTCTATAGGCTTTCTTTTCTTTTCTTTTCTTTTTTTTTTTTTCTTTTTGAGACAGAGTCTGTTGCCCAGGCTGGAGTGCAGTGGTGCAATCTCAGCTCACTGCAACCTCTGCCTCCAGGGCTCAGGTGATTCTCCTGCCTCAGCCTCCTGAATAGCTGGGACTACAGACAGGTGCCACCACACCTGGCTAATTTTGTGTTTTTAGTAGAGATGGGGTTTCACCGTGTTGGCCAGGATGGTCTCAAACTCCTGAGCTCAGGTGATCCACCCGCCTCCGCCTCCCAGAGTGCTGGGATTACAGGCGTGAGCCACCATGCCCAGCCACTGTGGGTTTTCTTAATGTATGGGTAGAGGTGGCTTTACTATTAGCCAGTGTGAAGAGTCCTTATTCTTGTGCTTTGGCCACTATCCCTGCACTCCCATCCTGGGAACATACCTGTGTTTAGGCTTCAGGCCAAACATTTCATGGTCAAACCTTTGGTTTATCTTTTTTTCCAAATATTTGTTTGCTAATGATTGGCCACAGATCTTCCATATAAAATGTGTAAGTCGAGAAGAGAACAACACATCAGCAGGATATCCGTAGTCCCCTACACGATTCAGGATCCAAGCCCCTCTCCTGGTGCTGAGGAAAACCTGGGGCATGGAAGAAATTGTTTGCTTTTGTCACTCAGATTCGTAAACCTTCAAAAGCACCCCCATTTTCTTCAAGAATCATTTCAGGCCCGGCGCGGTGGCTCACGCCTGTAATCCCAGCACTTTGGGAGGCCAAGGCGGGCGGATCACGAGGTCAGGAGATCGAGACCATCCTGGCTAACACAGTGAAACCCCGTCTCTACTGAAAAACCCCGTCTCTACTAAAAATACAAAAAATTAGCCAGGCGTGGTTGCAGGTGCCTGTAGTCCCAGCTACTCGGGAGGCTGAGGCAGGAGAATGGCGTCAACCTGGGAGGCGGAGCTTGCAGTGAGCCAAGATCGCACCACTGCACTCCAGCCTGGGCAACAGAGTGAGACTCCGTCTCAAAAAAAAAAAAAAAAAGAGTTCAAACTCATTAGTCTGGCTTTTTAGCCCCTGCACAATCTTTGTGGGTTTTTATGTTTGTTTCCTGCCATTTTCCTTCCCAAACACTAAACTTAGAATTAAATTGGTGTATCTACTGTCCAAGAATATGTTTTGCTCTAATACACCGTTGTATTTCTGTTTAGTGCTATTATGCCTGCCTGAAATGCCTTCTTTCCTCTTAACTCTGCGAAGCCTGTTCATTTTTAAGACCCAGATCAAGACTGCCTCCTCCATGAAGAAACCGCTGACTATTCAGGCTGACAATTTTCTCTCCATCCTCTGAATTTCTCTAGCACTTATCACCTGTAGAACTCATTAAAAATCATGTACTGGTAAAGTTGAAAGCAGCTGGAGACCATTTAATCTAAAACCCTCATTCTTTTGCCATTGACATTGTTGGCATTATTACAAAAACCCCTGCTATTTATCATTTTTATTGATATTAAACTTTCTACACTCCTAATTTCTGTCTCTTCAAATGTGTTTTCTCAAGGATAGGAGATAAAGCCTACACATCCACAGCAGATTATCATCACTTCCATTTATTGGGATTTGTGACCTTTAAGTCATTGTGCTAGGTCCTTCATCTATATTACAACAACCTCTTGAGGAAAGTATTATTACACCCATGTTATAGATGAGGGGCATGGAAAGGATGAATAACTTGCCTGAGATCACAGAGCTAGTAAGTGGCAGAGGTGAATTTCCAACCCAGGTCTGACTAACTCCAAAGCCTGTGCTTAAGAAATGTTTGATTGATTATTTAATGGAGAAAAATAAGATTGCTAGTGGAACAACAGGAAGCTAGTCAGTCTTTCTGTGTCCTCCTCTGGCTAAAGTTCATGTTCAGAACTGATAAAGATTTGATATGCAGTTACCTGGCAAAAGAATCACTTTTCCTACACTATGAAACTCTCTGGAGATGGCTTCCAGATTTTAAGTTATATACGCACATTGCTTCATAGTCTTTTTGTCTAAAATGACCTGTCTACAGAGGGATAATTGTTTACTTCACAAATCTTATCTCGCCTAAAGTGACTGTAAGCACTCTGATAATTATGTACTTCCACAGTCACAGTTGAAAGAGCATATATGGTCTTAGAAACTGAACAATTTTGTGTGCTGGCTATATAACTTCTGCTGAGTAATGAAAACGCTCAGAGCCCTAATGAAAAGATTTCCTATTTATGAAATAGTAATAATAATAATACATATATCACAAGGCTGTTGTGATAATTAAGCAGTGTTTTTGTAAAAGGTGTGGTATATAGTAAACACTTGATAAGTGCTTAATGGCTGTCATATTTCTTATTTCAGTTTTCCATCTATACCTTGTTTTAAGCAAATAACATTTACAAATCAGATTTATAAGGAAAATTGTTTAATCAGTGTAATCTTATATGAAATTAATATTGAAAAAAAGGAATGTTTTCTCTTTACAAAAGCATCTACAAGAATTATACGAAAAACTTCCATGATATACTGAAATATATAGGTCCATTTAAAGTTTTTGATTTATAAACAAATCATCATGAATACAATTTACAAGTAAAGTAAAAAGTTAGAACTCAGCAATTGAGTTTCTTCAGCTTGGATTAGTGGTGTGACAGTATTGCCTCTGCTATGCAGACATAGTTTTCCTTTGCATTTTCCCAGGCTTTCTCACAGACACAGCCACCTTATCTGTACCCACACAGAAATGCTTTGTTATGTGGCAACCTGCAATTCCCCAGAGCAGGTAAGGCCAAGCTCCCTTAGAACTGCCCATTTGACAAGCCAATGATATTAAAGATGGCTCTCGCCATGGGTCCCCACTCCACATTTTGCACATTCCTCTACCATAACACCCACATACGTTTTAACCCTTGTTTATATAATTATTTTAATTATTTTTAATCCTTGTTTATATGATTATTTCCTGATAAATGTCTGTTGAATTAATTTATGAAGTATCATATGAAATAATTTTTGTGGTTATAGATGAGGATAGCAATGAGAAGAAGTGTTTTTCAAACAAAGTTGCTGAGTAAGAGTCATTTAACAGAATTGTAGCACTAAGCTTCTAATTAAAATAAAACAATTTAAAACATCTTTATAGAGAAGCATGGCTTAATTAAAGTTACTAAAGAACAACCAAGACATTTACCTATTGCCAATAGAGTTTGATTCAACACAGACATTAATAACAAAATACAATATTGGCATGTCTTTTTCCAGGAATTTATAGTGAAGACACTTGCTTCTCAGTTCAAAGTCTGCTATACAAAAACCAAAACAAACAAAACAAAAAGCCAAGGAGATATAATTGCTTTAGAATGAATGTTATCTGAGTTACCTAACTGTATGCAAAGGCCAGGGCAAGCTGCTTGCATGTGCTACAGTTTGGACGCTATACGGATACCCACATTGTCTTTGGGAAGATAAAATTGATACTTTTTTCCATTTGGGGAGTGTAAAGGAAAATTCAAGCACCATCCTATGAGTGAAAAGTTTCCAATGATCACGCGTGCTTTCCTTTATGTAAGAACATAGCACTTCTGCTGGCCAATTGAAGATCCTCGCTCTCAATACTGCTTTCTAACAACCTCTCCCAGCAATTACTTTGTCTTTATCAAAGCCAGAGGCACACTCTGAGAAGATGCCTGATTAGGATAATGAGCCCAGACTTTAGCTGATCCAGTTCCTTGGTGTGAGGCTAGTTGCACAATGGAACTCTAACTGGTAGCCTTAACTCCTCTATTAGCACCAATCACCATGTTGCCAACTGAGGTAATGAAACGAAGCCCTATATTTGCCACTGGCACTGAAGGGCTATGTGCAGGTATCCCTATTCTCTGTTGGGTCCACCTGCAGCTTCCTTGGAGAAACTGAAGCTAGAGTTAAGCAACGTAAATAATAATTGAGTGATTCAAACCTGCTTGGCTGTTTGGCTAATCTCTACAGCCAGATCCCCTCCAGAATTCCCAATGCCAATTATAATGACTCTCTTTCCAGTGAATCCCTCTGGGTTCTTATAGTCTCGACTGTGGAAGTACTGCCCTTTGAACTTCTCAATTCCTGCAAGAGAAGGGAAAATAATTATTGGGTAATGGTTTACATGATAGATATCATTTGTCAAGTCATTTGTTTTTTTTGCAGACTTAAGTTTAAGCATATATTCTCCAAGTGTTCTCTTTACTCAGCTACTTTCTTGCCTTTCTCAGTATTTTTGCCTATTTTCTTTTCCCATAGCCTCAGAGTAGTACCTTGTGATTTCCTTGTCATATGTACTTTGCTTAACTCAGGATGTGTTTGTATTTTGGATTTAGAGATATAAATATAAACTGCCTCAGAAAACCTCCATTCTCTTTTATCTTTTCATCCCCTTAAATACCTACTCGCATTTCACTTACAGCACATATATTCTTATATACTTTAGAGTATAGAGTGCTTTTTTTTTTAAAATGAAAATCCAGGCCAAAGACTGAAATTCTTCAAGCTTTCATTCCTTCCTTAGAAACTCAATATTTGTGTTTACTGCTGAAAAATTCCTTATTCTACCTAATGCTCCTCAAGAACTCCACATTCTTCCCTTTGATACTCCAGTCATTTGATACAATGACTAAAGTCATTGTAAAACTAAATAGACTGCAAATTTTGCTCTAATCTCCAAAATTACAAAAATGGCAGTAATACAAGTTACCCCAACATCCTTCTGGGGAACAAGAATAATTAGGATAAGTCTTACTTCATTCCAAAGTAGGAATTACTCAGACCACAATCCTCCCATTCCTCAGGGGTCAGGTCACAGGCATGGGTCAAGGGTCTTCCTTCCTGGTAAGCTGCTCACCAGGGAAGCTTTCCAGAGGTAGATGAGCATTGGTGTGATGGCCAGTGCAAACCATGACTCCATCAAAGACATTCATCTCCTTTTTCCCTTCAGATTCAGTGACCACTTCCCATTGGCCTGAAGTGGCAAAATCAGGCTGCTTCTTCACACTGCACACAGTGGTCTGAAAAGAAAAGTGATAACCACAGGGGACATCCCTGACATGACTCTCCTTGCATAGTGTTACACAAAGGGCTGATATCACAGACACTATCACATAATAGGACCCATGCAGGGATATTTGATTTTCATACTCCACAAATAAGAACTGTTTGGGGCTGTAGTCAGAATGAGAAAATTTCCACAAGACAGAAAAAAATAACATAGTGTTGGCAGGCTAATGTACCCTCCTCTTCTAGAAAAGTGCAAGTCACCAGGTCTCTTGGTCCAGGTCCTAAGGCACTGTAACACCTGAGTAAAGCCTGGGCTTCTCCTGTGCTTTTATGACACTCCATGCACTAAATGCCTATTCTTCTCCTGACCCCTATATGTCCTGAGACCTTCTGATGTCTTCTTACCCTAGGTTCTCTTCTCCTGGCTACCTTTAAATAAGTGACTGAGCTATAGGGCTCCTTTTCCTGGTAGGGTAGAAAAACACCTCAGTGGCTCTCATTTTATATAAATGAATCTCCCTTTGGCTCCCATAAATACCCATTTTACAAAGAACTATAAAGAAAGAGGCTGTGAAACAGGATAGTGTTATGATTTTTAGCTTTATAAAAAATAATAAATATGGGTTACCCTACTTAGGTTAAGGAAACACTATGTGCTTCTACGGGCCCATGACCATAATGTCTTCATGGACTAATAGAGACACCATCCCGGCCGGGTGCGGTGGCTCACGCATGTAATCCCAGCACTTTGGGAGGCTGAGCCAGGTGAATCACCCGAGGTCAGGAGTTCAAAACTCACCTGGCCAACATGGCGAAACCCCGTCTCTACTACAAATACAAAAATTAGTGGGTGTGGTGGCACATGCTTGTAATCCCAGCTACTCGGGAGGCTGAGGCGGGAGAATTGCTTGAACTTGGGAGGTGGAGGTTGCAGTGAGCCGAGATCGTGTCACTGTACTCCAGCCTGGGCAACAGAGCAAGACTCTGTCTGAAAAAAAACAAAAAACAAAAAAAAAAAGAGAGACAAACCACCCCTGCATGCACTAGCAATCCAGCACTATTTATAGTTCCTCTATCATGTTCTTTTACACAGGCTGGTGCCTCTGCCGAGATCACCCTTTTATTCCTTATTTGGTAGACTCCTACTCATCCTTCAAGACTCAGCTTTAAGAAAACTTTATCTTCTTTAAGAAAACTTCCCTGGAACCTGATATTTCATGTCCTGATGGGTTCAACATCTTTCCTCCGAGCTGCAACGTATAGATCTCTAGCATTTGTCCCCATGTAACTCTCTATTTTTATTAATTATATTTATAATAAAATTTTTCTTCATTTTTATCCCCTTAACTAGACTATAAAGTTACTGATTTTTCTTTTTTGTCTTTGCATATTCAATGCTTAGTATGGTAGCAAACTTGTTCAATAAGTATTGTTTAAATAAATGAAGAGAAGCACCACTGGAATGTAAATGACTTACTTTAGAAGTTCACTAGATGTTTTCATTTTCTTATTGTCATTAAGCAGAAAAAGGCATGACTTAGCAGGATGATCAGAAGGCAGAAGGTTTGGGCTTTTTGCCAGCTGTCAGAAATATCTGACCATAAAATTCTTTTATGGTCATGATCAGAAATTATAGAAAAGTCCTAGAATACTTTAGAGCAGGAAGGAACCACAGAAGTGATCTGGTACAATCATCTTGTTTTACAAACAAGAAAATTTTTAAAAATTGAAATTGAGGAAATTGCTTGTCTAACATCTAAGTTAGTTAGTGGTAGGGCAAGCACCAGAATTCAGGTTTTTATTCTGCAATTCCATGTTCTCCCCTCTACACCAGAGTTAACTACCCAAGAGCTATACTTTACTGGGTTTTTATGATGTTCATGTAAACAAATATATTGGAAAGTACTTCAGAAAGTACAAAAGGGCTAAGCAGTAATGGACAAGTTGTGGAACCAGAGAGTTTTAAAGTTCCCATACCTATCAGTTCCCTTCTGTAATGGGGAAAACATTTCCCTTCATCTGTTTATTGCAATCAAATAATGTGAAATGAAGGTAATGAAAACACTCTGCCAGCTGGCTTCCTGTATCTGCAGCCAAAATATATGAAAGAGAGACTGTCCCTTGAATATTTTTGAGGAGCAAAGGAGGACAAAGAATGGAGTTTTTGCCTGGGTAGGATAAATACATGTGCAAATCAAGCCAATCTTTAGAAGTAAACATTGGTAACTGAAACCACGTTATTCATTTACTTGGCAAACAACTTCAAACACAAAGATACCCACACAATTTTCTACCTTAAATCGAATATACTTTAGAAGGTCAAATTCTTTGGCATACATCCTGAAATACTCCAGGACCTGGGCATTATGCATGAAGTTGGGATAATGATCTGGGATTGGATAGTCACTGAAGCACATCATCTCTTTAGAAGTATTGATGATCACTGATTTGTAAATACTGGCCCTTCCTTCTTCAGGATTTTCCTGCAATAAATAGAAAGTATTCATAGCAACTTGAGGATCATCTTCATGTTTTATAATAGCCAATAGACATCTGAAAAAGTTTTCTGAAAGAAGTGTCAATTAAATCACACACACACCTTCCAGTATTTGTGCCCTTATGTAGTCCCTTCCCCTTGAATCTCAGTTATCTTTATGACTTGCTTTTGACCAACAGCATACAGTTGAAATGACACTGAATGGCTTCCAAGACCAAGTCATAAGTAGCCTTGCGGATTCTGCCTGGGTCTCAGAAAGCTCGCTCTGGTAGAAGCTAGCAGCCATATGAGAAATCCAACTACCATGAGACCACCATAGCTTGAGGAAGTCCAGCCTCACCACATGAAGAGAATGTCTGGGACAGAAAATATATGGCCAGTCCCCAAAAATTCTACCTATTCTATTCTATCCCAGCTGAAGTTCTAAACATGTGAACAGAAAGTTACTAACACTGAGTAATAGTCTTTTAAATGAGTAACAATGAGGCAAAATGGGAAGATACACAGGAAAGAGTGTAACAGTTTCCATATACTGGAAAGAGTATAACATCTCCAGCGTTTTCTGGAGAGCAGTGTTAAAATGTATATGAAACTCCTTGCAATTTACCTAGCCTTTTAAAAAAATATTCAGCATCGCTTAGGAAGATTTATGTTAAAGGATGTTAATACCAGCATTATTCATAATACAAAAATGAGACAAGCTAAATGCCCAAAAAAACAACTGAAATTTGAGAACCACTGCTCTAGATCCTTACTACCAAAGTATGGTCTGTAGACTAGCAGCTGGGGCTTCCCTTGAGAGATTGTGTTAGAAATGCAGACTCTCAGGCCCCACCTCAGACCTACTGAATCAGAACCTGCATCTTAGCAAAATCTTCATGTGATTCAGAATTCAGATGCTCATGCAAACTGAGATGCACTGCATTAAATGACATTAATCCTCAATTCAGTGTTCTTTCCCCTACAACAAACTTCTTTGCATCCTCAAAAACTTCCTATTGAGGCCGGGCGTGGTGGCTCATGCCTGTAATCCCAGCACTTTGGGAGGCTGAGGTGGGTAGATCATCTGAGGTCGGGAGTTCAAGACCAGCCTGACCAACATGGAGAAACCCTGTCTCTACTAAAAATACAAAATTAGCCGGGCGTGGTGGCGCATGCCTGTAATCCCAGCTAGTCGGGGGGCTGAGGCAGGAGAATCGCTTGAACCCGGGAGGCGGAGGTTGCGGTGACAGAGATAGCGCCATTGCACTCCAGCCTGGGCAACAAGAGCAAAACTCCGTCTACAAAAAAAAGAAAAAGAAAAAGAAAAAAAAACTTCCTATTAACTATCTTATAGCATTGTTGTGGTGATCACATAAAGTAATGCAATGATGCAATCTACCCAGCCTGTCACCGAGATTTCACAAATGAGGAGTTTTCAAATTTTTAGATTTTCAAAAATTGTTTTGACTATGGAAAATCACCTTAATCAATTTGGATCTCCTCCTCCCTTTTTATTCTAGAAATGAACAGATATTGAGATATTGAGTATTATGAAACATTAAATAGCCACAAAGGAGAGTGTTTGTTGTTTGTTGGCTTTGTCCACCTTTAGGATTGTTTTTCTCCCATTTTTATTGCTTAATTATTCAATCTAGGAATCCTAAATTGATCATTCCCATTTCTCTGACCTATAATCCAACATCTCATTTCTTTAACTGCTAATAACATTTTCATAAGACTCCTTTGAAGTCTCTTCTTCTAATCTAGCCTACCTGTTTCAACCAAAGTGTTCTCTCTAAGGTGTGGCTGGACTAAATCTCTGCCCTAATTAAAATTTTAGATGTTTTCCCATTTCCTGCAGAATAAAGTTCCTATTTCTCAGCTTAGGATTCAAAGACCTCCATAATGTTTTGTAGTGTATTCCTTATCTCTCCAACTAGATTGTAAGCCCCTTGAATTGTACTCATGGTTTTCCCCACAGCATCCACAATGATAAATAGCACTCAATAAATGTTTAATGGATGCATATCAAATTGTATTGAGAAAGGGATATACAGAATAAGATGTAAGTTTCACAAAATGCATAAGAAAACTAATAAAATACATCAACATTTATCTCAAAAAGACTTCAATAAGATATATGTATCTCCCAAAATTTTGTCCCAAGAAAAATTTCAAAATAATATAAAGTCAAATGCATAGATATATTTTTGTATAACTTAAATAGCAATTAATTAGTAACAATGTTAAATGTTCCCAAAATAGATGAATGGTTTAGTAAATTATAGTATCTCAACATGCAGAATTTTTTTTTTTGAGATGGAGTCTCACTCTGTCGCCAGGCTGGAGTGCAGTAGCACGATCTCAGCTCCCTGCAACCTCTGCCTCCTGGGTTCAAGCAATTTTCCTGCCTCAGCCTCCCGAGTAGCTGGGCCTACAGGCACGCGCCACTATGCCTGGCTAATTTTTTTTGTGTTTTTAGTAGAGACGGGTTTCACCATGTTAGCCAGGCTGGACTCGATCTCCTGACCTCGTGATCCGCCCGCCTCAGCCTCCCAAAGTGCTGGGATTACAGGCGTGAGCCACCGCGCCCAGCCTCAACATGCAGAATTTACCTTCCACACCACTCCATGGGTATCCTGATAAATACAAAGTAGATCCTGCCACTCCACTGCTTAATAGTTTCTCTTGATTCCATATGGAAAACAAAATTCCTTATTTTGAAATTTAGCACATTTCACAATCTAGCCCGGTTTATCTTTTAATCTTCATCCAGTGTTGTCCTTATTTAATCTCAAATTTCTAAGTTATTAAATTGTTCCTGAAACACTCTAGGCTCTTGCACAACTTTAAACCTTCGTAAATATTACTATTTCTTCATCTGGAAAATTTCCTGTCCTTCAAGAGTTACATCAAATGTCACTTCCTTCAACAAGACTTTTCTAATTTCTCCAGAGAATTAGATTCCGCTATTCATCCTCCAAGCTCCCAAAACTCTCTGTTCATATTTCTATAAAGATAACTTAAACACACTATATTATCAGGCATTTGTTTCCATGACTGTGAGAAACCCGAGAGTAGCCATATCCTTCTTTAAATCTCTATTATCAGGACCTGGTGTGTACTGGATGTGCAATAAATGCTTTGAAATGAATTAGTTAATGAATTATGGAAATTGAATTTGGAGACACCAAAAACTATGATTTTGAAGTCTGTGCAGGAACATTAAAAATGGCGTATGATATAATGAAGTACAAAGGGAACTGTAAAATTAAATTTACATTCTAATCACCAAATATGTAATATTATGTCTATCTATGGGTATATAATTATACTTGTATAATCGCTCCCTGTTAGACATGTCTCTTTTGAGTATACTTCATTTATTTGAAATAGAAAAAAATGTGAAAATACAGAAAACCAGTCGACTTATTAAGGCAGTAGGATTGCTTTCTTTTTCTTTTATTTTTGTTAAAATGTTGTTTGTACAACACCCATTCATGATGAAAACTCTCAGCAAACTAGGAATGGAGAGAAACTTCCTCAATTTGATAAAGAACATCTACAAAATACCTATAACCAACATCATACTTAACAGTGAGAAATTAGACACTTTTCCCCTAAGACTGGGAACAAGGTAAGGATGTCCTCTCTCACCACTCCTATGGAACATTGCACTAGAAGTCTTAGCTAGTACAATAATAGAAGAAAGAAAAGTAAAGGATATTCGGATTGGGAAGGAATAAAGATAACTTTTTATTTGCAGATGACCTGACCGTCTATGTAGAAAATCCCAAAGGATTAAAAAAAAAAAGTAAGAAAAAAAGAAAAAAACTCCTAGAGTCAACAAGTGAGTACAGCAGGGTTGCAGGATACATGGTTAACATACAAATGTTAATTGCTTTTTTTTTTTTTTTTGAGACAGAGTCTCGCTCTATTGCCCAGGCTAGAGTGCAGTGGCACAATCTCGGCTCACCACAACCCCTGCCTCCCGGGTGCAAGCAATTCTCCTGCCTCAGCCTCCGGAGTAACTGGGACTACAGGCGCATGCCACCCTGCCCAGCTAATTTTTTGTATTTTTAGTAGAGATGGGGTTTCACTATGTTGGCCAGGCTGGTCTCGATCTCCTGACCTCGTGATCCACCCACCTCGGCCTCCCAAAGTGCTGGGATTACAGGCATGAGCCATCGCACCCAGTCATTTGCTTTTTTATATACTAGAATGAACAACTGGAATTTGAAATTTTAAAAACTCCATCTATAGTAATACCCCTGAAATTACATACGTAGGTATAAACATAACAAAATATGTATAGGATTTATAAGCATGAATTAGAAAACACAGATGAAGAAAGTCTAAGATTTAAATAAATGGAGAGATATTCTGATTCATAGACTAGAAGATTAAATATTGTTAAGATGTCAGTTCTTTCCAACTTGACCTATAGATACAATGCAATCTCAATCAACATCCCAGCAAGCTATTTTAGAATCCAAGCTAACACATGGATTCTAAAGTTCATATGGAAAGACAGAAGGCCTAGAATAGAAGACTTTGTCCTTAATAGTGGGCTGTGCATAGTGACTTTGTTCCAAAGAGTATAGTATGGCAATGGAGAAAAAAGGAGCAACTTTACAGTGTGGCAAAAACTGACAAACGCTATTTCAAGCCAGGACATCAAGGTTAACATCAATAGTGATATTATCTAGGGTTTTTATAGTTTTAGATTTTACATTTAACTTTTTAACGCATGTTGAGTTGATTTTCATATATGGCAAAAGGAAGGGATCCAGTGTCAATCTTCTGCATATGGCTAGCAGTTATACCAGCCCCATACAATTTATCCTTGTAACAAACTTTCATATGTACCCCCGAACCTAAAATAAAAGTTGGAAAATGAAAAATAGAAAAGTGGAACAAACTTACACTTCAACAAAGATATATTGTGGCATATATTGAATGCTAATTTCTTACTTATAATAACATAAAATGAGTTTTAAGTTTCCAAAAAAAAAAAAAAACAGTGGGTATAATGTGGATAGTATGTACCCTTGATGGGAGGTGAGGAGAATGGCACCTTATAATATTCCTCCCCAAAAGTCATAACCCCAATTTAACCATGAGAAAAAAATAAGATAAATCCCAACTGAGGGATATTCTACAGCATACCTGGCCCCAAAACTATCAAGGGCATCAAAAACAAGGAAAGTCTAAGAAATTTCATAGCCAAAAAGAGCCTAAGGAGATATGACTATTAAATGTAATGCAGTATCCTGGATGGGATCCTGGAACAGCAAAAGGCCATTAGGAAAAACTGAGTAAATCTGAATAAAGTATGGACTTCAGTTAATAATAATGTATCAATATTGGTTCATTCATTATTTAAAAACGTATCATACTAATGTAAAATGGGGTAACTGGACATGAGGTGTACTGTAATTCTCTGTATTATCTTCCTAATAAATTTTGTAAGTCTAAAACTGTTCTAAAATTAAAAGCTTATTTAAACATGTTTGTACATAAGTGTATATATTTTTTAATTAAGGTAAATTAATGAATGGCAAGGTCATTTTGGAATTAAGATGTTTGCTGTATGGAGAGCAGGTGAGGCATGTTCCTAACTTCTGAATTTCATTTCATTTATTCATTCAAGAGATATTTAGAAAGTCCCTCTGTAATAAAATACTTTATGAGGTACTGATAAATGCAAGTCTGTATGTGTATTCCAAAAGTTCAACGTTTACAAAGAGTAGAGCCATCCTATCCACAGCAGGTCTGTTGGGATCACTGAGTGAAATGAATGACAGATCTCACCTCTTTGAGGTACTCCTATATTTCAACTCTTTTTCAAATCACTAACCACAACAAGTGTTATCCTGTGTCAACAACATCCTTCAAATCCTTCGAAACACCTGATTGGAACTTAGGTAAGGTTTACCACTGTGCCAATCCACTGCTTTCCAAAAGAGTGAGCACAGAGCAGTATTGGGTTAGTGAGTAGAAGAAAAAGAAGCTTCTGCTCCTGCATTTTACAATTTTCTACCATTGATGAATAAATCTTCTCTCTACAAACTCTATACACTGATTATATTTCCTACCTAGGCACAAGGCTCACACATTTGAGCAGGAAGTCTGTGTAAGAAAAGAGAGGCTAGGCACGGTGGCTCATGCCTGTAATCCCCACACCTTGGGAGGCCGAGGTGAGCAGATCACTTGAGGTGAGGAGTTCGAGAATAGCCTGGCCAACATGGTGAAACCCCATCTTTACTAAAAATACAAGAATTAGCAAGGCGTAGTAGTGCGTGTATAATTTCAGCTACTTGAGAGGCTAAGGCATGAGAATCACTTGAACCCAGGAGGCAGAGGTTGCAGTGAGCTGAGATCACGCCACTATACTCCAGCCTGGGTAACAGAGTGAGACTCTGCCTAAAAAGAAAAGAGAGAGAGAGCAGGGGATGGAAGTTGGGGAAATTGGAACTGATGGGATTGGAAGAAGTAATAAGGACAGAAGAAAGGAGAAAAATTTAAATGGGAGGAATGAGGACAGTTTGGGGCTTCTGTTCCTGTCAGATTTTCAAAATCCCATGGAATAGAAACTCTCTTTGAACTGTTGTCTGCACATTGGAATCATCTGGGGAGCTTTAAAAAATGGAGATAGTAGAATACATGCTTGGCTCTAGAAATATAACGGTGAACCACACAGGTGTGGTCTGTTGGAACAGAAGTCAGAGCGTTATGATGAAACACAGCTTATTTATTTTCAAGGAAGCAGTTTACAAAGTGTTAAAATTTTGCCAAGTGGATAATCAGAAGAAAAACCTCCACGTTAAGTCTTTAGCAGAGAATAAGTTTAAACCACATTGGAGATAAAAACCAGAAACTTGATAATCAGACAAGATGATGGATGCCCTCCCAACCTCCTCCCATCCTCAATTGATTTCATGCCTTTTCAGTAACTGCCAAAACTGGCTAAGATGCTTAGTAAAGACACCACATGTGTGAGTCCCATCCTAGGCCTACTGAATAATAACCAACATGTAACACTATGTTCCTGGCACTGTTGTAAGTGATTGGCATAATTATCCATTCACTTACTCCTGACAATAACTCTATAAAGTGGATACTATTATTATCCACTTCTTAAAGATGAAGAAACACAGGTACAGAGAAGCTTAATGATGTGCCCAAAGTCACACTGCTAGTAGGTGACAGAAATAAGGTTTGAGCCTAAGACTGCATTCTTAACCTCCATACCATATTGTGGCTGGATTTTAAGAGCAGAATTTTCTGCTGTTTACTAAAAACAACAGGCTTTTAGCCCATGTCCAAGACTGATGATGATACACGTATGCAGGTCAGCTAAGGGGATCCACTCCAGATCTGAATAAGGATGATTGTCACATAAAATTAGTCCCCAAAACAGAGTCAGGGTGCAAAAGGATTGTATTTCGGTTCAACTAAGAAATGCTATAAAGCCACTTTTATGTAGCTGGCCAACAATGTGTTAGTTTTTATGAAATATGAAACGTAAAACTTATCTAGGGCACCTCAATACTATTAAATGTTCAGAAAACTAGCTTAAAAGCAAACCCGTTCTCCTCTAGCCACCCAAGATGCCAATAGGAAAGAAGGCTAAGGGAAAGAAGGCGGCCCCCGCCCCTGCTATCAGTGAAGAAGCAGGAAGACAAAAAAGTTGTGAATCCTCTGTTTGAGAAAAAGCCTAAGAATTTTGGCATTGGACAGGACATACAGCCCCAAAGAGACCTCACCCTCTTTGTCAGATGGCCCCCCTATATCAGGTTGCAGCAGCAAAGAGCTATCCTTTTATAAGCTGCTGAAAGCACTTCCTGCCATTAACCAGTTCACCCAGGCTTCGCACTGCCAAACAGCTACTGACTGCTTACGCGGGCCCACAAGCACAGACCAGAGACAAAACAAGAGAAGAAGCAGAGACTGTTGTCCTGGACTGAGAAGAAAGCTGCTAGCAAAGGGGATACCCCCATCGAGACACCACCCGTCTTTCCAGCAGGGGTTAACACAATCACCACCTTGGTGGAGAACAAGAAGACTCAGCTGGTGGTGATTGCACACGATGCGGATCCCATCGAGCTGGTTGTCTTCCTGCCTGCCCTGTGTCCCAAAATGGGGGTCCCTTACTGCATTATCAAGGGTGAGGTAAGATTGGGATGTCTAGTCCACAGGAAGACCTGCACGACGTTGCCTTCACACAGGTTCACTAGGAAGACAAAGGAGGTGTGGCTAAGTTGGTGGCAGTTTTCAGAACCAATTACATGGACAGATATGATGAGATTCGCTGCCAATGGGGAGGCAATGTCCTGGGTCCTAAATCTGTGGGTTTGAATCACCAAAGTGGAAAAGGGAAAGGTGAAAGAAGTTGCCACTAAACTGGGTTAAATGTACACTGCTGAATTTTCTGTAAATAAAAAGAATAAAAATTCTCCTTCAAAAAATGTAAAAATAAAAGCAAACCCAGCAAATCCAATGCATGTCAGTTTGGAGATCAATAAAGGTGGCTGGTATTCTTTGGAATATAATAAGTTTAACTATCTTTTTTTAATTTTTTTCCTTGAGACGGAGTCTTGCTCTGTCACCCAGGCTGGAGTGCAGTGGGGCGATCTCGGCTCACTGCAAGCTCTGCCTCCCAAGTTCACCCCATCCTCCTGCCTTAGCCTCCCGAGTAGCTGGGACTACATGCACCCGCCACCACGCCCGGCTAATTTTTTTGCATTTTTAGTAGAGACGAGGTTTCACCGTGTTAGCCAGGATGGTCTCGATCGCCTGACCTCGTGATCCGCCCGCCTCGGCCTCCCAAAGTGCTAGGATTACAGGCGTGTGCCAACCGCGCCCGGCCACCTGACACTGTTAAGATAAACTGTCGTATGCACCTAGTTGCAGGGAGGGTTTCAAGTATTAAGGGACTAGGAGATGTATGTACCTGGAACCTCCAGAGCCCTCCGATGTCATCAGTCCTTTCAAAGCAGACAGGTTCCAAGCCTTCTTCTACGCAGCACTTGATGGAAGAGAGCCCGCTCACTCCTCCCCCAATCACAGCAATTCTTTTCTTAGTCATGGTCTCCCGAGATCTTCACCTGTTAGTGTCGCCTGTCCTAAAGAAAGGATGACAAAAGACAAAAAGCACACATCGGTTAACATTTTTCAAGGAAGACCTTGGCCGTGGCATTCGAATAAATTCTGTACAAGAGGTGTCTTGAGGAGGACAGATTCGACGGTCCTCTTCACCAGAGGAAATCTTTCTGCTGGCATGGGGGAGCCCTGCGCCTGCAAGACCCAGAGCTGAGAGTGCTCTGCTGCGGTACCGGATCTCACCGCCTTTCCTGAAGCGCTCAACAGATCCTTCAGCTGCGATCTGGAGGAGACTCAACAGGCGGCTGTTGTCAAATTACTATAAACCAACAACGGACAAACAGCGAGAGCCAACGGGGAGGGGCTGTAGCACTCCACCTCCTTTCAGGGACCACTCCCCCGCCCACTCAGCGGCACCCATTCTCCCTCCCTCGATGGGAATAAAACGTGGGCTGAAGCTGCTTTGGGCGAAAAAGTTAATCCTACAACTTCTCTATATTTCAGCTGCTGTTGCCAGCACTCTCAATTACTTTCTCTGAAACCCCTAGCCCCGTCTGTGCTCGCTTCTGCATCCACTTTTAACTTCCTGGTTTTTGCCTTAAAGTGACAAACACTTCCTAGTGAAGGGAAAACTGTCAACAACCCCAAAGCCAGTTCTACTCCAAATGCTTAAATGAACACCTACCTTTCAGGTGATCTGTTCAAACAGATTGTAGCAGGATGAGCCACAGACAAAACTCCTCAGACACCGAATTAAAGAAGGAAGAGGTTTTTATTCGGCCGGGAGCGTCGGCAGACTCGCGTCTTAAGAGCCGAGCTCCCCGAAAAAGAAATTTTTGGCCTTTTTAAAGGCTTACAACTTTAAGGGGTCCACGTGAAAGGGTCGTGATACATCAAACAAGAGTGGGAAACGTGACTGGGGGCTACAATGCTTTTTTCATACAGTGTCAGGAATTCACAGATAACACAAGTAGTTTAGGTCAGGGGTTGATGTTATTATTATTACTTTTTTTAACTCCTAGGGCCGGGTGGTGGTGCCAAGGTTGTCTGGCAATTTATCTTACTTTTTTTTTTTTCCAACTTTTTGCTTTTTCTCTCCTCCTGTCTTGTGAACGAGGCAAGGTGGTGGGAGGAGGGCAGCAGTAGTAGCAGTGGTCTCCTTCCTTAAGATGATCCTGCCCCCACTTCCGCCCCCGGCTCACCTATACCTCTCTCCTCCCCTCCTCACAATCTGGATCTAAGAATCTACACTTCTGGAAGAAATTTACTTTTAAATCCCCATGCACTGAGCTGAGTGCTGGAGTATAGTGAGGAATGTATTGTTTCCTACTCAGAGGGGCTTACAGATTAGTGGAGGAGACCAAAACATAAACAGGTAATTTTAACGAAATAAAAGTATTTTTAATAGTGCTTTCACACAGTTATATTAGTAACCAAAAATACAAAATATCCACTTCTAAAATGTAACTTTTCAAATATAAAGTCATGTAGAACCACCAATATAACAGATACAAGATTTCAGGCACTGGGTTAGAACAAGGGCCCATCCAGACAAGGGTTCTATTTGACAGATGTGAGGGGTTGTAAGAGGCATGGATTGTGGCTCATGCCTTGGATCCTTGCTCTCCTTCTACCACTCCCTGAGTCAATTTTGCTCTTCCAATCTGCACCTGCTAATCTTGGACTTTTTCATGAGAGGCAACTGATATTTTGTTTGTGCCATTGAATTTTTTGTTGTATTTATAGCAACTTAGCAGACTCTAATTAACATTAATGTGTTTTGGAACTGTCGAACTTTTTTTTTTTTGAAACAGGGTCTCACTCTGGCACTTGGGCTGGAGTGCAGTGGTGCAATCATGGCTCACTGCAGCCTCTATCTCCTGGGCTCAATCTACCCTCCCACCTCAGCCTTCTGAGTAGGGACTACAGCTGTGTGCCACCACACCTGGTAATTTTTGTATTTTTTGTAGAAATGAGGTTTCACTATGTTGCTCAAGCTGGTCTTGAACTCCTGGGCTCAAGTGATCCACCTGCCTTGGCCTCCCAAAGTGCTGGGATTACAGGCATGAGCCAACAAGGCCAGCCTGTAAAATATTTTAAAGACTAATATCTTTCACAAAAGCATTCAACTATAAATGTGAATTTATACTAAAATAGTATCTTTTAAAAATAAAATTCTGAAGACAGTGTTTCAACACAACCATTTTATATGCTAGAAGTTAACTTAAAATGAATTACTTGTAAATTGGATAATTTTGAATGCACTAGAAGAAATGCCTAAAGGAAAACATGAATACTTTTATAAACTGAGTATTAATTTCCTCCTACTGAATCAGTTTTACAAATAATGCAAGAATTACTTTTAAAATGTAGTTAACAATGTAATTTTATTTTAATGTCCCCCTACTTCAATTGTGTCTTATAATTAATTGCTTTTGAATATAGCAAATATGTTTTGTGTTGTATTAAAATTACTTATACAATGTTTTAAACCTTGACTCAAATGTTCTCTCTCTTGCCTAGCTGACAATTTGCAAGTAAGTCAATTTCTTCATTGAAAAATAACTTGATACATCCAAATTAATATACAGACTCAACTCAGTTACTCATGCTATTACTAGACAGCAATATTATGAGTGAGAAATAAGAACAACTAATTCCAAGATAACATATGAGGCTTTTGAAGGAGTGTATGTGTATGGATGCACATGCATGTGGAACTGGGTTTGCAGAGTTTCTGCAAAGGTCCAACCCAGAAAGAGCTTTCAAACAATACAGTCTCACCTCTACTCAGATGCTACCCTGTTTTCTAATTCTTTCTATTACGTTTGCATTTTGCCCATATTCATTCAGCAAACAGTCTCTTTTGGAGGCCCCCTTTGTTTTGAGATGGAGCCTCACTCTGTCGCCCAGGCTGGAGTGCAAGTGGTGCGATCTTGGCTCACTGCAAGCTCCATGGAGGCCACTTTTTTTTTTTTATCATACTTTAAGTTTTAGGGTACATGTGCACAACGTGCAGGTTAGTTACATATGCATACATGTGCCATGTTGGTGTGCAGCACCCATTAACTCATCATTTAATATTAGGTATATCTCCTAATGCTATCCCTTCCCCAGCCCCCCACCCCACAACAGGCCCCAGTGTGTCATGTTCCCCTTCCTGTCTCCATGTGTTCTCATTGTTCAATTCCCACCTATGACTGAGAACATGCGGTGTTTGGTTTTTTGTCCTTGCAACAGTTTGCTGAGAATGATGGTTTCCAGCTTTATCCATGTCCCTACAAAGGACATGAACTCATCATTTTTTATGGCTACATAGTATTCCATGGTGTATATGTGCCACATTTTCTTAATCCAGTCTATCATTGTTGGACATTTGGCTTGGTTTCAAGTCTTTGCTACTGTGAATACTACCACAATAAACTTACATGTGTATATGTCTTCATAGCAGCATGATTTATAATCCTTTGGGTATATACCCAGTAATGGGATGGTTGGGTCAAATGGTATTTCTAGTTCTAGATCCCTGAGGAATCGCCACACTGACTTCCACAATGGTTGAACTAGTTTACAGTCCCACCAACAGTGTAAAAGTGTTCCTATTTCTCCACATCCTCTCCAGCACCTGTTGTTTCCTGACTTTTTAATGATCCCCATTCTAACTGGTGTGAGATGGTATCTCATTGTGGTTTTGATTTGTATTTCTCTGGTGGCCAGTGATGATGAGCATTTTTTCATGTGTTTTTGGCTGCATAAACATCTTCTTTTGAGAAGTGTCTCTTCATTTCCTTTGCCCACTTTTTGATGGGGTTGTTTGTTTTTTTCTTGTAAATTTGTTTGAGTTCATTGTAGATTCTGGATATTAGCCCTTTGTCAGATGAGTAGATTGCAAAAATTTTCTCCCATTCGGTAGGTTGCCTGTTCACTCTGATGGTAGTTTCTTTTGCTGTGCAGAAGCTCCTTAGTGTAATTAGATCCCATTTGCCAATTTTGGCTTTTGTTGCCATTGCTTTTGGTGTTTTAGACATGAAGTCCTTGCCCATGACTATGTCCTGAATGGTATTGCCTAGGTTTTCTTCTAGGGTTTTTATGGTTTTAGGTCTAACATGTAAGTCTTTAATCCATCTTGAATTAATTTTTTATAAGGTGTAAGGAAGGGATCCAGTTTCAGCTTTCTACATACAGCTAGCCCGTTTTCCCAGCACCATTTATTAAATAGGGAATCCTTTCCCTATTTCTTGTTTTTGTGAGGTTTGTCAAAGATCAGATGGTTGTAGATATGCGGCATTATTTCTGAGGGCTCTGTTCTGTTCCATTGATCTATATCTCTGTTTTGGTACCAGTACCATGCTGTTTTGGTTACTGTAGCCTTGTAGTATAGTTTGAAGTCAGGTAGCGTGATGCCTCCGGCTTTGTTCTTTTGGCTTAGGATTGACTTGGCGATGCGGGCTCTTTTTTGGTTCCATATGAACTTTAAAGTAGTTTTTTCCAGTTCTGTGAAGAAAGTCATTGGTTGCTTGATGGGGATGGCATTTAATCTATAAATTACCTTGGGCAGTATGGCCATTTTCATGATATTGATTCTTCCTACCCATGAGCATGGAATGTTCTTCCATTTCTTTGTATCCTCTTTTATTTCATTGAGCAGTGGTTTGTAGTTCTCCTTGAGGAGGTACTTCACATCCCTTGTAAGTTGGATTCCTAGGTATTTTATTCTCTTTGAAGCAATTGTGAATGGGAGTTCACTCATGATTTGGCTCTCTGTTTGTCTGTTATTGGTGTATAAGAATGCTTGTGATTTTTGTGCATTGATTTTGTATCCTGAGACTTTGCTGAAGTTGCTCATCAGTTTAAGGAGATTTTGGGCTGAGACAATGGGGTTTTCTAGATATACAATCATGTCTTCTGCCAACAGGGACAATTTGACTTCCTCTTTTCCTAATTGAATACCCTTTATTTCCTTCTCCTGCCTCATTGCCCTGGCCAGAACTTCCAACAATATGTTGAATAGGAGTGGTGAGAGAGGGCATCCCTGTCTTGTGCCAGTTTTCAAAGGGAATGCTTCCAGTTTTTGCCCATTCAGTGCGATATTGGCTGTGGTTTTGTCATAAATAGCTCTTATTATTTTGAGATATGTCCCATCAGTACTTAATTTATTGAGAGTTTTTAGCATGAAGGGCTGTTGATGTGTCAAAGGCCTTTTCTGCATCTATTGAGATAATCATGTGGTTTTTGTCTTTGGTTCTGTTTGTATGCTGGATTACATTAATTGATTTGCATATGTTGAACCAGCCTTGCATCCCAGGGATAAAGCCCACTTGATCATGGTGGATAAGCTTTTTGATGTGCTGCTGGATTCAGTTTGCCAGTATTTTATTGAGGATTTTTGTGTCGATGTTCATGAGGGCTATTGGTCTAGAATTCTCTTTTTTTCTTGTGTCTCTGCCAGGCTTTGGGTATCAGGATGATCCTGGACTCATAAAATGAGTTAGGGAGGATTCCTTCTGTTTCTATTGATTGGAATAGTTTCAGAAGGAATGGTCCCAGCTCCTCCTTGTACCTCTGGTAGAATTCGGCTGTGAATCCATCTGGTCCTGGACTTTTTTTGGTTGGTAAGCTATTAATTATTGCCTCAATTTCAGAGCCTGTTATCGGTCTATTCAGAGATTCAACTTCTTCCCGGTTTAGTCTTGGGAGGGTGTATGTGTTGAGGAATTTATCCATTTCTTCTAGATTTTCTAGTTTATTTGTGTAGAGGTGTTTATAGTATTCTCTGATGGTAGTTTGTATTTCTGTGGGATTGGTGGTGATATCCCCTTTATCATTTTTATTGCATCTATTTGATTCTTCTCTTTTCTTCTTTATTAGTCTTGCTAGCAGTCTATCAATTTTGTTTATCTTTTCAAAAAAAAAGCTCCTGGATTCATTGATTTTTTGAAGGGTTTTTTGTGTCTCTATTTCCTTCAGTTCTGCTCTGATTTTGGTTATTTCTTGCCTTCTGCTAGCTTTTGAATGTGTTCGCTCTTGCTTCTCTAGTTCTTTTAATTGTGACGTTAGGGTGTCAATTTTAGATCTTTCCTGCTTTCTCTTGTGGGCATTTAGTGCTATAAATTTCCCTCTACACACTGCTTTCAGTGTGTCCCAGAGATTCTGGTACACTGTGTCTTTGTTCTCGTTGGTTTCAAAGAACCTCTTTATCTCTACCTTCATTTCGTTATGTACCCAGTAGTCACTCAGGAACAGGTTGTTCAGTTTCCATGTAGTGGAGCGGTTTTGAGTGAGTTCCTTAATCCTGAGTTCTAGTTTGATTGCACTGTGGTCTGAGAGACAGTTTGTTATAATTTCTGTTCTTTTACATTTGCTGAGGAGTGCTTTGCTTCCAACTATGTGATCAATTTTGGAATAGGTGTGGTGTGGTGCTGAAAAGAATGTATATTCTGTTGATTTGGGGTGGAGAGTTCTGTAGATGTGTATTAAGTCCACCTGGTGCAGAGCTGAGTTCAATTCCTGTATATCCTTGTTAATTTTGTGTCACATTGATCTGTCTAATGTTGACAGTGGGGTGTTAAAGTCTCCCATTATTATTGTGTGGGAGCTAAGTCTCTTTGTAGGTCTCTAAGGACTTGCTTTATGAATCTGGGTGCTCCTGTATCAGTGAGACTCTGTGGGTGTAGGACCCTCGGAGCCAGGCATGGGATATAATCTCCTGGTGTGCCGTTCGCTAAGACCATTGGAAAAGCGCAGTATTAGGGTGGGAGTGACCCAATTTTCCAGGTGCTGTCTGTCGCCCCTTTCTTTGACTAGCAAAGGGAATTCCCTGACCTCCTGTGCTTCCCGGGTGAGGCGATGCCTCGCCCTGCTTCAGTTCATGGTCAGTGCACTGCACCCACTGTCCTGCACCCACTTTCTGACACTCCCCAGTGAGATGAACCCAGTACCTCAGTTGGAAATGCAAAAATCACCTGTCTTCTGCTTCGCTCATGCTGGGAGCTGTAAACTAGAGCTGTTCCTATTCAGCCATCTTGGCTCCACCCCCCAGAGGCCACTTTTAAATGGCATCTTTGTAAGATAGAATAGGCTTGAATCTTGAGGGAGGGCTGCAAAGGAAAGGTGGCTGACAAGCATTGGACTGTGACATGAGTGAGAAATATACTTTTTGCTGAATTAAAATGTGGAGAGCTATTTGTTCAGTAGTAAACCTTAATAAGTCAATCCTGACTAGTCCAAGAGTCATTTCTAGCACAGTGTCTGTTGGGAAAAAGCTGAGTGTTGGGAAGAAAGCTGAGGCAGGGCTTGCATGTCTGACATAATGTCCTCTGGAATGTGTGTAGACTTGCTGGATCCTTGCTTCTAGCCCTCCAAGCTCCTAGAGCGGTTGTATTCCCATTATCTCAAGTAGCAGAACATGTTCCATATAAATGCTAAACCTCAACCTCTCCCTCTCCCTCTCCCTCTCCCCATGGTCTCCCTCTCCCTCTCTTTCCATGGTCTCCCTGTGATGCCGAGCCGAAGCTGGACTGTACTGCTGCCATCTTGGCTCACTGCAACCTCCCTGCCTGATTCTCCTGCCTCAGCCTGCCGAGTGCCTGCGATTGCAGGCACGCGCCGCCACGCCTGACTGGTTTTCGTATTTTTTTGGTGGAGATGGGGTTTCGCTGTGTTGGCCGGGCTGGTCTCCAGCTCCTAACCGTGAGTGATATGCCAGCCTCGGCCTCTGGAGGTGCCGGGATTGCAGATGGTGTCTGGTTCACTCAGTGCTCAATGGTGCCCAGGCTGGAGTGCAGTGGCGTGATCTCGGCTCGCTACAACCTCCACCTCCCAGCCGCCTGCCTTGGCCTCCCAAAGTGCCGAAAGTGCAGCCTCTGCCTGGCCGCCACCCCATCTGGGAAGTGAGGAGCATCTCTGCCTGGCCACCCATCGTCTGGGACATGAGGAGCCCCTCTGCCTGGCTGCCCAGTCTGGAAAGTGAGGAGCGCCTCTTCCCGGCCGCCATCCCATCTAGGAAGTGAGGAGCGTCTCTGCCCGGCCGCCCATCGTCTGAGATGTGGGGAGTGCCTCTGCCCCGCCGCCCCATCTGGGATGTGAGGAGCGCCTCTGCCCGGCTGCGACCCCGTCTGGGAGGTGAAGAACGTCTCTGCCCAGCCGCCCCGTCTGAGAAGTGAGGAGACCCTCCGCCTGGCAACTGCCCCATCTGAGAAGTGAGGAGCCCCTCCGCCCGGCAGCCGCCCCGTCTGGGAAGTGAGGAGCGTCTCCGCCCAGCAGCCACCCCATCCAGGAGGGAGGTGGGGATCAGCCCCTGCCAGGCCAGCCGCCCCGTCCGGGAGGGAGGTGGGGGGTCAGCCCCCCGCCCGGCCAGCCGCCCCGTCCGGGAGGGAGGTGGGGGGTCAGCCCCCCCGCCCGGCCAGCCGCCCCGTCCGGGAGGGAGGTGGGGGGGGTCAGCCCCCCGCCCGGCCAGCCGCCCCATCCGGGAGGTGAGGGGCGCCTCTGCCCGGCCGCCCCTACTGGGAAGTGAGAAGCCCCTCTGCCCGGCCACCACCCCGTCTGGGAGGTGCACCCAACATGCTCATTGAGAACAGGCCATGATGACAATGGCGGTTGTGGAATAGAAAGGGGGGAAAGGTGGGGAAAAGATTGAGAAATCGGATGGTTGCCGTGTCTGTGTAGAAAGAAGTAGACATGGGAGACTTTTCATTTTGTTCTGTACTAAGAAAAATTCTTCTGCCTTGGGATCCTGTTGATCTGTGACCTTACCCCCAACCCTGTGCTCTCTGAAACATGTGCTGTGTCCACTCAGGGTTAAATGGGTTAAGGGCGGTGCAAGATGTGCTTTGTTAAACAGAAGCTTGAAGGCAGCATGCTCGTTAAGAGTCATCACCACTCCCTAATCTCAAGTACCCAGGGACACAAACACTGCGGAAGGCGGCAGGGCCCTCTGCCTAGGAAAACCAGAGACCTTTGTTCACTTGTTTATCTGCTGACCTTCCCTCTACTATTGTCCTATGACCCTGCCAAATCCCCCTCTGCGAGAAACACCCAAGAATGATCAATAAAAAAAATAAATAAATAAATGCTAAACCGTCACAGCTGTAGATCATGAGCCTGCTCTTTTGACCCCCACATTCTCACCACCTGATTCTCTGTTGGATTACCAATAAACAGCGTGGGCTCCCAGAGCTCGGAGCCTTCGCAGCCTCCACAATTGTGATGGCCCCCTGCTCCCACTTTACTTCTCAAACTGTGGTTTTCTCAATCCTTTGACTCTACCGGACTTTGTCACCCCCAGGATCTGGTGTTGGGTCTGATCACCCCAACAGCATCCATTCTATGCCTGCTATGTGCTAGGTACTTTGTTACCCAGAGAGGAGGAAGAGAAAGTGCATATCTAAAAAAGATGAGGAGATAAATCACAGCCATCATGGTAGGCTGAAAACATCGTCCCCAAAGACATCCATGTCCTAAGCCGCAGAACCTGTGGATGTTATAACACATGTAAAGTGCCCACACGTGGCCTGGCATGTAGTTGGAGTTCAAGTATTAGTCAGCATTAATTGTAAAAAATTATTTTGTTTTCTAACTTAAAAATGTTTTTACTAATTTATTTTGAATGGACAAATAACAATTGTCTATATTTATGGAGTAATAGTGAAAAATTTGAAATGACTTCATAAACGTTCATCAAGATGGGGAAGGACTATATTACATATTATATTTAATGAGATGAATTTATACTGACATGAAAAAATTATGAAAGATTTTAACCAGCATGGCCCTTATTTCATTTGTATAGTTTCCATGGCAGAGGGTAGGAATAATTTGGGCAAGCACATTTAAAGCTTCAACTTATATACTAGGGTAAATCACATCCACTCATATTCCACTGTCCAAGGCAAATCACAGGGGTTCTTCCTATTAGGAAGCACTGCAAGTCACATGACTAAGGGCATAAATGTATAACCATCTTGTGGGGAGAAAGTGGATAGTTAGGAACAGTAATACAATCTATCAAAGCTGGTTAGAGCCCACCATGGAGTAGATATCCCACACTGTGTGTGTGTGTGTGTGTGTGTGTGTGTGTGTGTATGTGTGTGTGTATTTCTGTTTACTTTTATGACCCATATCTGTGGGCCACACATATGGGGAAAACACTATGCCTGTAGACACCCCAAGCAAATGAGATTACCATGGAACCTCAATAATGAGGGATAACTTCCAATTTCTTAATTCTCCACTGATGAGATGTGGATACTTGAGTGATCCCCAGGCTCATTCCCAAGTGAAGATTTTCAGTCCTTCGTAATACCTTGGACATTCAAATTTGTATTTAGTTTCTTGTGAAAAAATTTTCATTTAATTTTTACAACAGCATTATA
The DNA here is from genome assembly GCF_000001405.40 of Homo sapiens. Taxonomy (NCBI): domain Eukaryota; kingdom Metazoa; phylum Chordata; class Mammalia; order Primates; family Hominidae; genus Homo; species Homo sapiens. Next base: position 147,235,414 of record NC_000001.11, read on the forward strand.
GGATAGCTACTATTATCCTCATAATTCACTATGCATTATGGGCCTTTCAGAAGCACTCTGATTGTTAAAACCCTCTAATTAGGAAGCCTAATTAGACATGCCATTTTTGAGCAATTTGAGGGGATAGAGGTGGGGAACCCCCTTGCATCAAAGTTATAACTGTGCCTCAGGGATAGATACATGTGCAACAGAACCCAGAATAGGTATGCTCATTTTTCAAAACTAAAACCCAGGCTTTATAGGGTTAGGGTAAAAAAAATGGCTTTGGATTCTTGTCAATCAGAGGAAGAAGAAGGTCATAGAGAGTTCTTAGGGTCATAATTTTACATTGCCTAAAAATATTTTAGAGTAGGGTGAATCATGAGAAACATTTTGGCTTCCTATGGTATATTATTGAGACAACCTGTCCCCTACATGGAAATATTGTCACGGGATTCTTGGGGTGTTGCTTTGTGAGACAGAAACCTCTGTGGCCATTGGTACTTTTGCACAAGTTTTGCTCAAGCCTATTGGGCTTGTTTGGTCCATTCAGCCTGGCAGGCTGCACATGGCTCATGCTACCAGCCTGGATCCCATGCCAGCCAAGGGCCAGCCAGATGCAGAGCAGAGAGGGGTGTGTGAGCAAATATGAGGTCCAGCCACTATGCACAGCCAGGCATGCCAGCTGTGGCAAGGCAGGCAGCTCCAGGTGCCAGTATGGGCACTGACTCCCTGTGAGGCTCCAGCTGGACCAGGGGTGCCACAAGCAGATTTCATGGCTGGCACTGGAGAATGCAGTGGTGCCTGGAAGCTTGGAGATGCCAAGAGCTAAAGAGCCCCAAAGAGGGTGTCACAGCCCTGGCTCAGTGAGCTCCTAGGTCTGGGCTTCCCAAAGGGCTGCAGCTCCTCTCTCCTTCTCTCTTCTCTCCTTCTTGTTGCCCACAATGTGGCAAGCAATGGGCATGTTTCAGCCCTGTTTGTGTTACAACTCTTTTAGCTCCACCATTTGGCGGGTCCTGAGTTCTTGTCCTGCGTCCAAGTAGAATGATGTAAGTTGACAAGTGGAGGGTAAGCAAGGTGAAGAGAAACTTTATTGAGTGACAGAACAGCTCAGAGGAGACCCACATTGGATAGTTCCTCTCCACAGGCAGGTTGTCCCATTGAGTGTTCAGTTCTCAGCAGAGAGGAGACCCTGGAGTGGGTAGCTCCTCTCTGCAGTTGGTTGTCCCAATGTCTGCTTAGCTCTCACAGAGAGGAGACCCTGGAGTAAGCAGCTCCTCTCCACAGCTGGCAGGTCATCATTGTCAACTCAGCTCTTAGCAGAGAGTAGACCCTGGGGTGGGTAGCTCCTCTCTGCGGCTGGTTATCCCACTGTCTCAAGTCTGGCTGAGTCTGGGGCTTTTACAGGCCTCAGAGGAGAGGAAGTGTGCGCCAACTGGTCCATAGGCACCCAGATAAAACACAAGTTCTCACTCTGGTTTTTGGGACCAGCAGCCCAGCCTCCAGGCTTCAGGCCCTCCCCAGCTTGAGGGTAGGTCTTCACCGGTGACCTGCTCCCTTCCACCCAGGAGACTGCCTCCTGCTGGCATTCACAGCACCCAAACTGTTTGTGCAAAGGGGCACCTGCAGGCAAGCACAGAGGCTGAGCTGCCCCAGCACCCCCTTGGCCTCCCTCCCATGCTGGCACCCAAAGTCCTGAGGGGGCCAAAGCCATGTGTCAGTGCTGCCTGGAGTGGGTGCACACCTGGCCAGGCTGCAATAGCACCCAGCCTCAGCTCCAACCTTGCTCTGGGAATGGAGTGGGTGCTGGGAGCAGAAAGAGGCCAGGCAATGGGAGGAGACACTTCTTAGCCTGCAGGAATGGGGTGGGAGGTCTTACAGGGCCCCCAAGAGTGCAGAGATGCCCAGGTCTGCAGCTGTGGTTTGAGCAGCTATAGCTGCACCCAGGAGGGTGGGGCTCCTGCCTGCTCCAGGAACCCAAGAGCACAGGGAGGCCGAGTTGGTGGACATGACTCAGGCAGCTGCAGCTGTGCCTGAGAGGGTAGGGCTCCTGCCTGCTTTTAGCCCCAAAGAGCACAGGGATGCCCAGGTCTGCAGCTGCAGCTGGGCAGCCACAGCTGTACCTGGGGAGCAGGAAGCTCCTGCCCTGCCAACTCAGAAGGAGGCAGGGCCTCCACCTGTTCCTGGTTCCCCCAGCTCCATGGAGCTGGCAGCCCTGGTGTGCCACCCCCATTGCAAGTGGCATCATGACAGCAGCTGCTCTAGATAGGCCGTCACTGCCATCAATATGTCACAAAAGTTAAATTTCCAGTTTGGCAAACTCAAAAGCCTTCAGGGACTAGCTGGGCAGATTGCATAAACGTTACACTGCTGGTTGGAGAACATAAAGAATGAAATTCTGGGTGACCAATGTGATGGCATGGCATGACAGTCAAAAGGCATCCAGTTAAAAAGGAAAACACTGTCCTTTCAAGCAAAAAGACCGTGGGCAAATTTTGATGCCTACAATTTCTAAACTATGTTCTCAAAGATTAACTTGATAATATTACTATTTTACAACCTTACCTTTGATAGTAAAAGGGAGTGGCAATTCTCTGAGGTGACTGGGCAAGAGTCCTGTGAAACCAACTTACTTTTTTTCTATACTTCTATACTGTGGTATATTTTCCCTGGCTTTCTGGGTTCTAAATTTATTACATGTTATTTCATGACAAAGAGGTATACTGGCATCAAAAGTCAAAACACAGTTTTTCATTTCTTGCAAGAAAGAAAACCCAAGTTAAGTGTTTTTCATCCCAGCACAAAAATCTTCCACCCATGGGCACGGACCTAATTCTAACCTAAGCTCAAAGTTCCAAGTTCATTTACTCAAGAGGTCTGAATAAATGTTTACTTTGGTCACAGCTTTTATCCAATTTCCGTATCTGACTCACTAGGTGCTTCTAACTGGTGCCCTGATGTTACCTAACAGAGCAAGGATACAACAAACAGCAAACATAATTTGTTTCTTAATCTGTGCTTAATCCATGCTTGTTTTGGTAATGTCTGCACATGCTAAGTCCCACTGACAGTGTTAGTTGGTTAGCATTAATCTTATGGAGTTGCTGTTGCCAAAGGACATATCCTTTCTGTGGAGGAATAAAACAATTAACAAAAACAGCATGATTGTATAACCTGAACAATGAATGAAAAATGAGTTGAGGCTAAATTTTATTCTGGGAGTTAATCACGACTCACAGAAAACACTGGACCAGCTTCCTAAACTTTCTGTGCCTTGGTTTGCCCATCTGTGAAATGCACTCTCTGTACTTCAAAGTTATAACAATCATATGCCCTAGATTTTAAAATTGTTCCACAGGCACCTCATTCAAACATTCAACAATATTTATTGAGGGCATACTATTGTAATGCCTAACCTTGTTTTTACTAACCCTGTTTTTAGATTCTCTCTTTCCTTTAATCACCTAGCCTTGTTTCCACCTGAATTGACTGTCCCTTAGCTAAGAGAGCCAGACAGACTTCATCTTGGCTCTTTCACTGGCAGCCCCTTCCTCAAAGACATAACTTGTGCAAGCTGACTCCCAGAACATCCAAGAATTCAATTAACTGATAAAATACTGTGGCGAGCAATATCCGCAGTTCCCAGGAATTCGTCCAATTGATAACGCCCAAAGCCCCACGTCTATCAGTTTGTAAGAGTCTTAAAGCCCCTGCACCTAGAACTGTTTACTTTCTGGTAATCATTTATCCTTTTAACTTTCTGCCTACTTTACTTCTGGAAAATTGTTTTAACTAGACCCCCCCTCCCCTTTCTAAACCAAAGTATAAAAGAAAATCTAGCCCCTTCTTCAGGGCCAAGAGAACTTTGAGCGTTAGCCATCTCTCAGCCGCTGGCTAAATAAACAGACTCTTAATTCGTCTCAAAGTGTGGCGTTCTCTCTAACTCGCTCAAGTACAACACTATGTGCCCAGCACTGTTTGTACAAATCCAACACATCCCACCAGTTGCTCGGGCCACATCCCTGAACCCAACCTTTGCTTCTTCATTTCTCCCAGATGCTCAATCAGTGAATCCTATAGGCTCTATCTTTTCAATAGATCTAGTAGCAGACCACTACTCACCACTCCACTATCACCATGCTGGCCCCAAAACTATCAACTCTTGCCCAGACTACTGCAATAGTTTCCAAACTGCCTCCTTCCTTCCATCCTGATCATCTACAGATCTCTTCATACAGTATTCAGAGCAAAACTTTTCTATGTGTCACCTCACTGGCAGACCTGGAGTCTCTCAGCTACCTTTCTTAGCTGTATTTTAGGTACCAGACTTAGTATACCAACAGTCTACCTGGCTTATAGCTAGGACTCTATCATCTGGTATTCTGTTACAACAAATGTACTTTAAGTTAAAAATAATAAACAGGCTTATATTTAAGTGGCAAGTGCTTGATATGGCTGCTTTAGCAGATAAGTCTACTGGTAGAATCTAGAGGAGAGGAAATAAGTCATACATGGAGACCAAGATGCAAAAACCACTCATGAGCAGCCACATAGGACAGAGGTCCCTCTGGAGAAGCCACCAAAGGATATAAATCTCTCTTCAGGTTTGTTTTGAGAAAACACCCAAGCAGGAAAGCTGCTGTACAAAATTACTATTGCCCCATTATGCGATTGTGTTTTACTTTTGTCTTAGCATTAATCCTACCTTGTGGGGAAAAGAAAGAGAGCTCAGACTGCTACTGTGTCTGTGTAGAAAGAAGTAGAAATAAGAGACTCCATTTTGGTCTGTTCTAAGAAAAATTCTTCTGCCTTGAGATGCTGTTAATCTGTAACCCTACCCCCAACCCTGTGCTCCCTGAAACATGGGCTGTGTCCACTCAAGGTTAAATGGATTCAGGGCTGTGCAGGATGTGCTTTGTTAAACAAATGCTTGAAGGCAGCATGCTTGTTAAGAGTCCACTCCCTAATCTCAAGTACCCAGAGACACAATACACTGCGGAAGGCCGCAGGGACCTCTGCCTAGGAAAGCCAGTTATTGTCCAAGGTTTCTCCCCATGTGATAGCCTGAAATATGGCCTTGTGGGAAGGGAAAGACCTGACCGTCCCCCAGCCTGACACCCATAAAGGGTCTGTGCTGAGGAGGATTAGTAAAAGAGAAAGGAAGGCCTCTTTGCAGTTGAGATAAGAGGAAGGCATCTGTCTCCTGCTCATCCCTGGGCAATGGAATGTCTCGGTGTAAAACCCGATTGTATATTCCATTGACTGAGATAGGAGAAAACCACCTTAGGCCTGGAGGTGGGACATGTGGGCAGCAATACTGCTCTTTAAGGCATTGAGATGTTTATGTGTATGCACATCAAAAGCACAGGACTTTTTTCTTTACCTTGTTTATGATGCAGAGACATTTGTTCACATGTTTTCATGCTGACCGTCTCTCCACTATTACCCTATTGTCCTGCCACATCCCACTCTCTGAGAAATGCCCGATAATGATCAATAAATACTAAGGGAACTGAGGCTGGTGCCAGCGCAGGTCCTCTGTATGCTGAGCGCCGGTTCCCTGGGCCCACTTTTCTTTCTCTATACTTTGTCTCTGTGTCTCTTTTTTTTCTTAAGTCTCTCATTCCACCCGACGAGAAATACCCACAAGTGTGGAGGGGCAGGCCACCCCTTCACTACCTGATTTTTATTTATTGCTTGTCTCCTCCTTTTAAAATGTAAGATCCAGGAGATAAGTGGCCTCTATCTTCAGTACCATAGAGTGCTTGGCACATAGTATGTAATTCAGTCAGTGTCAGGCCTCTGAGCCCAAGCTAAGCCATCATATCCCCTGTGACCTGCACGTACACATCCAGATGGCTGGTTCCTGCCTTAACTGATGACATTCCACCACAAAAGAAGTTTAAATGGCCCGTCTTTGCCTTAAGTAATGACATTACCTTGTGAAAGTCCTTTTCCTGGTTCATCCTGGCTCAAAAAGCTCCCCTACCGAGCACCTTGTGACCTCTCACTCCTGCCCGCCACAGAACAAACCCCCTTTGACTGTAATTTTCCTTTACCTACCCAAATCTTATAAAACGACCCCACCCCTATCTCCCTTCGCTGACTCTTTTCGGACTCAGCCCACCTGCACCCAGGTGAAATAAACAGCTTTATTGCTCACACAAAGCCTGTTTGGTGGTCTCTTCACACGGACGCGCATGAAAGTCAGTATTTATGAATGACTCAAGACACAAAAATAGCTTCATAAAACAGTGCTTTGCTTGAGTTTTTATGAATAAACCAATCTGAAGTCATCCCTTTTCTAGCTCAGAACAAATTTCTCCCTTTTATTTTAGAGGAAGATGAGAATGGAGGGTACAAATTTAACATGAGTTTACTGAAGAAGGAAGCACCAAGATTAACCTAAATGAGAATACTATTCTAATGACATTAGCCAGAGAATAATATCGTTCCTGTTCCAGTACTGCCAATTACCATTACAAGTCCCAATATCTTCATTTACAATGTGGGGACAATTATAACACCTAATTATTGGTTATTGTGAAGGTTAAATAAGAAAATATACTTAAAGCCCTTAGGACACCACCCAGAACTTCATCAATAAATGCAGCTATTTTGTTATTATCATATTTATATTAGTGGTATACTACATCATAAATCCACTCAAAGCTGATGCTGAGTCACGGTGACCCCTAACTGAACACATTGCCTCAATCTGCTCCCCATAATGCACTTGAGATACCCACTGCCACAATGACGTCTTTGGTGATTTTAATTTACTACTATTCAGAGGTTCCCAATTTTGGCCTACAGGTCACAGGCAGTAAGAAAGGGATTTCAGGGACTAAATCAATTTATCACTAGGTAAACCGAACAAGAACAGTTTGATCTTATCGTGAATCACTGGAGGGCACGGAACAAGTCTTACTTCTAGAACCCCCAGGGCCCAGCGGAGTGTCTGACACATGATAGTCGATGTTGATTAAATAATAAATGAATGATGAACACATGCCACCTCCTTGACGGGCAGTTCAGGCAATCAGACGTCCTGTGCGTGATCAGACGCCTAGCGCTTCAGAAGCACGACTGGTGAGAACTGGGCAGCCCTTCCACGCTCCGCACTGCAAGAACTGCCTGTCCGGAAGGGTGACTGCACCAGCTCCGCTCCGGATATCTTGGCAGGACGCGCCCTCTGGCGGCGCCTCGCTCGTAGGTGGGCCCCAGCGCGCAGTCGCGCGCCCCCGCGCGTTGGGAAGTTGGGAGGGAGGTGCGCGCTTGGCCGCGCGGGGCGGGGCCTCTACCGGCCCGATGGAGCGCGCGGGCGCTACTAGCCGCGGGGGCCAAGCCCCTGGCTTCTTACTGCGGCTTCATACTGAGGGCCGAGCCGAGGCGGCGCGGGTGCAGGAGCAGGACTTACGGCAGTGGGGGCTGACAGGTGAGCGGGCTCCGGGCGGACTTCGGCCAGGCGGGCCAACCTATTGGGACTGCCTCTTGCGGGCCGGGGGCGCAGCGGGTGGGCCGCCCGGTGGGCAGTTTACCCGCTCGCGCCAGGGCCTTCCTTCGCTCCTGCCGTGGGCGGAGAGAAACTGCGCCCGGGCTTGGTGGCCACGGCCCCCGCCTGCGCGGCGCGCGGGGCCGGCGGACGCCAGATGAATGAGGTCGCGGGCCCGGTAGCCAGGCCTGGCCCCTGGCCTGTGGAGGGGAAACGTGGTGAGATCAGCGCCACCTGCAGGCCTCCGCTGAAGAGTTGGACGGCCTGGTGCACCAAGGATGTAGGTTTCCAGTTGCTGTTCCGGTGGGTTTGGGTCCCGGCCTGGGGAGTTTATTGGTTGCTTCTGTAAAACGATCAACTCATCTCCCAGCTTCAGCTTCTCCGTTTACTGTGCGCGCGCAGTTATTGGAGAATTCGCCACGGATTAATTCTCCGGATCGAGTTACGTGCGGTAGTGAGCGGACAAACTCAAGCAAAGCACTGTTTATGAAGCTATTTTTGTGTCTTGAGTCATTCATAAATACTGACTGAACCACGTACTATATGCCAACTTAGCTTGTCCGCTCACCACCGCACGTAACTCGATTTATTGACACTAGCCCTTACGGAGAGTCTGCAAAGCGCGAACCTTGCATGCCCCCCAGCCCTGCCGCTGCATGGCTGACCGTACTTCCTGCAGCTCCGAGACCCCGCTCTCCTCCTGGGTCTGCGCTGACTCGCCGCTGAACCGCCCCAGCCTCGTTTTCCTTACTTATAAGTTGGGAACGTAGTGTGTGCTTTGACTGTATTGACAGAATCATGCATCAGTAATAATACAGTCGTTTATTCATTACTTATTGAATGCTACTGGGAGCGTATTCTTAGGCATTGGCTACAAAGATGAGCAAAACAAATAGGGACCCTTCCTACCTAGAGTTTTAGACTAGTGAGAGTGCATTTAAAAGTATAAACTAATTTATTTAAGTGCTCAGTACCACGAAAGAGTAAGGTTTGTCATTCTAGGAATGAAACAAAAGGTGCAATTCTGTGTTCAGCTTAGAAGACTGAAAGATGAAGTTGAATGGAGAGGACGCTGACATGAAAGAGAAAGACCTCTCTCCTTGATTCCCTGAGTCTGTAAGAATGTGTGGCTGTAAGGAGTATGTATCCAGTTTTAAGTATGAGCTTGTAGACTGGTCTTTTTATGTTTGACTTTATCTTAACGAAAGTTTATGTTTGTGGGTTTGCCTATTTCCTTGCAAGTGTTGGGAATGGTTCTTTAAGAACTTGTGTGAGAGAGGGCTCAGAAAAGTGTGCCAGTTGATACTTAGCTGTGGATAATATGCCAGGAGAAACGTACATATGGGCAAGTGTTTTAGTGAAAATGAGGAGACAAGAGGTTGCAAGTTTGAGTGGATGGAATGGAGTGAGTAAATTCAGAATTAAGTAGGCAAATGTGGCAACTTGGATAAATTGGTAGTGGAGAAGGAAAATAGAAAAGCAGAGTCAAAGGAATGGCTACTGAATATTATAACTTGTAATTTCTATTTCTGTTTACCAGAATAAACTAGTGTTATGAGAAACTATTCTTCATGAGTTGGTTAAAAAAATTCTTACTACTTTTTTTTCGTTTGGTTACAGAAGTAGTACGTATTTTCAGTAAAACATTCAGGGAAATAGCCTATGCATAAAGAAAATAAATATTAATCTCCATAATCTCCTTACTGTTAACATGTTCTCTATCCTGTATAATTTCTTTTACTTTCTGGTGGAGGGGGAAGGTGAAAAATGGAGTTTCATGTACATTTTTTTGGGAAATCATAACTTTTTTTCCTTATCATTCAGTCTTCTTCAACATCATTCTTAATGGTTACAGTTTTTCAGTATATGGATGTACCATAGTTTAGACAGTCCCTCTTCTTGGTATTTAGGTTCTTTTTTTTGCTATTGTAAGTAACATAAATATCCTTGTAACCAAATATTTATTATAGGTATGGACGTTTAATTCCTGAAAGGTACCATTTCTAGAATAAAGAGTATGCAAAATTTTTGCTTATTTCTCTATACTCTCAGCAACACTGGTATTTTCTAATTTGAGAAGTTAATATGCTATCGTATTGTTTAATTTAATGTTTATTTGGTTACCAATATTGATGGACATTTGGATATTCATCTTTGGATCATGAAGTTACCTTAGGACCTTTTTGTTTCTGGAATATGCAGACCTATTACTTCTTGCTGTTTTGCTTGCTTTTTCACTACTTGTCATCTCCCTGACAGAAGGGCAAAAGAATCTACATCTGGAGGTTAAAAAGCTAAAGACTACCTTTCCCAGACCCCACTGTAGTTTGGTTGTAAACGTGACTTGGCTTTAGCCAGGCACGTGACTGGGAGATTTGGAAGGGGAAAGTGAGGGGAAGGACACAGAGGGGTTTGGATTTTCCGCTTCCCACTTAGCTACTACCTCATGGGTCTGTGGGAGGGTACAGAGCATTCATTTTGTTATCATGGATTGTGGCTGCGTTGATAGGTCCCTGGGGCTGACAGTACCGTGGCCTCCTGGTTGGTTCCTGGCTTCCAGGTCGTGGAGGTAGATACTTCCTTGGTGTGTCCATACTGTGGTGCTTGATTTAGCAGTTGTACCCAGAAGATCAGCCTAGATGTTACTCCTCCAGGCCTTTCGACAATTTTGTGGTGATCTAATTCCCTGTATTACATTCCTTTCTGCCTAACCTACCAAGGGTAATTTCTGGTTTTTGCTGTTGACTCCTAAGTGTTAAGTATTGTTATCTTTGTGGATATAATTACATATTATTTTTGAAAATTCAACTTTTTTTTTTTTTGAGATAAGGTCTCACTCTGTTGCCCAGGCTGGAGTGCAGTGGCCCATTGCAGCCTCGACCTGGGCTTCAGTGATCCTCCCACCTCAGCCTTCTGAGTAGCTGGGACTACAGGCATGAGTCACCAGTTTTAAGAAATAATACGGAAGGATCCCATGTAACCTTTACCCAGTTTCCCCTCGTGGTCATATCTTGCAATGTGGCACATTATCACATTGTGTACACTTGCAATGATGGTACACTATCACAACAGGATATTGACATTGGTACAGTCAAGATCCAGAACATTTTCCATCTCCACAAGGATCCCTCAACTTGCACTTTGATAGCTACACTCACCTCCCTTCTACCTCACCAATTCCTTAACCCCTGGCAACCACTAATCTGTTCTCCATTTCTATAATTTTGTCACTTTGAAAATGATAGGTGAGTAAAATCATACAATATGTAGCCTTTGGGGACTGGCTTTTTTTCACTCAGAGTAATTCTCTGGAGATTCATCCAGGTCGTTGCACGTATCAGTAGTTTCTTTTTATTGCTGAGTAGTACTCCACAGCACAGTATACCACAGTTTGTTTCACCACTCACCCACTGAAGGATATCTGAGTTGTTCATAGTTTGTGGCTATTGCCAAAAAAGAAAAGAAAGATATTGTAAACATTTGTATACAGATTTTGTATGAAAATAAATCTTCATTTCTCTGTAATAAATGCCTAGGAGTGCTGTGAGTGGGTCATATGGTAGTTGCATGTTTAGTTTTTAAAGAAGCTGCCAAACTGTTTCCAGAGTAGCTGTACTATTTTACATTCCCACCAGCAATGTATGACTGAGTTTGGATTCTTTGCATCCTTGCCAGCATTTGATATTGCTACTTTTTTATATTGACTATTCTAATGTATGTGAAATGCTATCTCATTGTGGCTTAGATATGAATTTCCCTATTGGCTAATGAAATATGTAACCTCTTTGATAAAATGTCTTTTTCTGTCTTTTGCCCATTTTAAAATAGGATCCTTTGTTGTTGTTGTTTTTTCACTGTTGAGTTTTGACATACTCTAGTCTTTATATAATCTAGATACTAATATTTTCTCAGATATATGTCTTACAAAAGTTTTAAATTTTGGCTAAAATTTATCAGTTTATCAATTTTTTCTCTTATGGATAGTTTTCTTGTTGTTTGGTGTCAAATATAAGAACTCATTGGCTATTCCCAGATCCTAAAGAGTTTTTTCCTAAAAGTTTTACAGCTTCTTATTTAAGTCCATGATCTACTTTGAGTTAATTTTTGTTGCACAAATTTTGATATGTTGTATTTTCATTTTTATTTAGTTCAGTGTATTTATTTCCCTGGAGACTTCCTCTTTTGATGGACTGTTTAGAAAGAAGTGTGTTGTCTAGTTTCCAAGTGTTGAGAGATTTGCCTCTAATGTTTCTGTCCATGAATTCTAATTTTATTACATTGTGGTCAGAGAACATACTCTGTACAATTTCAGTTCTTTTAAATGTGTTGGGGTTTTCTGGCCCTGCTTTAGTTTGGATATGGATTATCTGTCCCCACCAAATATCATGTTGAAATTTGATCCCCAGTGTTGGAGGTGGGGCCTAATGAAAGGTGTTTAGGTCATGGGGGCAAATCCTTCCTGAATAGATTAATGCTCTCCCTGAGCAGGGAGCAGAGAGAGTGACTGACTTCTTACTTACTAGCTTCCAGAAAGCTGGTTGTTAAAAAGAGCCTGGCATCCCCCACGCCTTTCTTCCTCTCTCACCATGTGATCTCTGTACATGCCACCCCCACTTCCCCTTCTGCCATTAGTGGAAACAGTCTGAAGCCCTCACCTGAAGCAGATGTTGGTGCCATGCTTCTTGTACAATCTGTAGAACCATGAGCCAAATAAACCTCTTTTTATTTTTAAATTATCCAACCTCGAGTATTCCATAGCAACACTAAATGGACTAAGACAGGCCCTGAATATGTTGTATGGTCCATGGCACTTGAAAACAATGTGTATTCTCCTGTCTTTGGGTATCAGCAGAGCTGCATTCCTTTCTGGAGGCTCTAGGGGAGAATATATTTCCCAGCATCCAGAGGCTGCCCACATCACTTGACTCCTGGCCCCTTTCCTCCAACTTCAAAGCCAGAAACATTGCATCTCTTTGATCCTTCTCTAGCCAGCTTCCTCTCTAACCACAGCTGTTAAAGTTTCTCCGAATGATGCATGTGATTAGATTGTATGTCCATTGCGTTATCCAGGCCCACCTGGATAATTCAGGGTACTCTTCCATCTCAAGCCCCTTAACCTTGATTATGTGTTCAGAATGCCTTTTGCCATATAAGGTCACATACTCACTGATGCCAGGATCAGGGCTTGGACATCTTTGTGAGGGCCACTATTTTGTCTACCACTTCTTCCTTTTACTTTTCACTTATTTAATTATTTTTGGGTTGAATTTCTTGTAGACAATTTATAATTGGGTTATGTTTAAAATCCACTCTGGAAGTCTTATTTTTTTTTTCTTTGAGACGGAGTTTCGCTCTTGTTGCCCAGGCTGGAGTGCAATGGCACGATCTCAGCTCACCGCAACCTCCTGCCTCCCAGGTTCAAGTGATTCTCCCACCTCAGCTTCCTGAGTAGCTGGGATTACAGGCATGAGCCACCATACCCGGCTAATTTTGTATTTTTAATAGAGACGGGGTTTCTCCATGTTGGTCAGGCTGGTCTTGAACTCCCTACCTCAGGAGATCCTCCCGCCTCAGCCTCCCAAAGTGCTGGGATTACAGGTGTGAGCCACTGTGCCCAGCCAAGTCTTTGTCTTTTAATTGGTATACTTACACCATTTATATTTCAAGTAATTATTACTATGTTTGAGCTTAACTCTGCCATCTTATTTTTATTGTTTTTAGTTTATCTCTGTTTCTTTTTCTTGCCTTCCTGTGAATTATTTGAACATTTTTTAGAATTTTATTTTTGTTTATTTACAGTGTTTTTTAGTTTATCTCTTTGTGTAGCTTTTTAGTGGTCGTTACGGGTATTGTATGTAAATGTACGTATGTGTGTATAAAATCACAGACTACTGATATTGTCATTTTACTTATTTGAGTAAAGTATGGAAACATTACTTCCCTTTATATAAACATTACTTCCCTGTATATCTATCTTCCCTTTGTATTTATAGCTTTACTTTTTGTTTATAATTGTCTTAAATATTTCCTTTAGAACCACATCAGACACTGTTATAATCTTTGCTTCAGCGGTCAAACATAATTTTAAAAACTCAAGAAAAGGAAAACCTATTGTATTTACACGTTTTTGAATGCTGCATTCTCACCTTGATGTTCCAAGGTTCCATCTTTTATCATTTCCTTTTTTTCCAAGGGCTTCCTTTAGCCATTCTTTGAGGGTAGGTTTGTTGATGATAAATTCTCTTTGTTTTCCTTCATCTGAGAATTTCCTCTTCATTCCTGAATACCATTTTTCTTGATTACAGGAGTCTGGATTGACAGTTCTTTTCTTTCGATATTTGAAACATGTTGTGGCATTTCTTTCTGGCCTTTAAGATTTCTGACAAGAAATCTGCTTGCATTTGAATAGTTTTTCCTCTTTAAGTAAGGTGTTGTTTGTTTTTTTTCTGGCTGCATTTAAGATATTTTCTTTGTCTTTTGTTTTCAGCATTTTAATAATTACATATCTTGGTGTGTATTTTTTTTTTTTTTTTTTTTGAGATAGAGTCTCTCTCTGTTGCCAGGCTGGAGCGCAGTGGCGCTATCTCAGCTCACTGCAACCTCCGCCTCCTGGGTTCAAGCAATTTTCGTGCCTCAGCCTCCCGAGTAGCTGGGACTACAGGCACCCGCCACCACGCCCAGCTAATTTTTGTATTTTTAGTAGAGATGGGGTTTCACCATGTTGGCCAGGATGGTCTCAATCTCTTGACCTCGTGATCCGCCTGCCTCGGCCTCCCAAAGTGCTGGGATTACAGGCGTGAGCCACCGCGCCCGGCAATGTTTTGTTATGTTTGCGGTTTACTCAGTTTCTTGAAACTGTAGCTCTTTAGCCAGATTTGGGAAGTTTTCAGCTATTATTTATTTAAGTACTTTTTCAGCCCTATCCTCCTTCACCTGTTTTTATTGGACAACATTGAACAAATGTTAGATCTTTTGTGGTAGTCCTGAAGGTCCCGGAGGGTCATTTGTTTTCAGTCTGCTTTCTCTCTCTTCTGATTGTAATCTCTCTATAACTTCTATTCTGTAGAGTTCACTGATTCTTTCCTCACTTCCTTCCATTCTGCTGTTGATCCCATCAACAGCATCAGTAGCCTTTTATTTTGGTTATATTATTTTTCAGTTTTTAAAATTTCCCTTTGGTCTTTATATCTTTTATTTCTTTGCTGAAATTTCTGTTTCTTACCTGAGGTTTCCTGTTTTTTTCAGTTGTTCAAGTGCATTCATAACTACTTGTTGAAGCATTTTATCATTACTGCTTTAAGGTCTTTGTCAGATAATTCTACCGTCTGTGTCATCTGGGTGTTGGCACCTATTGATTATCTTTTTTCGTTCAGTTTGAAATCTTCCCAGTTCTTGATATAATGAATGATTTTTATAAGAATTGGAGCCAGGCATTTTTTTTAAATCATGTTTAAACCTCCTGTTTGACTGTCTTTGTCTGATGCTGCTCTGGCAGGGGAAGAGGGTCTGCTGCCTTGTTAGTGCCAGGTGGGGATAGAAGTCCAGGCTCCCCCTTCAGCCTCTGTCCACATCTGGGGATTGGGAAGGGGCTCCTCCATCCTGCTGGGTGAGGGTGGGAGTTGTGGCTCCCTCCTGAGTCTCTACTGATCCTGCAGGGGAAAGCTAAGGGGTAGGGCCTCGTTATTGGTTGGTGGGGATAAAAATCCCAGCTCCCTACTTGGCCTTCTCTTATACCATCCTGGCTGGGGTGCTGGGGCACTCGTTGTAGCTGTAGGTAGAAGTCTATGCTTTCCACTTAGCCTTTGCTGGTGGGACCACAGGTTTATTCCTGTGGTGTTTACTAGAATAGAGCAGTTATTATATAAAAGTTTCCTGTCTTGCTAGGCTGCCATTTTCTAGCTGGAGCAGGCTTGTGAGGGGTGGGGGTGGTATGGTTTGGCTGTGTCCCCAACCACATCTCACCCTGAATTGTAATAATCTCCACGTGTCAAGGGTGGTGCCAGGTGGAGATAATTGAATCATGGGGTCAGTTCCCCCATATTATTCTCATGGTAGTGAATAAATCTCACAAGATCTGATGGTTTTATAAATGGGAGTTCCCTGCACAAGCTCTCTTGCCTGCTGCCATGTAAGATGTGACTTTGCCCCTCATTTGCCTTCCACCATGATTGTGAGGCCTCTCCATCCATGTGGAATTGTGAGTCAATTAAACCTCTTTCCTTTATAAATTACCCAATCTCAGGTATTATTAGCAGCATGAGAAGAGACTAATATTGGGAGGTGTTCTTATTTGTTTTGGTTTTGGTCTACATCAGTTGGTGTTTCCAGTTGGCTGATTTCTTGAACTGTCAGACTGGGATATATAAAGCAAAAATAAATTCCAGGGAACTTACTACCCTGCCTTCCGCAGGCCCAAGGTCCCTAGCCAGTCTGCTTCTTCACTACACCTTTCAGAGTTTTATGCTTGTTTTCTGTAGCATGTCTAGGGTTTTTATTTGTACTTAGCAAGAGGAATAAGGGAAAGTAAGTATACTCCCATCAGAAACAGAAATCTCTGAATTTTCTGATTATAAAATGGGGATAATACCTACTCCATAGAATCATTATAAGCATTAAATGAGATACTGTAATTTATTTATTTATTTTTATTATTATTTTTTTGAGACAGTCTCGCTCTGTTGCCAAGGCTGTAGTGCAGTGGCGCGATCTCGGCTTACTACAACCTCCGCCTCCCGGGTTCAAGCAATTCCCCCTGCCTCAGCCTCCCAAGTAGCTAGGATTACAGGTGCCCGCCACTACACCCAGCTAATTTTTGTATTATTTATTAGAGACAGGTTTTCACCATGTTGGCCAGGCTGGTCTTGATCTTCTGACCTCAGGTGATCTGCCTGCCTCAGCCTCCCAAAGTGCTGGGATTACAGGCGTGAGATACTGTAATTTATGTAAAGTGTTTACTACTACTCTGGTATTTGTAAGTGCCTAAGAAAAATAACTTATTTTTTAAATTTTGTACAATTATGTATTTTGAAGATTTTTTTAAAGGTATAAGTTAAACCAGATAGTTATGTTTTTGCTAATAGTTCTTATATAAAGTATGTTTAAGGTCTTTCACCTTCCCAAGATATGGCTATTCTTTGAAATTGGATTTTTTTCACCAAGGGAAAGAGAAAAGAGAGTAAGTTCCGTATTAATTTCACACGTTTTCTGCCATCCCTGTACACAGTTAAATACCCTTTGTGAAACATCATTTCCATTCTTAAAAACAGCGCTTCTGTGTTGAAGCATTATTCAGTGTAGTCCTAAGTTTTTTCCTTTAGCATTGATGGCATATTTAAATGGGTGCAATTAAACAAGCAGACACATGTACAATCCATGTGTTGTTGCTCTTTGTTAAGTTGCATCAGTAATGCCTCATTTCCCAGAATGGACACTGGTGTGAGTCTCAGGCAGTATAGAGGCCAGATCCCAAGTTGACTTTCTCATTTATCAAGTGAATCAGGTAACAATGACAGGCTACTTTGGGGCTTTGAATATAAAGGTGAATAAGTCTGCTCAAAAAGTAGTTTGGAAGTCAGCAGATGTTTAGATATCCATAACTCCTCAGCAAAAGATACGTCCAGTGAGGTTTAGGGTTATGTGAATTTAGGCTGTGTTCCTCATTCAAACTCTTAGAACATTGCCTCTGCATGTACTGAAATGTCTGCTCTTCGGATTTGCTGTATTTTTTGTTTCTAGGGATTCACCTACGCTCTTACCAGCTGGAGGGAGTAAACTGGCTCGCCCAGCGCTTCCATTGTCAGAATGGCTGTATCCTGGGAGATGAGATGGGCCTGGGGAAGACCTGCCAGGTGTGTTACTATGCGACGAGTACTGCTCACCGCCACTGCGATACTTCCTTATAACTCATTCTGGAGCTGAGAGCTCTGGAGCTAAAACAAAGCTCAGTTTCACAAATGTCCCTGGGATCCAGGCTAACTGGCTCTTGCACCGGGAAAGGGCCTTCCCTGTACAGTCTTCTCTGCCTCAGTCATTGCAGTTCCCCTACTGACTTTATTCAGGGCCAGCAAATGCTACTTGTCCTTTCTTTGGATGTTCACATAGCTCTGCTTTAAGCTCTCTAAAAAGATATCACCTCCAAATTTGTTTTGCTAAAATTTTGTTTAGACTTTTTGCATCTATGTTCATGAAAGACATTGGTCTGTAATTTTCTTGTAGTGTCATTATCTAATTTTAGTATTGGGGTAAAGCTGGCCTTGTAGAATGAGTTGAGAAGTATGCCCTTCTCTTCCATTTTCTGGAAGAGTTTATGTAGAATTGCTGTTAATTTCTTCCTTAAATTCTTGCTAGAATTCACTAGTAACTCCACACTTGTTTTGTAGACACATCTGGTTTATAGTAATAAAAGATAAACTTTCTCTAAATTGCATCCTCAGGGAAAGCTAGACTGAATGGTTTTAATTCAATAAGCCACTTATTAAAGAATGGTTCCTGGCACAGCTTGGGCTGAGAAGCCATAGATAATTTAAAAAGAAAATTATTTCTGTTATAAAAACTACCTACCACCCTGTAATCAAGCACTCTAACCATAACCATGAGTTGCAATGCGTGTTTTGCATGATTGAACTTTTGTTTTTGAGACAGGGTCTTGCTCTGTCACCCAGGCTGGAATGCAGTGGCATGATCTTGGCTCACTGCAACCTCTGCCTCCCAGGCTCAAGGAATCCTCAGTCTCCTGAGTAGCTGGGACTACAGGCGCATGCCACCATGCACAGCTTATTTTTAAATTTTTTTGTAGAGATGAGGTCTCACTATGTTGCCCAGGCTGGCCTTGAACTTATGGGCTCAAGTGATCCTCCTGCCTTGGCCTCCCAAAGTGCTGGGATTACAGGCGTGAGCCACTGCACCCAGCCCATGGTTGAAATTATAGTGCGTATATAGTTTGTATTTTGTTAATCTAACAGTGTCACTGTAATTTTTTACTTCGTTATATTCTTCACAGTCATTATCAACATTGCATAATATTCCATCAAGAGAATTTATAATTTACTTAAATGTTCTACAGACGAGAAATGGTGATTCCTCCCCTTTTTGTGCTGTTTAATCTTGATAGGAACATCTTTGTGCTTGTAGCTTTCTCAGGATTTTGAATTATATCCTTAGGACAGATTTTTCTCAGAAATAGCTCAGCATTTGAAGATGGAGTCTCTTGACACATTTTTGTTTTAAAATAGGTTATTTTCTCTGTATATTACAGCAACATTCAAGTCATAAGTGTGTACTAGAATCTTCTGAAGTATGCCCATTTGCCTTTACCAATATTTCCATTTTATACCCTTCCTTAAGCTTAGGATCGTGTATTGTCTGTTTTCCCCGTTAGAATGTGTCCTCCAGGAGGGCTGGGCGTTTTGTCGGTTCTGTTCACTGTTGTATAACTGGAGCATAGGACAGTGCCTAGCAAATAGAAGACACCCTGTAAATACATATGGAAGAAAGGAAGACAGTAGGGGAAGGTGGGAGGAAGTGAGGGAGGAAGGAAAGCATCCTCCCTCACTCGGGAAAGCCTGGCAGGCAGCAGAGGGCCACCATGCGATTGGCCGTTTTTACAGTCATATCTTGGCACTTCTTGCTTAATGTTTTCAGAGTATCGCAGATCTTGGCCATCAGTTGGATTTTCATTGATTTCTATTGTCTTTCCTGACTTTTTCTTTACAGTAGAGGTTCAATTACCTAAACATTGAGCCTCATTGCTTGTTAACTACTGAAGTAATTGAGTTCCATAAATTTCCGTGCAAGTATATTGAGGCTTACATGATTTCGCTCTACGAATGGATTACTCCCCTGATATGCGGAAGTTCGTACAATATTTCTTTGTAAAACAAGTCTTAAACAAGAGTGTGTGTTCCCTACAGGGTTGTGGGAACTTCATGGTTGTTTCTCATGGGGAAATGTGATCAAAACTGCCTTTCTTTTTCTGTGTTCCAGACTATTGCTCTCTTCATTTATTTGGCAGGAAGATTAAATGATGAAGGGCCATTTCTGATTCTTTGTCCCTTGTCTGTTTTGAGCAACTGGAAAGAAGAAATGCAGAGGTACAGAGTAGATGTAGCTGAAATTTTATTGTTTATCTTGATTAAGATTTTTTTTCTGGATGATGTATAAAATATGATAAAACAACCTATTGTCGTAATTAGTAAGTTTATTCCAGAAAACTTTGAGCTGATAGAGTGTAGGTAGACACTGAGGATATAATAGGGGAAGAGTAATATTATTACTATTTGGCAATTTAAAGGTCAGCAATCGTTTGTAGTAAGTATTGATGAACTTAGTAGAAGCCATTGTTTTTTGTTTGTTTGTTTTGAGACAGAGTTTTGCTCTTGTTGCCCAGGCTGAAGTGCAATGGCACGATCTTGGCTCACCACAACTTCTGCCTCCCAGGTTCAAGTGATTCTCCTGCCTCAGCCTCCCAAGTAGCTGAGATTACAGGCGTGCGTCACCACACCTGGCTAATTTTGTATTTTTAGTAGAGACCGGGTTTCTCCATGTTGGTCAGGCTGGTCTCAAACTCCCGACCTCATGTGATCTGCCCGCCTTAGCTTCCCAAAGTGCTGGGATTACAGGTGTGAGCCACCGCGCCCGGCCTATTTTTCATAGTGACGTAGGAAGTAACTCATGTGGAAGAGATCGTTTTATTTTTAGAGTCAGCACAAGACCTTTTTAGATCTGATCCCTCTACCTGTTCACATAGGAACTCGCTCTGAGGTTCAACCATTTTTTTAGATAAGATTCAGAGCCCCAAGACTCTGGTTGTAGGACCTCATGAGTTCTGTACATTGCAATCCTCCCATGAAATGTAATTTTCCAGATATGCACATCCTGTCACATGGATCTAGTATTTATGTTTATCTACTTCTTTTCTTGGATTCAGATTTGCTCCAGGTCTTTCCTGTGTAACATATGCAGGCGACAAGGAGGAAAGAGCCTGCCTTCAGCAAGACCTGAAACAGGAGTCACGTTTTCATGTGCTACTGACTACCTATGAGGTATTCATTCGTTTCTCTATAGCGAGAACTCCTAACCTGTGACCTTAGAAGTTGTAGAGTCTGCTGAAATTATATTTAAGTTTTGTTGAGAGCACACACTTTTCTGGGCAGGGAGTCTACCTTCATCAGATTCTCAAAAGAGGGCTGTAACCAAAAGAAGTGAAGGATCATTGTGCTTCAGATTAGTTCGATCTTTTCCTTTCTTGGTGGATCAAGGGGGAAGGCTTCTCAAGGAAGTGGCACTTGAGCTGCCTCTTGGTTGATGAACAGAAGTCAGGCAGGCAGGCAGGGGAAAGGGTTTTGTGGACTGAGGAATCACGTCTGTTACTGGAGGATAGGAATGGAAGACAGCTCCGGCCTTATTTTAAATCCTTGTTTTTCAGTCTAAGACAGTGTGTGCCACTGACCTTCCACTTAATCAGGCTTTTCTCTTTGTTTTTAAGATGGCGCTACTTAGAAATTATTCTCAGAACTTTTTTTTACTTAGTGAACAAATGAGACTTAGATAAATCCTATAGTTTAAGAGAGTTCACAGAAAACTAGCTTATCAATATCAGAGTTTATCAATGCCAGCCTTTATAACGTGTCTTCCTAATTTTTCAGATTTGCTTGAAAGATGCATCATTTCTAAAATCGTGAGTAGGTTGTACTATTTAAGAACTTGGGTTGAATGTATTATGAATGTCATGTCTTTCCTTCACGTTTTAGTACTTTGCCTCTCCTGGCATGTCTGGTATGTCTTCCATGAGTTCTGTTTATGGGTAGGCGGCATGGTGGGAGTCCTGTGTTTACAGTCCTCTACTCATTAGCTGTGTGTCCTTGGGTTAGTTATTTAATCTCCATGAACTTCAGCTTCTTCATCTGTAAAATGAGGATAATTGTTTCTTACCTCAAATAGCTGTTACGAAAATTAAATGAGATTAAATATACTTTGTATGGTTAATAGATATTAGGCTCTTTACATGCAACTTGCATAGACCCCTTTCAGTACTACCATTTGGAGAGTTTGCTGTAATACAGAAGGAGAACCATTTGAGCTGTTTGCTGGACATAACCTAAAATAGCAATCAGTGCCGTGGAATTAACTTTTTAGAAAGGGAGTTTTAAGTGTACCTCTAATTAGTTAACCTCATATTGGCCCATGAAATCAGAAACTCAGCAATACCACCTAATAATGGGAATGATAGGATCATGTCAAGATAACAGTTACAATGCAGATTAAATAAGGGCTAGAGTTTAGGTAAGAAAGATATGTTGACAGGGTTTCATTCTCTATAACCTCTGTAGTTATTACATGGTTAGGTGGATATTCTGTATTTTAATATTCAAAAATCTTTGTTTTCAAAGTATTTTATCAATATTTTAAATGTTATTTCTTATCCAGGTTCCTGTGAGCTGGATTTCTATTTTCATGTTATTTTGAAATACTAGAGGCTAGGTCATAGATTTCATGACTTCTATCTAGTATTTCATTTAAGTGAGCATATTATCTTATTTTTCTTAAGATATACATTCCCTCTCTTTTTATTATTAATATTCAACTTAATATTTGTTGAAAGTCAGTCACTGGAAAGACATTGTTCTGAGAGTTATTGGCAATATCAGGAAAGTAAATCATAGAGCTTCCCTAAGAAGACAAACTCCAGTGGAGGGATGAGAAGTGTACAGATATCCATAATACATAGCAATATATGGGAAGTCTCAAAAGATAATAAAATTGGGACATAAATGTTGCTGGGTACTTTACATAAATTATCCCATTTAATTTTCATGAAAACCCCACGAGGCAGCTATTATTCATTTTACGGGTGAGGAAAATAAGAGATTTGGTAACCCATCCAAGGTTACATTGCTGATGATAAATAGCAGAGCAGACATTTAAACCCAGCATTTGGTGCTGTGGAGCCTCTTTTTAAGAGAACTTCTCAAAATAGCTAGTTGTACTGGAGTTTTACATTATTCAGCAGAAATAGAATCTTTCTATTTCAGATAATCGGTTTTCAGTGCATTTTCAGGTAGATTTAAAAACCTAAGTAACAGAGGGACATTTATAATGCTGTCCTGTAGTATGAATCCCAACAACATAGATACATTCTTTCAATATATTTGGAAGGTTATATTGCTTATTGCTGTATTGTACATTCTGAGAATAGCAGGGAAGTGTAATATCATCTCTGCCCTAAAGAGATTTATTATGGAGAGTTAAGGCTGTGCATGTTACAAATATGAAAAATTTGAAATGTTTTGGACAATAGACTTGTAAAACTCTTTGGATCAAGAGGATTAGAAGTTACCTCATCCAACTTTCCATTCAGTGCTGGATTTCCCCCATCTTTTCCTCTTCAGGGGACATCATTTAGAGTATCCTTTGATAAGTGATTTGACCCACTTCCTTTCATGAGCCAAAATCCACCACTCTGTAGCCTGTTTCACTGAACAAGCATTTTTTGGACACCTAAATGTCTAGTTCTTCACAAGGGAATAGGACCTAATCTGTTTTGAAAGCTAATTCAGACAGAGCCAGGCACCATCCTAGAGAAACTTCCATACCTTATCTCATGACCACTGTGCAACTTCAACTGGACCTTTGTTTCTTGTCATCCTTAAATGCATCCTCTGCTCATGCCACCCAACCTTCTCCTTCGACTTCCTGCACTCTCTTTGGACCCTCAGTCCTCCCTCTACTCGCTTCTCTCAGTAGGTGAATGGTAATGTCATAGGGACCTCTGTTCCTCTGCCTGTCCTCTGGAGTTTCTCTGTAGCCTCAGGAAGAGGGCCTCCTCCTTGTAAGGTGAACCTCTGCTCAAGATCTTTCTCTAATTTTGGAGGAATTTTCCTTTCCATACCTACTATTTTTCCAGTGTTCTGTTTTACCTGTATATACATTTAGTTTTTTAAATATGAAAATAATGTAATGGGATTCCAGAATGTTTATAATCAAAATAAAAAGTTAAACATCTTATAATTTTCACTTTATTATCTTTTGCATGGCTTTCACATTTGTAAAAGAGGATACATGATATTTATATCTTTTTTATTATTCTATAGGCCTTTTAAATTGCAACATAATCATATTTATTATTTAAAATGCCATGTAATATTTTACTACCTATTATTGGACATTTAGGTTATTTTCCATTTTTTGCTGTTTTAAATAATACAACTTGAAACATTCCCACATATATCTTTTTCTGTATTTTGAATTTTTCTTAAATAGCTTCTCAGTAGTATCTGTCAAAGTATTTGCTTTTATGACTGAAACTTCTTGAGAAATTGCTGATGTGACACAGTATGCTACAAAATGTGCTCTGGCAACAGCCACTAATGACTTCCATGTCAACAAATTCAGTGGATATATCTTCCTGGACATCTCTGTGAGATTTGACTCTGCTCACCACTTACCCATTTTAAAGTCACACTTCTTAAGTTCCTACAACACCACTGTCTATCTTGATTTTTTTCTTCTGTTTGAACATCAGCTCTGTCTTTATGACCTTCACCAAGTCACCTAACCTTTCTGAGCTTTAGTGTCTTTATTAGTAAAATGAGCACAATTGTCTGCTTGCTATACTCTTTTAGACTAAATAACACATAAAGCCCTGAGGTTAGTGTCTGGCACAAAGTAGGAGATCATAAATGTTTCCTTTTCCTTTCTGTCTCTGGCTTCTTCCTTTCTGCATAGGTCTTTCCCATTTTGTTAAAAAAAAAAATCCCTTGGTTTTACTACCTTATCCAGATATTGTATTATGCACATGTAGCCTCTCAGGAAGGTAATTTGGTGGCATTTGTAATAGAAGGGGCTTACTGTTAAGTCTTTTTAATAACAGTCACAGTTTTGTAGTAAGACTTTTGATTGTGAAATATGTGTTTAAATTACACAAAACTGAAAGCTTGGGTTTTCTCTCACAGATTCCCTTGGAGTGTTCTTGTTGTGGATGAAGCTCACAGGTTGAAAAACCAAAGCTCCCTGCTGCATAAGACCTTGTCAGAGGTAAACTTACAGTGTAGCCTTAGTTTTTATATAACCCCTTCTTTTTAAATATACATTATATTTTAGAGTAATTTTAGATTCACAACAAAATTGAACAGAAACTACAGATGTTTCCCATGCATATGTCCCCACACATGTACAGCTGTCCCCTGTCCCCACACTTGTACAGCTTCACCCATTATCAACATACCCCACCAGAGTGGCACAGTTGTTGCAACTGATGAACCTACATTGATACATCGCTATCACTCAAAGTCCATAGTTTACATTCGGGTTCACTCTTGGTGGTGTGCATTCTGTAGGTTTGGACAAATGTACAATACCATGATATCTACTGTTATAGTATCATACAGAGTAGTTTCACTGCCCTAAAAATCCTATGTGCTCCACATATTCATCTTTTCTTCGTAACTCCCTTTAAAAAATACTAGTTTAGGCCTATATAGAGTCAATTAAATTGAAACCTTTTTTCGAGTTCGATTTCTGCAGGGCTAAATGAACATTTTATAGAAGACAGAAGAAGTACTAAATATGGCCTAACTTCTTCTTTCTTTTATATTGGAGATAGGTTTACTAATATCTGGTGAATAAGAACCCTACCCCAATAGAATGCATTTTATTTCAGATGTTTCAACTCTCTTTTGATTATCTTCAAAGGAACAATTTCTCTTAAAAAATCTTATTATAATTCTTCTTTGTGCAATAGTAGATATATCAGACATGTTGTACCCTTCCCCCCAATTTACCTGTTGAAAAAATTTGATAGTTCACCTGGGTTCATGAAGAGACCAATTACATGCTATTGAATATTACCTCCAGTTTGTCTTGTCTTTGTCCTACTTTTGAGCATAATACACTTGCTTTCATTCCTTTCTCTGGATCTCTTGCATCATTCTGGCAAAGTAGATGAGAAATACCATTGTACCCTAGATGGGCCCTTTTTTCCGAGGAGTCAGTGCGATGTGAAATACCCTTTTTATTGACCTGGTAAAGATTTGTTCATTGATGAGACCACATATGTTAATTTCTGTGATGATAATTGAAGTTTGGTCCTTGTCCTATAATAAACCAATTAATAAATTTAGAGGTCACTTGGAGGAAAGTCTTAGATATGAATTCTATTTTTACTGGTCTGAAAGTTGTAGTTTTTAGAGTCTTAATGTAGATACGATCACTGTGTATTATTAGCCCAGTCTCAAAGGTCGCTGTCCCCTGGTGGGGCCCCCTCTATCCCTGGTGTCCTTTGCTTTCTTTGTAGGGACTTTTAACAGTATCTCCTTCTGAGAGCTTGTCTTGGTCTGTTTTTCACAGACTGGGTAATTCATATGAGCAGAAATTTATTTATCACCGTTCTAGAGGCTGGGAAGTCCAAGATCAAGGTGCCAGCATTTGGCAAGAGCCTTCTTAACTGCATCCTCACATGACAGAAGGTGGACGGGCAAGAGGGAGCAGAAGAGCAAGCTATCCAAATGCTGCATGACACTTTTTTTTTTTTATATATAAAGGCCTTAATCTTATTCACGAGGGAAAAGTTCTTATGAACTAACCACCTCTTAAAGGCGCTACCTCTTAATAATATTACATTGACAACACCTGAATTTTGAAGGAAACACATTCAATCCATAGCAGTTGTCATATCCTGGCATCTAACCTTATGAAAGATGGCTTCATAAACTACTGTGCCAGTTTACTAATTTAAAACGGGAGGAGAGAAGCAGGCATAGTAAAAGAACCTGGATTTGGAGTGGGAAAGCTAAGTTCTGTTGCTGGCCCCAGAGCCTTTTCTTGTTATTCATAAGGAAACTAAGGCTCAGGGATTAAGTGAAGAAATGGTTCTGGGTCATCTAAGCATTCCTTTTTAGATGAAGCTTGGGTTGCAGATAACTAGTTGGAAAGAAAATACATGTATTTATTGGGCTGAGATGGGGAGGGGGATACTGCCGTTTTTTATTTCCCCCTAATATTGTTTTCAGTTTATAAAAGTTGGACGCAACCAGCCGGGCGCAGTGGCTCACGCCTGTAATCCCAGCACTTTGGGAGGCTGAGATGGGTGGATCACGAGGTCAGGAGATCGAGACCATCCTGGCTAATACGGTGAAACCCCGTCTCTACTAAAAAATTCAAAAAATTAGCTGGGCATGGTGGTGGGCGCCTGTAGTCCCAGCTACTTGGGAGGCTGAGGCAGGAGAATGGCGTAAACCTGAGAGATGGAGCTGGCAGTGAGCCGAGATTGCGCCACTGCACTCCAGCCTGGGCGACAGAGCGAGACTCTGTCTCAAAAAAAAAAAAAAAAATAGTTGGAAGCAACCTAAATGTAAAATATAGGGAATTGGTTGTACAATTTATGCGACATTCATGCAGTGCATTTGCAAAAGGTAAGGCTACCAAGAACAATTATGTAGAAGAATATTTAATAACATGGAAAATGTTTGCAAAGTATTTTATACACACACAAAAAAGCTTACAAAATACTATTTACAAACAGAGATGGTCTCTGAATCTTTACCCAGTTATAAATTTTGATCCCAAAATGGACCTAACTGAATCAAAATGTTAATTTGTGTCATAGGGTAAGTTACCTGTAGCGACTAGCAGCCTTGGTTTCCTTTGTGACCTCACAGCCTTCATTCACCTCAGCTCTTTACTTGGTGAACACATATTGTAAGAATGTGAACTGATGATTGGAAACATTACTTTTGACAAGTTCCCATACTTGAAATACTACAAAAACATCACCTAACAAGCAGAACAACCATGAATGGGTAGACATTGATTAGACATTTAAAAAGAAACAAATAAAAAAGGGAGATGGCAAAAAAAAAAATTGTTTACATCTGTTTTCATTGATTGTGTTATTCATTTATCATTTTTTGTATTATAAAAGCAGTGTCTTCCTATGGCCCCCCCTCCAAATCAAAATATAGAAAGACAAGAAGAAAAGGAAAACATCCCAGTAATCCTACTCCTACATTAACACTTTAATGGTTTAATGGTGTATGTGCTGCCATAATCTTTGCTGTGTGTATACATTCAAAAAGTAATGTATATATGCATATATATTATTTAAAAAGTCAAAATGTATATTAAATATCAAAATATTGTGTATATACGTGTATACATACATGTATGTAAATGTGTATATACATATGTATGTATGTGCATAGATACACTTACATACATACATATGTATATATACGTTTACATACTATGTTTTGACATTTAAAACAGGCTGTAATTACAGGCTCACACCTGTAATCCTAGCACTTTGGGAGGCCGAGGCAGGAAGATCACTTGAACCCAGGAGTTCAAAAGCAGCCTGGGCAACATAGTGAGACCTTGTCGCTATAAGAAAATTTAAGAAATTAGCTGAATGTGGTGGTGAGTGTGTGTAGCTCCAGCTACTGGGGAGGCTGAAGTGGGAAGATCACTTGAACCGGGAGGAGGAGGTTACAGTGAGCCGAGATCATGCCTCTGTACTCCAGCGTGGGTGACAGAGCAAGACCCTGTCTCAAAAAAAAAAAAAAAAAGATATACATACACAAGATGTCAAGATATGGCTTCCTCATTTTGATGTATTGTTTAATTCTACTAAATTCTTGTGAATGTCAGTTTAGAGAATATCTTTTGCTTGACCTAATATCTTTTCTTCTTTTTCCTGACCTTCTACTTCATGTCTCTCTTACTCTTGGTGTTCTTCTCTGTTGTTCAAAATTTAAGGACATTTTTTTTCCATTTGAGATTCTCTGTGATCTCCAGAGACACCAGAACCTTCCTAACCTTCTACTTCATGTCTCTCTTACTCTTGGTGTTCTTCTCTGTTGTTCGAAATTTAAGGACTTTTTTTTTCCATTTGAGATTCTCTGTGATCACCAGAAACATCCAGAAATCTTGACATCTTGCATCTTGGTGTTCTTCTTTGTTGTTGAAAATTTAAGGAAATTTTTTTTCCATTTAAGATTCTCTGTGGTGCTGTGTCCAGAAACATCCAGAAATCTTGACATCTTGCATCTGATGCACCATTAAATTTTATAAAAGGAAAGTCTCCTATTATAAATCTTACTTATTGCTTGCAGTGGTGGGGCCTGATGCTGTAGCGTTGGATTCTCAAACTGCATGAGCATGTGCATTGTGTCTCAGATACCTCAGTAGACTCCCCGACACAGGCAGTAACACATAGTTTGAATCCCCATCTAAATTCAGTAATAACAGCCATATTAAATTCTCATGCAATACTTCAGAGTTCACAAAGTGTTACTACATCCTTATATAAGTGTTTTCTTCACAGGATTATTGTCCCCTTCTTATAGTTGAAACTGAAGAGGTATTATTTCATCTGCATCAAACAGCTAGTTTGCAGCTTCAACCTGAGCCATCTGATTTCATGTCCCCTCAGTCATTTCATTAAATCATGCCTCTCTCTGTGTGGGTAAAGGTTGTGATGGGTAACTCAGCCTTGCATTCCAGTGTTATGGAATTTTTATTTTATTTATTTATGTATTTGAGTTCTCAGTAGTCTTCAGTCTCCTGTTGACCGGAACTCCCATCCAGAACAGCCTCCAAGAGCTCTACTCCCTCCTCAGTTTTGTGGAGCCTGATCTCTTTTCCAAGGAAGAGGTGGGAGATTTTATTCAACGCTACCAGGATATTGAGAAAGAATCTGAGTCAGGCAAGTTCCTTTCCTGCAAATCATCCCCAAGAAGCCTTGGCACAGAAACCATCCTCATGCATAATGGTTATAGGTAGAAAAGAAGGAGAATTGATGACCAGAGGACACCTTCCAGGGAGACAGACCGCTGATATTAGGGAGATGTTAAGTCACACATGTTGTTCCCAGTTGTCTGCTGTTCATGCCTCTCTTAATTGTTTGCTATTTGATTCTGCAGTAGGGCTTCTTTAGTTCATTTTTGGAAGAAATAGAAAGTGCCTGCTGATTTGCAGACTTTTTTTTCCAACTTGTAATTTCTATAAAGGCTTTGTTAACTTTATAAGTCACTTCCTGAGGGAGAAAAGAATGTGGGTGCTGTAGTCCCAAACTACTGTTCAGCATACTACAGCACTGGTATTTCTTTTAATGCTGCACCAAAACCAGAATTCTGGGATGGGAACCCTTCCTCATTCATACAGCCAAGAGTTGTAGTCTTCTGTTCTTGTACCTTTGCCCCTCTGTGTTGTAGGATTATCCATCTATCCCTGTGATATTATCCTGGGATGATTTTTCAAAACAGGTAGGAGGTATGCCAACTAGTGAGTTTGTATGTGTTGGGTAAGTATGAGTTTGAGGGGGCTTCTCATAGCAAAAATCTCCAGACCATAGACTGAAGATCACCTGGCGAACCTGCTCTGATTACTCCCATGTTTTGGGTTACCTGACAAAATATAAGACTTCTAGTCAAATGCATGACATACTTGTATTACATGGGACACACTTGTGTTAAAAAGTTATTCATTATTTATTTGAAATTCAAGTTTAACTGGGCATCTGTATTTCCATTTGCATATCTGGCAATCCTACAGGTAGTATAATTCTAATTTAGAATAATTTTTGAAATTCAAGACATCTGGGGAAAGAAGGGATTTTAAGTCAAAGAGCCAAATTTGAATGCTGGCCACATTCACATCCAGCTGTGTGACTTTGGATAAGTTGCCTAATTTCTGAGCCTCACTTAACTTAGCTATAAAAATGGGGACAGTATTCCTCACTTGAAATTTCTAAGCTGTTATGCTGATCAATGAGATTAAACGCAAAAATATTCTGGAAACAAAACAGCTTTGTGCAAATGAGATAAGAAGTTATTTGAGTGTTCCTCGTTCTTGGGCTAAGAACAAGTCATGATTCCAGAAAAAAGATGATCCCAATGAAGGAAGAAATACTATAAAAAAATGATCATACTGGCCTAGAATGCAAAATAAGCGTGAAATAAGAAACAAAAATAAATTTCTTTAAGTTCTCTAGGGTTCATTGCCTTGGTTCTACTTTTGTCCCACACTTCTTGTATTTTTTTTTCTTATGTAGCAAGTGAACTGCACAAACTCTTGCAGCCATTTCTGCTGAGGCGAGTGAAAGCTGAGGTAGCTACAGAGCTTCCCAAGAAGACAGAAGTAGTGATATACCATGGCATGTCAGCATTGCAGAAGAAATACTACAAGGCCATTTTGATGAAAGACCTAGGTAATCAGAGGGCACTTGTCCATTTAGAAACTAAATGAGGATGTGATTTCAGGTAGTAAAATATTTTATAATCACACTCATTTGTATGATCCCAAGAATATGGGATGGAATTTTGTATTCTGAATAATTCTGGTCGGCTACAGTGGGACTGTGGCAGAGCATCTTAAAGATAACAGCCTTGGTTGTTGCAGTTGTGAAATTTCCTTTTCTCCCCTCACTCAGTTTTTCTTAGTGCCTGTAATTAAGCAAACACTTCCAGGTGTCCCAGTCATGTCTTTCATCCTCCCACCCTGTCAGATACGGTAGTCCACCCTCATTCACAGTTTTGCTTTCCAGGGTTTCAGTTCTGCACTGAACTGCAGTCTGAAAATATTAAATGAAGATTCCAAAAATAATTCATAAATTTTAAATCAAACTCTGTTGTTAGTAGCATGATGAAATCTCACTCTGTTCCACCCAGGACATGAATCCTCCTTTTGTTCTGCGTATCCACGCCGTCAGCGTTAGTAGCCTGCTCTGTCATCAGTCCAATAGTCATGGTATCACAGTGCTTTTGTTCAACTGATCTTTATTTTACTTAAAAATGGCCCCAAAGCACAAGAGTAGTGATGCCTGCATTTTGGATATTCTAAAGAAGCCATAAAGTGCTTCCTTTAAGCAAAAAAGGTTAAAGTTCTCAATAAAAAAATGAAAAACAATTATATGCTGAGATTGGTAAGAACAAATCTTCTGTCTGTGACATTGTGAATAGAATATTGTTATAATTGTTGTATTTTATTATGAGACGTTAATATTTTACTGTGCCAAATTAAACTTTATCATAGGTATGTATGTATGGGAAAAAACACAGAATACATATAGGGTTTGGTACTATCCATGGTTTCCAATATCCACTGGGGGTTTTGGAACATATTCCCCATGGGTAAGGGGGAACTGCTGTATTTAAGAGAGTGCAAAACTTTTTTGTTGAATCAAATTCACTGGGAGGAATTGGAAGTGACAAGGGAAAGATAGTGAAATAATTTCTCAAATTGCACTTTTTTGTCCCTTGACTCCACAACAACAGTTAAAGAAAATTTAGAATTTGCAAAAGAGTAACAGAGTACTTCTGAGTTCTATTTACAGTTGAGGGTCTTTCTTAAAACAAAATGGTTGAGAAAATTTTATGTGAACATGCTGTTAATTCTCAATACAATTCAGTGAAATTTGGGAGGTTAGTATAGGTTCAAAGGATATAATTGAAATGATTAAGGTTACTTGTAAAAACTCAGGGTTTTGGTTTCTGTTTTGTTCAGTAGGCCATCTCTTTCTGTCTCTCTCTTTTTTTTTAAATTTCAGATGCATTTGAAAATGAGACGGCAAAGAAAGTTAAACTACAGAACATTTTGTCCCAGCTTCGAAAGTGTGTGGATCACCCATATTTGTTTGATGGTGAGACAGTGCCTTTTCCCCCCACATTATTCTTTGGTAATGTTTCTGTGGCCAAATCATACCAAAATTCTTCAAAATAATTGCATATACTTACTTTGTCTACTTTGTTTATTCTCAATTTCTCTGTATTGGTATTAACTCATATATTCATGTTCAGATATCTTCAGTTGTCCCGGTAATATCCCTTCTGGCTATATTTTTCTTTTTTTGTTAAATCCACGATCCAGTCCTAGATCCTGCAGACCCTGCATTGCATTTGCCATGTCTCTTTATTCTTCTATAATCTAGAAACATTCTTCAGCGTTTTTTTTCTTTCATTACATGAAGAGTCAAGACCAGTGGTTTTGTGGAATGCATGATAAGCTGGGTTCTTAAAAATCATTTCTTCTTGATTAGATTTCCCATTGTCTTGAATTGACTCAGTCAGCCTTTCCTCACCGCTACTCCAGGTTCACTAATGATCTCCCTGTTGCCCAACCAATGGTTATTTGTTAGTTCACATTTCAGTTACCCTCTCAGAAGCCTTTGGCACAGCTAATCACTTCTTTCTTGAAGCACTTTCGTCCCTCAGCTTCTGGGATATACTTTCTCTTCTCCATCTGCTCCTTCTCAGTCTCCTTTGTTGCTTCCCCTTCATCATACAGACCTCAGTAAATTTTCCCCTGGGCACCGCTTTAGCTGCATCCTAGGAATTTTGATGTGTGGTGTTTTTGTTTTTCTTCATACTGGGGCTTTTTTGATTCCCTGATTGGTAACCCTTGGAGCAAGCACTCCTGTGGCCATGGAGACTCTAGATAGGATCAGTACAGAGGGCTTGCTGCAGTCATTTTAAGGGAATCTCTGCCAAATAGTGCTAAGAACTGTTTAAAGATTGCACAAAATCTCAAGTAGGTGCATATGAGAACTTTTTTTAAGAGGAGGGGGTGTTGGGAACACATAGGTTTTGAAAGAAGTCCTCCAGGTTATTCTGACTGCCATTTTGACTTATTTTATAGAGTGAGTCTCGATTTCAGTTTTGGGTCTCCTTGACCTTTAGCATCTTCTTCTGTCTCAGTTTCCTGAAGAGTGGTTTTATTCCTTACACAGATGTTTATTAGGCTTGTTGGATGTGCTAGGCTGTGTAATTGGTGTTAAGCAGGACTGAGATCATCATGCAAACAACTACTTATATGATGAGCTTTTGGCTTCTCTTCCTGTAGCCTAGCTACTGGCTTCTGCCCTTACTGAGGGCACATTACTGGGAGTGGGTTCTTTCTTTTCTAGGTGTGGAGCCGGAGCCTTTTGAAGTTGGAGACCACCTGACTGAGGCTAGTGGGAAGCTTCACCTGCTGGATAAGCTACTAGCATTCCTGTATTCTGGGTAGGTGGTAGGTTCACATTTGCTGCTCTGAGCTAATGACTGTTAAAACCTGACTATTGAGGAACTCACTGAGTTGTTCAGGCCAATTCCAGTTTTCTTTTTTTTCTTAACACTGATTCAGGTTCTGCCTTCTCTGTGACTACACTCCCACCCCATTCTATCCCACTCCACCCCTTCCACAATCATTCTTTCGTTTCCTGAATTTGTACAGCACTTATAATCCTAATCCAGCACTTGGCAATGTGCTGCCGTAATCTGCTGTCTGATTAACTGGTGTTTATGTTTACCGTTATCATTCCAACTATATATTGTTTGGCTCTACAAGGACAGAGACAACACTGAGCATTTCTTTTATAGTTGCCTGCTAGTAACTTGGCATTGAATTGACACATAATGAAGGCTCAGTAAACATTCATTTTTGTTAACCTGTGGGGTTTGATTTAAACTTAAGGGGAACTTGAAGGACTCTTTCTCAGGGACATGAGTTGCGCATTAGAAGACGAGGTTCAGAGCCAGGCACTGTGGCTCGCGCCTGTAATCCCAATACTTTGGGAGGCTGAGGTGGGCGGATCATGAGGTCAAGAGATCGAGACCATCTTGGCCAACATGGTGAAACCCTGTCTCTACTAAAAATGCAAAAATTAGCCGGGTGTGGTGGCAGGCGCCTGTAGTCCCAGCTACTTGGGAGGCTGAGGCAGGAGAATCACTGGAACCCTAGAGGCAGAGGTTGCAGTGAGCCAAGATCATGCCACTGCACTCCAGCCTGGTGACAGAGCGAGGCTCCATCTCAAAAAAAAAAAAAAAAAAAAGACCAGGTTCAGTTAGTGTTCAACAGCCATGTGTTCAGCTTATACCTAATCCTCCTAGTCACCAGAGTTCTCTCTTTCTAGAGGAGTCTAGGAAAAGCCCAGATTCCCATGGGTTTCAAAATTATCCCTTTGGAATGACTGTCTTAGGTATGGCCTGAACTAATCTAAAACTTCAGATTTGGCAAAATTGCTCAACTTTAGGAATGTGCAAGTTAAATAATTTCATGTCTTACTGTATTTCATTGGTTCTCGTATATCTGCCATAAGTATGTTAGAGTTGGAGAAGGACCTATAAATGCCTTCTGGCCAGTTTTTTATTTCACAGACCCAGAAAGGTTATATGACTTGCCCAAGGTCACACAGCCAACAAATGGCAGAAATGAGATTAGAATTGAGGTTTTCAGGTTCATTGCTTTCTCTACCCATTTGGGGCTTGAATCTTGAAAGAGTTCCCCATAATTTTTCCTCTTACACTTGTTGCAAGCTCAGATTAAATAAGTTTTTATAATGAGAATATTGTTTTGACAGTGCTGTGCTTCTTTGTTTATGCAAATTTAAAATAACAGCCAGTAACAAGGGACTCTAGGCTTGACTTTGTTCTTGACTTACTCCATCATTTTGCCGCCTTTCTTCCCTCCTCTCGCTATACAAAAATTTTCTCGTGTTATGGAAAATGAGACATCACTTACCCCTTGCTTCTCTAAAGTAATGCTTCTCAGACTTTTCAACCCATATAGCTGTAGATGAGAGGATAGTGACTTTACACCCCCAAACAGGGCATAGTTGTAGATGACTGACCACAGGCTTTCTTCAGAGTCTCCAGTTTTTCTTTTCTTTTTTTTTGTGTGTGTATTTGAATTTTGCATTTTACTCTTCACATATCTGTATTTATTTTGCTACTAAAATGAAAGCTTATATTTCTTTCCATTGAGCAAATTGACATTCCAGAAAGAGGCACCTTGTTTATTCTAGGGCTTATATCCCCTGTTGCATTGACACGTCTCCTGGGAATAATCTCCACTCTAGTTTGAGGATGACTGCTCTGAGGGATACAGCTACCTGTGGAGGTGTATTCTCATAGAAAGCATTTGGAGGTTCTGAGGCAGTCTATAAATCATACGACACTTATATTTCTACTTTGGTATTTATTTATAAACTTTTATTGTTTGGTAAATTTTGCCTGAGGGAAATTGACCTTAAATACCACTAGACTTGGCAGTGTTTCCTTTTCTTTTTCTTGCCAGGGGCCATCGGGTTTTACTTTTCTCCCAAATGACCCAGATGTTGGATATTCTCCAAGACTATATGGATTACAGAGGTGACACCTTTTGGCCACTACATTACCTAAGGCTCTGTTAGACTTAACAGTCCAGATAGGTCCATGAAGAATAATATGGGATATGAGAATATTACAAAGGAAAGCAGGGTGAGAACATTATTCAGAACCAAAAAATCAAAAGGCGAGAGGAGAGTGATGTGTGAAGGCAAGGATGGACAGCAGAGAACAGGCACGTGGGCAGAAATAAACACCCACGTTCCCATCAGTTACATGATTTAAAATTATGGGCCGTGGAGCAAATGTTGTGGAAATGTTTTTGAAAATGTGTGATAAAGTTTCAGTGACTAGAGCTTTTAGCGTCTTGTAACATTCACCTCAACAGTTGAGCACTTACTCATGATCAGTGAAAAGGTGAATATTGAAATTATAGAGATAACAAATAAGCCAGGGGAAAAGTAAGAGCAACTTTTTCTGCATAGACAATAAAGAATGTAGGTTATTACCTGGGAAGTCTGTTTAATATGTAATAAGATTTGTGTGAGATGATGAGAAAAGGCTCTAACATGAGTTGATCTTGAGCCCAATGTTGAACAGCTCCAGACCTTACAATTTAAAAAAGTAGTTCAGACCGGGTGTCTGAGTTCCGCAGTATACCTGGTCCAGTGGACACTTGCAGAATGCCGTTGGCACATGCCACTGGCCATTGAGGGGTCCCCAGATGCATAAACAGCCTGATCCTGTAGCTCCCCTTCCCCACACGGATGCATGGAGGCAGGTGGCGAACTCTAAAGCCTCACTGAAAGGCAGATTGCTGGACTGTTAGAAGGGGCTCACTCACCTGCCTCCAAGCGCTTGTCTTCTGTTTACATAAGAATTACATCTCAGCAAAGTTGAAACTATCACACAGGATAGATGCTCAGGGTTGCTTGAGAATAGTCAAAACTGAGTATTAACTTCATAAGTGCCAAAGACTTCAACTGCATGTATTTAAAAAATCCAGAGGAGTATGTTATGGTGAGTTATTTTGTAAAATGATAATTGTCCCTGTTAATTTAAATTTTTCCCTTTGGGATTTGCTTAAAGTAGGGCTGTGCCTGTATATGGAAAGGGACAAAATTGGCCTTTGGTTTTGGGCTTAATTTTTTATTCCCCAAAGACTACTTGAAAAGGGTTAAGATTTCTGTTTTTCTTCCTCTCTGTAAAGGCTACAGCTATGAGCGTGTGGATGGTTCTGTGAGAGGAGAAGAGAGACACTTGGCCATTAAGAACTTTGGACAGCAGCCCATTTTCGTTTTTCTCCTGAGTACTAGGGCAGGTAGGCTGCAAAGGCATTGATGGAAACAGACAAATGAGGGATAATAGAGTACTATTACATCCCAACGGTTAGTACACTTTTTTCCTTAATTCTCTGAAAGGTGAGGTTACTATTGAATGTAAAACAAGGTACTGGACATCAAGCATGGTGCTGTTTTCTATCCAGCCTGTCCAAACTGTCATCTCAGCAAAGAAGTAAGGCTGAAACCTGGGGTTATTGGAAAGTAATTCTAATCTGCTTTGACCATTGACCTGGGAATGTCCTGAAAGATTTATGTGATTTTGTGGAATGTTTCATTTACATTCAGTGGAAGTAGCTCTTCTTCCCAACCGTGAATTTGGGAAATAAGGTAACAGTTTGTCTACTAGTTGTCCTTCCTCTATAAGTATTTCTGGAATAGTGCTGAAAAGCTTAACAAAAATCTAGTTGTTAAAAAATGTGATTATGTTGAAAATACCAACTTTTTAGAATTATTTATGACATCATCCATATATGATTTAAATCGTGAATATTACGACATTTGTAATGCTTTACCAGTTACAGAGTGCTTTCATTTACTGTTACATAATTTGAAATCAGCTCTTGGAGATGAAATGATTCTCTAAGTCATTGTGGTGTCTGGAAAAAAAAAAAAAAAGGCCGGCACGGTGGCCCATGCCTGTAATCCCAGCACTTTGGGAGGCTGAGGTGGGTGGATCACTGGAGGTGAGGAGTTTGAGACCAGCCTGGCCAACATGGTGAAACCCCGTCTCTACTTAAAAAAATACAAAACTTAGCTGGATGTAGTGGTGCGTGCCTGTAATCCCAACTACTACGGAGGCTGAGGCAGGAGAACCGCTGGAATCCAGGAGGCGGAGGTTGCAGTGAGCCAAGATTGCACCACTACATTCCAGCCTAAGAAATTTTTCTCAGGTCCTGGAGCAAGCTGACCTTAGTTTTCAACTCATAGGATCCTAGTTTCATTATCTTATTTTTGTAGACATAAATCTTGATGGAGTACATGCAGGAACATGAAAGAGATGTGTGTCCTCTATTAAAGACAGATTGACATTTTTCTAAAAAGAGAGTTCAGTCTTATTTAGAAAGCTTTCTAAATGCCTGCTGCTATAAGGGTATATGAAAGAAGTGTTAGATATAATTTTTGATTATAAGGAGATTATTTCACCTGTGTTTGTTTTATCTCCCTAATAAAATTAATAACATAAGATTCATTTGGCCTCACTCTTCCAAGATCATAGACTGCACATGGAGTCTCAGCCATTTTCTCATGTGATCAGTTGCCTCAGGGTTAGTCTCAGGAGAAACTGAAAGAATCAGGCAGTGCATCATCACTGCCGGGAAAACAGTTTTATTTATGCTTTAATGATTTCATCATCCTCATATTCAGAGAGCAGCATTATGTTTGAAATGTCTAAAATTAGGAAAAAAGAGATCTCTGCTTTTCAGTTAATCTCCTTGGAGGACTCAGAGTAGATCTGGGAGCTGAAGCAGTCCTGGACATTAGTCTTCTCCAAACACTGTTGTGTTTGCTGTCACAGTTTTGTTGTAGTTTTGCAGTATTTTCATTTATTTAACAGGTTTCCTTCCAAATTTCAAATATTTCTGTGATGAGTCATGTTGCCACCAGATGGCAGTGATAGCTCATGAATATGTTCCTATTCATGGATGTGGGTGTGGCTTATTTATAAAAATCTCACCCCTCGGTGAAGAGCTGCACTTAGACAACATGAATTCAAGAAGATAATTTTATGGAACACATTTTAAAATGAAATAAGCACCTGAAAAGTATTATAGTATAGTGGATAAAAGCACGGGCTCTGGACCAAGACTGCAAGGGAATGAATCCTGGCTCTTTCACCTTCTAGGCTTGCAACTTCAGAGAAGTCCCTTACCCTCCCTTTCAACATCTATAAAGTGGGGAAAATCGTAGCAACTACTCAACTTCCCGACAGGGTTGTTGTGAGGGTTAAAGGAGTTAATATAGAGAGAGTGCTTAGAATAATGCCTGGCAAGTAGTAAGCACAGCGTAAGTGTCATTATCATTATTATTAGGTATAATTTAGCATCTCTCAGTAATCGGTCATGATTACCTCCTTGTTCCAACTTCAACTTGATACGAAGACTTTAATTAGAATATTCCTGCCTGATTTGTCTGGAGATCCAGCTTATGGTCAGTAGTCCTTCTTAAAAGTTAGTCCTTAATTCAGGTTTATGGAACAAGCCCTTTCAGGCTTGCTTGTTTCAGCAACCAGCTCTAACGACCCTGGCAAGAGGGAGTCTGTTTTGTACTTGTTTTCACATTAATCAAAGAGAAGGCTGCAATGTACCTTCACGGTTCTCTTAATTAATTCCTGTAACTCAAGGTACCTCCTCAGCTCTCTTCCTGCAGCACTGAAGAAAGACCAGCAAGAGTGTTCTGAGCAAGCCTCAGAACACTCAGAGTAAATGACAAGAGTGTTCTTGTCTTGCCGTTGGTTTTGTTACTTTCTTTTTGATTAATGTGGAAACCAGTACAAAAAAGACTCACTGGAGTTTTCTCTAATCAGAGGGAGGAGGTTTCCCACTCTGCTCAGGAGTATAATATCATCCACTCTTCTCATTAACTTTTTATCAGAGATCTTGCTACCTAGTTGTAACTTGCAAGCGACATTCGGCACTCTTCTCTTGACAGTGCGCACTGCAGACCTCTCATATTTAGATCTGTTTTCTGAAAGAGCATGTGTCCTTTTCCTCAGACTACTCTAATCAAAATCTAATCAAGGTTTTTAAGCAGAAGAGATAAAGTGGCTCCATGGCACTGACTTAAGTATCCACCTTGGCCACTTGCCCCTGCTCCGCTCATTCTGTTCCATTCAGTAATAAAAATTTTCCCATCAGGCAATAAGAGGTCAGGTAGCACTTCTCACCGCTGGAACAAGGCTTTGGAGTTAGGGGTGTGGGTCCATTTGAAGGATGAAGCCAATTGTTTTGACTGATTTCAGTTTATCAGTCTGACCCACTCTAGCCTTGTGCTTATTTTCTAGCTCCTCGTCTTTGTGCTGCTGATTACATTCCTTTTTGCATTGTTTTCAGGTGGAGTTGGCATGAACTTAACAGCAGCAGATACTGTGATTTTTGTTGACAGTGACTTTAATCCTCAGAATGACTTGCAAGCAGCTGCCAGGGCTCATCGCATTGGCCAAAACAAGTAAGTGATTTTTTTCTGCTTCCTTGGCTTGCCCAGCAGCAGTTCTGGGTTGTGAAAAAGGTGAAGAATATAGTCCTGGTGACAGTCCCACACTGGGAGCTGAGAGACCACCAGGTTTTAGCTCATCTGTGCTATTGACTCCTAGGGTAGTATTGGGTGGGTCACATTATCAGTCCAGACTGACTTTATTAGAAGGAGTCAAATCAAACTGTGAAAGGATTAGAAGGAAACTTTAGAAGTCATTTAACTCATCCTTCTTGAGTTAGGGTCTGACTCAGTTAAAAAATGGGGTTATGGGGCTATGGAGCTAAGCTAAAAAAAAAAAAAAGAAAGATAGATGTTGCCCTTTGATCTGAGGATAATTTGATCTTCCAGATATTTTCCTTGGCTACAGATAAGGAATCCCAGTCATGGTTACCCCATCATTCTTTCTTTGACTGTCTGGAATGGTTCAGAGAGAATTTCAGGCGAGTTCTCTCTAACAAGTGCTCAGGACCAAATGAACCAATCTCCCTTTCATTGTACCCTGAATATGGTATTTGGTTTTGTTTGCTTTTAGATGTATTTACCTTGCATACTTTTGCCCAGCTTTGCACACCCTTATAGCACACTACCCTTGTTTGACTTATGTCCAGGTCTGTTAAAGTTATTCGGCTGATTGGTCGAGACACTGTGGAAGAAATAGTCTATAGGAAAGCAGCCTCCAAACTGCAGCTCACCAACATGATCATAGAAGGAGGCCATTTTACTCTGGGAGCCCAGAAACCCGCTGCCGATGCTGACCTCCAGGTATGATATGATATACTGTTCTTCACTTTGGAATATACCAATACCCTTTGTGGAGGAGAATGTAAATGAAAAGAACCAGCACTCACCCTCTCCCCAGCTACACATTTGTTCCTTGGCCTCCCTCACACCTGCCACAGTGCTGGCTGTGTGCAGGGTCTGTAGGAAGTAAGGATTAGTTCCAAGCCTCATCACTTCTTGGCTGTTTGGGTTTGAGCGGCTTTCTTAACTTCTTAGATCTACTCTTTTTGCATTTCTAAAAATAAAGACACCACAGGTTAGCTCAGAGGGCTGTTAAGAGAATTAGTTAAAATAAAGAACTCAATAACAATTAATTCTGTACTTCCACCTTAGTCCCAGAGCCTTTGATCAGTGACTTACATTACTTCATACTCAGAAGAGGGCGAATGAGATCAGGAATTCATAATTGTGCCTTAGAAAAAATGGGTGAAAGAACTAGAGGTAATTTATTTAAAGAAGGGAGTACTGGATGGGAGACAGACACTGGATTGGAAGATTTTAGAGCTCTCTTTTGGAAGAGGACTTAGAGTTACTCTGTAGCAGCCCTTGGGTTAAAATTAAAACTCATAATATTTCCTGGATGCTTTGTTTTTGCCCTAAGGATGAGGGGCTGGATGCAAAGAGACCAACTCCTAGGATACTAGAAAGATGCAGGTATGAAGGGAGTAATAAATGTCTGTCAAGGGCAGCATCAGTGGGAGAGTCTGGTGTGAGAAACATTGCAAAAGAAGGAAGGACAGGAGTTGGCTACTGTTTAGAGTTGGGTCTCAACAGTAGGGAGATAGAAAATTCAAAGATGGCTGTGAGGTTTTAGGCCCCTATGATGAGGAGAGAAGAAAGGAAAATAAGAAGTAGGGCAGAGTTTTAGGAAGATAAAGAGAATTTAGGCTTTAGTCAGAGTGTGCAGTAAAAATACAATATAAACAAACTATTGTTAGAGGCAGACTCAGACAAAAGGAAAGAATTTTATTTGTAAAAGTTTGCAAGATGGACTAGGATTGGAAAGGACTAGTCCATCAAAAAACATAAGTGTTTAAGAGAGAAAAAGTGACACAATATTAGAAGCAGAGTTACTAAGTTTGTAATTAGTCTGAAAAAACAGCAGTTTTCTTACATGGTTACCGTATCTGCAAAGGCCAGTGCATATCTTTACATATCAGTGTTGCAAAAGACAGGGATCCTGTTGTTTTTGTTAGGGAGTTAGTAATTACAGGAAAGGCTCAAGGTTTTATTAATTTTGGGACTAGAACTAGAAAGAGTAACACTGGGTTTGTTCTTTGTTTATCTTAGGGGGTAGGTGTGGCTTTTTTCTTTTTCTGACTTTCCTTGTGTTGCTGACTGTGTCACATGCATGCTTAATTAACCATAATGGTGCTAGGGCAGGCTGTACATTTTGTTTTCACACTAAGAGACAATTATAAATGTGAGATGAAAGCTTGAGAGAGAGGTAGAGGTACGCTGTAGATACCCTTAAATGCAGTTTTCCACAGAAAAATTATCCATAGAACCTTAAGAGAGAGAAGGTCACTGCTGGGCATAGTGAAGGGGTAAATGACAGAGCCTCACAAGGCCCGCATTCTCTTGTTAGAGGAGGAAGGATGTCATAGGTTGTTTGCACTCTCCCAGTGGAGGGAGCGCCAGGGGTCCAATGAGGGGTATCTTGTGATGTGGGCTGCTGGACACATCACTGTGAAAGATGTAGACATACCTCCACCCCATGGGGCCACAAACGAGTGGGAACATGGACTGCTGGCTGAGAGCGACTCTGTTGGACTTCTTGCCCAGCTCATGGTTATCGGAAAGTTACTTTCTGACTCTAATGTCTGATTTATCTCTTCCCCATGCAGATGCTATGAGTTATTTGTGGTTACCAAAAGCAAAGGTGATAACCCAGAGCCCTTGTCTAAAAAGAAAGCAGGGGATTTTTGTTTGTTTTTGTTTTTTGGGTTTTTTTTTTTTTTTTTTTTTGAGACAGAGTCTCGTTCTGTTGCCAGGCTGGAGTGCAGTGGCGCGATCTCAGCTCACTGCAACCTCTGCCTCCCGGGTTCAAGCAATTCTCCTGCCTCAGCCTCCTGAGTAGCTGGGACTACAGGCGCGCACCACCACGCCTAGCTAATTTTTGCATTTTTAGTAGAGACGGGGTTTCACCATGTTGGCCAGACTGGTCTTGATCTCCTGACCTTGTGATCCGTCCACCTCGGCCTCCTAAAGTGCTGGGATTACAGGCATGAGCCACTGCGCCTGGGGGTATTTTTTTTTTTTTAAATACCAAGAAACCAAAAGTAAAAGATGTGGTTCTGATTTGGTAAATCTAAGCAGTAGGTATGGAGTTCTGAAGTCCTGAAAGAAGGAAACAGGTTTTTTATCCTGCAGGGAGGACACAGTAGAAACAGGCAGGCAGATGCAGGTGTAGTGAACACTTATTGGATACTGTGTGCTGAGTGTTGTCTGAGGTGCTCTTTTCCAGTTGTTTCAGTAAATAAGAATAACAGCAGGATGAGATAGACACTATCTTTATCCCCATCTTAAGTAATTTGCCCAAGGTTATTCAGATTTAGGATTCCAATCCAAGCACTCTCTAACCTCCGAGCACATGCCCTTAATTACTGTAATATACAGCTTCTCATAAAAACACATGTAATTTTCTTAATGACTAAGACACATTGCAAGTGAGCAATAACAAGGGAGAGCCAGGAGGTGAGCATAAGTACAAGGGGGTGAAAGGGAGGGTCCCAGTATGGACCAATTCTTATCATAAATAGTTGGCTTCCTACTATTTTTGGTACCAGCTGCCAAAGCCAGTCATCCTGGTTATGTGTATGGAGGGTAAATATAATATATCTAGGTACATTCATGCTTAAGTGAGCTGTCTATTGTTTCTTCAAGCTGTTACAGAATACCTTAACATTTCCAAGTTACTCACAAAATAGACGATCTGGAGATAACCCAGTCTAAAAGGGCAAGATGAGAACAAGGGCCCAAGGTTTGAATCCACCTTGGGTCAGGATCTCAGAATTAGTGCTTACGGAGGTGCAAAGTTGGAAGTAGCAAGTGAAAGCCAGGAAAAATTATCTGTGCTTTCTGCATGGTTCCTACAGCCATAGGGAATAGGCTGAGAGTACTCCAGAGAGGGACGAGAGAAGAGAAGCAGGATAGTGCAATGCCAGAGGAACATCCAGAAAAATTCAAACTGAGAAAAGGCCTTCGGGTCTGGTGGTCAGAAGTTGTTACTGATCTTTGCCAAGGTGGTTTCGATAGACCACTGTGTTAGGAAAACAAATTGCCAAAGAAAAGGAGTCAGTTCATGATAGAGGTAAAGTTCCTAGTGTAGCCTTCCCTTTCTAAGGAGTCTGGCAGTGGAGAGGTTGGAAAGTAGCTAACAGGGTCTCTGATCTCAAGTGGCTGCTGGGAATGCTTATGAAAAAGTCAGTGAGAGGTGCTGTAGAAAATGCAGGAAGTTACTAT
Source organism: Homo sapiens (assembly GCF_000001405.40). Classification (NCBI taxonomy): domain Eukaryota; kingdom Metazoa; phylum Chordata; class Mammalia; order Primates; family Hominidae; genus Homo; species Homo sapiens. The sequence goes on from NC_000001.11 coordinate 147,279,741, forward strand.
TATTCTTCAAAAAAATTGGAGGCTTATACATTTTTTTTGTTTTGTTTTTATGCAGAATTGTCAAAGTCAATACCTCTGATAATCATTTATCACCTCTCTGCTTACCCATCATCCAACTATTAAATGGCCCTGGCTGTTACTATCTATGATGGGGAGAGCAGAAAGGCTGCCTGTTCATTAGAGAAGGACTGTGCCTGGTGTCGTTAATCCACTTAGCCAATCACTGATATCCTAATGTTTCTTTTCATGAGAATTTGCTGGACTTTTTTGTTTCCTCTATTCAAGTTGAGTGAGATACTCAAATTTGGTTTGGATAAACTGCTGGCCTCTGAGGGGAGCACCATGGATGAAATAGACCTGGAGTCCATCCTGGGAGAAACAAAAGATGGCCAGTGGGTCTCTGATGCCTTGCCTGCAGCAGAAGGAGGGAGCAGAGATCAAGAGGAAGGAAGTAAGTTGGAGGTTAGAGCAGAGCAAATGGCACAACCACCCCAAGCTAGAGCTCACGTCCCCATGGAAAGTTTTGGATGCTGCTCTCTGGGGCATCTTTTTTCTCCCTTACCCTATTGTCATTTGGGCACACTGTTTAAGACTTGCTTGATAAAAGAACGTTACCCAAACTAACTGGAAATTTGTGTGGCTCTTCCCTTGTAGCTGAACTGTGAACCAAAATCATAGTATTAATGTTTATGATAGTATCAATCTTAAGGCTTTGAATTTGTACCTTTTCTCCCTTGGTTGCAAACATCTTCTTCTTTATTAGTAAAGCCTACCATCCTTGGTATGATGCTTTGCACATAGCGATTCCTCTTCTAAACAGTAGAATTACTTGTTTTTAAAATTGCAGCTAACATTAAGCATTTATTTTGCGTTCATCAACAGTGCGGACTTTGTCATGTGCTTTTTCCATTTAATTTCTGTAATCCATGAGATGTAGGAGATGGTTTTGTCTTTCTCTTAATTTTCTTTCCTGAATTTGGTCAGCATTTGTCATTTTGTTCTTTTCTATTCTGAGCACTTAAATTTCCGATTTGAAGTAATTTTTCACATGGTAGCTTTGTAAAGGTATTCCCTGGCATCTTGTAGTTATTTTGAAATGACTTATTTTTCTGTACCAGCTGCAGCAGAGATTCAATATGGACTGGGGTGAGAGGTTTGGGAGTCTTACTAGGCTTCTTAATTCACCAGTACTTTCTTTTAATTATACACAATAGTGCTGTTTCTTCACTAGATGGTAGCTCCTTTTTATTTTGGGTAGTGGTAGTGGCATGATTTCTGGTTTTGTAGTTCTCTTTTGTTTCTATAGGACCGTGAATTTCCATCGCTCGCTTTCTCTCTGTGCCACAAACTTGTCAAAGGATGTCTTCCCACTTCTAAGTTGTCTCTCTCCCTGCCAGAAGCAATGCCTTCCCTAATTCCTGGCTGCATGTATTTTCATACCTTCCCTTCTGTTCAGTTCCTTAGTAGCCACTGCTCTGATCCACTCAGACCTATCCTCATTATTTTCCCACTTGGAATGGGACTGTCTTTTGTGGGTAACTTTTATCTGTCTGACCTTTCTGGAACCCTCCTGCCCTCTCCACTGCATAGTCTCTGCCTGACTGTCTACTCTAGTGTGGGCTTTGGAGCTGGTTTTGGGGGTTCATTTCTCTTAACTTCCATAAGTTGAAGTGTGTAATATTTTCTGACTCCTAATGTAGTAGGCATGGATTGGGGTGGTTTTGTTGTCCTTGTTGATCTGTATAGTTTTTGTGGGATAGGTGGAAAAGTTGGAATTTGGGCAGCTGGCATTGTTTTACAGGAAACTGCTTTTTGATTTTATGTTTTATCTTCGAAATTCTTTATAAAAATATCTTGTTTGTATTCTTCAAGAACTCTTTCTTGTTCTCTGCTTATTGTTTTAATTGTAACTCTGTTCTCATTTCAAGGACATACTGTCTTCTCTGGGGACATTTATTATGGCTTCTTAATATGTATTCCAGGGAGAATATTACATCTTTTTAAAAAGTATTTCTCTTCCCATTGCATTGACTTTTACTTCTACTTCTTTAAAAAAATATATATATATTTATTTATTTATTGAAATTGGCAGATAAAATTGTATTTATCATGTACAACATGATTTCTTGAAGCACATGTACATTGTGGAATCATTAAATCTAGCTAATGAACATACATCACTTCATATGGTTATATATTTGTGGTGAGAACACTTAACGTCCACTCTCCTAGTATTTCTCAGGAATACAATATGTCATCATTAGCTATAGTCACCATGGTACCTCTTTTTCTAAAAAGGAAAATTCGTTTGGGGATCTCTTGTTCTCATCGATAGTTTCCCCAACCGTCTGGTATTCCCTGGCTGTCTGATCACATGTGCTGATGAAGTGCCACAAAGCTGAGGGCAGCTCTGGCATGGGCCCTGGGGACTTATTCCTGGTTGGTGAGTCAGCTTTTACATGGAGGGCACCTTCTCTGATCCATATTTGATGTCTTTTCACTGGGCAACCCATTTTCTCCAGAGACCAATCTTCTAGTATTTTCCCTGGGAGAGGTGAGAATGGAGTTCACCTGGTTGCTGAAACTGAAAAGGCGGGGTGAGTCAAGGGCTCATGGCACTCCTGCTCTTTGGGGTGCAGATCTTCTCTCAATTCCCCGCTTTGCAGTACTCTGTACTTGTAAGTCCTAAGCTCTTGGGGGATTGAGAGGGTCTCTAGACTCCTAATGAGCCCTTGGCTAGGCACCTGTGTTTTGTTTCCATGTCTCTTCTTAATCTGTCATTATCCCTCCAGCAACTTTGCATTTTCCAAAAGGTTCTTGAACTTTTTCATCCACCATTGCCTCATAGATCTTTTTTAAAATTCCTTTAACTGTCACTTTGTGGTTTCAAGTGAGAGAAGAAATAGATGCATGTGATCATATTTTTAAGTTATAATTGATTATATTAAGTAGCAACACACTCAGTTCTGTACTGATCTAGATAATTTCAGCTTATTTTCCTAACGTTTACTAGAACAAAATAAAGTCACACTCTTTTCCAGAAAGATAATTATATTTCTCAGTCAATCCAACTGCCTAAAATAATTTTACTTTATTTAGACAGTCCAACTGCCAGAAAAAATCCCCAGTTGTATTACACTTTGGAATTTTCTCTTCGATGAATGGATATAGGTCCGCTCTGTGGTAAATGATTCTCCTGGTAGGATAGAGACGCGGGTCTAGGCTTGTGATGGCAGAGTGAAGATAGGAAGTATGATTACAAAGAATATAAGTGGATAGGAAAGACTAGTAACTAACGTGGCCCCAATCAGAATTAAATAAAAAACAGGGTTGCTTTATCTTAAATGCCAACATTTTTTTAAAAAGCATGGTTGGAAGTTGAGAATTGCATGCAGTATGAAGCTACATATGTTGATCATATTTGACACTTCTCAGCTCTATTTTTTTCTACTTGTTGATAGAGTGCCTCATTGAAAGCCCCCTGCTGATTTAATTAGCAAATGCCAATTAGAATTACAGCTGGTTAGATTTGGGTACAAGTGTGAAGCAATTGATCTCTTGAGAATGAAAATGTTTTGCTTTCATACTCTCTAGGGAAAACATACTTATAATGGATTTCACAAATATTGTGAAAATATATTATTTGGTAACATGTGCTACTAAATATGCTTCCCGATTCAATCATTATCTTACCTATCTGTGGTTGCTAGTCTTGGCTGGTCCTGACTTTTCTTAATCACTTGATTCATGATCTTGGCAGATCACTCAACCTCATTGAGCCTTTTTGTTCTCATCTGTAAAATGGTCCTATTAATGCCTACTTTACTCTTTTACACAGTTGGAAAAATCAGACACGATTATAGTTGTGAAAGTGATCTGACAGCATGAAGTGCTATTCAAGATGACACTATTGTCTTCATTGTTATTATTACCACAGTTATTATTTGCTAGCCTGTTAATCTCTCCACCCTTCTAGAGACCCAATTATATACTGAAAAGAGCACACTGGCCTTAGAATCAGAAAATCCTGCCTCTTCCAGTGAGAATTACAGAGTCCCTTAATTTCTGCCTAAGCCTCAGTTTTCCCTTTCAAAAGTAGGATTAGTTATACCAGGATTGTGGTGAGGATCATGACGAAGACGCTTGATGAGATCTGTAAAGAATATTGTAAATCCAAGGGATTATTTTTGTGATTCTTCATTTTCTCATAGATTTGCCAAGCTGAATATTAAAAGTGTGTTTGGAATAAAAAAGTACGGATTTTATTAGATGATCTTAATGTCAGTGAGATTTGCGCTGAGGGATAGTTGGGAATAAATGAATGAGGAATGAATGGAAGAATCCAGCAGAGATTCACAAACCATCTAGGGATGAACCAAAGGGTTTTAAGCCATGCTCTCCCCTTGGAAAAGTAAACACATGGGATCCCCATGTAGAACCCACATTCTTCAGTGTCAGTGGGATGGGAAATGAAATACCTTCCTTCATATGGACTTAGCCCATTTAGAATATAGGCTGTTCTCCTGTCCACTTTTGTTATTGATTTGAATAGCATTAATCTATTTTTCCTTGGTATCTAACATTTCTCTCTTTGTGTTTTATGTTGTTAGAAAATCATATGTACTTATTTGAAGGTAAAGATTATTCTAAAGAGCCCAGTAAGGAAGACAGAAAATCATTTGAACAACTGGTAAACCTTCAGAAAACCCTTTTGGAGAAAGCTAGTCAAGAGGGCCGATCACTCCGAAATAAAGGCAGTGTAAGAACTGTTAATTTATTTAAAAGTTGTTCTTCCAAACTCTCATTCTAAAACAAACAAAAAAATGATGCTGGCATCGTTTTGTTCTCTTAGGATGATTTGTCAAGAAATAAGTATGTGTTTGCTGAAATGTTATTATAATTAACTATACCCTAGTATAAAAACTATGTAAAAAAGTCAGCATGAAAAACATAAAGGAGAGAATATATTGTACGATGTCATGTAGGTGAAAGCAGCCTTGTCCATCCAAGTCACCCCTAAAGGCATTCCTATATTATACCAAAATACCATATCCTGCTGTTGGTAATGATGACCCTATGACAAGAAGAGAGGATGGCAATCATAAATGATATATGTAGTGTTCACAGTGTTTGGCAGTTAACGTGGTCATTAAATGCTAGCTATCACTAAGATAATCATGATGTTGAAATACAATCTTAAAAAAGTTACATAATACATTGCAGAAAGAGTTCCATTAAAAATGGCTGAAGTGGCATCCTGCAGGGTATGCTTTTAGTCAAGGAAAAAAGTTACTTTTCTGAAGTAACTTATTCCTAATGAAATGAATCAAAATGACTGTTTCAACCATGCCAATGCTAGGGCTGAGTTTACAGCATGGTATCCTGGTCACTGTGCCTGTGAAGTGTGTAGTATGAACAGTGCCTCCAAGTGCTTTGCCTCCAGTTCCCACCATGCAGGGTGTGTGGAGATGCAGTGTTCTGTGGAATATTAAGCATGTTGCTTCCGTACAGTGTGTGTTAGGGATAATGAAATTCGGGGAGGAATCTTCTTGACCCTGGTGATGGATCTTGTTCTTCCTCTAGGTTCTCATCCCAGGCCTTGTGGAGGGATCTACCAAAAGGAAGCGGGTTCTGAGTCCAGAAGAGCTGGAGGACAGACAGAAGAAAAGACAAGAAGCAGCTGCCAAGAGAAGGAGACTCATAGAGGAGAAGAAGAGGCAAAAGGAAGAGGCTGAACATAAGAAAAAGTATGTCTGCGTTAACCAAGCTGGCGGCCACAGTTGAAGGAGTCACTATTGTATAGTGAGACCACAGTTGAATATCACTTTAAAAATACAGAAAATTCATTTTAAGTTGGTTCCTATTGGTAACAGAATACTTTCTGAAAACATTTCCTCTAGGTAAGTGAAAAGTCTCAGTGTATAAGGCAGGGAAGATGCATTCCATTAAAACCAGAATTGTTTTCTTTTTTCTTTTGAGATGGGTTCTTGCTCTGTTACCCAGGCTGGAGTACAGTGGTATGGGCACAGCTCATTCAGCCTCAACTTCCCATGCTCAGTGATCTACCCACTATAACCTCCCTAGTAGCTGGGAACACAGGTGTGTGCCACCATGCCTGGCTAATTTTTTTTATTATTTGTAGAGACAGAGTTTCACGGTGTTGCCTAGGCTGGTCTCAAGATCCTAGGCCCAAGCTGTCTTTCTGCCTTGACCTCCAAAGTGCTGGGATTACAGGCGTGAGCTACCATGCCCGGCCAAAACCAGAAGATTTTAAGATTTTATTGTAGCTATCTGACAAAGAATAATTTACTTCAACAATCTCTTTTAGTCTTAAAAACAGGAACATTCAGGGAGTGCTCATTATTGAATTGTAGTCAGGAAGCAGTTAGCCTAATCAGTAAGACTTGTTTACAAATAAGTAGAAAACTTCAATCAGGGTGAGTTTCTAATTGCATTTCTACTTGGCAGATATTGTTTGTGAACAGCAGTATAAAATGTGCTCCAAGGGAAATTGTGATTGTCTGGGTTAATTTCCTTTTGTCTCTGGCCTGCTAAAGGATGGCCTGGTGGGAATCCAACAATTACCAGTCCTTCTGCCTGCCCTCTGAGGAGAGCGAGCCAGAGGACCTTGAGAATGGGGAAGAGAGCTCTGCTGAGCTGGATTACCAAGACCCAGATGCTACTTCCCTCAAGTACGTTAGTGGTGATGTCACCCACCCTCAGGCTGGGGCCGAGGATGCTCTCATTGTGCACTGCGTAGGTACGAGAAGTGGTATGGGCTGGGGATGGGGGCCTCAGTCCTTATGGTGCCAAGAACTGGGGAGGATGGGGCACTGGGACTGGGGTGGTGGTCCCAGTGTAGTATTGTACAGTCAAAAAAGTGTGAATTTTAGAGTCAGGAGATATTCCAGAATCATTTCACTCTTGGCTTTCTCATTTACCTGGTTTAGTTACCCAACCTTTCAACTTCAACTTCCTTATCCATATGATGGGACAATATCTGTCTTATCCTCTGCACAAGGTTTTTAAGAGGGTGAAATGAAGCAACATTGATAAGACAAACAAATCCTTTGAGAAAAAGCAAAACTTCAAGCTTGTTCCCTTGCTTGACCTTTGTACTTTTTACTTCATCTGCCTAAAACCCTTTCTTCCCAAATAACCACATCAAGTGTTGTTCAAATGTCTGTTTCTCAGAGAGGTCTTCTGTGATTACCTCATATAAAACAGGCCCCATCCCCCCTGTTATTCTCTGTCCCTTCTCCCATATTTTCCTTTATCACACCTGTCCCACCTGACACATTACCTATGTATTTGTTTATTTGACTGTTGCTTTGCATTAAAAAATACACTTATGGCAGCAGGGGTTTTTTCTTGTTCGCTGCTGTGACTGTGGTGCCTAGAACGATGCCTTACGTGTAATACATGCTACCAAACGTTTGTAGTGTGAATGAATGACTATAAATGCTAAGATACTAAGCAGCTTTGTTAGTACCAGCTTGAATAAGTCACTTAACCTTTCCTGTGTACTGTTTCATAACCTTGCCTATGTGCTGTTGCATAACCTATTGCTTCTACTCACTCTGTAATGTTCCATCTACTCTCCGTCCTTCCGCAGTCATTTGCCAGGAATCACAGATGCACCACAGAGATTTTGCTCATTGAGAACCCTAATTTTTGAGATGCTTTCCTGTTATCATGGCCCCAGCTATATCTTCCAGAAAACATAAACATATTTGGGAAGTCCAACCTGTGATATTCCTAGGAGATAAGATATTTTGTTTCTTCCCTTTGAAAAATCATTCTTCCACAAGTCCCTTTTGTGTGCCTTTGTTTTTCTAAATTGTGCACTGGACTTCACCTCCTATAGATGAAAATTTTCTCTTTCTTCAAACAGATGACTCTGGCCACTGGGGCAGAGGTGGTTTATTTACAGCTCTGGAAAAGCGATCCGCTGAGCCAAGAAAAATATATGAGCTGGCTGGGAAAATGAAAGGTAAGAAGCAAAGCAGAGGGAAAGGTTAAGGGTGGAATAAGAGAGAAGAGGACACCTAAGACTGTATCGTGAGGGTTACACAGCACTAGATAAGGAATTAGAATAACCAGTTGGGGACTGAATTCTGTCATAAATTAGCTACTTGTTCTGTGACTTCAAGGCATTCCTTTACCTTTTCTGTACCTGTTTCCTCATCTGTGATTTGTGAATAATACTTGTTCTGCCTACTTCATAGAACTGTAGTAAGCATAATAAATGTGTGTATTCTGAAAAATGTTGATCCCTGCATACATGTTAAAGTATTGGAATGGGCTGGACACAGTGGCCCATGCCTGTAATCCCAGACTTTGGGAGGCTGAGGCAGGAGGATTGCTTGAGGCCAGGAGTTTGAGACCAGCTTGGGCAACATAGTGAGATCCTGTCTCTACCAAAAATTTAAAAATTGGCTGGATGTGGTGGTGCATGCCCGTAGTTCCAGCTACTCAGGAGGCTGAGGTGGGAGGATCACTTGAGTCTAAGAGGTTGAGGTTGCAGTGAGCTGTGATTACACCACTGTACTACAGCCTGAGTGAGAGTGAGACCCTGTTTCAATAAAAAAAAAAAAAAAAAAAAAGAAAAAGAGAACTATTGGAATAAACATGAAGGAATATGTCATGAAAATATCAAAGATCTATGGGAAGCCGGGCGTGGTGGCTCACAGCTGTGATCCCAGCAATTTGGAAGGCCGAGACGAGGCAAGGAATTCAAAACCAGCCTCACCAATATGGCAAAGCCCTGTCTCTACAAAAAAATACAAAATTAGCCAGGCATGGTGGCACATGCCTGTAATCCCAGCTACTCAGGAGGCTGAGGCAGAAGAATCACTTGAACCTGGGAGGTGGAGGTTGCAATGAGCTGAGATCATGCCATTGCACTTCAGCCTGGGTGACTGAGCAAGACTGTCTCAAGAAAAAGACCTATGGGAGAGAAATTGGACATACCATTAAAATGCTGACAAGAACTCGGGTTTGGTGCTGAGTGGAATGAAGATGTGTTAAGAGGTCAGCACAACCTTGGGTATAACACTCCCTGGAGACAGAAATAAAGCTGTTGGGTGCCAGGGGAACTTAGAAGCCTGAACAATATTGTCCTTTGGCACAGAGAAGGGAAAAAGGCACCTCCTTTTACATCCAGAAATAACAAAGTGGCAAGAATAAAATTATTATTGTGGTGATTTTCTGGAGATTGAAGGACCTTGTCTGATAGAGAAGGGCCCTCCAGATTCCTTAGATATTGTTTTTTCCTAATTCTGCCCAGTTCTCTATGGTGGAAAGGGATATAAGAACTTAGAATGACTACTTTTTCTAGTAAAACAAGTTACTGAAAGAAGGGTTTAATGTGTGTTGAAATAGTCAATCCAGATCTAGATGCTGATTGGGCAGTTGGCAAAGCAAAACCCAGGGAAGGTCAGAGCTGGAGGTGCAGATTGAGGAGTCCCTGTTTGGAGTCTGTGTTTAAAATCATGTGGGAGAGAGGATGGAGAAATGAGAGGCAGAGAACAGACCTGGAAAACACCTCTACTTAGGACTTGAGGCAAGAAGATGGAATTTCTGACAGAAGGAATTGTCAGACAATTAGGGAACCTTGTGCGGTATTTTGAGGTACAAGGGAGGAAAGTATGTCAAGAAGGCAAAGAAGTTCATGGTATTAGACACTGAAGTGAGGATGAATTGGGAAAAGGCCATGGATTTTGACCCAAGGTTGCTCACCTTGGAGCACTTTGAGGAGAGTGGGAAGCTCAGACTTAAGGCCTGAGGGCTCAGGAAGGAAATGGAGATGAGAGTGTGCAGTTTTCTCTGAAGGAGGATTGAAGCAGGTTGCAGCAAAGTAGGTGAAACTGTGGATTCCAATTCCCAGGGAAGGCTTCATGGAGGTCCTGGGCCTGGAAAGGTGGGTTGAATTTGAATAGGTGGAGAGAAATGGCAAGAGGATCCCCAACTGCTCATTACAACACTTACTATTCCTTGTCTGTGGGTATTGAAGGACCCAGGCAGTTAGCCTGTTCCTTTGTGTGGAGGATGGCGTACAGGCCATGCAGGCCAGAGTGGAGGGTTTAGGCAGAAGAATAGAGGAGAGTTTCGTTTTCATCAGCGGCTTGGGCCACATCATAGAAGACGTCACATGATTTGTCCAGGGAGATGCCATTCTGCGCAGAACCTTATCTAATGGAATGGGTAATAGCTGGTCGTTTTGGGGGATTTGATCAAAAGGATGGCATAGCACAACCAGTATTTTAGAATGACTGAACAAAAAGTTCAAACTGGTATCAACCTAACCAATAGACAGGGTCTGTAAAATAAAAGGAACAAAGGTTTTTTGTTGTTTTGTTTTTGTTTTTGAGATGGAGTCTCATTGTCTGGAGTGCAGTGGCCCGATCTTGGCTCACTGCAATATCCACCTCCCAGGCTCAGGAAATCCTCCTGCCTCAGCCTCCCAAGTAGCTTTGTACCACAGGCGCACACCACCATGCCCGGCCACTCTTTTGAATTTTTGGTAGAGACAGGGTTTTGCCATGTTGCCCAGGCTGGCCTCAAACTCCTGAGCTCAAGTGGTCCACCTCCCTCAGCTTCTCCAAGTGCAAGGATTACACACATAAGCCACTGCACCCAGCCTGAGGTTTTTAAGGAGAAATGAGGAAGATTACATACTTTTTTTGAATCAGTTATCCTTGGCTACAAGGATTAGTAAGGGTGGCACCACGCCGAGGTTGGGCAGGCAGTTGATGAGCAGATGTCTTTGCAGAAGTATATTTTTATGTAAGCTTGCCAGGGCCCTTGTGCAAGGTCATGGGTTTTGTAAAATCTGTTGTGATAGTTCTTGTTATCAGACGTTTATGCATTAGAACCTTCCCTTCATGGCCTTCCCTGGCTCTATTTGTCAGAGTTTTGTTTTATTTTTTGAGATAGGGTCTCACCCTGTCACCCAGGCTGGAGTGCACTGGCGTGATCATAGCTCACCACAGCCTCGAACTCCTTTGCTCAAGAGATCCTCCCACCTCAGCCTCCCAAGTAGCTAAGACTACAGGTTCACAACACCAAACCTAACTTTTTCTTATTTTTTGTAGAGACTGGGTCTTGCGCCTTGTTGCCCAGGTTAGTCTGGAACTCTGGCTTCCAGCAATCCTCCCACCTCAGCCTCCCAAAGCACTGGGATTATAGTCATGAGTCACTGTGCTCGGCCATATATGTCAGTTTTTAACACAAGCATCTCTATTTTGATTCTAACCGCTTTCACATCAGCTTATGTAAAGCCATAGAATTAAATTAGCACATTTTTCTTCACTATCAGTTTTACTTGATTTGGATGGGGTAGGAAAATATATTATACAAACAGGTAGAGATAAAGTAGAATGTAATAATTTGAATGATTTAGGACAAGCACAAAACTACCAAAGGAATTTCAAGCTCATAGTGCTCCCTCCCCAAAGCCCCCCAGCTACCTCTGGGTTTTGTATTCACTTTCTGATGTCTACAGGGGTACTTTGTTGTTAATGTTTGAGGAGCATTAAATTAGGAGATCATAAAAATTCAGGAGTGAAGCAGGTGAGTACCCAGCTAAGAGGTTGACTGAGGCCAGGAAAGTGAGAAAGGGCTGTGTAGGAAGGTGGGTCCTGAAACCCAACTGAATTTGAAGAAGGCGAGATACGAGGAGGATTCATTCATTAGTGAACTTGGTGTTCTTTATGTTGCTCCTTTCTGTTTTACCTCAGACCTGAGTTTGGGAGGTGTCCTTTTATTTCCTGTTGATGATAAAGAATCAAGAAACAAAGGGCAAGATTTGGTAAGTAAAACCCATCTCTTCTCAGAACTACAAGTGGACTCACATCAACTTCTCTTGAAGTGTCCCCTGCCCCAATTGGCCTCTCTGCTAGTGTATTAGTTTGTTAGGGCTGCCATAACAAAAAGACACAGACTAGGTAGCTTAAACAACAGAAATGTATTTCCTTATAGTTCTGGAGGCCGAAAGTCCAAGATCAAGGTATCGGCAGGTTTGGTTTCTCCCGAGGATTCTCTCCTTGGCTTGCAGATGGCGGTCATCTTGCTGTGCATGCACAACCCTGGTGTCTGTGTGTCCAGATTTCCTTTCTTATAAGGATAGCACTCAGAATGGATCAGGCCCCACCCTAAACCCTTGTTTTAACTTCATTGCCCCTTTAAAGACTCTGTCTCTAAATACAGTAAACATGAGGTACGGGGGGTTGGGGCTTCAATATATGAATTTGGGGGGACACAGTTCAGCCTATAACAAGCAGATTGGGCCATAGTCTCCACTGTACTTCCCCTGTCCCCAGGCTTCCATCCATCTGTCCCCGGAGCACCGTCCAGATAGCAGATCCCATCTTAAGTACGAGGATTTCTATTTGTCTTTTTATCCTCAGTACCCTACATAGTACTAGCTCATAAGAAATGCTCCATAAACATTTACTGCATGAGTAAGAAGGCATGACTCAGAACTCTGACGGTTTCATTTCTTACTATGTGAAAATTTCTATGAAAGATTGTGTTTTCTAGTCAGCCATAATAAAGCAGGAGAGAGGAACTAACACATATGTCCTCTGCCCACATCAGAATCCTTTTGCATCTTAGGCATCTTGGGATGCCTGTAGTGAGTTTGATTTACCCCACCTACCTGGCTTTCTCCAAGGCCTGGGTTCATGTTCAGATTTTAAGCCAGAATTAAGAAATTTCAAAATCAGGCCAAAAGAGAGGCTCATCCTTTTGAGGTTGCTGTCTATGTGACTGTGTTAGGCTGTTTTTGCACTGTGATAAAAGAATTCCCTGAGACTGGGTAATTTACAAAGAAAAGAGATTTATTTGCTCATGCTTCTGCATGCTGTACAGGAAGCCTGATACTGACATCTGCTCCTGCTGGGGGCTTCAGGAAGCTCACAGTCATGGTGGAAGGCAAAGGGGAAGCTAGTGTATCACACATGGCAAGAGCAGGAACAAGAGAGAGTGGGGGAAGGTGCCACACTGCTTTAAATAACTAGATGTCATGTGAACTACCAGAGCAAGAACTCATCACCAAGGGTATGGCATTAAGCCATCCATGAGGGATCCACCCCATGATCCAATACCTCCCACTAGGCCCCACCTCCAACACTGGGGATTACATCCTAACATGAGATTTGGAGGGGGACACACATCCAAACTACACAGTGACTAACAGCAAAGTGGTTTCTGTTGAGTCATTCCTTCAGTAATTTCTAAAATGCTAAAAAAGGAGAAAAGTAAAGTGTCTGTGCATGAGAAACTCAGAATCCAGTGATTCAGGAAAACTGTTTACAGGGAGTAGAGCACCATGTCTATGATATGACTGTGGTGATGTCATCCCGGAAGCTCCCTTGACACTCTCCAGCTCGCCCACTTAGGTTAGGATGGTTGAGAGATACTTGGCATTTTGTCCTCATGGGAATTGTTCGAACAGAGATGGAATGACTGCTTGTCCTGGGGGTTGTGGAGCTGACTCAGGCATCAAAGGGCTGGGATACAGGAGCCTCTAAGATCTTTTCCATGCCTACAATTCAGAAAAATTCTCTTTTTTTTTTTAACCCTTGAGAGCTTTTGGAAAGTATATGTTTTGGACTCATTCTCTGGTTTTAAAGTATTTTAAAAAGAAGAAGAAAACCCTGTATAAAGTGACCACAAAGTAAGAATTATGACGGGATATGAAGTCATACATATAGTAGGACATTGCTGTTCAGGCATAGCATCCGAAAGAGACAGAGCCAAGCCCAAGTGACCCATCAAGGGCTGTGCCGCCTCCATGGGCGGTCACTTGGTTGAGTGTGGCTGTTTCATGTTGGGTTGGTCATCTAATGGTGGTTCTTTCCAGTTGGCCTTGATTGTGGCTCAGCATCGTGATCGTTCCAATGTCCTGTCTGGCATTAAGATGGCAGCCCTAGAAGAGGGCCTGAAGAAGATATTTTTAGCAGCAAAAAAGAAGAAAGGTAAGCTCTTCCACCTGTGCTCAAGAGTAGATGAATTTGTTTCTAGGCATGTGATACGACTTTTGAAGGGAGGTAAGAAATGTCAAGATCCCACTTAATATGCACGGTAAAGGCAAACCACAGAAGTGATCACCCCACCGTCTTGTAGTCATATAGCCCCTTGTCCTTTCCAAAACACTTTTAATACCGGTTATCTCTGTAGGCCGTCTCCATCCCCCGGGTATTTTTATCGTGATTTTACAGATGAGGTGGCAGAGGACTAGACATGAAGCAACTTGGTCATATGTAGTTGGTAAATGCTGTTTATTTAATCTCCTCTTGGAGAGTCACAGTTCCCAATAACAGACAGTTCTTCGACAAAAATTGAGTTTAGTTTTGTTTCGAAACCTAGTGTGTCTCAGAGCTTATTGAATTGATTGGCTTGTTAGAGAATCTTTGCTTATTTTAATTTTGCCTCCACCAATCATAATCTATTTCCAATTGTATGTATTTCCAGAACTTGTAGGTCCTTGTGTTCAACAGAATAATTTAATTTTTCTTACTACAATTCTTCCCCCGGAATATTTTTGACATTATAATTATGGGCTTTGAGGGAGATAGTCAATAATAATTTTCTCCCATGTGTATTTTATACCCATCAATCAATTTTTGATGAGTGAAGACATGTGTTCTTCTCTTCATAATAGCAAGTGTTCATCTTCCACGTATTGGACATGCCACGAAAGGTTTTAACTGGTATGGTACTGAGCGACTTATTCGGAAACATCTGGCTGCAAGAGGCATCCCAACTTACATGTATCCTTTTGTGATCTTCATTGTGTGTTCTCCCAACCCAAGAGGGAAAATGTGTTCATTTTCTGGTGTCAGTTCTTAATCCAAGACCAAGTTTCTTCCTGCCACAGTCTTTACTTTCCCCCTCTTCAGTGAGACAAAGAAAGAAGCACTTTCTAACTTGTGTGTATCAAATATGTACACCCAACAGGATCAACACATCCAAGCATTTCTGGATGCCAGCAGATAAATTAAAAGATACATGAAGGGGAGAATTAATTGAGCAATTGTTAATTTGGTAACATATTGAGTCTGTCACATCACTTCTCTAGAGATCCTTCAGGTCTGTGGAACAAGGCTTAATTCTAAGAACTTCACACTGTTCATTTTAATGAACAGTTAAGCAAACAAATAAGTGAACTATTTTATTCCTGAACCTTTTTGATGTATTGTTAAAAAGCAGTATGAAATTTATTTTAACCATGAAGTCATGATCTACTTTAGCTAGACTAGCGTTTTCTTCTAATGACCTCCTTGCTCTATAAGTTAGCATATTTTGAACTATTATATTGAGTCCCAAAATTACTAGAGAAAGCAGAATTGACCCCAAGTGCTATAATCACACAGAAACTCCATCTTTTTACATATTTGACTGAAATTCACTCAGTGATGGTCTTCAAGATATTTAAATCACTGTAAAAACTTAGAGAAGCCAGCTTTTATGTGCTTGCACAATTCGAGCAGTATCTAAAGAGTTTTAGTACTCTGAAAACAACAGCAGCAATAAGTACTAATATTGAAAGTGTTTATGATATCGTGAGAGAATTAAAGCATACTACTTCTAGAACAGTTATTTCAATAATTACTAGAGAACTAGTCGTTTTGGTAAAGTTGGTTTAAAGTGATGACATGTATCTTCCTTGACCATCCTTATCAGATATTATTTTCCTAGAAGCAAGTCTGCTGTCCTTCATTCACAGTCTTCATCTTCCTCCTCAAGACAGCTGGTGCCTTAAGAATTGGCCCAGCCTCAGATCCTGTCTTTAGCAACCAGCTAATATTTACCCAGAGGTACTGCAATAGAGTATTTCAAAATGGAATCAGGATCTGGTGGGCCTCAGAAATTGTCTCTTTTCTGAGTTTCAGTTTGGTTCTCCTGGATGTTTTGCTCTGTTTTGGTACCTGTAATATAGGGAAACACAACTTTTTTTGGGAAAGCCCTTTGACCCCAGCTTGCTAGTTGCATAATAATAAATTTTCTGTTCCTAATGGTTTTATTGCTTTCTTTCCCTTACATCTAGTTTTCTTCTCCTCTACCAGACTGATTACTTTATAGAGGGAAAGCCTGTATGGATTAAGGAGACATGAAAGGTCATAAAACAGGGTGGCTCTGGGAGAAGGAAGCACCTTCAGCCAGTTCATGCCTTCAAAAAGAAAGGACCCAGGAAGAGACACTGAGAAGTGAGATTCTTTATCCAGACAAATAGTGTACCTCCTCTCCTTTTTGCACTGCACAACATCAAGATCTGGAAAAAAATACATTGATCTAGAGTTTGTCAAATGTGACTTCAGAAAAACCACAGGATCTTTTTTCTTCTAGCCACCAAATCCAATTCAGCTTCAAGGAATAAGGGAATTGTGAAAAGGGCGCAATCCCATCACAGCATGACTGATGATATTGGGGAGGGTAGGAGACCGAGAACCAACAGAGAAGGAGTCATGGAGGGAAGACTGTAAGTCGTGGCTTTCCACACCTGTGTGTGTCTCAGTCTTGGCTGAGTATTCTCACCCAGCATAATTTCTGCTGACTTGAGGCCATCAACACCTAGAGTGCTATGGAGGCCTCATGAGAAGTCTCAGTCCTGGGCTTTGATGTGGGGAACTCTGGCTATTGGACTCAGAGCCAGGACCATGGTCTTCTAAGGAAGGTGGTACCTGTGTTTTACTGTTCTGAGTCTCTTCTCACATATTCACCCTTCATTAATATAGCATCATGCTGAAGACCTATTTCATCAAAAATTCAGCATTCCTTAAATTTTTTTTCCCAAAACTTGCATCGATTTTAACTGCCTCCTATCCACTACTCTTCCCACCACCCTTAACATGTAGGTTATTATACCAACTTTAACTTACTGATTTGTATCTTAAGTCTTGCCTACAACTGGAAGCAAAATTAGAACTCCACAAAGGGAGAATGTAGTGAAACCTAACCTAATGCACGAGTAAGCTGCTGTGCCTTTCAGAAGCAGTCAGGGTGCAAACAGGTGGAGTATTAGGAAATACAAAGAAAACTTGACTGGGCACCATGCAAAAGCTGTAGATCCTCTTGGAAAGCTGTGCTCATTTCTGAGGGCAGAACACATAGGGCTAGCTGGGGATGTTTTTGAACATCCAAGAGAAGCATCACAGCAGGCAACTTGCTTCTAAAGGGAACGTCGCTGACCTTTCAGGGACAGTTGTCTTTTGTGGGGAGAAAGCCTTTTTTCCCCCTATTCTGTCAACCATGGTCCAGTGTGGGATTTTTCTCTGGATGTAGTCCCTGAACCATGAACCTTGGTCTTGTAAGCTGGACATAAAGAGTACAGATGAAGATCAGAAAACACATGTAGCACATTCTCCCTTAAATGTGGGGTCACTTCTCAGTGGCAATGCCCTGATTTGCTTGCGCACCTCTCTTAACTCTTGAGTCGAAAACACTGCCCTACTACGTATTCAGAAATCTGCCCTAACTTTTATAGTCCCTTCGTTCTTTCTATCAAAGAGGTATCATTCTCTGGGAAAGTAGAATGAGACAGGCTATTCTATTTACCCCAAGGGATTGTTCTCTTTCTTCCACACCATATCTTTGATGCTATCTCGCTGTCCCCTCTGAGGATGGAGCCAGGAGGATGATACCAGATTTTATTCACTGATGAGCTCTTGTAGACTAAACATCAGCTTTTGTGCATCCTAACCATCAGCATAAAAATCCCACTTATTGAGACCATGAGGACCTTAAGTCTATGGAAATTTTTCTAAGTATAGGCTCATATTTTCTTGACTTTTAATACATTTTTCTTACAACAAGCCTACAACTTCTTTTATTTTTTTGCCCCATAAAACTATACTAAGTTAATTAACCCTTTAAAAATATAGCTTGAGTCAGCCATTTTTGAGCCCTAAACTATTTCTACATCTGTATTTTCTGTTTTCCCGTCTACTGACTGAAGTACAGTTGTCCCTCAGTATCCATGGCAGATTGGCTCCAGGACCTCCCATGGATACCAAGATCTGGGGATGCTCAAATCCGAAAGACAAAATGGCATAGTATGTGCATATAACCTCACATCCTCCTGTATACTTTAAATCACCTCTGGATTACTTATAATACCTAGTAAGATGTAAATGCTATGTAAATAGTTGTCATACTGTATTTAGAAAATAATGACATGGAAAACAGTCTGTACATGTTCAGCACAGATGTAATTTTTAAAAAATATTTTTCATCCACAGTTGGCTTAATCCATAGATGTAGATGCCACAGATACAGAGGTCTGACTGTGTAAACTCATCTAGCATTACTTAACTTTTCACCACAATCTGCCTTCTTGTTTCCAAAAGACATCTGCAGTTTCACACTTGGGCTCATGCTGGTGTGTCTCCTTATGCTGGTACCTCTTCCTCGACTGCCTTACTCCTCTATTTTCCCAGCATCCATCATCTCCTATCAAATCTAGTCTTTAAGAACCCAGAAAAAGGCATTTTCTGCATTCCCACTAAAATGTAATCTCTCAGGGCTACCAATGACAGCTGGGTTTATAGCACTTACTTTGTTGTGCTCCCTATTGTTCTCATCAGTGTATTCACTTAACCCTTGCCTAGACAGCGAGGTCTTTGAGAAAAAAGGGCGGATTCAAGCTATATTTTTAAAGGGTTAATTAACTTAATAGAATGTAGTTTTTATGGGGCAAAAAAAAAGTTGTAGGCTTGTTATAAGGTAAAGAAAAATGTATTAAAAGTCAAGAAAATATGAGCCTATACTTATAGAGAAATTTCAAATCCATTAGCTGACACTCAAATCTTTGTTGAGTTGAAATCGTATGGAAATAACTGGCTATCAATTTGGGGACTATAATAAACTAATCTTAATTATAGTTTAAATCTTAATATAAAACGAGAATACGGAAAGAAACGTCATTTTTGTGGTGTCAGACTAACAGTTTCCCCCTTTTATTTATTTATTTTTTTTGAGACAGAGTCTCTGTCACCAGGCTGGAGCGCAGTGGCACAATCTCGGCTCACTGCAACCTCTGCCTCCCAGGTTCAAGCAATTGTCCTGCCTCAGCCTCCCAAGTAGCTGGGACTACAGGTCTGTGCCATCACCCCCAGCTAATTTTTGTATTTTTAGTACAGACAGGGTTTTACCATGTTGGCCAGGATAGTCTTGATCTCTTAACCTCGTGATCCACCTGCCTTGTCCTCCCAAAGTGCTGGGATTACAGATATGAGCCACCGTGCCTGCTCCCGCTTTTTTTTTTTTTTTTTTTTTTGAGATAGAGTCTCACTCAGGCTGGAATGAAATAAAGAGGAATGAATTTCTTGAGACAAATGAAAATGAACACACACTAAAACCCATGCAATACAGCAAAAGCAGTTCTTAGTGGGACGTTTATAGCAGTAAGTGCCTACATCACAAAAGGAGGAAGATCTTCAGCAATGTAATATTGTATTATACCTCAAGGAACTAGAAAAAAGAACAAACTAAACACAAAATTAGTAGAAGGAAGGAAATAATAAAGATCAGAGCAGAAATAAATGGAACAGAGACTTAAAAAATTACAAAAGATTGGCCAAGTGCGGTGGCTCATGCCTGCAATCCCAGCACTTTGGGAGGCCGAGGCGGGCGGATCACCAGGTCAGGAGATTGAGACCATCCTGACTAACATGGTGAAACCCCGTCTCTACTAAAAATACAAAAAATTAGCCAGGCGTGGTGGCAGGCGCCTGTAGTCCCAGCTACTCAGGAGGCTGAGGCAGGAGAATGGCGTGAACCCAGGAGGCGGAGCTTGCAGTGGGCCGAGATTGCACCACTGCACTCCAGCCTGGGCGACAGAGCGAGACTCCATCTCGAAAAATAAAATAAAATAAAATTATGGAAGATCAACAAGATAAAGAGTTGGTTTTTGAAAAGATAAATCTTTAGCTGGACTAAGAAAAAAGTAGACTCCAAATCAGAGACGAAGGAGACATTGCAACTGATTCTACAAAAATATAAGGGATCAGGCTGGGTGTGGTGGCTCATGCCTATAGGCACTTTGGGAGGCTGAATCAGGCAGATCGCTTGAGGTCAGGAGTTCAAGAGCAGCTTGGCCAACATGCTGAAACCCCATCTCTACGAAAAATAGAGGTGGGCACCTGTAATCCCAGCTACTTGGGAGGCTGAGACAGAAGAATCACTTGAACCTGGGAGGCAGAGGTTGCAGTGAGCCAAGATTGCACCACTGTACTCCAGCCTGGGCAACAGAGTGAAACTCCATCTCAAAAAAAAAAAAGGATCATAAGAAACTGTTATGCCAACAAATCAGATCACCTAGAAGAAATAGGTAAACTCTTGGACACATCCAATCTACCAATATTGAATTATAAAGAAACAAAAAATCTGAACAGAGGCCAGTTGTAGTGGTTCACACCTGTAATCTGAGCATTTTGGGAGGCTGAGGTGGGTGGACCACTTGAGCCTGGAAGTGAGAGACCAGCCTGGACAACATAGTAAGACCCTATTTCTACTAAAAATAAAATGAAAAATTAGTTGGGTGTGGTGGTCCACACCTGTGGTGCCAGCTACTCAGAAGGCTGAGGGAGGACTGCTTGAGCCTAGGAGTTTGAGGCTGCGGTGAGCTATGATCACATCAGAACACTCCAGCCTGGGCAACATAGCAAGACACTGTCTCAAAAAAAAAATCTGAACAGACCAATAAAGAACAAGGAGATTAAACCAGTAATAAAAAGCCTCCCAGGGAAGAAAAGCCCAGGAACAGATGGCCTCACTCCTGAATTCTACCAAACATTTAAAGAATTAGTACTAAAAATTTAAGAAAATGGAATACTTCCAAACTTATCCCACAAGGTCAGCATTATCCTGATACCAAAAGCCAAACATATCAAAACCAAACAAGGACATAACAAAAAAAGAAAGAGAACTACAGGCCAGTATCCCTGATGAACATAGATGTAAAAATCTTCAACAACAACAAAATTCAGCAAACCAAATTCAACAACCCATGAAAACGGTCATCCATCATGATCAAGTGCAATTCATCCCAGGAATTTGTGGGTGGTTCAATTTACACAAGTCAATAAATGATACACAGTGTTAACAGAATGACAGACAAAAACCTTATAATCATTTCAACAGATGCAGAAAAGGCATTTGACAAAATTCAAAATTCCTTTATGATAAAAACTCTAAACAAATTATGTATAGAAGGATTGTACCTCAAAACAATAAAGACCATATATGACAAACCCATAGCTAACATCATACCGAATAGGGAAAAGTTGAAACCCTTTATGCTAAGATCTGGAACAAGACAAGCATGCTCACATTGGCCACTACTATTCAACATAGTACTGAAAGTGCTAGCAAGAGAAAGAAAAGTAATTGAAATTGGAAAGGAAGAAGTTAAATTTGTCCCTGTTTGCAGAGACATGATCTTATATAAGAAACCCTAAACTCTCCATCAAAAAAACTGTTAGAACTAATAAATTCAGTAAAGCTGCAGGATACAAAAATGAACAGAATTTATATGCAGTAACAGCAAACTCTAAAAAATCAAGAAAACAATCCATTTGCAATAGCTACCAAAAAATAAAATACTTAGGAAGAAATTTAACCAAGGAGGTGAAAGATTTCTACACTAAAGACTGTAAAACATTCATAAATTAAAGAAAATACAATAAAGTCTTTGTTGATAGATTGGAAAAAATATTGTTATAAAATGTCTATACTACCCAAAGCAATCTATATATAAAGTACAATCCCTATCAAAGTGAAATAGAAAAAAAATGCTAAATTTGTATTGAACCACGGAAGATCCTGAATAACCAAAGCAGTCTTGAGCATAAAGAACAAAGCTGGAAATACCACATTATCTGACTTCAAAATGTACTACAAAGCTGTAGTAACTCAAACAGCATGGTACTGGCATAAGAACAGACATAGATCAATGGAACAGAATAGAGAGACGAAAAATAAATTCATGCATTTACAGTAAATGGATTCTTTACAAAGGCACCAAGAATACACAATGAGGAAAGGACAATGTCTTCAATAAATGATGCTGGGAAAACTGGATACCACATGTAGAAGAATGAAATTAAACTCTCTCATCTTTTATAAGAAAAAATCAATTCAAAATGGATTAAAGACCTCAAACTGTGAAACTTCTAGAAGAAAACATAGGGGGAGACCTTCATGACATTGTTCCAGGCAATGATATGACCTAAATAGCATAAGTAACAAAAGCAAAAATAGACAAATGGAATTACATCACACTGAAAACTTTCTGCACAGCAAGCGATCAACAGGGTGAAGACATACCCTACAAAATGGGAGAAAATGTTTGCAAAGTATGTATTTGATAAGGGATTAATATCCAAAATATATAAGGAACTGAAATAATGCAATAGAAACAAATAACTGGATTTTTTAAATGGGCCAAAGACCTCAATAGCCATTTCTCAAAGAAGACATATAAATGGCCAACAGGTATATGAAAAAAATGCTCAACATCACTAATCATAAGGGAAATACATATCAAAACTACAAGGAAATATCACCTCCTGTTAGAATTGCTATTATCAAAAAAAAAAGATAAGTGTTGGCAAGGATATGAAGTAAAGGGAACCCTTACACACCATAAGTAGGAATATAAATTAGTACAGCCATTATGGAAAACAGTATGGAAGTGCCTCAAAAAATTACAAACTGAACTACTGTATGACAACATATGATTGAGCAATCCCACTACTGGGTCTATATCCAAAGAAAATAAAATCAGTATGCTGAAGATATCTGTTCTCCCTTGTTCATTGCAGCATTATTCACAATAGCTAAGATATGGAAGCTAAGCGTTCATCAGTGGCTAAATAAAGAAAATATATGTATACACAATGGAATACTTACTATTCAGCCTGTAATTTGTGATAACAGATGAACATGGAGGATGTATGTTTAGCAAAATGAACCAGACACAGAAAACTACCATCTGATTTCCCTCATATGTGGAATCTAAGAAGTTGATCTCAGAAGTAGAGACTAGAATGGTGGTTACCAGAGGGTTGGGTGGTTAGTGGGCTTGGGGAGTTGGGGAGATGTTGGCAATGAGTACATATTTACAATTAGGAGAAATAAGTTCAAGACATCTAATGTACAGCATTATCTTGCTAATGTACAGTAAGATGACATTAACGATGTATTGAAAAATATTTAGAATGGATGTTGTGTTCTCACAAATATATCAGATAATGCATATGTTAATTAGCTAGATTTAACCATTCTGCAATGTATATATAAAGAACATCATGTTGTACATGATAAATACGATTTTATATGTCAAACAAATTTGAAAAGGAAAATGGAAAAAATGCATATATAGGAGGATAGCAGACATGACAACATCTGGATAATAGCATTATACAGGACAGAAAGATTAAAATGGAGATGAAAAATTATTAGAATAAATATTGGAGACAAATTTCTCATTAAAGAAAGATAAACTACTTCAAATTCAGTGTTCAGAGAGTACTAAGTAGAAGAGGTGAGAACCCATACCTAGACATATAATGACATCTCCAAACATCTCAGCGGTTTTGCCACAAAGGATTCATTTTAAAAACATTTTTGGAGGAACTGTTTAAATAAGAGAAATAGAACCAGCAGATGTTGGCCTGGACCACTTTACTACCTTGCTAACATGTCTCACTCCTTCACCCCACTTTAGGAACTTAGTGTAGCTCAGAATCTTTTTATTATTCACACACATTTGAATAAATTCTCGGCTAAATATAAAATTTGTTTCAAAGTAATTTTCCAGCAATCCTGAGCAAAAAGAACAAAACTGGAGACATCACATAACCTGACTTCAAAATATGTTACAAAGCTATAGTAACCAAAACATCATGGTATTAGTATAAAAATAAACACATAGACCAATGGAACAGAATAGAGGATCCAGAAATAAAGCCATGTATTTGCAGCCAGCTGATCTTCAACAAAGCCAACAAGATCTTACACTGGGGAAAAAAGACTATCTTCAACAAATAGTGCTGGGAAAATTGGATGGCCACATGCAGAAGAATGAAACTGGACCCCTTACCTCTCACCATACACCAAGTAAATTCAAAGTGCATTAAAGACTTTAAATATAAGACCCAAAACTATAAAAATACTAGAAGCAAATCTAGGGAAAACTCTCTTGGATATTGTTCTAGGCAAAGAATGTATGACTTAAGACCTCAAAAGCACAGGGAACAAAACCAAAAACAGAAAAATGGGACTTAATTAAACTAAAAAGCTTCTCTACAGCAGAATAAATGAGTGAAGAGACAACCTATTAAATGGGAGAAAATATTTGCAAGCCATTCATTTGACAGGTGACTAATATCCAGAATACACAAGGAACTCAAACAACTCAACAGTTAACAACAAAAGAATAAAAAAGTGGACAAAGGACATAATAGACAACTCTCAAAAGAAGACATACAAATGGCCAAGAGGTAAAAGAAAAATGCTTAACACCACTAATCATCAGGTAAATGCAAATCAAAACCACAATGAGATAATATCTTACCCTAGTCAGAATGGCTACCATTAAAAAGACAAAAAAAAATGCTGGCAAGAATGCAGAGAAAAGGGAACTCTTATTCACTGTGGGTGGGAATGTAAACTAGTACAACCACTATGGAAAACAGCATGGAGATTTCTCAAAAAACTCAAATAGAATTACCATTTAATCTAGCAGTCCCACCACTAGGTATCTACTAAAGGAAAATGAAGCAATATATCAAAGGAAAACCTGCATTCACTTGTTTATTACAGCAGTATTCATAGTAAGGCTTGTGCCTCTCTGGGATGAAGCTTTGAGAGAAAGAAACAGGTAGCAATATTTGCTGTTCTGCAGGCTCTGCAGGCTCTGCAGACCCAGGCAAACAGGGTCTGGAGTGGACCTCCAGCAAACTCCAGCAGACCTGCAGAAGAGGGGCCTGACTGTTAGAAGGAAAACTAATAGAAAGCAATAATATCAACATCAACAAAAAGGATGTCCATGCAAAAACCCCATCCAAAGGTCCTCAGCATCAAACATCAAAGGTACATAAATCCATGAAGATAAGGAAAAACCAGTGCAGAAATGCTGAAAATTCCAAAAACCACAATGCCTCTTCTCTTTGAAAGGATCACAACTCCTCACCAGCAAGGGACCAAAACTGGATGGAGAATGAGTTTGATGAATTGACAGAAGTAGGCTTCAGAAGGTGGGTAATAACACTCCTCTGAGCTAAAGGAGCATGTTCTAACCCAATGCAAGGAAGCTAAGAAACCTTGATAAAAGGTTATAGGAAATGCTAACGAGAATAACCGGTTTAGAAAAGAACATGAATGACCCAATGAAACTGAAAAACACAGCATGAGAATTTCATGAAGCATACACAAGTATCAGTAGCCAAATTGGTCAAGCGGAAGAAAGGATATCAGAGATTGAAGATCAACTTAGTGAAATAAAGCGTGAAAACAAGATTAGAGAAAAAATGAAAAGGAATGAACAAAGCCTCCCAAGACATATGAGACTATGTGAAAAGACCAAACCTACGATTGATTGGTGTACCTGAAAGTGATGGAGAATGGAACCAAGTTGGAAAACACACTTCAGGATATTATCCAGGAGAACTTCCCCAAATTAGTGAGACAGGGCAACATTCAAATTCAGGAAATACAGACAACACCACTAAGATACTCCTTGAGAAGAGCAACCCCAAGACACATAATTGTGAGATTCACCAAGACTGAAATGAAGGAAATAATGTTAAGGGCAGCCAGAGAGAAAGGTCAGGTTACCCATAAAGGGAAGCCCATCAGACTTAACAGTGGATCTCTCTGCGGAAACGCCACAAGCCAGAAGAGAGTGGGGGCCAATATTCAACATTCTTAAAGAAAATAACTTTCAACCCAGAATTTTATATCGAGACAAACTAAGCTTGATCAGTGAAGGAGAAATAAAATCCTTTCCAGACAAGCAAATGCTGAGGGATTTTGTCACCACCAGTCCTGCCTTACAGGAATTCCTGAAGGAAGCACTAAATATGGAAAGGAAAAAATCAGTACCAGCTACTGCAAAAACATGCCAAAATATAAAGACCAATAACACTATGAAGAAACTGCATCAACTAATGTGCAAAATAACCAGCTAACATCATGACAACAGGATCAGATTCACACATAACAATATTAACAATAAACGTAAATGGGCTAAATGCCCCAATTGAAAGACGCAGACTGGCAAATTGGATAGAGTCAAGACCCATCGGTGTGCTGTATTCAGGAGACCCATTTCATATGCAAAGACACACATGGGCTCAAAATAAAGGGATGAAGGAATATTTACCAAGCAAATGGAAAGCAAAAGAAGCAGGGTTTGCAATCCTAGTCTCTGATAAAACAGACTTTAAGTCCAGGACCAGATGGATTCACAGCCGAATTCTACCAGAGGTACAAGAAGGAGCTGGTACCATTCCTTCTGAAACTATTCCAATCAATAGAAAAAGAGGGAATCCTCCCTAACTCATTTTATGAGGCCAGCATCATCCTGATACCAAAGCCTGGCACAGACACAACCAAAAAAGAGAATTTTAGACCAATATCCTTGATGAACATTGGTGCAAAAATCCTCAATAAAATACTGGCAAACCAAATCCAGCAGCACATCAAAAAGCTTATCCACCATGATCAAGTGGGCTTCATCCCTGGGATGCAAGGCTGGTTCAACATATGCAAATCAGTAAAAGTAATCCAGCATATAAACAGAGCCAAAGACAAAAACCACATGATTATCTCAATAGATGCAGAAAAGGCCTTTGACAAAATTCAACAACGCTTCATGCTAAAAACTCAATAAATTAGGTATTGATGGGACGTATCTCAAAATAATAAGAGCTATCTATGACAAACCCACAGCCAATATCATACTGAATGGGCAAAAACTGGAAGCATTCCCTTTGAAAACTGGCACAAGACAGGGATGCCCTCTCTCACCACTCCCATTCAACATAGTGTTGGAAGTTCTGGCCAGGGCAATTAGGCAGGAGAGGGAAATAAAGGGTATTCAATTAGGAAAAGAGGAAGTCAAATTGTCCCTGTTTGCACATGACATGATTGTATATCTAGAAAACCCCATTGTCTCAGCCCAAAATCTCCTTAAGCTGATAAGCAACTTCAGCAAAGTCTCAGGATACAAAATCAATGTACAAAAATCACAAGCATTCATATACACCAATAACAGACAGCCAAATCATGAGTGAACTCCCATTCACAATTGCTTCAAAGAGAATAAAATACCTAGGAATCCAACTTACAAGGGATGTGAAGGACCTCTTCAAGGAGAAATACAAACCACTGCTCAATGAAATAAAAGAGAATACAAACAAATAGGAAGAACATTCCATGCTCATAGGTAGGAAGAATCAATATCGTGAAAATGGCCATACTGCCCAAGGTAATTTATAGATTCAATGCCATCCCTATCAAGCTACCAATGACTTTCTTCACAGAATTGGAAAAAACTACTTTAAAGTTCACATGGAACCAAAAAAGAGCCCGCATCGCCAAGTCAATCTTAAGCCAAAAGAACAAAGCTGGAGGCATCACGCTACCTGACTTCAAACTGTACTACAGGGCTACAGTAACCAAAACAGCATGGTACTGGTACCAAAACAGAGATATAGATCAATGGAACAGAACAGAGCCGTCAGAAATAACGCCGTATATCTACAACTGTCTGATCTTTGACAAACCTGACAAAAACAAGAAATGGGGAAAGGATTCCCTATTTAATAAATGGTGCTGGGAAAACTGGCTAGCCATATGTAGAAAGCTGAAACTGGATCCCTTCCTTACACCTGATACAAAAATCAATTCAAGATGGATTAAAGACTTACATGTTAGACCTAAAACCATGAAAACTCTAGAATAAAACCTAGGCAATACCATTCAGGACATAGGCATGGGCAAGGACTTCATGTCTAAAGCAACAAAAGCCAAAATTGACAAATGGGATCTAATTAAACTAAAGAGCTTCTGCACAGCAAAAGAAACTACCATCAGAGTGAACAGGCAACCTACAAAATGGGAGGAAATTTTTGCAACCTACTCTTCTGACAAAGGGCTAATATCCAGAATCTACAATGAACTCAAGCAAATTTACAAGAAAAAACCAAACAACCCCATCAAAAAGTGGGTGAAGGATATGAACAGACACTTCTCAAAAGAAGACATTTATGCAGCCAAAAAACACATGAAAAAATGCCCATCATCACTGGCCATCAGAGAAATGCAAATAAAAACCACAATGAGATACTATCTCACACCAGTTAGAATGGCGATCATTAAAAAGTCAGGAAAGAACAGGTGCTGGAGAGGATGTGGAGAAATAGGAACACTTTTACACTGTTTGTGGGACGGTAAACTAGTTCAACCATTGTGGAAGTCAGTGTGGCGATTCCGCAGGAATCTAGAACTAGAAATACCATTTGACCCAGCCATCTCATTACTAGGTATATACCCAAAGGATTATAAATCATGCTGCTATAAAGACACATGCACATGTATGTTTATTGCGGCACTATTCACAACAGCAAAGACTTGGAACCAACCCAAATGTCCAACAATGATAGACTGGATTAAGAAAATGTGGCACATATACATCATGGAAGACTATGCAGCCATAAAAAATGATGAGTTCATGTCCTTTGTAGGGACGGATGAAACTGGAAGCCATCATTCTCAGCAAACTATCGCAAGGACAAAACAACAAACACAGCATATTCTCACTCATAGGTGGGAAATGAATAATGAGAACACATGGACACAGGAAGGGGAACATCACACTCCGGGGACTGTTGTGGGATGGGGGGAGTGTGGAGGGATAGCATTAGGAGATATACCTAATGCTAAATGACGAGTTAATGGGTGCAGCACACCAACATGGCACATGTATACATATGTAAGAAACTTGCACATTGTGCACATGTACCCTAAAACTTAAAGTATAATAATAATAAAAAAATAATAAAATGAAAAGACTTTAAACCAACAAGGATAAAAAAAGACAAAGAAGGGCATTACATAATGGTAAAGAGATCAATGCAACAAGAAGAGCTAACTATTCTAAATATATACAATACAGGAGCACCTAGATTCATAAAGCAAGTTCTTAGAGATCTACAAAGAGATGTAGACTCCCAAACAATAATAATGGGAGACTTTAACACCCCACTGTCAACATTAGATCAACAAGACAAAAATTAACAAGGATATCCAAGACTTGAACTCATCTCTGGACCAAGTGGACCTAATAGATATCTACAGAACTCTCCACCCTAAATCAACAGAGTATACATTCTTCTCAGCACCATATCACACTTATTCTAAAATTGACCACATAATTGGAAGTAAAACATGCCTCAGCAAATGCAGAAGAATGGAAATCATAACAAACAGTCTCTGAGACCACAGTGCAATCAAATTAGAACTCAGGATTAAGAAACTCACTCAAAACTGCACAACTACATGGAAACTGAACAACCTGTTCCTAAGTGACTACTGGGTAAATAACGAAATTAAGGCAGAAATAAATAAGTTCTTTGAAACCAGTGAGAACAAAGACACAACATAACAGAATCTCTGGGACACAGCAGTGTTTAGAGGGAAATTTACAGCACTAAATGCCCACAGGAGAACGTGGGAAAGTTCTAAAATTGACACCCTAACATCATAATTAAAAGAACTAGAAAAGCAAGAGCAAACACATTCAAAAGCTAGCAGAAGACAAATAACTAAGATCAGAGCAGAACTGAAGGAGACAGAGACACAAAAAACCCTTCAAAAAATCAATGAATCCAGGAGCTGGTTTTTTGTAAAGATTAACAAAATAATACCACTGGCCAGGATAATAAAAAAGAGAAGAATCAAATAGACACAATAAAAATGATAAAGGGGAGATCACCACTGATCCCACGGAAATACAAACTACCATCAGAGAATACTATAAACACCTCTATGCAAATAAACTAGAAAATCTAGAAGAAATGGATAAATGCCTGGATTTATATACCCTCCCAAGACTAAACCAAGAAGAAGTCGAATCCCTGAACAGACCAATAACAAGTTCTGAAATTGAGGCAGTAATTAACAGCCTACCAACCTAAAAAGGCCCAGGTCCAGATGGATTCACAGCTGAATTCTACCAGAGGTACAAAGAGGAGCTGATACCATTCCTTCTGTAACTATTCCAAACAATAGAAAAAGAGGGACTCCTCCTTCTCATTTTATGAGGCCAGCGTCATGCTGATACCAAAACCTGGTAGAGACACAACAAAAAAAAGAAATACCCTGATGAACATCAATGCAAAAATCCTCAATAAAATACTGGCAAACTGAATCCAGCAGCCCATTAAAAAGCTTATCCACTATGATCAAGTCACCTTCATCCCTAGGATGCAAGGCTGGTTCAACATATGCAAATCAATAATCATAAACCATCACATAAACAGAAGCAATGACAAAAACCACATGATTATCTCAATAGATGCAGAAAAAAGCCTTTGATAAAATTCAACACCTCTTCATGCTAAAAACACTCAACTAGGTATTGACGGAACATATCTCAAAATAATAAGATCTATTTATGACACACCCACAGCCAATAAATGTGATACTGAATGGGCAAAAGCTGGAAGCAGCTTTTGAAAACCAGCACAACACAAGGATGTCCTCTCTCACCACTCCTATTCAACATAGTATTGGAAGTTCTGGCCAGGGCAATTAGGCAACAGAAAAAAAATAAAGGGTATTCAAATCGGAAGGGAGGAAGTCAAATTGTCTCTGTTTGCAGTTGACATGATTGTGTATTTAGAAAACCCCATTGTTGGCCAGGCACAGTGGCTCATGCCTGTAATCCCAGCACTTTGGGAGGCTGAGATGGGTGGATCATGAGGTCAAGAAATCAAGACTATACTGGCCAATATGGTGAAACCCTATCTCTACTAAAAAAACAAACATTAGCTGGGTGTGGTGGTGCGCACCTGTAGTCCCAGCTACTCGGGAGGCTGAGGCAGGAGAATCGCTTGAACCCAGGAGGCAGAGGTTGCAGTGAGCTGAGATTGTGCCACTGCACTGCAGCCTGGTGACAGAGTGAGACTCTGTCTCAAAGGAAAAAAAAAAAAAGAAAAAACCCTATCGTCTCAGCCCCAGAACTCCTTAAGCTGATAAGCCACTTCAGCAAAGTCTGAGGATACAAAATCAATGTGCAAAAATCACAAGCATTCCTATACATCAATAATAGACAAACAGAGAGCCAAATCATGAGTGAACTTCCATTCACATTTGCTAGAAAGAGAATTAAATACCCAGCAATACAACTTACAAGATATGTGAAGGACCTCTTCAAGGAGAACTACAAACCACTGCTCAAGGAAATAAGAGAGAACACAAACAAATGGAAAAACATTCCATGCTCATGGATAGGAAGAATCAATATCATGAAAATGGCCATACTGCTCAAAGTAATTTATAGATTCAATGCTATCCTGTCTCCTGTATAGCCAAGACAACCCTAAGCAAAAAGAACAAAGCTGGAGGCATCATGCTACCTGACTTCAAACTATACTACAAGACTACAGTAACCAAAACAGCATGGTACTGGTATCAAAACAGATATATACCAATATATAGTATCAAAACAAATATATACCAATAGAACAGAAGAGAGGCCTCAGAAATAACACCACACATCTACAACCATCTGATCTTTGACACACCTGACAAAAACAGGCAATGGGGAAATGCTTCCCTATTTAATAAATGGTGTTGGGAAAACTGGCTAGCCATATGCAGAAAACTGAAACTAGACCCCTTCCTTACACCTCATACGAAAATTAACTCAAAATGGATTAAAGACTTAAACGTAAGACCTAAAACCATAAAAACCCTAAAAGAAAACCTAGGCAATACCATTCAGGACATAGGCAAGGGCAAAGACTTCATGACTAAAACATCAAAAGTAATGGCAACAAAAGCCAAAATTCACAAATGGGATCTATTTAAACTAACGAGCTTCTGAACAGCAAAAGAAACTATCATCAGAATGAACAGGCAACCTACAGAGTGGGAGAAAATTTTTGCAATCTATCCATCTGACAGAGGGCTAACATCTAGAATCTACAAAGAACTTAAATAAATTTACAAGAAAAAAACAGCCCCATGAAAAAGTGGGTAAAGGATATGAACAGACACTTTTCAACAGAAGACATTTATGCAGCCAACAGACACAGGAAAAAATGCTCATCATCACTGGCCATCAGAGAAATGCAAATCAAAGCCACAATGAGATACTGTCTCACGCCAGTTAGAATGATTAAAAAGTCAGGAAACAACAGATGCTGGAGAGGATGTGGAGAAATAGGAATGCTTTTACACTGTTGGTGAGAGTGTAAATTAGTTCGACCATTGTGGAAGACAGTGTGGCGATTCCTCAAGGATCTAGAACAAGAAATACCATGTGATCCAGCAACCCCATTACTGGGTATATACCCCAATTATTATAAATCATTCTGCTATAAAGACTCATGCACACGTATGTTTATTGCAGCACTGTTCACAATAGCAAAGACTTGGAACCAACCCAAATGCCCATCAATGATAGACTGGATTAAAAAAATGTGGCACATATACACCATGGAATACTATGCATCCAAAATAAAACGGATGAGTTCATTTCCTTTGCAGGGACATGGATGAAGCTGGAAACCATCATTCTCAGCAAACTAACACAGGAACAGAAACTGCAACACCGCATGTTCTCACTCATAAGTGGGAGTTGAACAGTAAGAACACATGGACACAGTGAGGGGAACATCATACACCAGGGCCTGTCAGGGGGTGGGGGGCTAGGGGAGGGATAGCATTAGGAGAAATACCTAATGTAGATGACAGGTTGATGGGTGCAGCAAACCACCATGGCACGTGTATACCTATGTATACATTCTGCACATGTATCTCAGAACTTAAAGTGTATTAAAAAAAAAGAAGTCTTTTAGAATTAGCTACAGCTAATGGATAAAGAAAAACTTGGAGAAGTTGAGCAATACAATAAAATTTGGTTTAAGAGATAATATGTAGAACTTAACGTGCCTTAAAAAAGAATATACATCTTTTTTATATACCATGAGACATTTATAAAAATTGATTATGTAATTGACTCCAGAGGAAGCCATAAACTTTAAAAAACAGAGAGCAAAAAGGAGCAGAAAGGGAGGGGGGAGGAGAAAGGGCTAATAAATATGTAAACAGTCACTATGCTTCATTTGCAGTCAAGGATGCATATTAAAGTAACAATGTACACTTCTTACCATTAAACTGACAAAATTTAGAGTGACAAAATCTACTGTTGACAGTGATAGGCTACTTTCATACCTTTTTGGTAGAAATATGAGGTATTACAGCCTTTTAAAAAAGCCACCTGACAATATTTGTTAAAATTTAAACTACACATACCCTTCTAACACGTGTTCCCAATTCTGGAACTCTATCACATAGATATAAAAGCAGAAGTATGTAAATGATATGCTTACACAGATGTATTAACAGCTGATTTTCATTACTAAATACCAGAATGACCATGCCATTTGTTTACAGATGGTAAACAATTGTCCTATTTGAACTAGCAAAACCTCTGGTTGGTTGAGTTCCGTGTCATACTGCTTACTGTTATTTTTAGTATCACTCCAGTATGTAATGGATATATATGTCTATGTAGGTATGAGTGTATGGTTTGTAGTGGCAAAAAAATAAAACCTCAGACAAGTTAAATGTTCACTAACAGAGGAAAAATGGTTAAATAGATGGTACATCTATATTACATAAAACATTTTGTAGCCGTTTAGGAGTTTGATTGTGATGGATAAAAATAAGATAAAGAAAGTTGTAGCAGAAAGTGCTAGTTGCCAGCATGATATCTATTCTTCCTCAGTATGAAACAAGACGCTGTTTGTTAGTGTGTGTGTGTAATGTATCCAGTTAAACAATGACACATTCCAGCTATGTTTGCTGCTAGCAGTGGCCATGTCACTAGGTTATAGCTAATGATAGGTAGGTGAAAATTGTTGGGTGGGCTTTATGTGAAATAGCTTGCAGATTGTAAAGCGTCTTCTGCTTCTGGCCATGAGGAAGTAATTGAGTCCAGAATTATGCTTCCACTATAGACTATTAGAAAACTGGACCAATAAAACAAACAAACAACAAGGAAAAAAACGGTTTTAAGCATTGGAAAATGGAAAGCTCAGAACTATAACACCTGAAAGAAGTGAAAGAAACAAAGTGAGCCTTAGGCACCAAAGCTTTACTCTCACAGACAATTTTTGGACTGTGGCACCAGGAGGGAACCCAGACAAATCATGACAAACTGTTAAGTAAAAGAGAGACCATAGTTCAAGGGAGCTTGGATTTTGGCATAGAGTAACCAAGAGGAGGGAGAAAGAGAGGAAGACTTCCAGATATATGTATAGTTGTCTCTATATTGTCCTATTTGAACTAGCAAAACTTCTGGTTGGTTGAGTTCCGTGTCATACTGCTTACTGTTATTTTTAATATCACTCCAGTATGTAATGGAAATCTGTGAATGGTAGGGTAAACCTCCAAGAGGCTGGGCAAGAACAGCTTCTTGGAGAAAAAAAAAAAAAAAAACAGCTGCTAGCAAGAAGACAAAAATATTCCTAGAGATCACACTGAGCTAGAGATTATTATAGTTCCCAGAGCAGCCAGACTGGAAAGATAGAGAGACCACATTGAGTACACAGAGCATTTAGTAGAGAACCCAGAAGGGCCATGCCTTGGAAGTGGGGCCAAGTTAGCCCTAGAATAAAGAAGACTATAGACTTACCCTGAAAGAACTTAAAAACAAGTTTCAAAAGAATAAAACAACACAAGTAATTTAACTGCTAGAGAGAACAAACTCCAACAATCTTTTTCTTTTTAATGCAAAAAAAAAAAAAAATCCAGCAACCAGCCATGTATAATTTACAATGTCCAGCTTCTAACAAAAAGTGTTAAACATTGGGCAGAAAAATAAGGCCCATAACCTGGTGTATTAGTCCGTTTTCACACTGCTGATAAAGACATACCCGAGACTGGGCAATTTACAAAAGAAAGAGGTTTACTGGACTTACAGTCTCCCTTGGCTTGGGAGGCCTCATAAT
This sequence comes from Homo sapiens, assembly GCF_000001405.40. Lineage (NCBI taxonomy): Eukaryota > Metazoa > Chordata > Mammalia > Primates > Hominidae > Homo > Homo sapiens. The sequence continues at coordinate 147,314,996 of NC_000001.11, forward strand.
CATGGTGGAAGGTGAAAGACACATCTCACATGGTAACAGTCAGGAGAAGAGCGCTTGTGCAGGGAAACTCCCGTTTTTAAAACCATCAGATCTCGTTAGACTTATTCACTATCACGAGAACAGCACAGGAAAGACCCACCCCCATGATTCAATTACTTCCCACCAGGATCCTCCTGTGACACGTGGGAATTGTAAGAGTTACAATTCAAGATGAGATGTGGATAGGGACACAGCCAAACCATATCACCTGGAGAACATTCAGACAATAGAAACAGACTCAGAAATGAAAAAGATGATAGAACTAGTAGATAAGGATGTTAAAACAGATTCTATAAATACGTGCATATGTTCAAAAATGCAAAATAAACATGAACATAATGAGATAAATGGAAGATATAAATATGGACACAGTAGAACTCCTAGAGGTGACATATAAAACACCAGGATAAAACATTTACTGTATAGGACTAATGGCAGGTCAGAGACTGTAGAAGGAAATATTAAACTTAGAGACTTGGCAACAGAATATATACAAAATGCATCAAAGAGAAAAAGAACACTGATAAAGTCTCAGTGACTTGTGGGGCTATTAAAGCACATGGTATATACATATTTGGTGTCTCAGAAAGAGATGAGACAGACTGGGGCAGAAAAATAACGGCTCAACAGTTTCTAATTTTTTTGAAAGCTATAAATACAGAGAATAAAAAATCTCAATGATCTTCAAGAAAGAGACACATAATACACACACACCCCAAACCACTCCAAAGCATACAACAATCAAGTTACTGAAAACTAGAAAACTGTTTGACTAAAAAAAGATACTTTACATATATCGGAACAACTAGAAAAAGACATTGCACACACATAGGAAAAAGATTAGTATGGATTTCTTATAAGAAATTACTTACAGCTAAAAACAATGGGACAGTGACTTTTAAGAACCAATAACAAAACAGAACAACCCCCTGAAAAAAAAACAAAAACAAAAACAAAACAAAAAACCTTGTCTATCCACAATTTTCTATCCAGTGAAATTATCCCTCAGAAATGAATACTAAGGTGGGGGCCAAGATGGCCAACTAGAAGCAGCAGTGATCAGAGGCTCCCATCGAAAGAACCATAATAGCATGTGAATCCTGCACCACCAACCAAGGTATCCAGGATCTCTCACCAGAACTGACTAGGCAGCTGGTGTGATCCATGGAGAGGAAGGAAGAGCAGTGTGGTATGACTGCACACCCAAGAGCCACATGGAGCAGGGGAAACCCCACTCCCCAAGCCAGGGGAGGCAGTGAGAGTGCTACCCAGCTGAGGAAACTGTGCTTTTTCCATGGAACTGTGCAATCCATGGATTAGAAGATCCCACTCGCGATCCCATGCCACTGGGGCCTAGGGTCCCAACCTCAGACCTGTGCAGATTCTCTACAGCCTCTCAGCTAGAATTTGCTTAAGCCTGCCAAGTTACAGGGGAGAGGGGTGACCAGCACCACAGCTGCAGCTGCCTGCTGTCTACACCATTTGAGCTCCTTGGGGAAGGGGCAGCAGCCAGCACTGGGACTCATAACTGCTTATCACACTAAGCTCCCTGGGCAGGAGAAGGGCGGCATCCATCTCTATAGCTCCAGGTTGCACTTTTCCACTGCTGGAGCCAATGAGGTGGGACAGCTTGGTCACAAGAGGTGTCTCCCACAGCCCAACACACTGGCTGTGGCAGACTGGCCAGACTGCCTCTTCAGGCCTGGGTGGGGCCCCCATGCAGGAACTCTTAACAACTCCAGCCAGAGGCTCCGGGACAGGACCCTGATCTCCCTGGGCCTGACCCTTTTGGGGTAGGGGTGGCCGTAGTATCTGTCGACCAGCAGACTTAGCCTTTCCTCCTGGTAGTTTTGAGTAATTGCAGCAGCCCAGATGAGTGGGTTTCCCCCAGCGAAGCACACCCTCTCCACCAAGGGACAAAGTGCTTCATTAAACAGGTCCTGTTCCCTGTGCCATGCAATGAGGTGAGACCCTCAAAAAGGGGTTGTCAGACATCCTATACAGGAGTGATACTACTGGCATCAGGTTGGTGCCCCTTGAGGTCAGAGATCTCAGAATAAGGAGCAGGAACTTACCTTTGCTGTTCTCCAGCCTTCTTGAGTGACATCTGCAGGCATAGGAGTGAACCAGAGGAATATGGCCTGAAGTGAAACCCCAGCAAACTGCAGCAGCCCTACAGAAGAGGGACCTGACTATTGAAAGAAAAACAAACGAAAAGCAACAACAGCATCAACAACAAAAAAAGTCCCCACAAAAACCCCATCCAAGAGTCAGCAGCCTCAAAGATCGAAACTAGACAAACTCATGGTGATAAGAAAAAAATCAACGAAAAAATGTTGAAAACCCAAAAGGCCAAAGTGCCCCTTCTTCAAATGATCGCAACGCCTCTCTAGCAAGGGCACAGAATTGGACAGAGGATGAGATGGAAGAATTGACAGAAGTAGGCTTCAGAAGATGAGTAATAAAAAAAACTTCTGCTGAGCTAAAGGATGATGATCTAAGCCAATGCAAAGAAGCTAAGAACCTTTATAAAAGGTTAGAGGAGCTAACTAGATTAACCAGTTTAAAGAGGAACATAAATGACGTGATGCAGCTGAAAAACACAGCATGAGAACTTCGTGAAGCATACACAAGAATCAATAGCCAAATCGACCAAGTGGAAGAAAGGATATCAGAGTTTGAAGACCACCTTGCTAAAGTAAGGCATGCAGACAAGATTAGAGAAAAAAGAATGAAAAGGAGCACACAAAGCCTCCAAGAAATATGGGACTATGTAAAAAGACCAAACCTATGATTGGAGTACCTGAAGGAGACGGGGAGAATGGAAACAAGCTGGAAAACACCTCAGGATATTATCCAGGAGAACTTCCCCAACCTAGCAAGACAGGCCAACATGCAAATTCAGGAAATACAGAGAACACCACTAAGATACTCCATGAGAAGATCAACCCCAAGACACATAATTGTCAGATTTACCAAGGTGAAATGAAGGAAAAAATGTTAAGGCCAGCCAGAGAAAAAGGTCACGTCACCTACAAAGGGAAGCCCATCAGACTAACAGCAGACCTTTCAGCAGAAACCCTACAAGCCAGAAGAGATTGTGAGCCAATATCAAACATTCTTAAAGAAAAGAATTTCCAACCCAGAGTTTCATAGCTGGCCAAACTAAGCCTCATAAGTGAAGGAGAAATAAAATCCTTTCCAGAAAAGCAAATGCTGAGGGATTTTGTCACCACCAGGCCTGCCTTGCAGGAGCTCCTGAAGGAGACACTAAATATGGAAAGGAAAAACTGGTACCAACCACTGCAAAAAACACACCAAAATATAAATACCAATGACACTATGAAGAAACTGCATCAACTAGTGTGCAAAATAAGCAGCTAGCATCATGATGACAGTATCAAATTCACACATAACAAAACTAACCTTGGCCGGGAGCAGTGGCTCATGCCTGTAATCCCAGCACTTTGGGAGGCCAAGGCAGGTGGATCACCTAAGGTCAGGAGTGCGAGACCAGCTGGGCCAACATGGTGAAAGCCCCGTCTCTACTAAAAATACAAAAATTAGCTGGGTATGGTGGCAGGCACCTGTAATCCCAGCTACTCAGGAGGCTTAGGCAGGAGAATCGCTTGAATCCAGGGGGCAGAGGTTACAGTCAGCCGAGATCATGCCATTGCACTCCAGCCTGGACAACAAGAGTGAAACCTTGTCCAAAAAAAAAAAAAAAAAAAAACCTTAAATGCAAATGGGCTAAATGCTCCAATTAAAAGACAAAGACTGGCAAATTCGATAAGGAGTCAAGACCCATTGATCGGTGTGCTGTATTTAGGAGACCCATCTCACATGCAAAGACACACATTGGCACAAAATAAAAGGATGGGGGGAAATTTACTAACCAAATGGAAAGCAGAAAATAAAAATTAAAAATAAAAAAAGGAGGGGTTGCAATCCTAGTCTCTGACAAAACAGACTTTAAACCAACAAAGATCAGAAAAGACAAAGAAGGCAGTCCCAGCCACCAACCCCAGACAGTGGAATCCTTGGGCTCCTGAGCTTCAGGATGATTCATGCTGAGATGGACCCTGAAGAAGCACTTTGTTGGCAATCCTACTAATAGTGACTTTGAGTTGAAGACAGCTGAGCTCCCACCCTTAAAAAATAGAGAGGTCCTGCTTGAAGCTTTGTTCCTCACTGGGGACCCTTACATGAGAGTGGCAGCCAAAAGACTGAAGGAAGGTGATACAATGATGGGGCAGCAAGTGGCCAGATTTGTGGAAAGTAAAAACGCAGCCTTACCAACAGAACTATTGTACTGGCTCCTTCAGGCTGGACAGCACACTCCATTGCTCATGGAAAAGATCTGGAAAACCTGCCAACAGAATGGCCTGACACAGTACCACTGTCTCTGGCTCTGGGGACAGTTAGCATGACAGGCCTCACTGCCTACTTTGGCCTACTTGACATCTGTGGTGTGAAGGGTGGAGAAACAGTGATGGTTAATGCAGCAGCTGGAGCTGTGGGCTCTGTTTTGGGGCAGATTACAAAGCTCAAGGGCTGCAAAGTGGTTGGAGCAGTAGGGTCTGACGAAAAGACTGCCTGCCTTAAAAAGCTTGGATCTGATGTCTTTAACTACAAGACAGTAGAGTCTTTGAAGAAACTTTGAAGAAAGCCTCTCCTGATGGTTACAATTGTTATTTTGGTAATGTAAGTGGATGGTTTTCAAACACTGTTATCTCCCAGATGAAGAAATTTGGAAGAATTGCCACATGTGGAGCTATCTCTATATATAACATATACATATCTACATATAACACCTGTAATCCCAGTACTTTGGGAGAATGAGGCAGGTGGATCACCTGAGGTCAGGAGTTTGAGACCAGCCTGGCCAACATGGTGAAACCCCCGTCTCTACCAAAAATACAAAAATTAGCCGGGTGTGGTGGTACCAGCCCACTTCCCCCAGGCCCAATCCCAGAGATTGTTAGATGTATCAGGAGCTTCACATGGAAGGGTTCATTGTGACCTGCTGGCCAGGAGATGCCCACCAAAAAGCTCTAAAGGACTTGCTGAAATGGGTCTCAGAGGGTCAAATCCAGTACCAGGAATATATCATTGAAGGATATGAAAACATGCCAGCTGCATTTATGGGAATGCTGAAAGGAGATAATTTGGAAAAACAATAGTGAAAGCGTGAAAAAAAATGACACATGGAATCTGAATGCCATTTAGGTGATTACTTGTTTTTCACCATTTAGCAAAAATGTGTACTACGTTAAATGTCTAAGAAATAGTACTAGTAACGGGTTTGACCTACCTAATAAAATACATTTAACTGGTATGTAATTAGTGATGGAGGATGAAAATTTCAGAGCCAACAACAACCAGCCACCTCACTGTTCACTACAGCTTCTTCTGAGTTGTGGTAGAAAATAATGGCTTTGGAGTTTGAAAGTTTATCAAACACTGCATGTTCTCACTCATAAGTGAAAGCTGTACAATGAGAAAACATGGATACGGGGAAGGGAACAACACATACTGGGGCCTATGGGGGGTGGGAGGAAGGAGAGCATCAGAATAAATAGCTAATGCTGTGGGGCTTAATACCTAGGTAATGGGTTGATAGGTGCAGCAAACCACCATGGTGTACGTTTACCTATGAAACAAACCTACACATTCTGCACATGCATCCCAGAACGTGAAATAAAATAAAAATTAAAAAAAAAGAAAGACAAAGAAGGGCACTACATAATGGTAAAGGGATCAATTCAACAAGAAAAGCTAACTGTCCTAAATATACATGAACCCAATATAGGAGCACCCAGATTCATAAAACAAGTTCTTAGAGACCTACAAAGAGACTTAGACTCTCACACAATAATAGTGGGAGACTTTAACACTCCACTGTCGATATTAGACAGATCAATGTGACAGAAAATTAACAAGGATATTCAGGACTTGAACTCAGCTCTGGATCAAGTGAACCTAATAGACGTCTACAGAACTCTCCACCTCAAATCAACAGAATATACATTCTTCTCAGCACCACATAGCACTTACTCTAAAACAGACCACATAATTAGAATTAAAACACTCCCTCAGCAAATGGAAAAGAACTGAAATCATAACAAAATTATCTTAGAATATAGTACAATCTAATTAGAACTCAGGATTAAGAAATTCACTCAAAACCACAAAATTACATGCAACTTGAACAACCTTCTCCTGAATGACTCCTGGATATATGACGAAATTAAGGTAGAAATCCAGAAGTTCTTTGAAACCGATGAGAACAAAGAGACAATATACCGGAATCTCTAGAACACAGCTACAGCACTGTTAAGAGGGAGATTTATAGCACTAAATGCCCATATCAGAAAGCTAAAAATCTCAAATTGACAACCTAACTTCATCATTAAAAGAGCTAGAGAAACAAGAGCAAATTAGTTTTAAAACTAGGAGAATACAAGAAATAAATAACATCAGAGCACAAATGAAGGAGATAGAAACACGAAAAACCCTCCAAAAAAAATCAATGAATCCAGGAGCTGGGTTTTTTTTTTTTTTTTGAGGTGATGGATACTTTATTTATCCTAATGTGATTACTACACCTTGCATGCCTGTATCAAAGTATCTCACGTACCCCATCAATATACATAGCTGCTATGCACCCACAAAATTAAAAACTTAAAAAGAAAATAAGCACTTTTGTGTAGCAGACACTATCAGAAAGTGAAAAGACAACCTATTAAATGAAAGAAAAAAAATTTTTTTTTATTATACTTTAAGTTTTAGGGTACATGTGCACAATGTGCAGGTTAGATACATATGTATACATGTGCCATGCTGGTGCGCTGCACCCACTAACTCGTCATCTAGCATTAGGTATATCTCCTAAAGCTATCCTTCCCCCCTCCCCCCCACCCCACAACAGTCCCCAGAGTGTGATGTTCCCCTTCGTGTGTCCATGTGTTCTCATTGTTCAATTCCCACCTATGAGTGAGAATATGCAGTGTTTGGTTTTTTGTTCTTGCGGTAGTTTACTGAGAATGATGATTTCTAATTTCATTCATGTCCCTACAAAGGACATGAACTCATCATTTTTTATGGCTGCATAGTATTCCATGGTGTATATGTGCCACTTTTTCTGAATCCAGTCTATCATTGTTGGACATTTGGGTTGGTTCCAAGTCTTTGCTATTGTGAATAGTGCCACAATAAACATACGTGTGCATGTGTCTCTATAGCAGCATGATTTATAGTCCTTTGGGTATATACCCAGTAATGGGATGGCTGGGTCAAATGGTATTTCTAGTTCTAGATCCCTGAGGAATCGCCACACTGACTTCCACAATGGTTGAACTAGTTTACAGTCCCACCAACAGTGTAAAAGTGTTCCTATTTCTCCACATCCTCTCCAGCACCTGTTGTTTCCTGACTTTTTAATGATTGCCATTCTAACTGGCGTGAGATGGTATCTCATTGTGGTTTTGATTTGCATTTCTCTGATGGCCAGTGATGGTGAGCATTTTTTCATGTGTTTTTTGGCTGCATAAACGTCTTCTTTTGAGAAGTGTCTGTTCATGTCCTTTGCCCACTTTTTAATGGGGTTTTTTTCTTGTAAATTTGTTTGAGTTCATTGTAGATTCTGGATATTAGCCCTTTGTCAGATGAGTAGGTTGTGAAAATTTTCTCCCATTTTGTAGGTTGCCTGTTCACTCTGATGGTAGTTTCTTTAGCTGTGCAGAAGCTCTTTAGTTTAATTAGATCCCATTTGTCAATTTTGGCTTTTGTTGCCATGGCTTTTGGTGTTTTAGACATGAAGTCCTTGCCCATGCCTATGTCCTGAATGGTAAAGCCTAGGTTTTCTTCTAGGGTTTTTATGGTGTTAGGTCTAAAGTTTAAGTCTTTAATTCATCTTGAATTGATTTTTGTATAAGGTGTAAGGAAGGGATCCAGTTTCAGCTTTCTACATATGGCTAGCCAGTTTTCCCAGCACCATTTATTAAATAGGAAATCCTTTCCCCATTGCTTGTTTTTCTCAGGTTTGTCAAAGATCAGATAGTTGTAGATATGCGGCATTATTTCTGAGGGCTCTGTTCTGTTCCATTGGTCTATATCTCTGTTTTGGTACCAGTACCATGCTGTTTTGGTTACTGTAGCCTTGTAGAATAGTTTGAAGTCAGGTAGTGTGATGCCTCCAGCTTTGTTCTTTTGGCTTAGGATTGACTTGGCGATGCGGGCTCTTTTTTGGTTCCATATGAACTTTAAAGTAGTTTTTTCCAATTCTGTGAAGAAAGTCATTGGTAGCTTGATGGGGATGGCATTGAATCTGTAAATTACCTTGGGCAGTATGGCCATTTTCACGATATTGATTCTTCCTACCCATGAGCATGGAATGTTCTTCCATTTCTTTGTATCCTCTTTTATTTCACTGAGCAGTGGTTTGTAGTTCTTCTTGAAGAGGTCCTTCACATCCCTTGTAAGTTGGATTCCTAGGTATTTTATTCTCTTTGAAGCAATTGTGAATGGGAGTTCACTCATGATTTGGCTCTCTGTTTGTTATTGGTGTATAAGAATGCTTGTGATTTTTGTACATTGATTTTGTATCCTGAGACTTTGCTGAAGTTGCTTATCAGCTTAAGGAGATTTTGGGCTGAGACAATGGGGTTTTCGAGATATACAATCATGTCATGCGCAAACAGGGACAATTTGACTTCCTCTTTTCCTAATTGAATACCCTTTATTTCCTTCTCCTGCCTAATTGCCCTGGCCAGAACTTCCAACACTATGTTGAATAGGAGTGGTGAGAGAGGGCATCCCTGTCTTGTGCCAGTTTTCAAAGGGAATGTTTCCGGTTTTTGCCCATTCAGTATGATATTGGCTGTGGGTTTGTCATAGATAGCTCTTATTATTTTGAAATATGTCCCATCAATACCTAATTTATTGAGAGTTTTTAGCATGAAGGGTTGTTGAATTTTGTCAAAGGCCTTTTCTGCATCTATTGAGATAATCATGTGGTTTTTGTCTTTGGTTCTGTTTATATGCTGGATTACATTTATTGATTTGAGTATATTGAACCAGCCTTGAATCCCAGGGATGAATCCCACTTGATCATGGTGGATAAGCTTTTTGATGTGCTGCTGGATTCAGTTTGCCAGTATTTTATTGAGGATTTTTGCATCAATGTTTATCAAGGATATTGGTCTAAAATTCTCTTTTTTGGTTGTGTCTCTGCCCGGCTTTGGTATCAGGATGATGCTGGCCTCATAAAATGAGTTAGGGAGGATTCCCTCTTTTTCTATTGATTGGAATAGTTTCAGAAGGAATGGTACCAGTTCCTCCTTGTACCTCTGGTAGAATTCGGCTGTGAATCCATCTGGTCCTGGACTCTTTTTGGTTGGTAAGCTATTGATTATTGCCACAATTTCAGAGTGTGTTATTGGTCCATTCAGAGATTCAACTTCTTCCTGGTTTAGTCTTGGGAGAGTGTATGTGTCGAGGAATTTATCCATTTCTTCTAGATTTTCTAGTTTATTTGCGTAGAGGTGTTTGTAGTATTCTCTAATAATAGTTTGTATTTCTGTGGGATCGGTGTTGATATCCCCTTTATCATTTTTTATTGCATCTATTTGATTCTTCTCTCTTTTTTTCTTTATTAGTCTTGCTAGCAGTTTATCAATTTTGTTGATCCTTTCAAAAAACCAGCTCCTGGATTCACTAATTTTTTGAAGGGGTTTTTGTGTCTCTACTTCCTGCAGTTCTGCTCTGATTTTAGTTATTTCTTGCCTTCTGCTAGCTTTTGAATGTGTTTGCTCTTGCTTTTCTAGTTCTTTTAATTGTGATGTTAGGTGTCAATTTTGGATCTTTCCTGCTTTCTCTTGTGGGCATTTAGTGCTATAAGTTTCCCTCTACACACTGCTTTGAATGCATCCCAGAGATTCTGGTATGTTGTGTCTTAGTTCTCGTTGGTTTCAAAGAACATCTTTATTTCTGCCTTCATTTCGTTATGTACCCAGTAGTCCTTCAGGAGCAGGTTGTTCAGTTTCCATGTAGTTGAGCGGTTTTGAGTGAGATTCTTAATGCTGAGTTCTAGTTTGATTGCACTGTGGTCTGAGAGACAGTTTGTTATAATTTCTGTTCTTTTACATTTGCTGAGGAGAGCTTTACTTCCTACTATGTGGTCAATTTTGGAATAGGTGTGGTGTGGTGCTAAAAAAATGTATATTCTGTTGATTTGGGGTGGAGAGTTCTGTAGATGTCTATTAGGTCTGCTTGGTGCAGAGCTGAGTTCAATTCCTGGGTATCCTTGCTGACTTTCTGTCTCGTTGATCTGTCTAATGTTGACAGTGGGGTGTTAAAGTCTCCCATTATTAATGTGTGGGAGTCTAAGTGTCTTTGTAGGTCACTCAGAACTTGCTTTATGAATCTGGATGCTCCTGTATTGGGTGCATATATATTTAGGATAGTTAGCTCTTCTTGTTGAATTGATCCCTTTACCATTATGTAATGGCCTTCTTTGTCTCTTTTGATCTTTGTTGGTTTAAAGTCTGTTTTATCAGAGACTAGGATTGCAACCCCTGCCTTTTTTTGTTTTCCATTTGCTTGGTAGATCTTCCTCCATCCTTTTATTTTGAGCCTGTGTGTGTCTCTGCACGTGAGATGGGTTTCCTGAATACAGCACACTGAAGGGTCTTGACTCTTTATCCAATTTGCCAGTCTGTGTCTTTTAATTGGAGCATTTAGTCCATTTACATTTAAAGTTAATATTGTTATGTGTGAATTTGATCCTGTCATTATGATGTTAGCTGGTTATTTTGCTCGTTAGTTGATGCAGTTTCTTCCTAGTCTCGATGGTCTTTACATTTTGGCATGATTTTGCAGTGGCTGGTACCGGTTGTTCCTTTCCATGTTTAGCGCTTCCTTCAGGAGCTCTTTTTGGGCAGGCCCGGTGGTGACAAAATCTCTCAGCATTTGTTTGTCTGTAAAGTATTTTATTTCTCCTTCACTTATGAAGCTTAGTTTGGCTGGATATGAAATTCTGGGTTGAAAATTCTTTTCTTTAAGAATGTTGAATATTGGCCCCCACTCTCTTCTGGCTTGTAGAGTTTCTGCCGAGAGATCCGCTGTTAGTCTGATGGGCTTCCCTTTGAGGGTAACCCAACCTTTCTCTCTGGCTGCCCTTAACATTTTTTCCTTCATTTCAACTTTGGTGAATCTGACAATTATGTGTCTTGGAGTTGCTCTTCTCGAGGAGTATCTTTGTGGCGTTCTCTATATTTCCTGAATCTGAATGTTGGCCTGCCTTGCTAGATTGGGGAAGTTCTCCTGGATAATATCCTGCAGAGTGTTTTCCAACTTGGTTCCATTCTCCATGTCACTTTCAGGTACACCAATCAGATGTAGATTTGGTCTTTTCACATAGTCGCATATTTCTTGGAGCCTTTGCTTGTTTCTTTTCATTCTGTTTTCTCTAAACTTCCCTTCTTGCTTCATTTCATTCATTTCATCTTCCATTGCTGATACCCTTTCTTCCAGTTGATTGCATCGGCTCCTGAGGCTTCTGCATTCTTCACGTAGTTCTCGAGCCTTGGTTTTCAGCCCCATCAGCTCCTTTAAGCACTTCTCTGTATTGGTTATTCTAGTTATACATTCTTCTAAATTTTTTTCAAAGTTTTCAACTTCTTTGCCTTTGGTTTGAATGTCCTCCCATAGCTCGGAGTAATTTGATCGTCTGAAGCCTTCTTCTCTCAACTCGTCAAAGTCATTCTCCGTCCAGCTTTGTTCCGTTGCTGGTGAGGAACTGCGTTCCTTTGGAGGAGGAGAGGCGTTCTGCTTTTTAGAGTTTCCAGTTTTTCTGCTCTGTTTTTCCCCATCTTTGTCGTTTTATCTACTTTTGGTCTTTGATGATGGTGATGTACAGATGGTTTTTTGGTGTGGATGTCCTTTCTGTTTGTTAGTTTTCCTTCTAACAGACAGGACCCTCAGCTGCAGGTCTGTTGGAGTACCCAGCCGTGTGAGGTGTCAGTCTGCCCCTGCTGGGGTGTGCCTCCCAGTTAGGCTTCTCGGGGGTCAGGGGTCAGGGACCCACTTGAGGAGGCAGTCTGCCTGTTCTCAGATCTCCAGCTGCGTGCTGGGAGAACCACTGCTGTTTTCAAAGCTGTCAGACAGGGACATTTAAGTCTGCAGAGGTTACTGCTGTCTTTTTGTTTGTCTGTGCCCTGCCCCCAGAGGTGGAGCCTATAGAGGCAGGCATGCCTCCTTGAGCTGTGGTGGGCTCCACCCAGTTCGAGCTTCCCGGCTGCTTTGTTTACCTAAGCAAGCCTGGGCAATGGCAGGTGCCCCTCCCCCAGCCTCGCTGCCGCCTTGCAGTTTGATCTCAGACTGCTGTGCTAGCAATTAGCGAGACTCCGTGGGCGTAGGACCCTCCGAGCCACGTGCGAGATATAATCTCCTGGTGTGCCGTTTTTTAAGCCCGTCGGAAAAGCGCAGTATTCGGTTGGGAGTGACCCGATTTTCCAGGTGCCATCTGTCACCCCTTTCTTTGACTAGGAAAGGGAACTCCCTGACCCCTTGCGCTTCCCGAGTGAGGCAATGCCTCGCCCTGCTTTGGCTCGTGCACGGTGCACGCACCCACTGACCTGCGCCCACTGTCTGGCACTCCCTAGTGAGATGAACCCGGTACCTCATATGGAAATGCAGAAATCACCCGTCTTCTGCGTCGCTCACGCTGGGAGGTGTAGACCGGAGCTGTTCCTATTCGGCCATCTTGGCTCCTCCCCCCCTTTTTTTTTTTTTTTGAAAAAAAAAAGACCACTATCTAGACTGATAAATAAGAAAAAAGAGAAGAATCAAATAGACACAATAAAAAATGACAAAGGTGATATCACCACTGACCCCACAGAAATACAAACTACCATCAGAGAATACTATAAACACCTCTACACAAACAAACTAGAAAATCTAGAAGAAATGGAGAAATTCCTCGACACATACACCCTCCCAAGAATAAGCAGGAAGAGGTCAAACCCTTGAATAGACCAATAACAACTTATGAAATTGAGGCAGTAATAGCCTACCAACCAAAAAAAGCCCAGGACCAGATGAATTCACAGCCAAATTCTACCAGAGGTACAAGTAGGAGCTGGTACCTTTTCTTCTGAAACTATTCCAAACAATTGAAAAGGAAGGACTCCTCCCTAACTCATTTTATGAGGCCAGCATCATCCTGATACCAAAGCCTGGCAGAGATACAACAAAAAAAGAAAACTTCAGGCCAATATTCCTGATGAATATCGATGCAAAAATCTTCAATAAAATACTGAGAAACCAAATCGAGTAGCCCTTCAAAAAACTTATCCACCACGATCAAGTCAGCTTCATTGCTGAGATGCAATGCAAGGCTGGCTCAACATACACAAATCAATAAATGTGATCCATCACATAAACAGACCCAAAGACAAAAACCACATGATTATCTCAATGGATGCAGAAAAGGCATTTGATAAAATTCAACATTCCTTTATATTTAAAACTCTCAATAACCTAGGTATTGATGGAACATATCTCAAAATACTAAGAGCTCTTTATGAAAAACCCACAGCCGATATTGTACTGAATGGGCAAAAGGTGGAAGCATTCCCTTTGAAAACTGATACAAGGCAAGGATGCCCTCTGTCACCACTCCTATTCGACACAGTATTAAAAGTTCTGGCCAGGGCAATCAGGCAAGAGAAAGAAATAAAGCGTATTCAAATAGGAAGGGAGGAAGTCAAATTGTCTTTGTTTGCAGACAATATGATTCTATATTTAGAAAACCCCATAATCTCAGCCCCAAAACTCCTTAACCTAGTAAGCAGCTTCAGCAAAGTTTCAGGATACAAAATTGATATGCAAAAGTCACAAGCATTCCTATACACCAACAACAGACAAGCAGAGAGCCAAATCATGAATGAACTCCCATTCACAATTGCTACAAAGATAATTAAATACCTAGGAATATAACTTATAAAGGATGTGGAGGACCTCTTCAAGGAGAACTACAAACCACTGCTCAAGGAAATAAGAGAGGACACAAAAAAATGAAAAAAACATTCCATTTTCATGGAATATTCAATATTGTGAAAATGGCCATACTGCCCAAAGTAATTTATAGATTCAATGCTATTCCCATCAAACTATCCTTGAGATTCTTCACAGAATTAGAAAAAACTTAATAAATGAAGACCCCGTTTTGCCAAGACAGTCCAAAGCAAAAAGAACAAAGCTGGAGGCATCATGCTACCTGACTTCAAACTATACTACAAAGCGATAGTAACAAAAACAACATGGTACTGGTACCAAAACAGTCATATATACCAATGGAACAGAATAGAGACCTCAGAAATAACGCTACACATCTACAACCATCTGATCTTCAACAAACCTAACAAAAACAAGCAATGGGGAAAGGCCTCCTATTCAATAAATGGTGCTGGGAAAACTGGCTAGCCATATACAGAAAACTGAAACTGGACCCCTTCCTTACACCTTGGACAAAAATTAACTCAAGATGGATTAAAGACTTAGATGTAAAACCTCACATTATAAAAACCCTAGAAGAAATCTAGGCAATACCAGTCAGGACATAGGCTTGAGCAAAGACTTCATGATGAAAACGCTAAAAGCTATTGCAACAGAAGCCAAGTTGACAAATGGGATCCAATTAAACTAAAGAGCTTCTGCACAGCAAAAGAAACTATCACCAGAGTGAACAGGCAACCTACAGAATGGGTGAAATTTTTTGCAACCTACCCATCTGATGAAGGGCTAATATCCAGAATTTACAAGGAACTTAAACAAATTTACAAGAAAGAAACAACTCCATCAAAAACTAGGTCAAGTACATGAACAGACACTTCTCAAAAGAAGACACTTACACAGCCAACACACGTGAAAAAAAGTTCAACATACTGATCATTAGAGTAATGCAAGTCAAAACCACAATGAGAACCATCTCATGCCAGTCAGAATGACGATTATTAAAAAGTCAACAAACAATAGATGCTGGCGAGGCTGTGTAGAAATAAGAACACTTTTACACTCTTGGTGGGAATGTAAATTAGTTCAACCATTGTAAAAGATAGTAAGGCAATTCCTCAAGGAT
This sequence comes from Homo sapiens, assembly GCF_000001405.40. Classification (NCBI taxonomy): domain Eukaryota; kingdom Metazoa; phylum Chordata; class Mammalia; order Primates; family Hominidae; genus Homo; species Homo sapiens. Next base: position 147,330,177 of record NC_000001.11, read on the forward strand.
CTTGAACCAGAAATACCATTTGGCCAAGCAATTCCATTACTGGGTATATACCCAAAGGAATGTAAATCATTCTGCTATAAGCATACATGCACACATATGTTTATTACAGCACTATTTATAATAGCAAAGTCATGGAACCCCCAAATGCCCATCAATGATAGACTGGATAAAGAAAATGTGGTACATATACACTGTGGAATACTGTGCAGTTATAAAAAGGCATGCGATCATGTCCTTTACAGGGACATGGATGAACCTGGAACCTATCATCCTCAGCAAACTAACACAGGAACAGAAAACCAAACACCACATGTTCTCACTCATAAGTGGGAGTTGAACAATGAGAACAGATGGACACAGGGAGGGGAACAACACACACCAGGGCCTGTTGGGGGTTGGGAGGCGAGGGGAGGGAACTTAGAGGACAGGTCAATAGGTGCAGCAAACCACCATGGCACAGGTATACCTATGCAACAAATCTGCATGTTCTGCACGTTTCCAGAACTTAAAGTAAAATAAAAATCAAAATAAAAAAATGAATACTAAATCAAAACTTTTCAGATAAACAAAAGCTGAGAAAATTAAGCAGAAGCAAGTCTACATTACAAGAAATGTTAAATGAAGTTCTCCAGACAAAAGGAAAATGATGTAACTTGCAAACTTATATCTACACAAACAAATGAAGAGTACTGCAAATAGTAGATATGTGGGTACATAAAAAAGACTATTCCCCTCATTTTTAAGATCTTTAATGGATAATTTAATTCTAAGATCAAAATAATTTAGCATGTGGTTCATAACACGCAGAAATAAAATGTATGACAACAATAGCACAAGGGACAGAATGGGGAATAAAATACTACTTTAAGAGTTTCAAATTATTTGTGAAATATCATTATAACATTTAAAAGTAGATTATAATAAATCAAAGATACATATTTTAAACCAAAGAGTAGTGTAGGCAAATGGAAAAATGTGAGCCAAATATGTAATTTCAAATTTTCTAGTAGCCACATTAAAAATCTAAAAAGAAACCGGTAAAATTAATTTTAATGATTTTATTTAACCCAACAAGAAAAAACTGTCATGACAAGAAAAAAGCTGAACAAATTAAAAATCACCAACTGAGATCTCCCAGAGAATTGAGGTCACAGGGCAAACTACCACTCCGAAAACCAGAGAGATGGGCAGATACAGTGAATCACAACTTACCAGGAGCAGAAACTGTTGAAATCAGTAACTGATAGGAACACTTAAATAGTAATTGACAAATAGCTACAGACTGATTGCAAATTAGCTTGAGAATTAAAAACTCCTAGTGACCCAGTGTAGGGTTCCCCACACTTATGATTTTACTTCTAAAAGCCCAACCAAGGGTCTCACAGTGAAGATGAAAGAAAACATCTCCTTGTGCTTTGGGAAGGGGAAAAGGGGAAAGCAACCCTTTTGAAATTGGCCCAGAGTGTTCTATTCTTCATAACAAAGACCTGCCCTCAACAGAAACTACTTTACCAGGGCCTTATCTGATCAAACATGGGGGCAATTAGACAACTCTAGTGCACTCTACCCATCTTGTCTCACATAAAGAAGGGGAAAAAAGGCTAAGAAATTATTCTGGAAGTTACATCCCAGGGACTTTGCTCATTTGAAAAAAAAAAAAAAAGATTTAAGCAGATGATTATAGAATGTTTCCCTTCCTGTCCTCCCCAATACTTTATTATTACAATAGGGCTCCAGTATAATAAAAGTAGATTATAACTGAGAGCATTAGAGACAGAGTCTAATTAAGAAGCCATTTCTAGGGAAATCCAAGGATGACAAGGTAGACAAAAACTAGGACACTAGAGGAAATTTAAGGCTCTGACACCTATAGCTACAGCAAATACTAAATACTGCATAACTCCTAGCCAGATAAACATAAAACCTTACACGAAAGCCCTATTTACCTCAGTTCCTATTAGTATACCACATACAGCTTTCAAAACAAAAACAAAAACTACTCAAGTCATCTTAAAATGCAGGAAAAGGCCAGGTGCGGTGGCTCATGCCTCTAATCCCAGCACTTTGGGAGGCCGAGGCGGACAGATCACAAGGTCAGGAGTTGGAGACCAGCCTGAAAAACAAGGTGAAATCCTGTCTCTACTAAAAATACAAAAAATTAAAAAATTAGCCAGGCATGGTGGCACTTGCCTGTAATCCCAGCTACTCAGGAGGCTGAGGCAGGAGAATCGCTTGAACCCAGGAGGCAGAGGTTGCAGTGAGCCGAGATCTTGCCATTGCACTCCAGCCTGGGTGACAGAGTGAGACTCTGTCAAAAAAAAAAAAGAAGCAGGAAAAAAGACAAGCAGTCTAAAAAGACAATATAAGCATTATAACCAGACCCAGCTATGACACAAATTGTTTTTTCTAGGCTGGAAATTTTAAATAACTATGACCTGTTAAGGGCTCCAAAGAAAATGGTAGACAACATGTAAGACCAGATTGGTAATGTAAACGGAGAGATGAAAACTCTAAGAAATAATCAAAAACACTGTGACAAAAATAAAGAATGCCTTTGATGGTCTCAATAGACTGAATATGGCTGAAGAAAGAATCCATGAACTCGAAGATGAATTAATAGAAACTCCCACAACATAAACGTAAAGACCAAATAGAGTGAAGCAATTACAATAGAACATCCAACTGTGAAACAATTTCAGTAAGTGTAGCACGCACAACTGAAATACCAGGAGAAGAAAAAGAATGGAGCAGAAGATATATTTGAAATAAAAATGTCCAAGACTTTTCCAAAATAATGACAGACATGAAACTGCAGTTTCAGTTAGCTCAGAGAACACCAAGCAGGATAAATGTAAAAAAAAACCCACTATACATAGGCATATCATATTCAAACTTCAGAAAAAGAGAAATCTTTCAAAAAAGCCAGAGGAAAGAACAACTTACTTACAGAGAAACAAGGAAGAGTATTACAGATAACTTCTCATCAGAAACCACACAAGCAGGAAGAGAATGGAGTGAAAGATTTAAAGTGTTGAGAGAAATAAACCCACTAACCTGAATTCTATATCTAGTGAATTTATTCTTCAAAACTGAAGGAGAACTAAAGACTATTTCACAGAAACAAAATTGAGAGGTCATTGTCAGCAGACCTTCCCCTGTAAGAAAAACTAAAGTTGTTCTTCACGGAGCAGGAAAATGATCTATGTCAGAAACTTGGATGCACAAAAGGAAAGGAAAAGTGTCAGGGAATGAAGTACAAGTAAAGTAAAATGTTTTGTTTTTCTTATTCTTAATTGATTGAAAAGATAATTATTTAAGGTAATAAGAGTGACAATGTATTGGTGATTGTATTCATATGGACAAATAAAATGAATGACAGTAATGTCATAAGAGATGAGAGGGAAAATTGGAAATAGTCTGTTATAGGGTACTTTCACTGCACATGAAGAGGAAGAAATATTAACTGTACATGTATATGGCAATCCATAGGGCAACTACTTAAAAAATTGAAAAGCGTAATTGATATGCTAAAAGAAGAGATAAAATGGAATCATATAAAACCAGAAAATGCAGAAAAAGAGATTTTAAAAAAGAACTGGTACAATGAATAGAAAACGGTTACAAACAGTAAATATTGATTCGACAATATCAATAATCACTTTAAGTGAGAATGGTCTAAATGTACCAATTAAAAGATTGTCAGAGTGGCTAAAAAACAAGATTCGACTATTGTATTTGAATACAGATGTGATTCCCAGTCTATTTTCAGGCAAGTTCTCACCACTGTTTGTTATTTGGTTTCCTGTCATTAAAAAAAGTTGACTAACTTCCCTACTAACTGGCATATTCAGACAGTAAAGAGCTTAAAGGAGAGGGGCTTTGAGCAGAATGGTGGCATCCTGATATAAGAGAGTAAGAGCAGGGAGCTAGGAGATGCATGAAACTGCAGCAAAGTAACCTCAGCCTCTGAATTCAAGTGCCCTTCAAGGAACTGAACTCATTTAACCATACTATCATATTTGGGAAGCAGGGATTATTACTTCCATTTCACATTTTGTGAAAACTGTTAAGTATCTTCTGTGTACTCCAGACAAGACATCCAGGCTCCAGGCCTCTCTTACATGGTCCAGCACTTATTTCATGGAATCCTCTCTACTTTGCCCTTCTGTATTCGCTAGTGCCCACTCCCTTGTCCTCTGCCAATTCCATCGTGGTTCTATAGGAAAATGGGATGTCTGTCATTCTCTGCAGCTGTGAACTTTGCATATTTCTTTGGCTTTAAAATATCTGGCCTGTAGTGATAAGGATTCAGCAAGCCACTGAAAAGCAATGGCACTTAAGAAAATCTCCGGCAACTCTGTCTTTTCCTCTTGCTTTCTCGGTCCTGCTCAAAGTTGTCTTGTTGGCAGGCAGCCACCTGTGAAATGTGCACATTTCAAAGCAAATGGCTCCAGGAGCTCATAATTGCTGCCAAACGTGTGTGGATTTTAATAGCCCATTTTCATTAGCCTTGTGTGAAATCACCTGTCTCTGTGTTGTTACCCAACTTAATTGTCAATTATGGTGATTAAGCTTGGCTTTCACTACCATCACTGGTAATCATTAGTATTATCTCTGAGGCTGAACGAAGGGAAAAAAATCATGCCAGAAAAAAATATCATTTTGTAGGTGAAGGTGAATATTTTGGTGTCAATGCATGAGGAGAATGGCATTTTTTTTTAATTTGGGCTGAACCAAACTTGAGTCTACCTGTTATTTCCAACCTGCCTTTTAGATGTGTTAGGACAAACGCTTCTCTTTTGTCACTTGGTTTTCTCTCACCAAAGAAGTGTTCCTGATGCCTATCCCTTTGCAATTCTCCTGAGATGAGCATAGGTAATTAAGACAGTAAGTTAGATAATTAATGCCTTTAAAATGCTTTCAGCAATGTCGGTGATTCCAAGTGTAATAGGTGGAGCCCTAGAAAAACTTGGGAGATAGCACAGAAAGTGCTGCCAATGTACAACTTGAGATTTTGATTGATGTTCTTTCTGCTTTCATCAGTCTCGTTAAATTTTAAGCACCTTACCTTGCCTTCTTGACTACAGGGTCATCTAATTTTGCATCTTGACTAATATTTTACTTTTTCGTGGAATTTGCAATGAACAATAATGAAAATCAACGACATTATCATTATCATCCTTTTCCTCCTTCTTTACAAATTTTAATTTAGTAAAATCCCAAACTCATTTCTGTTATGCTTTTATGGGATTTCAGGACATGGCAAAATAATGAAAGACATTTTTGAAAATGGTATCATTAGACATCATCTCTAGTATTTGAGTGCCATGTGTGTCCCCAAGGTTTATGACACTCTTAAGACTTGACAGTTTCCTTTATCTTTCCAAAACCCTTGGAGGAAACTAATAAGAGTTTTTTTTTAATTCTAACTTAATGGGAAGAAAGAAATTAAGTCATGCAAGCTTAAGGGATATGAAGTGTGAATCAGTGACTGTTGCCTTCTGGGGTAGAGGAGGAATGAGGCTCTATTCCAGATAGTCCTTAATGAAAACACCTAAAATCCATAACCTAGCAAAGATCCTCTGGCAAGTCTGGACTGAGGCTGGCAAGAGTTACAAATGAATTAGCTGGACAGTTTCCCTCTCTTCCCACTTTCCCATTCCCATTTAGTGTTCTTTACAGTGTTTTGTTTTTAAAGGCCTGATTATAACAAATGCTGTCTTCATCACTTGGTTTCCAAAACCCCTGTACTCAAGATTACAGAGTGTCCTCAGAAGCTTCATGGTTGCTCACCCGTGAAGAGTGGAGGACTGGAATCCAAACTCTTATGGTGCTTTTGTAATTTCTGTAAATATATATTTTTCTTGTAATTAAAAAATGTATTTTTTTAATTTCCCAAAAAGAATATAATTTATCATTTAGGAATAGAGGAGGAAGACAAATTACAGCTGAAACATTTTCTCTTTTATGAAGCTTTAACCAACTCTTCCTCTTCCAAGTCCCTAGGACAAAATAAATTGCCCTTTTTCCTGTGTTTCCCCTTTTTCCTGTGTTCTTTATTCTTGTGTGGATTTTAGAGTGACCACATTTTATTATAGTTATTTGTTGTATAATCCCACATTTTTATCCTTAAATTTTGGTCAAGAGAGGTCTTCTTTTTCAGCTGCTGTGTAATTAAGTTTAAGGGTGACGAAGGAAAGAGAAAATTCAAACAGCCAAGAACTGTGAAGGATGAGCCTTTTAAAGGAGAGCTTACTGCCTTATGGTGAACTGATTCAAATGCTTTGGTAACGTGGACATGCTGTTAAGGGCTGAGTGGTTTCTTTATCAAACAGCATTCTGCAAATTCATGGAGTTCCCACATAGACTTGCAAATGCTTGTACTTTGTGATAGAAATGTCTCTGGAAGAGCTGACTTTGGTCTAATTGTAAACTTTTCCATTTCTCTTAGTGTGTATGTATCCCCCATTAGGACAGATTGTATATTGTATTCATTCTTTTCCATATCCTAGCACAATGTCTGACACAAAGAGAACAGCAACAAATGTTTGCTAAATAGACTTACAGTATCACACGCTACCCCCATAACTCCAAAAATCAATTTTGAAATTAAAGGAGAAATAATGTTAGATATTCATGTTCTTCCTTTAAAGTCTGCACGTCCAACATATATTGGAAACAATGAAACAAGACATAATGATGTCTTTTGATATCAGAATCTCAAACTCCAGCTGATCCCCACCTCTTTTTGTTTTCATAGAACCTATGACTTCTCTCAAGAAGCTAGCAGGACAAGAAATTGCTGTTTCTAGACCCACCCTTTGCTTCTCCTTTGAGCTTATGGATCTGTTATTTTCTGGTTATTTAAATTTAAAGCTGCCTTTGAGATTTCAGCCCTCAGTATCAAGAGCTCCCAAAATTTTCCTGCAGAAATTCCTCAATTCAGCTATCTCTGCCAGTTGGGGTTTCTGAGGAAATGAACCAAAGCCGGCAGTGGTTGCTATGGTGACTGAGTCTCCCTGGAGTGAAGTCAGGGGAGCATCCATTTGAAGGAATGGGGGAGCTACATTCTAGAAGAATGACCATCTGCTAAGAATGAAGTGATCCCGGAGAAGGGGTGGGGTTAGGGGAATCTTAAGGAATATGGAAAAAATTAGAATAGATACTATGAGAGATGCATCAGCAACTCAACAAGAGATGAGTAAAGTGATTGCCTGAACAGCAGTGAGAGTCCAGCCTAGGAAAGATTGCATGTATCAGAGTGGACCCTGGGAGCACGGCTTTCTGGTTCTTCACAGAAATTCTCAGCAGCCTGGGAGTGGCAGCAGAGAAGAGGACAGAAGAAGTGACCATCGAATTGGCAAAGAAGAAACATGAAATATGTGTAGATCATGCACACTTGTGAGACATAAATACACTTCAGATTATGAAGAACTACATTCACAGAAGTTTTTGTTTAAAACAGTTTGCCACAGAATGAACAGAAGTTTGTTTGTGTGAAACTGAAGTGTGATGGAAAGCAAAACCTCTTATTATTTGTGCAATAATCCCCAAATCACAGTTACTATGAGGGTACATTTTATGATTTATTAGTAGAGACATAGTACTTGTTACATAGTCTAGCTCAGCAAATTCTTGTCTTGATATTTTAAAAATTATTTTCTGTCATGCAGGCTAGAGTGCAGTGACATAATCAGCTCACTGCAGGCTTGAACTCTTGGGCTCGAGAGATTCTCCCACCTCAGCCTCCCAGGTAACTGGGACTACAGGTGTGTGCCACCACACCTGGATAATTTTTTTTATAGAGTCAGGGTCTTACTATGCTGCCCAGACTGATCTTGAACTCTTGGGCTCAAGAGATCCTCCAGCCTCAGACTCCCAAAATGCTGGAATTAGTTTTAAACCACTGTGCCTGGCCATTTATTTATTTATTTATTTATTTATTTATTTAGACAGTCTCCCTCTGTCACCCAGGCTGGAGTGCAGTGGCGCAATCTCGGCTCACTGCAACCTCTGCCTCCCGGGTTCAAGTGATTCTCCTGCCTCAGCCTCCCGAGTAGCTGTGATAACAGGTGTGTGTCACCACGCCAGGCTAATTTTTTGTATTTTTAGCAGAGATGGGGTTTCACCATGTTAGCCTGGATGGTCTCAATCCCCTGACCTCGTGATCTGCCTGCCTCAGCCTCCCAAAGGTATTTATTTTTTAACCTGTTGATCCACTAGTTGGTAAGTCATTTGAAGGCAAGAATTACGCCTTATTCATTTTTTTTGTCCTTCGAAGCACTGATATAGGATTTCTTGCATAGTAGTTTCCTAATACCTGTTTGTTGCCCCAGAATAACGAATTCTCAAAGTTGGAAAGGAACTCGAAAGATCATAAGACACCATCCCATATCCAGGAATGAATTTCCTCCCAAACCTCCAGGGTAAATGGTGTTCCACCTCTCCATGGTGCCTCCAGTGATAGGGAGCCTGCTGCCTCCCACAGCAGCCCACCCCACAGTTGGACAGCTGGTATTGCTGGAAAGTGTTCCTTTGTACCGTGTTGAGATTTCAGCCAGCCTAGTGTGATAGCTCAAGCCTCTAATCCCAACTACTCAGGAAGTTGAGGTGGGAGGTTGGCTTGAGGCCCGGAGTTTCAGATCAACTGGAGCAACACAGCAACACTATGTCTCAAAAAAAAAAAAAAAAAAGAAAAAAAAAGAAAAAGAAAAAGAAAAAAGAAAAAGAAGAAAGAAAAAGAGAAAGAAAGAAAATTGCTTTCCTGTGATGTCTACTCATAGTGCCTTTTGCTGCTCTCAGAGCCACACATAGTTCCTTCATGAGTCCATCTCACAGCCCTTCAAGTATTTGAAGCAGCTTTCATGTTATTTGGGATCTAATATTGTCTATTCCTTTAAGTGTTCTTCAAATAAATGTTTTTCAAGATCCTCCATCTCTTCTCTTGGGGTCTGGTTAGCCAAAATTTCTCATAACATGCAGAGCCTGGAAAGAACCCCACACAACAGTGAGGCAAAACCAACACAGAGTAGAGCTGGACAAGGCTTCTGTTCATATACTTACGGACACTTAACTTTTCTGGCAGTGGTTCCTCTGACACCAATGTAACTAATAGTCAACTGAAGCACCCATGTTGTCTCCTGTAAACCACTGTGCAGTCCAATCTTACTCATTCCAGACTTGTGCAGCTGGGTTTAGAAACCAGGTAAATGGCATTATATTTATCCTTCTTAATTGATTGTCCTCATTTATCAGGGCTATTGAGATGCTTTTAAAAGCCTGGTTCCATGAGGAATAATGTTCCTTCCCTCTGGTGTTATTGTGAGGATTACGTGAAACAATGCATGCGAAGCACCTAAAATACCATGCACATAGTAGGTACTCAATAAATAGTAGTTCATGTGATTATGGCCAACCAAATTTGAATTAAATAATGAATTCTAAGTTCTCTGACACCTCTAGTATTCTGGGATAACAGAAACAAATATTATTTTTCACAGTAAACAAGTAATTTGGGACACCTGATTCTGTTTTATTACTCAACCTAACATTTTTATTTGTTGCATGTTTTAAAAACTCTGCCTGTAACTAAAAAGGAGTAGAAATAAGTTAGGTCACAAAGCAAAACACTCCTTATCCTTACTCGACAAGCATGTTATCCAAGCGATCTAAACAGTAAGATCATCAGATGAATGACTGTCAAAAGGAAAAGATTTGCTGAGAAAATATAGTCAGAAGCATCCATCAAAAATGGATGAAGTGGCAATTTCTACACTGGGAGTAAGACTGATAAATATAAACAAAACATGATGCCAAAAAGATATGTTTTTGTATTTAGTGCAAATTTGAGTTAACAAATGAAATAATTTGATATATGTAGGGATATCAAATGAGTTATACGTAGCTATAAGGAGTGACTTTTAGCTGGTTGCATTATTTGGGCCCTGAAGTTATCAAGCCTGTAATGTCAAATTTCCCAAAGTGTAGTTCAAAGACTTTATGCATCAGAATCACCTGGGGTGCTTGTTTAAGATGATTACTAGGTATTGTCCCAAACCACTAAATTATAATTACTAAAGATTGGACCCAGGAATCTGAACATTAACAAGCTTTCCAATTGATTCTGATGTCCACAAAAGGTTAAGAACCTCTGCAGTATAGGGTAACCTGGAGAGCAAAGGGTAGTTACTGCTTGGAGGAAAGAGAGGGAATTTCACCACCCCTACTGCAGGGACACGAATCTACTACATGCCTTGTCACTCCCTTAGAAGCTATTAACTTGAAAGCTAAGTCTCTCCCTTGATCTGCCTTACCCATTCTGGATCATAGTACAGATCATATAGAAAAACTGAGGCCTCCACAGCCATGAAACCTCTGAAAAGACTCAGCAAGATAACCTACCCAGGAGTAAGCTAATTCCTGAGAGATCAGAGAAGGCCTCCACCATTGCCAGCTTCCTATATCCAAAAAGCACCTGAAGGATTAATGATCTTGAGTGCATTGGACTTAACTTCCTGAATCACAACTGGGGACAGCACTCCTGCTCCATAGCAGTTCACTGCTAGCTGTCATGTTTGTACCATGTGACTCCACCTTTGTGGCTGACTGGAAGGGGAATGGATTCCTACCCAAGCTGTGACAATCAGATTTTCTCTCCTGAGGTTTTAGAATTGGATCTGAGAGTTAGCAAGTTGATTGCTCAGTTGGTTAGAAATAGAACATGTAAATTTGGGATCTCTGTTTACTCTGTGGACAAAAAAGCAGAAAAAATGAGTTGCATGTAGAGATAAGAAGGAAGCAAATGGGCAGAGAAGCAAAGACATGGGAACCGTTCCTGCTTCTAGCTTCTTCTGCAGATCCAGCTGCACTCTTGCCCTTGGGTTCTATGAGAGACCCTTGTATCCTTCTACCAAATCCTTCTTTACCATATTATACTGATTGAAGGAGCACTCTGTTACTTTCAGCTAGAAGGATCCTAATTAGCTAACTCCTTTTTGCCACGTCCATTTTTCCTTTCTCAGCACCCAGTGAAATCCTTTCCTGTTACCTACATTTCCACTCACATCTCTGTGTTCTGTGCCTTTGACTCAATTTCCCACTGTTGCCTTCCCACCCAAACTTTTCATGGAATCTGTCCTGTGACTGATAAACTCCTCTCCATCAGTAACTCATTGTTCTTTCTCCTCTGGCTTTAATTGAAGTCCAGTTCTTCTCAGAGGATAGCAGTACCCTGTGGCCCTCTCAAGAGGAGACTGTTCTTTTCATATGCTTGCTAATAGAGCAATCATTGTTCAGGACAGCAATGAGATTTCTAAAACTGGTTAGGCCAATCATGACTTATTCTGTAGGCTGGGTAGAGGCTCTCTTCCCTGAGGTTAAGAAATATCCACTGCATGTTTATCTGGGAAGAAGTAGGAGATTGGCTACTGGGTTGACCATGGTTTATGTCTGACATGTCTCCTGCTACCGCCTTCCCCCCATCACATACACCCATGAGAGTGTGCACACACACACGCACACACAGGCACACACGGGCACACATACTCCGTTCTCCAGCCACAGTGGAGATTCTTTCACCTTTGGACTTGTCCATATGCTGTTCCTATTGACTGATAACCTTTTCACCTTCTTCTTCACCAGACCAATACCTGTACACTTTTTAGGTCTCCCTAAAATGTCTCTTGCCCTGGGAAGTTTTCCCTGACAACCCCTCCTGAGTCAAGCACCCTTGCTGTGTTCTTTCATTACAGTGCATGTCCCTTATCTTCATGTTTATCTATCTTACAATAGTACTGTTTAAGTATCAGTCTTTTCTACAGCATCTTTCTCAGCACACATGGTAGAAAGAGGACATGCTGCCTTCCTTATCTTTGCATTCCCAGTAGCTGTAACAGTACCAGGTCAACAATGGCAGGAATTTTATAAGCATTTGTTGGGTAAATGAACAGTCTCCTTCTGAGCTGGGCTTAGATTTTATTAACCACCAGGTTTTCATAATTTGAGGACACATTCAAAATCCTGAGAGGTAAAGAGACCTCAGACAGATAACAAAATAGAGATGAGAAATTTTGCAGCTACAGAAATATAATGCATCATTTGACAACAAGCTGATTGTAGAATTTAGGCAATTTCCTGGGTGAGAGTCTGCCTTCTGACCTGAGGCACTGACAGACCCAGCCAATGTCCAGGCAGTGTGACAGAAGCTAGCATGGTTGTGCTTCTCTGGGCCATCCAGACTGATGAACCTCCCTCCTTGCTTTTCTCTACTTTTCCTCCTGTGTGGATCTTCATGTCTAGGGGCTGGGGAATGCAGACAGCATGTCTCTCTGGTTTTTTTAGTTTTGTTTTCTAGTCTTAATACCCTTCCTCTTTCCTTCCTCATTTCTCACTACTTACGCCAAGACAAACACTAGTGACTTTTCTTTCTTTTGTGTATGCTAGACAAGAAATGAAGTGTAGTTAAAACAGGAAGCTTTAGGTTAGATACTACCTTAGAATACTATGAAAAATGGAAGAAAAAGGGAGAAATAAGAGGTAATAAAGATAATAACAAGCAAATACCTAAAATTGTCTAGAGAGTGTTGGGAATCAAAGTTGGCCCTTTTCAGAGAGAAAACAGTCAATTGCTTTCTTAAATTTTCCTTTATACTAATATTTAATAATTATCTCTCTCATGATTCAAGCAGCCAGGTAACCTGAAAGAGAAAGATTGCCATGATATCTCTTACATTATTCTTCATTTTTAAAACAAAAGCAAAATCCTTATTTAAATAGCCAACATTAAACACAGCCATTTAAAATGATACAACAGGGGCATGGTTCCAAGATGGCTGAATAGGAACAGCTCCAGTCTACAGCTCCTAGCGTGAGCAATGCAGAAGACAGGTGATTTCTGCATTTCCAACTGAGGTACCGGGTTCATCTCACTGGGGCTTGTTGGACAGTGGGTGCAGGACAGTGGGTGCAGCTGACCGAGTGTGAGCTGAAGCATGGAGAGGCATCACCTCACCCAGGAAGCACAAGGGGTCAGGGAATTCCCTTTCCTAGCCAAGGGAAGCTGTGACAGACGGCATCTGAAAAATCGGGTCACTCCCACCCTAATACTGCGCTTTTCCAATGGTCTTAGCAAACGGCACACCAGGAAATTATAACCACGCCTCGCGTGGAGGGTACCACGCCCACGGAGCCTCGCTCATTGCTAGCACAGCAGCCTGAGATCGAGCTGTAAGGTGGCAGCGAAGCTGAGGGAGGGGCGCCTGCCATTGCTGAGGCTTGAGTAGGTAAACAAAGTGGCTGGGAAGCTCGAACAGCGTGGAGCTCACCACAGCTCAAGGAGGCCTGCCTGCCTCTGTAGACTCCACCACTGGGGGCAGGGCATAGCTGAACAAAAGGCAGCAGAAACCTCTGCAGACTTATATGTCCCTATCTGACAGCTTTGAAGAGAGTAGTGGTTCTCCCAGCATGGAGTTTGAGATCTGAGAATGGACAGACTGCCTCCTCAAGTGGGTCCCTAACCCCCAAAGTAGCCTAACTGGGAGGCAACCCCCCAGTAGGGGCAGACTGACACCTCACACAGCTGGGTACCCCTCTGAGACGAAGCTTCCAGAAGAATGATCAGGCAGCAACATTTGCTGTTCAGCATTATTCGCAGTTCTGCAGCCTCCACTGCTGATACCCAGGCAAACAGGGTCTGGAGTGGACCTCCAGCAAACTCCAACAGACCTGCAGCTGAGGGTCCTGACTCTTAGAAGGAAAACTAACAAACAGAAAGGACATCCACATGAAACTCCCATCTGTACATCACCATCATCAAAGACCAAAGATAGATAAAACCACAAAGATGGGGAAAAAACAGAGCAGAAAAGCTGAAAATTCTAAAAATCAGAGCGCCTCTCCTCCAAAGGAACGCAGCTCCTTGCCATCAATGGAACAAAGCTGGATGGAGAATGACTTTGAGAAGTTGTGAGAAGAAGGCTTCCGATGATCAAACTTCTCTGAGCTAAAGAAGGAAGTTCGAACCCATTGCAAAGAAGCTAAAAACATTGAAAAAAGATTAGACGAATGGCTAACTAGCATAATCAGTGTAGAGAAGTCCTTAAAGGACCTGATGGAGCTGAAAACCATGGCAAGAGAACTACGTGACAAATGCACAAGCTTCAGTAGCCAAATTGATCAACTAGAAGAAAGGGTATCAGTGACTGAAGATCAAATGAATGAAATGAAGCAAGAAGAGAAGTTTAGAGAAAAAAGAGTAAAAAGAAATGAACAAAGCCTCCAAGAAATATGGGACTATGTGAAAAGACCAAATCCACGTCTGATCAGTGTACCTGAAAGTGACAGGGAGAATGGAACCAAGTTGGAAAACACTCTGCAAGATATTATCCAGGAGAATTTCCCCAATCTAGCAAGCCAGGCCAACATTCAAATTCACGAAATACAGAGAACACCACAAAGACACTCCTCGAGAAGAGCAACTCCAAGACACATAATTGTCACATTCACCAAAGTGGAAATGAAGGAACAAATGTTAAGGGCAGCCAGAGAGAAAGGTCGGGTTACCCACAAAGCGAAGCCCAAAAGACTAACAGCAGATCTCTCGGCAGAAACTATACAAGTCTGAAGGGAGTGGGGGCCAATATTCAACATTCTTCAAGAAAAGAATTTTCAACCCAGAATTTCATATCCAGCCAAACTAAGCTTCATAAGTGAAGGAGAAATAAAATCCTTTACAGACAAGCAAATGCTGACAGATTTTGTCACCACCAGGCCTGCCCTAGAAGAGCTCCTGAAGGAAGCACTAAACATGGAAAGGAACAACCGGTACCAGCCACTACAAAAACATGCCAAATTGTAAAGACCACCTATGCTAGGAAGAAACTGCATCAACTAACGAGCAAAATAACCAGCTAACATCATAATGACAGGATCAAATTCACACGTAACAATATTAACCTTAAATGTAAATGGGCTAAATGCAAATTGGAGAAAGAGTCAAGACCCATCAGTGTGCTGTATTCAGGAAACCCATCTCATGTGCAGAGGCACACATAGGCTCAAAATAAAGGGATGGAGGAAGATCTACCAAGCAAACGGAAAACAAAAAAAAGCAGGAGTTGCAATCCTAGTCTCTGATAAAACAGACTTCAAACCAACAAAGATCAAAAGAGACAAAGGCCATTACAAAATGGTAAAGGGATCAATTCAACAAGAAGAGCCAACTATCCTAAATATATATGCACCCAATACAGGAGCACCCAGATTCATAAAGCAAGTCTTTAGAGACCTACAAGGAGACTTAGCCTCCCACACAATAGTAATGGGAGACATTAACAACACCCCACTGTCAACATTAGACACATCAATGAGACAGAAAGTTAACAAGGATATCCAGGAATTCAACTCAGCTCTGCACCAAGTGGACCTAATAGACATCTACAGAACTCTCCACCCCAAATGAACAGAATATACATTCTTCTCAGCACCACATTGCACTTATTCCAAAATTGACCACATAGTTGGAAGCAAAGCACTACTCAGCAAATGTAAAAGAACAGAAATTATAAGAAACCATCTCTCAGACCACAGTGCAATCAAACTAGAACTCAGGATTAAGAAACTCACTCAAAACTGCTCAACTACATGGAAACTGAACAACCTGCTCCTGAATGACTACTAAGTGCATAACAAAATGAAGGCAGAAATAAAGATGTTCTTTGAAACCAATGAGAACAAAGACAACATATCAGATTCTCTGGGACACATTTAAAGCAGTGTGTAGAGGGAAATTTATAGCACTAAATGCCCACAAGAGAAAGCAGGAAAGATCTAAAATTGACTCCCTAACATCACAATTAAAAGAACTAGAGAAGCAAGAGCAAACACATTCAAAAGCTAACAGAAGACAAGAAATAACTAAGACCAGAGTAGAACTGAAGGACATAGAGACACAAAAAAACCCTTCAAAAAAAATCAGTGAATCCAGGAGTTGGTTTTTTGAAAAGATCAACAAAACTGATAGACCGCTAGCAAGACTAATAAAGACGAAAAGAGAGAAGAATCAAATAGACGCAATAAAAAATGATACGGGGGATATCACTACTGATCCCGCAGAAATACAAACTACCATCAGAGAATACTATAAACACCTCTACACAAACTAACTAGAAAATCTCGAAGAAATGGATAAATTCCTTGACACATACACCCTCCCAAGACTAAACCAGGAAGAAGTTGAATCCCTGAATAAACTAATAACAGGCTCTGAAATTGAGGCAATAATTAATAGCTTACCAACCAAGAAAAGTTCAGGATGAGAGGATTCACAGCCAAATTCTACCAGAGGTACAAGGAGGAGCTGGGACCATTCCTTCTGAAACTATTCCAATCAATAGAAACAGAAGGAATCCTCCCTAACTCATTTTATGAGGCCAGGATCATCCTGATACCCAAAGCCTGGCAGAGACACAAGAAAAAAAGAGAATTCTAGACCAATAGCCCTCATGAACATCGACACAAAAATCCTCAATAAAATACTGGCAAACTGAATCCAGCAGCACATCAAAAAGCTTATCCACCATGATCAAGTGGGCTTTATCCCTGGGATGCAAGGCTGGTTCAACATATGCAAATCAATTAATGTAATCCAGCATACAAACAGAACCAAAGACAAAAACCACATGATTATCTCAATAGATGCAGAAAAGGCCTTTGACACATCAACAGCCCTTCATGCTAAAAACTCTCAATAAATTAAGTACTGATGGGACATATCTCAAAATAATAAGAGCTATTTATGACAAAACCACAGCCAATATCACACTGAATGGGCAAAAACTGGAAGCATTCCCTTTGAAAACTGGCACAAGACAGGGATGCCCTCTCTCACCACTCCTATTCAACATATTGTTGGAAGTTCTGGCCAGGGCAATGAGGCAGGAGAAGGAAATAAAGGGTATTCAATTAGGAAAAGAGGAAGTCAAATTGTCCCTGTTTGCACATGACATGATTGTATATCTAGAAAACCCCATCATCTCAGCCCAAAATCTCCTTAAGCTGATAAGCAACTTCAGCAAAATCTCAGTATACAAAATCAATGCGCAAAAATCATAAGCATTCTTATACACCAATAACACACAAACAGCCAAATCATGAGTGAACTCCCATTCACAATTGCTTCAAAGAGAATAAAATACCTAGGAATCCAACTTACAAGGGATGTGAAGGATGTGAAGGACCTCTTCAAGGAGAACTACAAACCACTGCTCAATGAAATAAAAGAGGACACAAACAAATGGAAGAACATTCCATGCTCATGGGTAGGAAGAATCAATATTGTGAAAATGGCCATACTGCCCAAGGTAATTTATAGATTCAATGCCATCCCCATCAAGCTACCAATGACTTTCTTCACAGAATTGGAAAAAACTACTTTAAAGTTCATATGGAACCAAAAAAGAGCCCACGTCACCAAGTCAATCCTAAGCCAAAAGAACAAAGCTGGAGGCATCACACTACCTGACTTCAAACTATACTACAAGGCTACAGTAACCAAAACAGCATGGTACTAGTACCAAAACAGAGATATAGACCAATGGAACAGAACAGAGCCCTCAGAAACAATATCACACATCTACAACCATCTGATCTTTGACAAACCTGACAAAAACAAGAAATGGGGAAAGTATTCCCTATTTAACAAATGGTGCCGGGAAAACTGGCTAGCCATATATAGAAAGCTGAAACTGGATCCCTTCCTTACACGTTATACAAAAATTAATTCAAGATGGATTAAAGACTTACATGTTAGACCTAAAACCATAAAAACCCTAGGAGAAAACCTAGGCAATACCATTCAGGACATAGGCATGGGCAAGGACTTCATGTCTAAAACACCAAAAGCAATGGCAACAAAAGACAAAATTGACAAATGGGATCTAGATAAACTAAAGAGCTTCTGCACAGCAAAAGAAACTACCATCAGAGTGAACAGGCAACCAATAGAATGGGAGAAAATTTTTGCAATCTACTCATCTGACAAAGGGCTAATATCCAGAATCTACAATGAACTCAAGCAAATTTACAAGAAAAAAATGAACAACCCCATCAAAAAGTGGGCTAGGGATATGAACAGACATTTCTCAAAAGAAGACATTTATGTAGCCAAAAGACACATGAAAAAATGCTCATCATCGCTGGCCATTAGAGAAAATGCAAATCAAAACCACAATGAGATACCATCTCACACCAGTTAGAATGGCGATCATTAAAAAGTCAGGAAACAACAGGTGCTGGAGAGGATGTGAAGAAATAGGAACACTTTTACACTGTTGGTGGGACTGCAAACTGGTTCACCCATTGTGGAAGACAGTGTGGCGATTCCTCAAGCATCTGGAACTAGAAATATCATTTGACCCAGCCATCCCATTACTGGGTATATACCCAAAGGATTATAAAACATGCTGCTATAAAGACACAGGGACACGTATGTTTATTGCGGCACTATTCACAGTATCAAAGACTTGGAACCAACCCAAACGTCCAACAGTGATAGACTGGATTAAGAAAATGTGGCATATATACACCATGGAATACTATGCAGCCATAAAAAAGGATGAGTTCACGTCGTTTGTAGGGACATGGATGAAGCTGGAAACCATCATTCTCAGCAAACTATCGCAAGGACAAAAAACCAAACACAGCATGTTCTCACTCATAGGTGGGAACTGAACAATGAGAACACATGGACACAGGAAGGGGAACATCACACACCAGGGCCCGTCGTGGGGTGAGGGGTGGGGGGAGGGATAGCATTAGGAGATATACCTAACGTAAATGACAAGTTAATGGGTGCAACACACCAACACAGCACATGTATACATATGTAACAAACCTGCACGTTGTGCACAGGTACCCTAGAACTTAAAGTATAATAAAAAAAATCACCAAAAACAATAAATAAAATGATATAACAAATGTATGAAAAATACAAGATTCAAAGAAGTCACTTAGGTAAAATCAGCAATCTTTCTCACATTGTTATTTATGAATGTTCAATCCAGCCCTGATTTATATCCTTAGGTTTTTGCAAAGGTTCCTTTCTAACTCATCTTGAGTTCTTATATTGTTAACACTCCCTAAACATCTTATTGAGACAAATCAGGGATTTCAGGCTATCTTAATATGAAAAGCTTTACCCATCTGCCACAACTTCCCTCGGTCATAGCCACAAGTATTCTTTACCCTGCTTAACTGTTAGGACTAAATCTAGAACCTGCATCACCTTCCCCTTGGCTCAACTGCTGCTGCTGCGGCTTTTACTTATTTTCTTACAAACAACATAAAGAGAAAATGATCAATTTTTCATGTTAGCTGTCTGTGACAGTAGCATGAACCTCTGTGTCTTTTTCACAATAAGGGGGTCATATTTTATCCTCCTCAGAAAAAGAATAGTAGCTACTCCTCTTCTAAAACAGCTTTTCCTCACTGGGAAACCCTTAAGTTTGCATAAAACAAACAATTTTATGCAAAGCTTAAAGTTATGCTTTATGCATAGTGGTTGCTCTATAAGGCTGTTGATGAAACAAAGTCCTTCCAGTTAAAGAAACCATGTGCCTGTCATATAAGACAAGCATCAAACACACACACACACACACACACACACACGTGCAAATTGAAAATTTAGCAATGCTTTATAAGGATACTCAGTAACTCCATTTTACCACAATCCTCCCTGAAAAAAGTCAGATGAACACTCATGTGCCATGATGACATAACCTCATTTCTTTTGGAGTCTAATGTTATTTTTCTCCCTAAACCCCAAACTGCAGAAATACCAAAGGCTGCCAGCAAAAGAAGTAGTTGAGCTGCTGAATCAATGAATCCTGGATGCACCCTTGGAAAACTGTGATTAGCTTTCTCTGCAATCAGGATCATTCAGGGGAGCAGAGTAACCACATGGAAAGTTGCCTTCTTCCAACTCTCCTACACTGAACATTTTATTCTTGGTGTCTCTACCTCCTGTGTGTATCACAGGATGAGGCAGTGGAATAGTTAGTTGATCCCCAGGTTTTCCTGTCACCTGTACCTGCCTTGTGGGTTGTTAAGCTGAGCCAAATTATTCCAGAGGAGGTGAATTCCAGAATTTTTTTCAACAATTCAATAGAGTTTCAAAATTTCAGAATACAGTCCCAAATTATAGGTAGAGTCATTCTTTTTCTAGTGACTTATATTCACATTTGATATTCTAAACTAGTAACTAAATCTCTCCCCTCTTACATGTATATAGAGGGAATATTTAGGCAAGGAGAGAGGGATATCAACAACAGCTTAATATGTACTGACTACTCCATGTCCAAAGCTCCATTTATTGTCTCAATTAATCCCCAGACACTTCTGTAGATTAGATACTATAATTATCTCCATCGTACAGATAAGGAAGCTGAGGTTTAAAAAGTCAGTAATGTGCCCAAGGTCAAATAGTTATTAGAACTGGGATAACCTGGAATCTGACCCTTACTTCATTGCCACTCAGCTATTTCAAAGCTCCTGGCTGGTACAACCAAAGAGGATATGGCCAGAGGCAGGGTGGGAATCCTGGTTCTGTCCCATCATGTTTAGGCTCTGCGAATGGGGAGGAGACTTCTTGGCCACTGAGAGAAGCTTTTGTTCTTTTATCTACAGATCAAAAAGAAATAAGAATATAGAAAGGTTTCTCACCTACATACCCAAGGCCCATAGCTTTAGTGACATCTTGTAACTTCACTCACTCCTGGCGAGTTGTGGTAGTAAAAGTTTATTGTTAATTTTGTGAGGTTTTGTTTCTGTTTGTTTGTTCTGCAGAAATCTTATGCATGGCACTCTGTTCTTCATGACACACGATCTGCTCTTAAATCCCCTTCTTCGAATGAGCAGTTCAAAGGAGTGTAGTGACTATTTACATTCATAAACTATATCAGTGACAGAAGTGGCATGAAAATGACCCAATCCTAAATCCTTATGGAAATAGTCTTTTCTCTCACTTTGTGGGTCATGATAAGCTAGTACAATATGGAGGGCAAGGTAGAAAAGTGTGTTTCAACTCCATACACACTGCTGCAGAAAAGCACATGCCCTGCCAATGGTACTGATTCACTGCCAAGTCGCACTATTCTGAAAGGAATCAATTGAGTTATCCTGCATGCAATCTTTAACCAGTCCCTCTTCCTTTCATGCATACATATTCATCACTTTTATCAGAAAATAATCCATTCTGGAGAGGCAGCTGCTTTCTAAATAAATTGCTGTTCCTTAGCAGCTGAATCCAACAGGCTGTTTTTCTCACTTCGGTGAATTTGTTCTGACAACAGTGCACGCCAGTCATTTGCTCTTTTCCTTTCATGATTTGGTTTTATTATTAATCTATTCATTATGTTTATTGGCTCTGTCCATTATTTAAGAGCCTCAGTGCATATTTACAAGTACAATAAAAAGAGACAGCCTCAGCCATTGTAGCATACAGGCTAATAGGCAGTCAAGACATAAAATGATCCTTCTCTCTTCACCTCTGACTAAAGCTATGTGGGGCTGTTGGGTTGACAAACCAAATCAACATGCTAGTACAATATGACCCAGTCAAATAGCCAGATGATGTAATCAAGCAATTGGTTTGCTTTATTTTTCCTCCATTTAATCAAAATTTAAGGATTAATTGTTCTTTTTAAAAATTACTGACATATAACCCACATACCATAAAATTCACCCTTTTTAAGTGAGCAATTCAGTGGTTTTTAGAATATTCACAAAGTTATGTAGTCATCACTACTATATAATTTCCAGAACATTTTCATCACCCCTAAAAGAAATCCATATTATTAGCAGTCACTTGCCTTTTCCCTTCCTCCTAGCCCCTAACAACCATCAATCTACTTTCTATCTCTCTGGATTTGCTTATTCTGGACATTTTACATAAATAAAATCATATAATATGTGGCCTTTTATGTCTGTCTTCTTTCACCTAGCATAGTGTTTTCAAGGTCCATCCATGTTTTGGCATGTACCAGTACTTTAATCATTTTTATGCCTGAATAATGTCCCTTAGTGTAGATGTACTACATTTTATACATTCATCAGTTAATGGACATTTGGGTTGCTTCCACTTTTGGACTATTATGAATAATTCTGCTAGAAACACTTGTGCACAATTTTTTTGTGAACATGTTTCATTTCTCTTGAGTATCTTCATAGGAGTGGAATTTCTGGGTCATAACTCTATATTTAACATTTTGAGGAACTGCCAAATTGTTCCAAAGTGTCTGCACCATTTTACATTCCCAACAGCAATGTACAAAATGTACAAGAGTTGTAATTTCTCCACATCTTCACCAACACTTGTTATTATCTTGTTAGTTATAACCACCCTAGTAGATGTGATGTGATATCTCACTGACTGTATTCATAATTACTTTTTTCCTTATGGCTAATGATGTTGTACAGATTTACATATGCTTATTGTCCATCTATATATCTTCTTTAGAGAAATATTTATTCAGCTATTTTGTCCATTTTTAAATTGCGTTATTTGTTCTTTAATTGTGAATTTTAAGGTATGTATTCATTCTTATCACATATGTGATTGGAAAATATTTTCTCCATTCCTGTGGGTTGTCTTCTTGCTTCTTAATAGTGTTCTTTGTAACACAAAAGCTTTCAATTTTTAGGAAGTCTGATTTATGCATTTTTTTCTTGATTGTGCTTTGCTTTTGATGTTATATTTGAGAATCCATTGTATAATCCAAGGCCATGATGATTTACATCTATATTTTATTCTAAGAGTTGTATAGTTTTCTTATATCTAGGTCCATTTTAAATTAATTTTTGTATATTATATGAAATTTCATCCATTTTAAATTAATTTTTGTCTATTATATGAAATTGGATCCATTTTAAATTAATTTTTGTATATTCTGTGAAATAGGTGTCAAATTTTATTCTTTCGCATGTGGCTATTCAGTTGTTCCAGCAACATTTGTTGAAAAGACTATTCTTTCCTCCTTTGAATTATCTTAGTACCCTTGTTGAAAGTCAATTGATCGTAAACGTATGAACTTGTTTCTGGATTCTCAATTCTATTCCATGGATTGACTGATCGACTGGTTGATTGATTTTTGAACAAGATCTTGCTCTGTCACCCAGGCTGGAGTGCAGTGGTACAATCACAGCTCATTGCAGCCTCAAACTCCTGGGCTCAGGCGATCCTCCTGCCCCAGCCTAGGACTAGTAGCTAGGACTACAGGCACACACCCCCACGCACTGCTAACATTGATTTAAATAGCTTGCTTATCGTAGCTTTGTAATAAGTTTTGGAATCACAAAGTGTGAGCTTTCCAATTTGTTCTTCTTTTTCAGTATCATCTTGGGTCCTTCGCTTTTTCATGTAAATTTTAGGATCAGCTTGTCAATTTCTGCAAAAAAGGGAAGCAGCTGGTATTTTAATAAAGGTGTTAAATCTGTAGTTCAATTTGGATAATACTGCCATCTTAACAATATTAATTATTCCAATCCATAAACACAGAATGTCTTTCCATTTATTTATGTCTTTTTAAATTTATTTCAGTGACATTCAAGAACAATCCAATAATCATTCTTTATTGAAATAAACAGGTGGTTCAGAGACATAGAGAGACATAGAATGAATTAATCTCCCCCTCTCTCATTTTCCCTGTCTTTCATTGTTTCTCTTGCCCTCTCACTCTCATTTTCTCTCTTGGCTTCATTATAAAGCAGCAGAAAAACACATTTTAAAAATATTTGAAAGAAATCTTATTATTAACACCACATTTAAAAAAATAAGCATAATCCCAGCAGTAGTCCCAGCACTGGTTATTTCCACCAGAGACACAAACAACACATATTCTGTTTCTTGTATGGCAATTGCACTTCACTATAGAAATACAAACCATTTTAGATGTCAATATAGTCTAATGGCAACATTTTATGTTACAACTGGTGAGCACTAGGGCATAGCTAGCAGATGATCTGCAGCTTTTCTCTCAAATTCACCCAAATATGGAGTCTATTTACTCAATACCTTCTTTATTTATAGAATTCCATGAATGTAAACACACACACACACACACACACACACACACACACACGGCATATCCCTACTAAAACAGATGTTTACAAAAACAGAATCTGTTCCCTCAAGAAGGTAACAGGCTGGGTGAGGTGGCTTGTGCCTGTAATCCCAGCTGTTTGGAAGGCCAAGGCAGGAATGCTTGAGGCTAGGAGTTTGAGACCAGCCTGGGTAACATAGTGAGACTCATCTCTACAAAAAATACAAAAATTAGCCAGGTGTGATAGTGTGTGCCTATTGTCCCAGCTACTCAAGAGGCTGAGGTGGAGGACTGCTTGAGCCCAGGAGTTTGAGGTTGCAATGAACTATGATCATGCCACTGCACTCCAGCCTGAGTAACAGGGCAACAGAGTGAGACCCTGTCTCTAAAACAAACAACAAAAAAAGCAACAGTTTGTTTAGAAAGAGCCTGTGCACATATGAAACCATTTGGTAGTGGTGTAGCAGGGCCCACAGTAATAATATCAAATGGATGGCCAAGGAAGACCACAAATGAGAGGTAAGACAAAGGAATACTTGTGTGGTCCCTGCCTACCACACACTTTCCATCTCATGCAAAAATGTCCATCTGAGGGTCTCTAATTAAGAAAGACGTTTTAGGCATCGTGAAAATGCTCTCTTCCCACTTGGTCTTCTTAGGGATTGCGCTTTCCCTTCTGGGTCTTCACGATCATTGTTTCAATGATGCCCTTCCCAGCATGTTCCGCCACCATTTTCACCTATAGTCACTGTCAATATCCAGCCCTTCATTATCCCCACCACCCAACTTCTCAGCTCTTTATGGTGGTTTGTCGGGGCCTCTTGGAGTTACGAAATCCAACCTGATTCCTATTGATTCATATTAGCAATACCTCATTGATTCTAGTAAATGTCGCCATAAAAATTACTTCACATTTTTACCCTATGTCTTCACTCTTAATGAATAATATGTTCTCCCACTTCAGACAGAGATCATAAGCATGAATATTTCTACCTAAATATATTTCCTAAAAGCAGTTTCTCATCTTCCTGTTTCAGAGTAACCATTTTACCTTCTCAAAGCACTAACCCCTCAATTTGTAACTCTCCTACTTTATCAGGAAGCTAGCTGCAATAAATACATTCCTACTCTCTTGATATCTTCTCTCTCTCTCTTTCTTTCTCTCTCCCCCCATGAGGGCTCATTTCTTTTCATCTCCAAACAAAACAAAAGAAAAATAACAAACAACTTTCTTTCACACAGGTACCCATTTTGGTCATTGCCTCCTTTTCTTCCTCTTTTGTGTGCACATTTTTTTTTTAGTATGCAATTGGATTTCACTTTATCCTCTGTTTACCCATTTACTTCTCAATATCATGCAATCTGGCATCAACTCTTAACATTCAATTTCTCCTCATCCTTTTTGTCAAACCACATCCCATGCTCCTTCTCTGCCTTTCTTTCTGCTAGAGGTTAGCACAGGGTCCTGCGCTTTTAAGATTTACAGAGAAATTGTCTCTCTGGACTGCTTCTGCCCCACACAGAAGTATGACACTCTGAACCCCTTCTCATCTTCAGCTTTCCTGAAATTCTCAATGAATTCTATAATAGGCACTTTTCCAAAATGTTTCCTACTCTTTTCCTCTTTGTGTCCTTAGCTGATTCCCCTTTATCTCCACAGTGCATGGACTGTTCATTTATCGTTCTGCATGTCCAGCGCCCATTAAAAGGACTTCTTTCTTGACTTTTGTTTGATGATGTCTTTCTGATTATCACCAATACTATTGTGACAAGGGCATAGAAATTTATCTGAAACCTAGTAAAGCTTGAAAATTATGTCTATCTATTTTGGATTGCCTGTTTTTAAAGAGATTTATTGCAATATTTTCTTAAATTTGACTTATTTCAACTTACGAGGCTCCAATAGAGACCAAATTGAGATGCAAATAGAGAAGTTCCTTGTCATTTTTCGGAAATTAAAGTGTTACTATAGCTTCTTGAGTTTCATGAGTTGACTTCTCTTTGACCCTAAACCAAATTAAAGGTACATATTAAAAAGAATTTTAACATTCTCCTTAAGTTCTTACTCTCAAGGCTTATTTAGTAAAAGTGTACATCAGTGACATCAAGTTTCTTCAATTTCTTTGAATAAAGTCATTGCTGAACAAGGGGGGCTGTCCACATTTCTCATTTGTAATCTTGTTTTTTGTTTTTGGTAGAGATGGGGTTTTACCATGTTGCCCAGGCTGGTTTCAAACTTCTGGGCTCAAGTGGTCCTCTAACCTAGGCTTCCCAAAGTGCTGGGATGACAGGCATGAGCCACAGCACCTGGCCCTGTAATCTGTTAATTTACGCAGTATTAGTTGAGCATACCAGGAGTAGCTTCGGATGAGAAATGACTTTTGAACTGAATCTGTGAAAATGTTTACTAGGTGAAAAAAGTCTCAGATGTAGGGAGGAAAGGGCATGAGAAGACATTCAAGGAAGAAGGAACGAGCACTAACAAAGGCAGAGAACTATGAAAGGATATCATGTTTGAGTGATTGCAAAGATTTCAACGTGGCTGGAGTATAGGGTAGAATAGTGGAAAATTAGGCAGGAAGCAAGCATAGGCTGTGGTTAGACTGGAAAAGTGCTTGTGCATCAAACAGGGGAGGGAGTAGTGGTTGAGAGAGGGCCCAAGAAAGACTGGCAATTTTCTGTTTTTTAACCTGAGTCATGGTTATAGGAGTGTTTGTTTCATGGTATTTTGTGTACTTCTGTATTTTGTGTACTTCTGTGTATATGTGTTATAGACAAAACATTTTTAATAGGAAAAAATAGAAAACTCATTAATATTCTAACATATGGTAGCTAGACACACCTAGAAATAAAGCAACTAAAACAGTTCTTGGCACATAGAAAAAGCTATGAGAGTCAATATTATCTTTTAAAGACAATCTTTGTCCGACTCCTGGTTCCCAGCTTCCTTTCCTAAACAACTTTAACAGTGTCTTCCAGAAATCTTTTAGGCACTTAGAAACACCCCTCTACTCTCTCTACACTTTGAATTATCAGGGCTAAAGAGCTGGCTTGATCTTCTCTATCCATGCATACACTCTTGAATTCAGGGTCTGCAAGTGATTCAATGCTGTATCTCCCTCAGTTCTTATCCCAGGACTTTTTGCCCAGTAGGAGCTCAGCATATATTTGTAAAGGGAATAAGTAACCTCTTCCTGTTTCCACTCAAACTCAATATCAAAGTTAGCACTTGTATCATAGGCTAATCTAACAGAGGTGACACCTTAGTGCAAGAGAGCGTTACCAGTAGCTGAATGGACATATTGCTTCCCATTAAAGAATGGCTAGGGAGTGGGGCCTGGATGGCCAACTAGAGCAGCTGAGATAGGAGACTCCCGCTGAAAAGAACCAAAACAGCCTGCGAATCCTGCACTGGCAACCGAGGTACGCAGGTTCTGCCATCAGGACTGACTAGGTGGCTGGCATGACCCACGGACAGGAGGAAAGAGCAGGGTGGTGCATCAGCCTACCTGAGAGCTGCATGGGGCAGGGGAGCCCCTACCCCCAGCCAAGGGAGGCAGTAAGTGAGCATGTTACCTACCCAGCCTGGGAAACCGTGCTTTTTCCATGGAACTGTGCAACCCATGGATTGGAAGATCCCATTGGTGAACCCATGCCATCATGGAGCCTTGCAGATTCTCAACGGCCACTTGGCTGGAATCTGCCTAAGTCTACTGAGTTCCCTCAGGGGAGAGGCGGCCATCACCATTGCTGCTGCCTGCTGTCTAAGCTGTCTGAGCTCCATGGAGGAGTGGTGGCAGCCACCACCACAGTTGCCTAAGACAAAAGAGCTCCCTGAGGGAGGGGCGACCACCACCACTGCTGCTGCCTGATGTCTAAGCTATCTGAACTCCCTGGGGGAGATGTGGCAGCCAACATTGCAGCTGCTAGCTACCTAAGACACTAAGCTCCCCGGGGAGAAGGGTGGCAGCCATTACTATAGCTCCAGGCTGTGCTTTTTCCCCTGCTGGAGCCACGGTGGCTGGATGGCTTGGTCCCAAGAGGTATTCCCCACAGCACAGCACACTGGCTGTGGCAGACCGTGGCCAGACTGCCTATTTAGGCCAGGCCCTGACCCATCCCTCCTCACTGGGTGGGGTGTCCCTGCAGGACCTCCAACAACTCCAGACAGGGGCTCAGGGACAGAACTCTCATCTGCCTGGGCTGGAGTCCATAGGGGTAGGGGTGGCCATAGTCTCTGTGGACCAGCAGACTTAGTCTTTCCTTCTGCTACCTCTGAGGTATCTGGGCAGCCCAGACAAGTGGGTTTCCCCACAGTGCAGCACACTCCCTCCACTAAGAGATAGCCAAAGTGCTTTGTTAAATGGGTCCTGTTTCTGTGCCCCCCTACTGGGTGAGACCTCACAACAGGGGTCACCAGGAGCATTCATACTGGCATCAGGTTGATGTCCCTCGAGGTCAGAGATCCCAGAGGAAGGAGCAGGCACCCATCTTTGCTTTCTCCAGCCTCCTGGGGTGACATCTCCAGGCATGGGAGTGAACCAGATGAATAGGGCCTGAAGTGAACCCCAAGCAAACCGCAGCAGCCCTACAGAAGAGGGTCTTGACTGTTCAAAGAAAAACAAACAGAAAGCAACAACAATAGTATCAACAACAAAAAAAAGTACCCACAAAAACCCCATCTAAGGGTCAGCAACCTCGAATATCAAAACTAGACAAACTCATAAAAATGAGAAAGAATCAATGAAAAAATGCTGAAAATTCAAAAGGCCAGAGTGCCTCTTCTCTTCCAAATTATCACAACACCTCTCTAGCAAGGGCACAGAATTGGATGGAGGATGAAATGGATGAATGGAATTGACAGAAGTAGGCTTCAGAAGGTGGGTAATAACAAACTTCACTGAGGTAAAGGAGCATGTTCTAACCCAATGCAAAGAAGCTAAGAACCATAATAAAAAGTTACAGGAGCTGCTAACTAGAATAACCAGTTTAGAGAGGAATACAAATAACCTGATGAAGCTGAAACACACAGCACGAGAACTTTGTGAAGCACACACAAATATCAACAGCCAAATCGATCAAGTGGAAGAACAAATGTCAGAGATCACAGACTATCTTGCTGAAATAAGGCAGGCAGACAAAATTAGAGAATAAATGAAAAGGAACAAACAAAACCTCTAATAACTATGGGACTATGTAAAAAACCAAACCTACAATTGATTGGTGTACCTGAAAGACATGGGAAAAATGGAACCAAGTTGGAGAACATACTTCAGGATATCGTCCAAGAGAAATTCCCCAACAAAGCAAGACAGGCCAACATTCAAATTCAGAAAATACAGAGAACCCCACTAAGACACTACATGGGAAGATCAACCCCAAGACAAATAATCATCAGATTCTCCAAGGTTGAAATGAGGGAAAAAATGTTAAGGGCAGCCAGAGAGAAAGGCCAGGTCACCTACAAAGAGGAGTCCATCAGACTAACAGTGGATGTGTCAGCAGAAACCCTACAAGCCAGAAGATAGTGTGAAATAATATTCTGTATTCTTAAAGAAAAGAATTTCCAACCCAGAATTTCATATCCAGCTAAACTAAGCTTCATAAGTGAAGGAAAAATTAAATCCTTTTCAGACAAGCAAATGCTGAGGGAATTTGTCACCACTAGGACTGCCTTGCTAGAGCTCCTAATGGAAACACTAAATATGGAAATGAAAAACTGGTACCAGCCCATTCCTTCTGAAACGATTCCAATCAATAGAAAAAGAGGGAATCCTCCCTAATTCATTTTATGATGCCAGCATCATCCTGATACCAAAACCTGGCAGAGACACAATAAAAAAAGAGAATTTTAGACCAATATCCCTGATGAACATCGATGCAAAAATCCTCAATAAAATACTGGCAAACTGAATCCAGCACCACATCAAAAAGCTTATCCACCATGATCAAGTGGGCTTCATCCCTGGGATGCAAGTCTGGTTCAACATATGAAAATCAGTAAAAGTAACCCAGCATATAAACAGAACCAATGACAAAACCCACATGATTATCTCAATAGATGCAGAAAAGGCCTTAGACAAAATTCAACAACCCTTCATGCTAAAAACTCTCAATAAATTAGGTATTGATGGGACGTATCTCAAAATAATAAGAGCTATCTATGACAAACCCACAGCCAATATCATACTGAATGGGCAAAAACTGGAAGCATTCCCTTTGAAAACTGGCACAAGACAGGGATGCCCTCTCTCACCACTCCTATTCAACATAGTGTTGGAAGTTCTGGCCAGGGCAATCAGGCAGGAGAAGGAAATAAAGGGTATTCAATTAGGAAAAGAGGAAGTCAAATTGTCCCTGTTTGCAGAAGACATGATTGTATATCTAGAAAACCCCATTGTCTCAGCCCAAAATCTCCTTACGCTGATAGGCAACTTCAGCAAAGTCTCAGGATACAAAATCAGTGCGCAAAAATCACAGGCATTTTTATACACCAATAACAGACAAACAGAGAGCCAAATCATGAGTGAACTCCCATTCACAATTGCTTCAAAGAGAATAAAATACCTAGGAATCCAACTTACAAGGGATGTGAAGGACCTCTTCAAGGAGAACTACAAACCACTGCTCAAGGAAATAAAAGAGGATACAAATGGAAGAACATTCCATGCTCATGGGTAGGAAGAATCAATATTGTGAAAATGGCCATACTGCCCAAGGTAATTCATAGATTCAATGCCATCCCCATCAAGCTACCAATGACTTTCTTCACAGAATTGGAAAAAACTACTTTAAAGTTCATATGGAACCTAAGAAGAGCCTGCATTGCCAAGTCAATCCTAGGCCAAAAGAACAAAGCTGGGGGCATCACACTACCTGACTTCAAACTATACTACAAGGCTACAGTAACCAAAACAGCATGGTACTATTATCAAAACAGAGATATAGACCAATGGAACAGAACAGAGCACTCAGAAATAATGCCGCATATCCACAACCATCTGATCTTTGACAACCCTGACAAAAACAAGAAATGGGGAAAGAATTCCCTATTTAGTAAATGGTGCTGGGAAAACTGGCTAGCCATGTGTAGAAAGCTGAAACTGGATCCCTTCCTTACACCTTATACAAAAATCAATTCAAGATGGATTAAAGACTTACATGTTAGACCTAAAACCATGAAAACCCTAGAAGAAAACCTAGGCAATACCATTCAGGAGATAGGCATGGGCAAGGACTTCATGTCTAAAACACCAAAAGCAATGGCAACAAAAGACAAAATTGACAAATGGGATCTAGATAAACTAAAGGGCTTCTGCACAGCAAAAGAAACTACCATCAGAGTGAACAGGCAACCTACAAAATGGGAGAAAATTTTTGCAATCTACTCATCTGACAAAGGGCTAATATCCAGAATCAACAATGAACTCAAACAAATTTACAAGAAAAAAACAAGCAACCCCATCAAAAAGTGGGCAAAGGATATGAACAGACACTTCTCAAAAGAAGACGTTTATGCAGCCAAAAGACACATGAAAAAATGCTCATCATCACTGGCCATCAGAGAAATGCAAATCAAAATCACAATGAGATACCATCTCACACCAGTTAGAATGGCGATCATTAAAAAGTCAGAAAACAACAGGTGCTGGAGAAGATGTAGAGAAATTGGAACTCTTTTACACTGTTGGTGGGACTGTAAACTAGTTCAACCATTGTGGAAGACAGTGTGGTGATTCCTCAGGGATCTAGAACTAGAAATACCACTTGACCCATCCATCCCATTACTGGGTATACACCCAAAGGATTATAAATCATTCTGCTATAAAGACACATGCACACGTATGTTTATTGCGGCACTATTCACAATAGCAAAGACTTGGAACCAACCCAAATGCCCATCAATGATAGACTGGATAAAGAAAATGTGGCACATATACACCATGGAATACTATGCAGCCTTAAAAAAGGATGAGTTCATGTCCTTTGTAGAGACATGGATGAAGCTAGAAACCATCATTCTGAGCAGCTTGACAGAGGAAGAGAAAACCAAACACCGCATGTTCTCACTCATAAGTGGGAGTTGAACAATGAGAACACGTGGACACAGGGAGGGGAACGTCACACACTGGGGACTGTGTGGGGGTTGGAGGGCTAGGGGAGGGATAGCATTAGGAGAAATGCCTAATGTAGATGATGGGTTGATGGTGCAGCAAACCACCATGGCACATGTACACGTACGTAACAAACCTGCATGTTCTGCACATGTATCCCAGAACTTAAAGTATAATAATAAAAAAAAGACATTCATGGGGCCAACAAACATATGAAAAAAAGCTCAATATCACCGATCATTACAGAAATGCAAATCAAAACCACAATGAGATACCATCTCATGCCAGCAAGAATGGCAATTATTAAAAAGTCAAGAAACAACAGATGCTGCTGAGGCTGTGGAGAAGTAGGAACGCTTTTCCACTGTTGGTGGGAATGTATATTAGTTCAGCCATTGTGGAATACAGTGTGGCGGTTCCTCATGGATCAATAACCGAAATGCCATTTGACCCAACAATCCCACTATTGGGTATATACCCAAAGGAATATAAATCATTCTATTATAAAGATACCTGCACACATATATTTATTGCAGCACTATTCACAATAGCAAAGACATGGAACCAACCCAAATACCCATCAATGATAGACTGGATAAAGAAAATGTGGTACATAGATACCATGGAATACTATGCAGCCATAGAAAGGAATAAGATCATACCCTTTGCAGGGACAGGGATAAAGCTAGAAGCCATCATCCTCAGCAAACTAAAACAGGAACAGAAAACCAAACACCACTTGTTCTCACTCATAAGTGGGAGCTGAGCAATGAGAACACATGGACACAGGGAGGGGAACATCGTACACCAGAGCCTGTCGGGGGGGTGAGGGGAGGGAGAGCATCAGGACAAACAGCTGATGCATGCTGGGCTTAATACCTAGATGACGAGTTGATAGGTGCAGCAAACCACCATGGCACATGTTCACTATGTAAAAAACCTGCACTTTCTGCACATGGATCCCAGAACTTAAATTTAAAAAAAAAAAAAGAATGGCTAAAAGGTGACATATTTCCTTATTCCTCCTGCACTCCTTTTTTCTAAACCAACCCTCCAAACATATTTGGACATAATTCTTTGAAAAATCTATCCAATGTAAACTGTGTAGATCTCTTGCCATCTAATATTTTTGGTATGAGGTTCATCTTAACCTTAATGTGTATAATGTCAGTAAGAATCCCCAGGCAAAAGGGCTTAAGCGTACTAAGTCTCATTATGTTAGTTTTACCATAAAACTGTTATTGAGGAGGATATGGAAATAACAGGAGACTTTATGAGAGCTGTGGGCTTCTTGAGCTCTCTCATGGCTCCTAATGAGAGCATAATCACAAAATTATTATAGGGAATTTTTTTCTTCACCCAATAAAAATGACACATTTTTCTGAGCCTGAACTAGAAAACAACTTTTGCACGTCCCTGCTGTCATTTACCTGAACATGGTGCAAGCACTTATTTTTGGTTCTTAATGAAGGCACGGAGCTTCTAATTATTTAGGGATGTGATTAAATGAGTCTCCCAGTGACTTGGTGTCGCAGGAGAAATCTTTTAATTTGTACGCTCCTATGGCTGATGTATCTTGCAAACAGTGACTATTTAACAATCCCCATTGCCGCTCATTTGCACTGCTACTCCAACTCATTGACTTTGAAAGTTTTAACAGTGCCCAATGAAACTTTTAATTGCCACTGATTAGCGTTTAGGTTTCCGAAGGCAGGCTGTTAGGGGACATGGTTTGGTTCTGCAAAGAACTGACTGCAGAGGTCTTGGATGAAGATCATGTAAGGAACAGAATTCCCTCATCTCGGTCTTTCTCCTACCCACTCTTTTGTCATGAAAGCTCCATATCTATTTTTGAAGACCTGCCTGACTTATTTTTTTATCTTTATTTCATCTCAGATGACTGTAAGAAATTCACAAACAAGAACAGAAAAGCAAAGAACATCATAATTTCAACACAAATTCTGAAAATATGACTTAGGGTTTAAAAACTTTAACCTTTACTTTTTCTTGCCCAAGTCTCATTAGCCCTGATTTATCTCTCCGACTATTTTGGAGTAAAACCTAATCTCAAAATTTCAATGGATTTGGCAGCTAATATCAGAACATGACAGTCACTGCACCTCCCATGTTAAAATCTTGCTATGTAATCTACATTTGACTTGGAATAATTGTGGGTAATGAAACTAAAAGCTGATTTTCAGGAAATTATAGGCAATATTAACAGAGTAGAAAATAAATTGAAAAAGAGGTGGATCCTGTGTTTTCCTCAATCAACCAATAGTGAAGTGTCAGATTCAGTAGATATCTTAGCATCAAGGAAAGAAGATTAGAAAAATTACAAAGACAAACATGTCAAAAGTAAATTTGGGGGCCAGGCATGGTAGCTTATGCCCATAATCCCAGGGCTTTGTGGCCAAGGCAGGAGGTATCACTTGCTCCCAGGAGTTCAAGACCAGCCTGGGCAACATAGCAAGACCCCTATCTTTACAAAAAAAATTTTTTTAATTAGCTATGCATGGTGGCAGCCACCTGTAGTTCCAGCTACTTTGGAGGCTGAGGTGGGAGGACCTCCTGAGCTGAGGAGTTTGAGGCTGCAGTGAGATATGATCAGGCCACTGCACTCCAACCTGGGCCACAGAGCGAGACTCCATGTCTAATAAATAAATAAATAAATGTTGGCAGGACTTTTGGATATGGAGAAATGAAAAAAAATGTTTAAGTTCTTTCTGGTTTGGAGAACTTGATTGATTATAAATATGGACACTGCACTAATCATTTTGGGGGTTCTTTCAATTAAAGAAAAAGTATTAAAAACATTTTAATAGAGACAGGATTTCACCATGTTGGCCAGGCTGGTCTTGAACTCCTGGCCTGAAATGATCTGCTCACCTCGGCCTCCCAAAGTGCTGGGATTACAGGTGTGAGCCACTGCGTCCAACCTCTTTCAACTTTTTATGGTGATGTAGTTTCCATCATCTTTTTCTGAGTAATTTGTTTTGTTTTGCATCCTTTCTCCTTTAAGAGAGCTGGAAATGATTTAATTAAAACATTTGAGGGGAAGTTCGGTATGATCATCTGCAATTATTAGTAAAAAATTTACCATTTTTCCATTTGTCTTTTAGTTGCTTCATTAGTTAATTTCAACGAATGCTTAGGGAATCACTGATTATGTGTTTGCTGAGCACAGAAACTGCCTGGTTACCGGTAGTATTTGCAGGGGTACTGTTTGGAACAGATCTTTCTAGTATTTCAGGCCTTGCTCTATCGATTTGGTGCAATTAGTAGTGCGCTTTACAAATCAGTTGTTGGCCTCTAACCCATCGTGTACCATATGCACTTTTTCTTTTAAACCCTCCTAGTTTATGAAATGACTTTCACTGTGCCAGGTGAATTTTTCCAGGCTGGAGACCATCTGTCATTTCTCCTCTTTCACCTCACTTTGACAATTGTCTTCTACTTTACAAGGAGGGGCACATCTGTTACCCACACCAAATCTAAATGAGCTCACCACTGCCTCAGGGTACCAAAGAGACAAGTTACAGTATTGGCTTAGGCAAAGTCTCATTTTTAAGGAACCTCAGTGTGGCTGTCCTTCTCAGTCTTTCACATATTTCTGTTAAAGGAGAAGCTTGATACTTGAAATGATGTCATTTTGACCCATGTAAGGTGTTGTAAATTCAGATGTATTACAGATAACAGCAGAAATGACAACAGATTTTCTTCGACAAGATCTCACTTCTTCTACTCTCTAACCCAGAACATGGCATCAGAAAGAAAGAGCAAAGGCAACAAGGCCTTATTTCATTCTTGGAAAGTCTCTATATTTTGCATATTTATTTATTTCTTTATATATCTTATAATAAAAAATTAGCAGTTGGACAACTGTCACAGAGATGCATAATATGTTTAAATATTTTTACGTCACTTTTTTCTGATTTCGCTGATGAATTTGACAACGAAAGCTGGCTTTGTCAATTAGATTACATAGTGGATATTTACCATAAATTGAATGAGGTGGGTATCAAGTCATAGATTCAAGATTTTGAAAAAAGCATACAATAAAATAAAAGCATTTTACCAAGAAAACATTGCATTGCAAAGATGTATTAAAATGAACAGTGATTTGATTTTCTGAACTCTTTCTGAGTCTACCGAGCAAAGTAAGTACCTTTAAGTGGAAGAGTAACAGGCATAAATAATGGTAGTTTGACAATTCTTGGTAAAGCCTTTTTGGGATACTTCCCAGAAAATGAGAAAGTGATTTGACTGTAATGAATAGGTAACAAATCAATTTGTAAATCAGGTGGTTTCCAATTCTTTGCTTCAACAAAATTTATGTAGTAGCTGATATACTTAAATATTATTGATTATACAATACTATGTGATTTTGTCAGATAGCTCAGAAGAAGTTAAAAGATTTAAGTGACAGTGGTGTGGCAAAACTGTTTCCATTTTCAGCTACTTATTTACTCGAGCTTAGTTACTTAGCACTGAAAGTGACAAAAAAAGTAGAAGAATTGATGCTAAATTCTATTTCATTCTAGCAATAAGTAATATTGGATATACGAACTAACTTTTTAATTTCTAAATTGTATTTATGTCTTTGCCTTGTTTGCAATTAAAAAAATAATTTCAACTTTTATTTTAGATTCAGAAGGTACATGTACAGGTTTATTACATGGGTATGCTGGGTGATGCTGAGGTTTGGGGTATGAATGATCCTGTCACCCAGGTAGTGGGCATAGTACCTAATAAGTAGTGTTCCAACCTTTCCACCCCTTCTTCTCTCCCCCAGCTAGTAGTCCCCAATGTCTATTATTTCCATCTTTATGTCTATGAGTAATCCAATGTTTAGCTCCCTCTTATAAGTGAGAACATGCAGTATTTGGTTTTCTGTTCTTACTTGAATTCACTTAGGATAATGGCCTCCTGATGCATCCATGTTGCTGCAAAGGACATGATTTTATTCTTTTTTATGGCTGCATAGTATTCCTTAGTTTATATGTACCACATTTATCCAATCCTATATTGATGGGCACCTAGGTTGATTCCATGTCTTTGCTATTGTGAATAGTGCTGTGATGAACATACAAGTGCATATGTCTTTTTTTGTGGAATAATTTATTTTTCTTTGGGTGTATACCCTGTAGTGGGATTGCTGGCTCTAATGATAGTTCTGTTTTTAGATCTTTAAGAAATCTTCCAGCTGCTTTCCACAGCAGATGAACTAATTTACATTCCCACCAACAGTGTGTAAGTGTTCTCTTTTCTCCACAGCCTCACCAACTTCTGTTATTTTTTCACTTTTTAATAATAGCCTTGCTGGCTGGTGTGAGATAGTATCTCATTGTGATTCTGATTTGCATTTCTCTGATGATTACTGGTGTTGAGCATTTTTTCATGTTTGCTAGCTGCTTGTATGTCTTCTTTTGAGAATTGTCTGTCCATGTTTTTTGCCCACTGTTTAATGGAGATACTTCTTTTTGGCTTGTTAAGTTCCTTATAAACTCTGGATATTATACTTTTGTCAGATGCATCGTTTGCAAATATTTTCTCCCATTCTTTGGGTTGTCAGTTTACTCTGTTGATAACTTCTTTTGCTGTGCGAAGCTCTTTAGTTTAATTAGGTTCTATTTGTCCATTTTTGGTTTTGTTGCAATTGCTTTTGACAACTTAGTCATAAATTCTTTGTCAAGGCTGATGTCCAAAGGCTATTTCTTCTAAGATTTTTATAGCTTGAGGTCTTACATTTAAATCGTTAATCCATCTTGAGTTAATTTTTGTATATAGTGAAAAGTAGCAGGTCCCGTTTCATTCTTCTGCATATGGCTAGCCAGTTCTCCCGGCACCATCCATTGAATAGGCAGTCCTTTCCCCATTGCTTAGTTTTGTCAGCTTTGTCAAAGATCAGATGGTTGTAGGTATGCAGCTTTACATCTGAGTTCTCTATTATATTTCATTGGTCTGTGTGTCTGTTTTTGTATCAGTGCGATGCTGCTTTCATTATTGTAGCCTTACTGTAAACTTTTTTGGCTATCCAGGCTCTTTTTTGATTCCATGTTACTTTTAGAATAGTTTTTTAAATCCTGTGAGAAATGACATTGGTAGTTTAATAGATAATAGTGTTGAATTTGTAGATCGCTTTGGGCAGTATGGCCATTTTAACAATATTGATTCTTTCGATCCATGAGTAGGGAATGTTTTTCCATTTGTTTGTATCATCTGATTTCTTTCACCAGTGCTTTGTAGTTCTCTTCTTTGTAGAGATCTTTCATCTCCTTGCTTAGATGTATTCCCAGATATTTTTTGTGAGGCTATTGTGAACAGGATTGCATTTTTATTTTGGCTGTCAGCTGGAATGTTACTGGTGTATAGAAATGCTACTGATTTTTATATGTTGGTTTTATATCCTGAAACTTTACTGAAGTTATTCATCAGGTCTAGGAGCCTTTTGGCAGAGTCTTTAAGGTTTTCTAGGCATAGAATCATATCATCAATGGCCAGGGGCAGTGGCTCATGCCTGTAATTCCAGTACTTTTGGAGGCTGAGGCAGGCCGATGACTTGGGGTCAGGAGTTTGAGACCACCCTGGCCAACATGGTGAAACCCCGTTTCCACTAAAAGTACAAAAATTATCCAGGCATGGTGGCACACACCTGTGGTCCCAGCTACTCAGAAGGCTGAGGCAGGAGAATCACTTGAACCTGGGAGACAGAGGCTGCAGTGAGCCAAGATTGTGCCACTGCGCTCCAACCTGGGTGAGAGAGCAAGACTTTGTCTCAAAAAAAAAAAAAAAAAAAAATACCTATCATCAGTGAAATGAGGTAATTTGGCATCTTCTTTTCTATTTTGATGACTTTTAATTATTTCTCTTGCCTGATGGCTCTAGCTAGGACTTCCAGTACTATGTGAAATAGGAGAAGTAAGAGTGTCATCCTTGTTTTGAAATGGATAAATTCCTGGAAACACAGAACTTCCCAAGATTGAATCAGGAAATCGAAACCTTGAACAGACCAATAATGAGGTCTGAAATTGAATCAACCATAAAAAACCTACCAACCGAAAAAAGTGCTGGACCAGATGGATTCACAGCTGAATTACCAGAAGTACAGAGAAGAGCTGGTACCAATTTTATTGAAACTAGTCCAAAAAATTAAAGAGAAGGGACTCCTCCCTGATTCTATGAAGCCAGCATCACTCTGATATCAAAATCTGGCAAAGACACAACAGAAAAAGAAAACTACAGTCCAATATCCCCAATGAACATAGATTTTAAAATCCTCAACAAAATACTAGCAAACCAAATCCAGCAGCACATTAAAAAGTTAATTCACCACCATCAAGTAGGCCTTATTCCTAGGATGCAAGGTTGGTTCAACATATGCAAATCCACAGATGTAATTCACCACATACAGAGAAATTAAAAGAAAAACTATATGATTATCAATAGATACAGAGAAAGCTTTTGATAAAATCCAACATAAGAACCCTCAACAAACTAGTCACCGAAAAAAACCAATATTTTTCAAGATTTAAAGTTAATTTACATGGTTTTGACCAATTGTGTACCATTATTGTTTGTGTTAATAACTCAATCCAGGAGAAATTTTTAATATTCAGAGCTTTATGTTAATGGGAAATTTTAAATATTTAATTTCAGTTTATTAGTTATTATTTATAATTTTATATTATATAAATTATTTATTTATTTATTTATTTTTGAGACAGAGTCTTGCTCTGTCACCCAGGCTGGAGTGTAGTGGTGCAATCTCGGCTCACTGCAACCTCTGCCTCCCGGATTCAAGCGATTCTCCTGCCTCAGCCTCCTGAGTAGCTGGGACTACAGGCACCCGCCACAATGCCTGGCTACTTTTTTGTATTTTTAATAGAGATGGGGTTTCACCACATTAGTCAGGATGGTCTCAATATCCTGACCTCATGATCCACCCACCTCGGCCTCCCAAAGCGCTGGGATTACAGGCATGAGCCACCACGCCCAGCCTATAATTTTATATTATAAAACATATACTTGGATACAATTCTTGAAACGTACAATAAAAAAATTAAATGATGTAAATTTCTAACTCTTTAAGAAGAGCATGTTCATGTAGTTTTAAAAATGGGTGATGGTCTTGTTAAATTATCATTTAGATTCCCTAATAAATTTAAACTAGTGATATACGTATCTTAATTAAACATGCCAATAGGTATTATAGCCACAAAAATTATATTTTTGCAGCCTTTTGAAGCCATAATGAAAAATTTTAGCTATTATTTAAAAATGTAGATGGTGTGGTACATATTTTCAAAATTATTTAAGGGGGAAAAATATATATATGAGGACCACTACTCCTTTCCTGAATATATATGTATCTGTCATGATCATCTTTGGCTGAGAGAAAATTATCTTAAGTAAATTTTAAAGTAGTTCTAGTGAGAACTACCTAAAATTACTAGTGTATCACTGAGTTGGGAGAGGTGATATCAATCTTGGCTTGATCTCTCATAAACAACATGATCCAGAGGTAATTACCTAATCTTGCTAAGCCTTGCTTCCTACTTCAAAGAGAAACTAGAGGGTATTAATGAGAGATTTCTTCAACTTCATGCCCCTGCCTGCCATCCTCTTGACTACATCAACACTCCAAGGGACAGTGGTCCTTCCTGTCTAAGACTGACTCCTCCTCCTGTGCTCCAAATTTCACCACTTCTTGTCTTTCTCAGGAACTCTGCTCATCAATTATTCTTCC
This sequence comes from Homo sapiens, assembly GCF_000001405.40. Taxonomy (NCBI): domain Eukaryota; kingdom Metazoa; phylum Chordata; class Mammalia; order Primates; family Hominidae; genus Homo; species Homo sapiens. The sequence goes on from NC_000001.11 coordinate 147,371,132, forward strand.
CCCTCTCTGTTACCTCCAATTATCACAACTCTAGTGGGTTTTTCCACTCAGCATTTAGAAAGCCCAAGTCTGTGCCATATTAAAATTGGAAAAACGGTGTGGGGAAGGAGGCACTCTCATGATTTGTTGCAGGTAGTTTAAATTGGCATTTCCTTTCTGTAAGGCAAGTTAGTAATAGGAATCAAAGGCTTTAGAAATGGATGTGGAATTTGGTTTGTCAGTTTGAACTGTTGAACTGTATCCTTAGGAAATAATCTAGTATATGTGCTTGTATGTATGCCTATTTTACAGGGATGTCCATCACAGCAATATTCATAGTAGGGGAAAATTAGAAGCAGTTTAAAAACTCAACAGCAGTTTTGTTGAACTAATTATCATATGTGCCATTTAGAGTCATGGTGTTGAAAAATTTAATTAAATGAGGAAATGTTTGCATTAGTGGAAAAAGTCAGATTGTACACTGCAGGGTGGTATATATATCTTCCAGTAGTTATTCCTCTCTGGATATGGAATAAGAAGATTTTTCTCTTTGCATTTTACTACATTTTATTTACTACAATTAACATACACTGCTTTGTTTAACCCTTTTAAATTTATTTCTCTCTAACTGACATACACTAAAGAAAAGAAACTGGAAGAGCCCAGGGTGGTAGTGATGGAATTGGCATTAGCAGGTGAGAAATTTCAACAAATTCATAGATGTGAGGAGTTGTGATCTAGAATAATCTATTTTCTGGTCCTTTTATATCAATAGCATTCAAAAATTTTTATTTGCAGACCACTTAAATAGGTCAAAATACGTGACACCCCATCTATCCCACTTTCTGAAGTAAAAAGAACTTGCTGATAGCAGATTTGAAAGGATCAAAGAAACATGCTGCCATAAACATTTTTAGCAGCATTATGAATCAAGTATTACTTACTTTATAAGTTATAACACAAGGCTCTAGAAATTTAAAAATCACCTAGAAATTATACTTACATTGAGTATATACTGTAACTTCCTTAAATGGCAGAAATGTATAGATAATGTATCATCAATGAAGACTTACTGTACTAGCTAATGATTTTGGATTACATATGTACTTATTTAACAGTAAGGAAATGGGTAGTACACACTTCTCATTACTTTTAATATTGAAAAGTTGCTTTCATATGAAACATATATACAGATAGGAAAAGTTTAAACAAAGTTTATCAGAGTTTCATTTTAAAAAACCGTATCACAAAAATTCCAGAAATTGCAATGTTCTCCATGTCATTGTTTCTTCAGAGTAATTTGCAAGGGGTTTTCAAACATGTCTGCAGTCAAAATTTTTTCACTAAATTTCTTCAGAAAATTTGTCATACATTTTAATTGTTTTTGGTGAAAACTTTAAAAATTTGTGGTGGCTTGGGATTTTCAAGTTCCTATGGGGTGCAGTTTGTATCTCCAACCCCTGTGGCATTATATATTCCCCGCATATAAACTGTAGAACCTAAATAAATAATAGTTGCTCTATCATTGTAATGACAGAAAAATAGAACTTGAGTTCTTCCTCGCTGAAAGAACCTGTGTGTATAACTAGGAGTTCTTTGAATTAACTGTTATGTAGAAGATAATGTTTATGAAAGGATAAAAACATGTTAACTGGAGGTTAATATATATTATGAAAACTCAGTAGTAATTACAGTGATTATTTAGATTATTAGATGCACAAAGGTTTTTTTTTTCAGGAAAGAGTATTTTATCACTGGCATTTTTTACAATTCCTAACACACAACAATAATAAAAAGCAGATGCATGTCCACTAATTTTATCACTGCTTTAAATTATCTGTAGTTAATATAGCCCCTCACTGCATATCACCAGGTTGGACCATTCTCACTGCCACAAAAATATGGAAATTAACACATTCAAACAACCAATGGATCAAAAAAGAAATCACAAGGAATATTAGAAAATACCTTGAGATGAAAGAGACTGAAAACATGAGATTCCAAAATTTATGGGATGCAGCAAAAGCAATGCTAAGAGAAAAATTTATAGCTGTAAATGAATACGCTTAAAAAGAAGAAATATATCAAATCAATAACCTAACTGTGCATCTCAGGAAACTAAGAAAAATAGCAAACTAAACCCAAATCTAGCAGAAGGGAGGAAATATTACCCAAAGTGATCTATAGGTTCAAAGCAGTTCCTATCAAAATCCCAATGGTATTTTTTTCAGAAATAGAAAAACCAGTCCTGAAATTCATGTCAAATTGTGACGTGTCCCAAATAGCCAAAACAATCTGGAAAAAACAACAAAGTTAGAGGACTCATACTTTCTCATTTCAAAATTTACTACAAAGCTACAGTAATCAAGACAGTGTGATCCTGGAATAAGGACAGACATATGGAGCAATGCAATAAAATAGAGAGCCTAGAACTAAATCCTTGCAGATATGGTCAAATTATTTTTAATAAGTGTTCCAAGACCATTTAATAGGGGGGAAGATGTTTTTTCCAATAAATGATGTTAGAAAAACTGGATATCTACATGCAAAATAATGAAGACCAACTAACCCTTCGGGTAGTTAGAACAAGAACAAGAACAAACACTCGGTAGCCCTCATAGCCTTCTCAATAGTATTCAGAATTGCAAGCTCAAATATAACTAGCCACATGCATATTTTAGGAGGAAGAAAAGCTCACATTAAAATGTGAGCTCCTAAAAATGTGAGATTTACTGGTAGAGTTTATCAAAGACAGAGATAACTGTATTACCCCGGAATGAACTGGTCAACATAAATTATTTTTTAAACTTAAAAAATAAAAATAAACAAAAAATATTTTTAAACTTAAAACTAATTTAAAAATTTAAAATTTTTATTTTAAATTTCTAATATTTTTCTGAAAGATCTTCTAAAATAGTCTTAGATATTTCACTGCTTTCTTTAAAAAAGTAGGTTAAATACAATTTAATAATTTATTGATAGCTAAGAATTATCTTTTTGGAAAAAAAATGTATCCTTTTATAATACAGTGATCTCCATAACCACTGTTGAGGTGTGAAAAGTTTGGTCCTTTAATCCATCTTGAATTAATTTTTGTATAAGGTGTAAGGAAGGGATCCAGTTTCAGCTTCGTACATATGGTTAGCCAGTTTTCCCAGCACCATTTATTAAATAGGGAATCCTTTCCCCATTGCTTGTTTTTCTCAGGTTTGTCAAAGATCAGATAGTTGTAGATATGCGGCATTATTTCTGAGGGCTCTGTTCTGTTCCATTGATCTGTATCTCTGTTTTGGTAACAGTACCATGCTGTTTGGGTTACTGTAGCCTTGTAGTATAGTTTGAAGTCAGGTAGCGTGATGCCTCCAGCTTTGTTCTTTTGGCTGAGGATTGACTTGGCAATGCGGGCTCTTCTTAGGTTCCATATGAACTTTAAAGTAGTTTTTCCCAATTCTGTGAAGAAAGTCATTGGTAGCTTGATGGGGATGGCATTGAATCTATAAATTACCTTGGGCAGTATGGCCATTTTCACGATATTGATTCTTCCTACCCATGAGCATGGAATGTTCTTCCATTTCTTTGTATCCTCTTTTATTTCACTGAGCAGTGGTTTGTAGTTCTCCTTGAAGAGGTCCTTCACATCCCTTGTAAGTTGGATTCCTAGGTATTTTATTCTCTTTGAAGCAATTGTGAATGGGAGTTCACTCATGATTTGGCTCTCTGTTTGTCTGTTGTTGGTGTATAAGAATGCTTGTGATTTTTGTACATTGGTTTTGTATCCTGAGACTTTGCTGAAGTTGCTTATCAGCTTGAGGAGATTTTGGGCTGAGACGATGGGGTTTTCTAGATATACAATCATGTCATCTGCAAACAGGGACAATTTGACTTCCTCTTTTCCTAATTGAATACCCTTTATTTCCTTCTCCTGCCTAATTGCCCTGGCCAGAACTTCCAACACTATGTTGAATAGGAGTGGTGAGAGAGGGCATCCCTGTCTTGTGCCAGTTTTCAAAGGGAATGCTTCCAACGTTAGACCTGAAACCATAAAAACCCTAGAAGAAAACCTAGACATTACCATTCGGGACATAGGCATGGGCAAGGACTTCATGTCTAAAACACCAAAAGCAATGGCAACAAAAGCCAAAATTGACAAATGGGATCTAATTAAACTAAAGAGCTTCTGCACAGTGAAAAGAAACTACCATCAGAGTGAACAGGCAACCTACAGAATGGGAGAAAATTTTTGCAACCTGCTCATCTGACAAAGGGCTAATATCCAGAATCTACAATGTACTCAAACAAATTTACAAGAAAAAAACAAACAACCCCATCAAAAAGTGGGCAAAGGACATGAACAGACACTTCTCAAAAGAAGACATTTATGCAGCCAAAAAATACAAGAAAAAATGCTCACCGTCACTGGCCATCAGAGAAATGCAAATCAAAACTACAATGAGATACCATTTCACACCAGTTAGAATGGCGATCTTTAAAAAGTCAGGAAACAACAGGTGCTGGAGAGGATGTGGAGAAATAGGAACACTTTTACACTGTTGGTGGGACTGTAAACTAGTTCAACAATTGTGGAAGTCAGTGTGGCGATTCCTCAGGGATCTAGAACTAGAAATACCATTTGACCCAGTCATCCCATTACTGGGTATATACCCAAAGGACTATAAATCATGCTGCTATAAACACACATGCACACGTATGTTTATTGTGGCACTATTCACAATAGCAAAGACTTGGAACCAACCCAAATGTCCAACAATGATAGACTGGATTAAGAAAACGTGGCACATATACACCATGGAATACTATGCAGCCATAAAAAATGATGAGTTCATGTACTTTGTAGGGACATGGATGAAATTGGAAATCATCATTCTCAGTAAACTATCGCAAGGACAAAAAACCAAACACAGCATGTTCTCACTCATAGGTGGGAACTGAACAATGAGAACACATGGACACAGGAAGGGGAACGTCACACTCTGGGGACTGTTGTGGGGTGGGGGGAGCGGGGAGGGACAGCATTAGGAGATATATCTAATGCTAGATGACGAGTTAATGGGTGCAGCACACCAGCATGGCACATGTATACATATGTAACAAACCTGCAGGTTGTGCACATGTACCCTAAAACTTAAAGTATAATAATAATAAAATAAAAATAAAAAATATATAAAAAAGTTTGGTCCTTTGCCGAGTGGCTCATATTGCTCTACATTTTGAAATAGTTGTCCTCAGTTTTTAAAGTTTTTTTGCTCTTACTTTGTTGTCATGCTGTCAGCTATCGCTGTGTCTGTGTGTGTACTGGCAACCAGCAGAGTTCTGCATTTCATGTCAGCTCTTAGCATCATTTCTTTGTTGGTGGGGGGGGGGCGCGTGGGGTGACTGTGGTGGTTTGGTAATTTCATTGTCTTTTTTCTTTTTTTTTTTTTGTAGACAGGGTCTCGCTCTGTCGCCCAGGCTGGAGTGCAGTGGCGTGATCTCAGCTCACTGCAAGCTCCGCCTCCCGGGTTCACGCCATTCTCCTGCCTCAGCCTCCCGAGTAGCTGGGACTACAGGCGCCTGCCACAATGCCCGGCTAATTTTTTGTGTTGTTTGTAAAGATGGGGTTTCACCATGTTAGCTAGGATGGTCTCGATCTCCTGACCTCATGATCCGCCCACCTCGGCCACCCAAAGTGCTGGGATTACAGGCATGAGCCACTGCGCCCGGCCTCATTGTCTTTTTAAAAAATACTTCTTTTCTCAATTTTGTTATGGATATATGAGGCTGGGAAGCTGATCACCAGAGAAATAAAATGTAATTGAGATTCTATGATATTTCTGTTTCTTTTTTATCACAAGAAAAGTGATTAAAGAAATCCAGCTGTGAGTGGGATGTACAATACATATACATGGTACATATGTCTTGTACATATTATATATATTGTATCTTTTATAGCTTGCTACAAAAGGGGAAAAAACTTGAGGTACACCTTAGAGAAGCTAAAGAAACACAGTGTCATGAGTGGAATGATTTTTCTAGTGATTTCCAGATGTCTTTTTAAGGGTAACATTGACTTGTCAGGAATAGGCACAAGCTGTGTATTCTAACAGAGACCACTGCCGTAGATGAGGCTGCAGGGGAGATGCCTATGCTAGGACACACACAATGTCAGTCAGAGGATGATTAGAGGGAAGGTTCCCTCTAATTTTTGTATGAATAATGCAGTTGTAAGGAAGATAAGCTGGCATTCAAATCCAGTCCTATCTGACCGCTAGGTTTGAGTGCTTTCTACAGAAACATGTGACCTCCACAAACAAAATGCACATCCTACATGGGCCACTGTTTGCTTTCTGGGAGTTCAGTCCTGGGCTGAGCTGCCAAACATAAAACCTTCTTCCTCCAAGAGCCACAGAAGTGTGGCCAAGTCTCTTTCTTAGTAATACTATGGTTAAAAATGAATACACAGTGTTAGTGACAAAGCTGGTCTCCCAAAAGATGGGGTCTTTTTCTGTTCAGTGTCATGAAGCCAATACACAAAACTGAAAATGAATTGTCAAGCAGTTCGGGCTTCATTTCATGGCCATGGAATGGAGAAGTGGGAACACAGCTCATACATCAACTTCTCAACAAGTGATGGGTGAGGAGGTTAAAATATAGGATTTCTCTAATGAAGGGGTTGGATATTAAAAACAAGGAGAGGAATATTCCTTTCTTTTCCAGAAATGTGTAGTGAACTTTCTGGAGCTGGACTGCTGCCTTTCTTTTTGTCCTTTTATGGCTTCTTCTGGTCATTGTCATGTAATTGTCAACTGTCATAGCACTGCTGGGAGTGTCATTTAGCATGGAAATGAGATTATAATGAAGCCCGAGATCTTTCTGAAGTTGTTTGGTCAGCTATCTTGGTTCTAGCCAGACTCAGCTGGTCTGGTTACAAAGGGAACTTTCTATCGAAGGCATCCTGTTTCTTAAAGATAAGCAGAGTTAGGAAAGGGTAGAAATTCAGCTCTGTCATGTAGTAACAATAGCAACATCAGTGTGGATAACCTAAACTCAGGGGCAAAGATGACCAGCTTGGCTTGCAGCTTGGACTGAAAAACAAAACAAACAAAAGCCCTATTTCTATGGCTTCATCTGATGAGCTTAAAAGCAGGAATTACCTCACCTAGTTGTTTTGTCTATAACCCTATATGTTTTTCCTCATTCTGTTGTACGCACTGAGAAGCTGGGTTAACATTAAGTCATAACAAATTCGGTGACAGTGAATTTTGAGAGACTTACTTTCAGATAATTTACTGCCAAATTAACACAGAGCAGTTAATCACTTTTAATGTCTCTTTTCATACATCTACTTTCATCAAAAAGGTCCTTTCTGTTTAATTACTCTGACCCAAATATTTAGAATAAATATTGCTGCCATCACAGATTCAGTCTAGGGAGGAATTTAATGGGAGTAAAAACACTCACATGAAAAATAGCATTCAGAAATACAGAAGGAAAAATATATAAGTAAATGTGATATAATATTTATTTCACTCAGAAAGATCACTCAGGCAATTTGTATATATATCAGGGCTCTAAAAAGTAATTTTCACTGTAACTCTTGGTCAAAACAGCCAGTACTATTTGCTTACATGATAACAGGATTAGGACTAACCATACATTATGACCTTCGCTGACTGTACAACTTTGCAAATACACCATTCTGGAAGACACACAAAGCTACACTTTCACACAGGACACCCAACCAATTTTCTGACACCAAATGGGTGTCCTGCAATTCAATTAAATTCCAACACTCTCTACCTGGAGTTAGCATCAGATCTCACAAGTTAAGGGCTGTCCCACAAATCTACCCCCACTTCAGACGCCAATCTCAAGCCTAGCTATAATTCAGGAGTTCCCACAATCCCCTCCTTGGGTTCAATAATTTGCTAGAATAGCTCACAGAACTCAGGGAAACTCTTTATTGTATTTCTTTGGTGGGGGGTGAGGTGATTGTGGTGGTTTGGTGTTTTCATTGTCTTTTTAAAAAATACTTCTTTTCTCAATTTTGTTATATGAGTTATATATGTTAACTAGTATATTATGTTAACCAATATATTATAAAGAATACAACTCAGGAACAGCTAGATGGAAGAGATCATAGGGCAAGGTATGCAGGGGAGCTTCTCCAGTGTGCCACCCCTGAGCACCTTGATGAGTTGACCAATGCAGAAGCTCATCAAGTCTCATTCGTCAAGAGTTTTTATAGAGCTTGATCATTAGCTCCACCACCTACTTTCAGGAGGTTGGTAGATGGAGGTGAAAATTTCAACCTTCTAATTTCTTAATCTTTCTAACGACCATTCCCATCCTGAGTCTATCTTTTTCGCGTAAACTCTATGACCCCACCTAAGTCATCTTATTAGCATAAACTCAGGTATGATCAAAACTACGTCATTATGAGTAACAAAAGACATTTCTATCACTCAGGAAATTCCGGGGTTTTAGGAGCTCTGTGCTAGGAATCTGGGACAAATATCAAATATATTTCTTATTATGCCACAAACATGTTGACAGGAAACTTAAATAGGGAACCCTTTTATAGAAGAGGCAACTCAAGACAACTCGAAAACTGGTGATGCCCTAAGGAAAGTCAGAGGAGACTTGATTGCTTTCTTACAAAAAGTCACAGCTTTTGACATTTTGCACAACCTGATTCAAAGTTTCTGGTTCAATTGTACTGAATTCTAGTCAGTTCTCTTCCTCCTTCTGCTCCTCCTCTTTCTTACTTGATGCAATTGGACCTAGAAAACCTTAGGCCTAGAAGACACTTAGAACTAAATTTGAATGTTGGCTTTACCACTTACTAGTTGTGTGCTCTTATGAAGTTCTTTAAATTCTTTGATCCTCAATTTCCTTATCTATATACAGCCCTGCATTTCTTAACAACAGGGATGATTCTGAGAAATGCATTGTTAGGCGATTGTGCGCTATGATAACATCATAGAGTATAATCACACAAACCCAGAAGGTATGGCCTACTACACACCTACGCTATATGATATCATCTGTTGCTTCTAGGCTACAACCCTGTACAGCATGTCACTGTTATGAATACTATAGGCAGTTATGACACAATAGCATTGGTATATCTAAACATATCTAAACATAGAAAAGGTACAGTAATAATATGGTATTTAAAATTAAAATTCACCTGTATAGGGCACTTACTATAAATAGAACTTACAGGACTGCAAGTTGCTCTGGGTGGGTCCCTGAGTGAGTGGTGAATGAATGTGAAGGCCTAGTACATTACTGTACACTATTGTAGACTTCGTAAATACTGTATACTTGAGCTCCACTAAATTTATTAAAATTTTTTTCTTCAATAATAAATTAAACTTATCTTACTGTATCTTTTTTACTTTATAAATTTTAATTTTTTAACTTGTTGGCTTTTCTGTAATAACATAGCTGAACATGCAATATGGCTCTACAAAAATTTTTATTTATATCCTTATTCTACAAGTTTTTTTCTATTTTAGAAATTTTTTATTTTTATTTTTTACTTTTTAAAATTTTTTGTTGAAAACTAAGACACAGAACGTATCTTGTCCCACTGGGAGGTCTTCAGGGGCAATAACACGCATGTAGCTGTCATCTCCTAGAATAACAATGCCTTCTTCTGAAATACCTCCTGAAGGACCTGCCTGAAGCTGTGTTACAATAACCTTTTTTCTTTTCTTTTTTTTTTTTTGTAAACGGAGTCTTGCTCTGTCGCCCAGGCTGGAGTGCAGTGGCATGACTTCGGCTCACTGCAACCTCCACCTCCCGGGTTCAAGCAATTCTCTTCTTCAGCCTCCCGAGTAGCTGGGATTATAGGCACACGCCACCATGCCTGGCTAATTTTTGTATTTTTATTAGAGATGGGGTTTCACCATCTTGGCCAGGCTGGTCTTGAACTCCTGACCCCGTGATCCACCTGCCTCGGCCTCCCAAAGTGCTGGGATTACAGGTATGAGCCACTGCGCCCGGCCACAGTGACCTTTTTTTCATAAGTAAAAGGAGTACACTCTAAAATAACAGTAAAAAACTATAGTATAGTAAATATTATATATAAAGCAGTAACATAGTCATTTGTTACCATTATCAAGTATTAGGTACTGTTCATAATTGTATGTGTTATGCTTTTATGTGACTGGCAATGCAGGAGATTTGTTTATATCATCACCACAAACATGAGTAATGGGTTGTGCTACAACATTATGATGGCTACAACATTACAGATGATAGAAACTTCTCAGCTCCACTATAATCTTATGGGACTACTGTCTTAAATGCAGTCCATCACTGACTGAAACTATGTGGTGCATCACTATATATTGGGGAAAATAATAGTATCTACCTCATAGTATTGTTGTTAGGATTAAGTGATATAAAGCATATATGAGTACACAAAGGCATACAGAGTGATATAATGGACTTTGGAGAATCAGAAGTGGGAGGTTGGAAGAGGTTCTCAGGATAAAAAAAACTACCCATTAGGTACAATGTACACTACTTGGGTGACAGGTGCACTAAAATCTTCAAATTCACCACCGTATAATTCATCCATGCCACAAAAAACCACTTGTACCCCAAGAGCTATTGAAATAAAAATTTAAAAATATAAAGTACTTAGCATGAAGCCTGGTACATGGTAGGGGCATTATAAATATTAACTATTATTTGTATTATTAACAAATATGGATAATTAACTTTACCAATCTATGGTTCTTATAAGTGCCATTTTAGTTACCTTTTCAGATTGATTGCTGACTTCTGGAAACTGAGATAAGTATGATGAGCACTTGAGGAGGTCACTGTTCTGTCCTGATTTGTAGGATTTACATGTAGATGGTCCCAATGTCAGTCAGTAATACAAATTTATAGCAGTACAAGCTACAAAAATCTTGCTTACTGTGAATTAATCTTTCTTGCACATCTTACTTAGTAATGATAGTTTTCCTTGTCCTGAGTAAATATCAGTCAATAGCCAGATTAATTGCTTCTGCAATTAATTGCTCCCCAGATGTTACGGCTCTACCAAAAACAAGTTAAAAATATGTTAATTATTTTATTGATACATAATAGATGTACATATTTTGAGGGTACATGTGACAATTTAATACATCCATATAGTTTGTAAAGATCAAATCAGTGTAATTGGAATACATGTGTTCATTTTTTATATACATCATATGCGTGCTGTAACAAGGTGCTCCGCAGGCTCATCTCAGGCCAGGAGGCTCATTGCTGAGTTTTCACATGAGACCCAGGTCCAGAAGGCTTTGCACCGTGGCTCCTTTACAATTCTCGGAAAAGTGCTCCTGTTACGTGCATGTGGACAGATCTTGACCTTGGTTGATGAACCCAGAGTAAGACTGAGGGCCAGCTTCAGAGAATAGTCCACTCATTAAAGAGTTGAAACAAGGCTGGTATTCAAGAAAGCACACTGAATATTCTAGTTTCTCACACATCATAGAAAAAGAAGTTGATGAAAATATAAAGTTGGAAACAGGACATTTCTAGTTTCAGGAAAACAAAATTGTTGGGTTTGGGTAGTTACTAATAATCTCTAAAACCAATATGACTGACACCTGTGGCTTGAGAAGCTCCAAGAGAGTAAGAGAAGGGCGCTGTAATGGAACGTGATGATTCCCCACATTGTCTCTCTAGGTTGCCTCGCTCCCTCCCAGGTCACTGTCATCACCAGTGGCCACTTTTTCAGTTCTGTGGGCCCCTTTTTCCATTGGTATTAATTCTATCATCAAATTTCCACACCTGTACTTGGCTGTGGGTTGAAAATTCTCAGGAGAGAATGTGATTATTTCTGTGCCCAAGGTAGGTATTCAATAACTGTCTATTAATAAGTTCTGAAAATGAGCAAACAAAAATCCCTTCCTATAGCCTTCTAAAACCCACAGAAACATGAAATTCTTTCTCTCTTTCTCTCTCTTGGTAAAGGGGTGCATACTGCAGGAAACAGTGGGTTAAGCTATATGGAGGAATTTATAGCCAAGACATTCTAAATACATTCAACTCAGTCTTATTCATCATCAATTGACAAAGCAGATGAAGGTATCTATCTAAGACTAAATGACTTCTATCTGTGCATCTGTAAATTCCACAGGAATCCAAGGATGAAAATGGAAGATGTGGCCTACTTCTGCATCACGAGATCAGAGAATTACAGATGTGACCCTCACTTACAGGTGAGGCCCACTGGTGAATCTCCCCTCCGTACCAGGCAAGTTGAACAAAATTAGACAATTCAAGACTAAAACAGAAATAACCAATTTCCACTACAGCAACATGGACCCTGAATTCTTGGTGTGAATAAATAGGCAAATAAAGGAAATAAAATTCAGTGCATGTAAATTTCTTGGATTTTCAACCTAGAAAGACAGTGCAGGCAATTGTCACATTCCATTGTTGCTCTTCTGTTACTCTCTTAGAGCTTCTCAAGACATAGGTATTGGACATATTCAGTTTTAGGAATAATTAACTACCTGTACCCAACAACCTTGTTCTCCTAAAATCAGTATCTTTGGATACTCGTGTAATTATTCAAGATTGCTCAAGAATCCATTCTGGGGCAGAGTCTGTTGAATAGGTTTATAAATGATGATAAGGAAGGAGTACATAGTGAAGTCTCAGACTCCAAGATATACAAATCTCCCCAGAAAGAAGACACCCCAGAGAAGAGAGACATTATAGAATAATCCTGAGATTCGTGTCAATGGGCAGAGCCTTAAGAGATGTTATAATGTGTGTGAGGAAAAAGTAATGAATTTATGAGTAATCTAAAACACATCTATAAAATGAAAGACTATCCCTTAGATTCTGCTCAAGAAAAAGACCCAGAGTCATTAAATGTTGACCCCAGCATATGTACCAATATTCTGCATCAGGCAAAAAGACCTAGAAAATGAAGAAAATCATTAAGGACTATACTGGAAAGCAAGCTTTATACTGGTATATCTCTGTTTGAAAAGATTTATGTAGTTCTTGCTGCTATGCCTCAAAACCAAGTTTGCCATAACTTGAAAAGATCCAGAGAGCACAAGCTCAAAATAATTGGAGATATTGAGAATTATAAAAAGAATTTTTTGTTTAAGGTTAGATTTGTACTTCCAATATGGAAATCTAATTAGAAGTAATTAAATCTATATAACCATAAATAGTACAAATAAAGTGAACAGAGATTTGCTTATTCAACAACTTTAAAGACCTGGGACAGGGAGATGGTAATTTTTGAAACTCATAAAATGAATGCATTAGCCAAAGAGGTAGGTGTGACAGGAAATAGAAATGCATTTCAAAACATTTGGACAAATTTTGGCTGATGCAGTTATCAATGACTTTGAAATTGATTCAACTCCTGGAATTAAGATGGCTTCAGAAGGGGCAGTAGAAGTATTTCCTTGACATTTTTGTGGGCAGGATAATTCAGATGTGGATTGACCATATGCTCAAATATTCCCAAACAGCTCATGAGTTATAAAAGTTTGAAAACTATTGATATAATCAAAATATTACCTTTAATCCATTCAGCATACCACTTTTTATCCTTCTTCCTTTTAATTTCAAGGAAGTTGAATACCCAGTACAGTGAAGACAAACCTTCAGTAGTGAACGCTTCCCTTTGATCGATGGCCAGAGGTCAGGACTCTCCAGCAATTCTGATGAATGTATGTAACTTCTTGGTTCTTTCTCTATTGTTTCATCTTAAATTCTGCAAAGGAGATGATGCAGATGAGCAATGCTGCAGTTCCTTCTCATTTGCATTTTACTAGCTTTATGACAGTTTCCTTCTTGCATGATATTACCTAATTACATCCTTCAAGGAAGCACTAACATACCACTCTCCACTTTCAATTACTCACTCCAACGAAGGAAATCATGAAACACCCATCCCTTCTCAGAAAATTCACCCAGCAACTGGGTCACTGTGGGACAAAGATCGTGTGAAGGAGTGGAACTACAATCTCAGTCAGGAGGTCCTAAGACAAGCCAAGCTCTGGCCCTGTTTCCCTTCAAGCCAACTTCCTAGCCATACAATAATACAAGTCTCAGACCCATATATGCCCAGATGGTACTACCCAACTTACTGCTCATGTACTTCAATGAATTTGTTCCAAAAACAGCTTATTTCAAATAACTTTGGGATGTTTCCAAAAATCATCCATTTACAAGAAATCATCTTTTCCCAATACTTCAAAAAAAAAAGGGCTGTAATCTCTGAAAACCTTTGGAAAGAGAAAATCCAGACTAATGTTGAGCAGCTTGTGTTGCAGTTGGTGTGTAGCTTCCTAGGGGTTTGCTACACCTTTTACATATGGATGATCAGGCCTATGTAAACTTGTGAAGATGTGTCTTTGATGCCTGATTTTCCTTCCTTGACTCACTTTTATTTTTTTTTAAAGTTCTGGGGTACATGTGCAGGATGTGGAGGTTTGTTATGTACATAGGTAAACATGTGCCATGGTGGTTTGCTGCACCTATCAAACCATCACCTAGGTATTAAGTCCAGCATGCATGAGCTATTTTTCCTGATGCTTTCCCTCCACCTTCCCCATCACTGCCCTACAAGCCCCAGTGTATATTGTTCCCCTCTATGTGTCCATGTGTTCTCACTGTTCAGCTTCCACTCATAAGTGAGAACAAATGGTATTTGGTTTTCTGTTCCTGTGTTAGTTTGCTGGGCATAATGGCTTCCAGTTCCATCCATGTCCCTGCAAAGGAAATGATCTCATTCCTGTTTATGGCTACATAGTATCCCATGGTATATATGTACCACATTTTCTTTATCCAGTCTATCATTAATGGGCATTTTGGTTGATTCCATGTATTTGCTATTGTGAACAGTGATGCAATGAACCTACAAGTGGGTTTACTAGGTCATATGGTAGGTATGTGTTTAACTTTTTAAGCTGCCGCCAAACTGTTTTCTAAAGAGATTTGTTATTTTACATTCCTAATAACAACATATGAAAGTTTCAGTTGTTCCATATCTTTGGCAACACTTGGTTTGGCCCTTTAAATTTTAGCCATTCTAGAGGAAGTTTACTGGTATCTTATTTTAATTTGTGTGACCCTAATGAATAATGATGTTGAGCATATTTCATATACTTATTTGCTACTTATACATCTTCTTTGGTGAAATGTCTGTTCAAATTTAACTATTTTTAAATTTGGTTGTTTGTCTTATAGTTGAACTGTACATTTTTTTGTACTAGATACAAGTCCTTTTTTGGATATCTGTTAGCAGATATTTTCTCCCAATCTGTGGCTTTGCTTTTCACTTCCATTAGAGTATCTTCTTGAAGAGCAAAAGTTTTTAAATTTTGATGATGGCAAATATATGAGTATTTTCTATCTCATGCTTTTAGTGTCTTATCTATGAAATCTTTGCCTCACCAATGTCATTAAAATTTCTCCTATATTTTTGTAGAACTTTAATAGTTTTAGATTTTATATTTAGGTCTATGATTGATTACAAGACTATGTAGTACACAGAAATTTCATTAGCTATTCTAGGTTTTTCAAATTTCCACATAAATTTTAGTATCAAATTGTCATCTTTTTTTAAAAAAAGAGAAAAACCCTGCTATTATTTTGAATGGTATTATATAGAATCTATAGAACAATTTGGAGATAAGTAACATGTTAATATGGAGTCTTCCTATACATGAACAAATTCCCAGCTTTGTTTTTTTAAAATAGTTTCTGCTATTCTGAGTCTTTTGAGTTTTCACAGAATTTTTAGAATCTGCTTGTTTGTCTCCACACAAAATCTACTGGAATTTTGAATGGCACCAAACCCATAGATCAATTTGGAAAAAATTGCCATCTTAAACAATATTGAGTTTTCCAATCCAAAAACATTGAAAGTTTGTACATTTACTTAGAGTTAAAAAATTATCTCTACAAGGTCTTTTTTTTTCTTTTTTCAACTTTTATTTTAGAATCAGGAAGTACATGTGCAGGTTTGTTATTATACGAAGGTATATTGCATGATGCTGACTCTACAATGTTTTGAAACTTTCCATGTACAAGACTTGCATACCGTCTATTAAATGTATTCCTACATGTGGTATTCTTTTTAATGCTTTTATAAATTCATAATTCCCTTTTCAGATTGTTTATAGCAGGTAGACAGAAATACAACTGATTTTTGTATATTGATCACATATCTTGTGACCTTGCTAAATTCCCTTATTAATTCTAGGATTTGTTTTGTTGTTATTGTTGTTTCTTGCGTAGACTCCCTAGGGTTTTCTACATGGACCACTGTGTCATCTGCACATAGGTATAATTGTTTTTTTTTTCCTTTTGATCCATATGTCTTTTCTTTCCTTTTATTTTCTTTTTGCATGGGCTACAACCTCCCATAGAGGTTAGAATGAATCGAAGAGGTTAGAGTGAACATCCTTGCCTTTTACCCAATCTTAGATGGAAAGTCTTCAGCCTTTTATCATTAAGACTGATGTTTGCCATAGGTTTTTTTGTAGATGGCTTTCACCAGACTGAGAAAGCTATCTTTTATTCCAAGTCTTTTGAGATTTTTTAAAATCATAAATAGGTATTGAATTTTGTCAAATATTTTTCTGCATATATTGAAATTATCATGTGGTTTTTGTCCTATATTATTTTAATATGATGTATTTCATTAATTGTTTTTTGGATGTTAAACAGCGTTGCACTCCTGGGATGCATCTTACCTAGTCATGGTGTATAATTCTTTTTCATATTCTTAGATTTCATTTTCTAATATTTCCATTTATATTCAGAAGAGATGTTGGTCTATAGTTTTCTTTTCTTGTAATATGCTTATCTTACTTTGGTATGAGGATAATATGGCCTCATAGAATGAGTTGGAAACTGTTCCTTCTGCCTCTATTTCCTGGAAGAGCTTGTGGAGCAGCAGTCTTATGTCTTTGTTAAGTGTTTGATGGAATTCACTTGCAAAGTCATGTAAGTCTGAGTTTGTATTTGTGAGAAGGTTTTAACTACAAATTTCTTTACAGATTTTGGATCTATTCAGATGTTTCATTTCTTCTTGAGTTAGTTTTGGTAGTTTATGGGGTTTTTTAAGAATTTGACTATTTCACCTAAGTTGTCTAATTTGTTGGCATAAAGTTCCTCATAATATTCCCTTATGATGCTTTTCATTTAATTTGAAATATTCTTTTTCTTTTCTAATATAGGCATTTAAAGTCATATGAATTTTTCTCTGTGTTGCTTTAGCTGCATCCCATAAATTGTAATATGTGTGGTTTTCATAGTGATACAATTTAAAATACTTTCTAAATTTTTGGTAATTTCTCCTGATTCATTCATAATATAATTCATTCAGAAATATATTGCTTAATTTCCAAATATTTGTGGAGTTTCCAAATTTCATTTTGTTGTTGGTTTCTAATTTAATTCCATTGTGGCTGGGGAACATACTTTGTATTATTTAAATACTTTCATGGAAAGGGACAAAATGGCTGACTAGACACAGCCAGGAAATGCCTCTCCCACAAAGAGAATCCAGGATTTCAAGTAAAACATCATAGTTCAAACAGATCATTTGAGAGAAAACACAAAAAGTTGATAGAGAGGTGACAGAGACACTGAGGGTGAAGAAGGAGGAAGCTAGGCGCCTGCATGGAGTCACTCAGAGTGACAAGACCAGCTCCTGATCCTGAGCAGGTCCTAGGGAAGCAGTGAGTGAAGGAACTCCCAGGCACCACACTCCCGCCACACACCTCTGGGATCCAGACTACAAGAGATCCCATGACCCCCACAGGCATTTGAACTGATAGAGGAAACTGCCTTGAAGCAGAACTGGAACCTGCATGGAGTCCAGAGCTACAGCAAAAATGTGAGCATAGGCTCCCATTCCCCAAGGCTCTCCATTTTGTTCTGTGTGGCTCTAGCCCCTGCTGACTGCCGGGCTGGGAGAGAGCAGAGCTACCTTTCCCGTGGGACAGGGGCACATCTGATACACATGGCCCTTGTACACCAGCTCCTCCCAAGGCCACATGCCTGGCTGCTCCTGCAACAGGGAGCACAGAGCACAGCCTCCAGCCTCCACTGCTCCACCTGAGTATTTTTGCCAATCGCCTGGCAGCAGTTTGGCTCCCCGGAACACAGCCAGTGCTCAACCCCAAGAGGCCAGAGGGCAAAGCCATGGGCCTGGTCCCCAACCCCCAGGGATTGTGCACACTGCCCAGGGGCATCAAGCTGAGATCTGTGACCTGACCTCAAGCAAGGGAAAAGCCTCCACTCTCAGAACACTGAGAAGAGTGAGGCGTGAGTTTGTGGGCATGTGCTGGCGTGGGACTTGAGCATCTCTTCCTATGCAAAGCTGGCCTGGGAAGAGCCTAGCCTGTTGACCAGCTGCAGCTTCTGCCCAAGAGGGCCCCAAGGCTTGGAACACCTGGAACAACCCAGCGATCTGGATGCAGAATGCTTGAGACAAATCTAGCTGGTCAGGCCTCCTCCTGGGGCAAACATCTGAGGGAGGCTCAGTTGGGGGACTGCAAGCTCAGTAGACCCCATAGCCATCTCCTGGGCAAAAATAAAAAACCCAGGCCGTGGACGCCACACCAGCTGCACACTCGTGGCACTACCACCCTGCCCAGGGATCCTCCGCCCATGATCCACTGCATCACCAGGCCAACGCAGACATAGCCCACAACCCTCTCTGGCTCTGCCAAACACAGAGAATCAGCAGGTTCCCTGGAGTGGTGGGTCTCTTGTTGACCCAACCTGTGGATCTGACTGCCCCTAACGGAGGTGGGAGTGCAGGCCACCAGGACCCCCACTGGAACTAAGGAACATAGACACAGTGCTAGTGATTGGAGGGGGGTCCCTCAAGGCCCAGGAGCAGATACCACGAGGGAGACATCTCTTGCCCTCCCCTCTCCCTCTTCCCCTAAGCACTGCTGCTAATGCACATAGCTAACAGCATATCTGCTGGCTCTTACTCTTAAGTGCCATCTACTGGATCATGACATGAATTACACCACCAACCAAAAGTAAATTTGTTGGGCAGGCAAAGCCTGTGAAACCCAGTGCAGGAAACTAGCCACAATTAAGGAATGCCCACAGACCCTTTACCCTTTGAAAGCACCCAGAAATGAAGCCAATCGACTATACACAACATACACCACAGTCAAAACCTCAAGGGGAAAAAAAGAATATAAAAACAAAAAGCCCCACTCAATCAACAGCAACTTTAAAAAGACAAAGAGACACCAGCCCTCTCAGATGAGAAGGAATCAGTGCAAGAACTCCAGCAATTCAAAAAGTCAGAGTGTTTCCTTACCTACAAAGTATCGCCCTAGCTCCCCAACAACGTGTCCTAACCAGACTGACATTTCTGAAATGACAGACATAGAATTTAGAATCTGAATAACAAGGAAGCTCAATGAGATTCAAGAGAAAGTTGAAACCCAAACTAAGAAAGGCAGTAAAATGATCCAAGAGTTGAAAGACAACATAGCTATTTTAAAAAAGAATCAAACTGAGCCTCTGAAATTGAAAAATTCACTACAGGAATTTCAAAATACAATGGAAAGCCTTAACAACAGAGCAAACCAAGCTGAGAAAAGAATTTCATACCTCAACAACTCAACCAGCAAAAAAGAAAAAACTCCATTAAATAGTGGGCAAAGGATATGAACAGATACTTCTCAAAAGAAGACATAAAAGTGGCCAAAAAACATATGAAAAAATGCTCAACATCAGTAATCATCAGAGAAATGCAAATCAAAACCACAACAAGGTACCATCTCACACTAGTCAGAATGGCTATTATTAAAAAGCCAAAAAGTAACAAATGCTGGTGAGGCTGTGGAGAAAAGAGGATGCTTATACACTGTTGGTGGGAATGTAAATTAGTTTGTCCTCTGTGAAAAGCAGTTTGAAGATTTCTCAAAAAACTTAAAAAAAAACAAAAAACAAAAAACGACCACTTAACCCAGCAATCCCATTACTGGTTATATACCCAAAAGAAAATAAATCATTCTACAAAAAAAAGACACATGCACTCGGATGTTCGTCACATCACTTTACAATAGCAAAGACACGGAATCAACGTAGGTACCCATCCGTGGAGGATTGGATAAAAAAAATATGGTACATACACACCACGGAATACTACACAGCCATAAAAAAGAATGAAATCCTGTCCTTAGCAGCAAAAAGGATGCAACTGTAGGTCATCATCCTAAGTGAATTAACACAGAAACAGAAGACCAAACACTGCATGTTCTAAGTGAGCACTAAACACTGGGACTCATGGACATAAAGATGGGAATAATAGACACTGGAGACTACTACAGTCGGGAGGTAAGAAGGGAGGCAAGAGTTGAAAAACTATCGGATACTATGGTCATTACCTGAGTGTTTGCTATGGGTATTGCATGAAATCTGTGTCTTAATCTAAATCTAAAAAGTTCAGATTAATATCAACTTAATTCCCATTATAAACTCATTAACACAAATTTGTAAGTATTGTTTTATCTTTAAAACATTTTTTATTTGATTTTTTTTTTGGGGGGGGAGCAGTGGGGATGGAGGCTTACTTTGTCACCCAGGCTGGAGTGATGAGATCAATCATACACCAAACCTCAGCATCATAGAATATGCCCGTGTAACAAACCTGCACATGTACCCCTTGAATCTAAAGTAAATGCTGAAATTTTTTTTAAAATAAAAATAAATAAACCCTTTAAATTCATTATTGCTTTGTGGTCCAGTATGTGATCTATGCTGGAGAATATTCCACATGTGCTTGAAAAGAATGTGTATTCTACTGTTGGATGGAGTATTTGATAGAGGTCTGTTAGATGAAGTTGGTTAATAGTGTCTTAAAGTCTTTTATATCTTTGCTGGTTTTCTGTCTATTCTATCCATTATTGACAGTGGAGTATTGAAACATCCAATTATTATTGTATTATCTATTTCACCCTTCAATTTTGTCAGTTTTTGTTTCATATCTTTGGATCTTTGTTCTTAAATGCATATATGTTTGTAATAATTAAAGCCTCCTTCTGAATTGACCTTTATGTCATTACAAAATCTCCCTCTTTGTCCGAAGTAAGCTTTTTTGTCTCAAAGTCTATTTTTTTCTGATATTAATATGGTCATTCCAGCTCCTTTACTGCTTGCACAGTGTATATTTTCCATCCTTTTACTTTCAATGTATTTGTATTTTTGAATTGAAAGTATGTCTTTTAAAGAAACACTTATCATATCATTGGATCCTGCCTTTTTTTTTTTTGAGGTGGAGTCTCACTGTCACCCAGGCTGGAGTGCAGTGGCATGATCTCGGCTCACTGCAGCCTCTGCCTCCTGGGTTCAACTGATTTCTCCTGCCTCAGCCTCCCAAGTAGCTGAAATTACAGGCACCCACTATCATGCCCAGCTAATTTTTGTATTTTTAGTAGAGACAGGGTTTCACCATGTTGGCCAGGCTGGTCTCAAACTCCTCACCTCAGGTGATCTGCCTGACTTGGCCTCCCAAAGTGCTGGGATTACAGGCGTGAGCCACTGTGCCTGGCCTGGATCCTGCTTTTTAATCCAATCTGAATCCCTGCCTTTTATTTGTAGTGTTTAATCCACCTACGTTTAATGTAGTTATTGAAATAATAGGAGTTACATCTGCTGTTTTGCAATTTGTTTTCTATATATTTTATGTATTTTTGTTCCTCTACTACTGCTATCTTTTATGTTATATAGAGATTTTCAATTGTAGCATTTAAACTCCCTTATTAGTTTTTTATTGTTTTGGTGACTCATGTTTAAACACAGACTTTAAGCCGGGTGTGGTGGCTCACCCCTGTAATCCCAGCACTTTGGGAGGCCAAGGCAGGCAGATTTCTTTTTTTTTTTTTTTTTTTTTTTTTTTGTAGACGGAGTCTCGCTCTGTCGCCCAGGCTGGAGTGCAGTGGCGGGATCTCGGCTCACTGCAAGCTCCGCCTCCCGGGTTCACGCCATTCTCCTGCCTCAGCCTCCCAAGTAGCTGGGACTACAGGCGCCCGCCCCACTACGCCCGGCTAATTTTTTGTATTTTTAGTAGAGACGGGGTTTCACCGTTTTAGCCGGGATGGTCTCGATCTCCTGACCTCGTGATCCGCCCGCCTTGGCCTCCCAAAGTGCTGGGATTACAGGCGTGAGCCACCGTGCCCGGCCAAGGCAGGCAGATTTCTTGAGGCCAGTAGTTTGAGACCAGCTTGGCCAACATGGCAAAATCCTGTCTCTACTAAAAATATAAAAGTTAGCCAGGCACGGCAGCACATGCCTGTAATGCCAGCTGCTCAGGAGGCTGAGGTAGGAGAATCACTTAAACCCGGGAGGCAGAGATTGCAGTGCGCCGAGATCATGCCACTGCACTCCAGCCTGGGTGACAGAATAAGACTCCATCCTGAAATAAATAAATAAAAATAGACTTTATTTTTTAGAGCATTTTTAGGTTTACAGCAAAATTGTACAGAAGGTACAGAGATTTCCCATATACTAATGTTTTTCTACTATATATTTTAAAGTATTTTTAAGTGTTTGCAATGGGTATTGCATGAAATCTGTGTCTTAATCTAAACCTAAAAGGTTCAGATTAATATTAATTCCAGTAGTTTATAAAAACTTTGCTTCTATATAACTCCCTTCCCATTATAAACTCATTAACACAAATTTGTAAGTATTATTTTATCTTTAAAACATTTTTTTATTTGATTTTTTTTTGGGCAGTGGGGATGGAGGCTTACTTTGTCACCCAGGCTGGAGTGCAGTGACACGATCTCGGCTCACTGCAACCTCCGCCTCCTGGGTTCAAGCGATTCTTCTGCCTCAGCCTCCCAAGTAGGTGGGATTACAGGTGCACACCACTCCGCCTGGCTAATTTTTGTATTTTTAGTAGAGATGGGGTTTCACCATGTTGGCCAGGCTGGTCTTGAACTCCTCACCTCAGGTGATCCATCTGCCTTGGCCTCCCAAAGTGCTGGGATTACAGATGTGAGCCACTGCGCCCAGCCATAAGTATTATTTTAAACAGTAGTCTTTAAAATCAGTTAAGAGAAGAAAAATTTAAAATATAAGTTGGTAATGACTTTTATATTTACTTCACTTAATTACTTTTACTTGTGTTCTTTAATTTTTTCATGTACTTTTGGATTACTCTCTAATGTTCTTTCTTTCAAGCCTGAGGTAATACCCTTTAGTATTTCTTATAGGGCAGGACTGCTGGTAGTTCATTATTTGTTATTGCTGAGTAGTATTCCATGATGGATGTACCATAGTTTGTTTAACTATTCATTAACTGGAGGACATACTGATTGTTTCCAGTTTGGGGCTATATAATAAAATGTTATATATATATAGTTATATAAAATATAGCTTATATACCACTATATAATTTATTATATGTAATAATGCTCATCTGAACAATCATGTACAAGCTTTAGTATGGATGTCAACATTTATTTCTCAGGGATAAATGGCCTGGTGAAAAGTTGATGGATTGTATAGCAGATGCACATTTAGTTTGTAAAGAAACTATCAAACTATTTCCCAGAGTACTTGTATTATTTTATATTCCCATTAGCATTGTGACAGAGATCCAGTTTCTCCATGTCCTTGCCAATATTTAGTACTATTTATCTTTATTTGAGCTATTCTAATGATTATGTTGTATCTCATCATGGTCTTCTGTTGCTTTTCCCTAATGGCTAGTGATACTGAATATCATTGTTATCTATATAACTTATTTTATGAAATGTCTCCTTGTGTATATTGACAATTTTCTAATTTGATTTTTTATTGTTAAGTTTGAGAGTTCTTTATAATTCTAGATGAGTCCTCTGTCAGATATATGGTTTGAAAATATTTTCTCCAGATCTGTATCTTGTTTTTTTGTCCTCTGATCTTCCACAGAGAAAAAGTTTTAAATTTTGGTGATGTCAATTTACTATTTTTTTCCTTTTATGGATCAAGCCTTTGGCATTATGTCTAAAATGTGTTCACCAAATCACTGGTCCACAAAATTTACTCCTATGCTTTTCCATAAAAGTTTTATAGTTTTATGGTTTAAGTTTAAATATATGATGCATTTTGAGTTAATTTTAGTATAAACTGTAAGGTTGAGGTTTAGTTTTTTTAATATGGATATCTAAATTCTTCATCACCATTTATTTGAAAGACTAAATTGATTTTACACTTTCATCTTAAATTAGTTACCCATGCCGCATTGAGTCTACTTCTAGGTTGTTTATTCTGTTCCATTGATCCAAGTGTCTTATCCTTACACTAATACTACACAGTCTTGTTGTAAGGTACAGTACTTTTTCCCATTTTATTTTTTTAAAACATAATTGCTTTAGCTATTCTAGTTCCTTTACCTTTTCATTTAAATTTTGGAATAATCTTGTCTATATCTGTTAAAAAATCTTACTGGGATTTTGATGGAAAATGTATTAAACCTGTAAATATCAATTTGGAGAGAACTGATATGACTATATTAATCAATCCATGAACACATATGCTCTTCCACTTATTTTTAGATCTTCTTTGATTTCTTTCATGAGCATTTTGTAGTTTTCAGTGTGCAAGTTGTGTGTATGTCCCATTACATTTATACCTAAGCATTTTTTTTAACAATTGTAAATGGTATTGTATTTAAAATTTTTGGTTTCCACATGATGCAAGATAGCTGAGCCCCACAACTGGGGCTTAGCCCAGGAGGGTTCTTAGCTTAACCCTGGAAATAATTCAAGGGCAAGCTGGTGGTGTCAGGCATCAATTTTTATTGAAGCAGCAGTGTACACCAGCAGTAGAGGTACTACTCCTTGCAGGGCAGGGCTGCCCAACAGGCAGTGAGCCCTGAGTAGTAGCTCAGGGCAGTTCTGCCATCACATTTATATCCACTTTTAATTATATGCAAATTAGGCAGATTATGAAAATTTTTAAGAAAAATGGTGGTAACTTCCAGGTGTTCCCATGCCACTGGTAAACAGGTGGCACACTGGTGGGCATGTCTTAGGGGAAGGTGCTCCCACCCCATCCCTGTTTTAGTTAGTCCTCAATTTGCTCTGGTGTCTGAGCCCCACTTCCAGAGTTGAATCCCACCTCCAAAATCAAGTCCTGTCTCCTACTTCACACGTTCTCATTAATAGAATATACATGTACAGTTGATATTTTGTTTGCTAACCTGTGACCTTGCTGTACTCATTTACTGGTTCTATGATTTTTTTTGTAGGCATCTTAGCATTTTCCACATAGACCATTATATCATCTGCAAATAAGAACAGTTTTATTTCTTTTTTCCTGATCTACCTGCCTTTAAAAAATTTTCCTGCCTTATTGCACTGCCTAGAACTTACAGCACTACACTGAATTAAGAGTAGTCAGAGCAGACATCCTTGTCTTGTTCCTGATCTTTTACCACTAAATGCAATGTTAGATGTGGGTTTTTCTTGCAGACTCCCTTTATCAAGTTGAGAACAACCCCCTCTATTCCTATTTTTCTAAGAGTTTTGCCATGGTTGTGTATTGGATTTCGTCAAATGCTTTTTCTGCATTGATAATACCATTCGGATGTTTGGCCCCTCCAAATCTTATGGTGAAATGTAATCCCCAGGGTTGGAGGTGGGCCCTGCTGGGAGGTGTTTGGGTCATGGGGGCACATCCTTCATGAATGGCTTGGGCTATCCTCATGATAGTGGGTGAGTTCACAAGAGATCTGGTTGTTTAAAAGTGTGTGGCACTACCTGTCTCTCTCTCTTGCTCCCACTCTCATCACATGATGTACTGGCTCCCCCTTTTTCTTTCACTGTGATTGGAAGCTTCCTGAAGCCCTCACCAGAAGCAGATGCCAGTACTATGCTTCAGGTACAGACTACAGAGCTATGATCCAATTAAACCTCTCTTCTTTATAAATTACCCAGCCTCAGGCATTTATTTACAGTAACACAAAAAATGATGTAATACAATTAATTAATATAATCATGTGACTTTTCTTCTTTAGCCTATTAATATGCCAAATCACATTAATTAGTTCTTAATATTGAACCAGTCTTGCATTCCTGGAATAAATCCCATATGGTAGTGGTGTATAATTCTTATTACATATTGCTGAATTCTATATGCTGATTGGTTAAGAATTTTTGTACCTACACTTATGAATAATAATGATTTATAGTTTTCCTTCCTTTTGATGTCTTTGTCTAATTTTGGTATTGGAGTAATATTCACTTCATAAAATGATTTGGGAAGTTTTCCTTTTTCTTGTATTTTTTGGAAGAGATTATGTAAAATTGATGTTAATTCTTTAAAAGTTTGGTGGAATTCTCCAGTGGACCCATCTGGGCCTGGAAGTTTCTTATACTGAATTTTTAAAATGAAAAAGTTGATTTTCTTAATAGTTATGGATAGGGCTATTCAAATTATCTATTTTATATTAGGTAAGTTGTGACAGTTTGTGCTTTTCAAGAAATTGGTCCATTTCATCTAAGTTGTCAAGTTTACATGTGTAGAATTATTTGTTGTATTTTCTTACTATCCATTTGATATTGGCAGGGTCTCTAACGATATCCCCTGTTCATACTGATATCAGTATTTGTGTCATCTCTCTTTGTCAGTCTTACCAGATGTCTATCAATCTTACTGATATTTTCAAAGAACCAGATTTTTTTCATAAATTTTCTCTATTATTTCCTGTTTTCAATTTCATTGATTTCTGCATCATTTTCCTTCCTTCTCTCCTTGCTTATTTTTCTCTTTTTTCTATGTGTGTGTGTGCGTTTGTGTGTGTGTGTACGTCTGTGTGTGGTGAGAGTTTAGACTAAGAATTCTAAACTCTTCCTCTTTCTTAATGTAATTTAGTGCTTTAAATTTTCCTCTCAGCACTGGGTTAGCTATATTCCAAAAATTTTGATATGTTGTATTTTTATTTTCATCCCATTCAATGTACTTATCAATTTCCCTTAAGGCTCTTTCTTTCACTCACGGACTATTTAAAAGTTGTTTGGTTTCCAAGTGTTTGGAGACTTAACTGTTATCTTCCTATACTGATTTCTAGTGTGATTCTATTATAATCAGATAATATACTCTGATAATTTTAATTCTTATATAATTTTTGATTTGTCAATTTTTCCTTTTAGCTCCCTCAACTTTTATTTAACACGTTTCAAAGCTCTGTTTTTTGGTGTTTATACATTTAGAATTACTTGGTCTTCTTGGTGGATTGACTCTTATCACTAAAGTTCCTCTCAATTCTCTGTTTTTAAATATGATATTAATATACCCACTCCTGCTGTACTTTTTTTCAGGCTTTTACTTTCAGTATACCTTTATTGTTTTATTTAATGTAAATTTCTTGTAGATATATATAGTTAGTGGGCCATTTTGTGGTTTTTGGTGGTGCTGGTGGTGGTTTGTTTTTTAAAATCTACCAATCTCTGTCTTCTACTTGACATGCTTAGACCATTTACATGTAATACGCTTATTGATATATTAGGGTTTAGGTCTGCTGTTTTATTTTTGTCGTCTAGAACAAATAGCTCTTTCTGCTGTTCACTTCTCTGTAGTATTTTTTCCCTGCCTTCCTGGAGGTTACCTGAACATTTAATAAATTCTACTTTGATTTATTTGTAGTCTTTTGAGTTTATCTCAATGGAATATTTTTAAGTGGCTGTTCTAGGTATTATACAGTCTACCTCTATAAACATTTTTTCAATTCAAGGGATGTGTAGAAAATTTACCTCCTTTTACATCTTTTTACTCTCTCCCATTTATTAAATCATTTATTAAATATTTGCTCTACATACACTGAGTGATACATGAGACAGTGTTATAATTTTGCCTTAATCATAAAACTTAGAAAACTCCAGGGGAAAAGGAAAGTCTATTGTATTTACCCATATTTATACTCTTTTCATTGCTCTTTCTTCCTTCCTGATGTTTCAACATTTC
Source organism: Homo sapiens (assembly GCF_000001405.40). Classification (NCBI taxonomy): domain Eukaryota; kingdom Metazoa; phylum Chordata; class Mammalia; order Primates; family Hominidae; genus Homo; species Homo sapiens. The sequence goes on from NC_000001.11 coordinate 147,399,092, forward strand.
TTCTTTCATCATTTCCTTTCTCTTCAGAGAAGTGTTGTTTTAAAAGTTTTTTAATAGTAGATCTTCCGGTGACAGTCTTTTGGTGTTCCTTCATCTGAGAATATCTTAATTTTTTCTTCATTCCTAAAGGGTTATTTTTGCTGGATCTATTCACTGGAGTTAGAGTTACAGTTCTTTTCTTTCTGCACTTGAAAAATGTTGTACCACTTCCTTCTGGCCTCCATGGTTTCTGATGAGAAATCCACTATCAGTGAAGTTTTCTTTTTCCCTCTTGTCAAGATATCATTTTCTTTCACTGCTTTCAAGACTTTTTTCTCTTTCGTTTTCCGTAGTTTGTCTATTGACTCTTGGCATGGATTTCAATGAGCTTATCCTACTTTGGCTTTGCACATCTTGATTGATAGGTTTATGTCTTTTGCCAGATTTGAGAGATTTTCAGCTATTATTTCTTTGAATATTTTTAGCCCCACCCTCTCTCTCCTCCCCTGAGACTACAATATGAATGCTAGATCTTTTGTTATAATTCCACAGGTCCCTGAGTCTCTGTTCATTTGTTTTCAATCTGTTTTCTCTCTGGTGTACAGATTATTTAATTTCTATTATTTTATTTACATGTCCTCTGATGCTTTCCTCTGTACCCTTTATTCAGCTTTTTAACACATCCACTGATTTTTTTCATTTTGGTTATTATATTTTTTTAAATTTCCACCTTTTTTAAGTCTTCTCTTTCTCTGCTGAGACACTATTATTTTCATTTGTTTTGAGCATTTTATAATTTGTTGAAGCAGTTATATGGTGGCTACTTTAAAATACTTGCCATAAAATTTTAGCATATATGTCATGTTGGTTTTGGTTTTTATTGACTGCCTTTTATCATTAAAATTGAGATCTTCCTATATTTTGGTATAACTGAACTTTTTATTAAAATCTGGACATTTGAGTATTATGAGACTCTAGATCTTTTTTAAACCTTCTGCTTCTACAAGGCTCCTCTTACACCACCCCCGCAAAGGATGGGGGATGGCACTGCCTTATTACTGCCAGGTAGGGGTGGAAGTCCAGATTTCTCACTTGACATCCACTAACACCTGGTTATGGAGAGGAGAATCTTCATTACTGTTGGTGGGAATGGAAAATCTGGCTCCCTACTAGACTTCCATTGATACCACCCTGGCTGGGAAAGGCAGGCATGCCCCAGAACTGCTCTTCACATGAACTTCCCTGGCACGGTGGTGGGTGACCTTTTTACTGCTGGGTGATGGTGATAGTCCTGACTTGGCCTTCCCTAACACCACCCCAACAAGAATGGGAAAGTCTCATTACCGTTGAGTGGGGGTGGATGTCCAAGCTCCTCATGTGGTCTTCACTGATACTGCAGGGAATATGGTGAGGAATAGTCTCACTTGGGGATATCTATTCTCCCCACTTGGCCTTTGTTAACAGGTGTGGATTTGGAGCTTGTTTTTTTCTGTGGTGTTTGGCTAAAGTAGAGCAGCTATTGTCTAAATGTTTTTCTGTCTTGCTATGCTGCCACCTTTCTGATCCTGTGGCTGAAGACAGCAGGCGTTTTCCCCCTTTGTCTGTACCCATTGGTATTTCTGGGTTGCCAGCATGTAGATATATAAGACAAAATTAAAACAGCTAACTCACTACCATGTTTTTCCATGCATCCAAAGTTCCAAGGTCCCTGACTCGTCTGCCTTCTTCACTCCACCTTTCAGAGTTTTCTCATGTTTTCTAATATAGAATGTCCAGAGTTTTGAGCTTTAGTTAGAGGAAGGCATAGAGAAAAGCATTTCTACTCTATCTTTCAGAAGAAGAAATACCTCTCTCTTTCATTTAGAAGATGGGATTCTTATTGTTTTATACAGATTTCTTGATTGACATTCTTTTTCTTTCAGCACACTGACCATGTTATCCCACTGCCTTCTGACCTCGATAGTTTCTGATGAAAAGTCAATTGTAGATATTTTTTATAAGAACCTGTATGTGATGAGTCATTTTCTCTTGCTACTTTTATGTTTTTCTCTTTGTCTTTGGCTTTTTACAGTTTGACAATGACATATTGAGGTATGGATCTTCTAAATTTTCTTTTCATTGGGGTTTTTTGAGCTTTTTGGATATGTATGTGTTAATTTCCTACTGCTGCCATAGTAAATTACGACAAATAGTGATTTAAAATAGCTCTGGAGGTCAGAAGTCTAACGTGTTCACTGGGCTAAAATCAAGGTGTCAAAAGGGCCACATTCCTTCTAGAGGCTTTAGAAAAGAATTATTTTCTTGCTTTTTCAAGCTTTAAAAGACTGACTATATTTCTTGGCTTGTGGCCTCTTCCAACATTTTCAAGTCTAGCAATTGCCTCTCAAGTCTTAATCATACAGCACTTCCTTGATACTCCTTCCTCTGTCTTATAAAGGCCCTTGTGATTACACTGGGCTCATGCAGATAATCTAGGATAACCTTCTCATCTCAAGATCTCTAACAATTATATCTGCAGTTTCTTCTGGTAACATATTCACAAGTTTTGATGATTAGAATATGAACATCTTTGAAGGGTCACTGTTCTCCCTAACCACAGTATCAAATGTTTTTTAAAATCAAATTTGGGAAGTTTTAAAATATTTATTTGAAGGTGGAAAAATCAACTCAAGAAAAGGCAGATTAGTAAGAGAAAAAGCATATAACCTTATTAACATGTGCACAGAGAGAACCACAGGATGTCTTCCCACCTCCAAGGGGGTGCAGAAGTTTATATAACATCTGGAGGTTACAGAAAGAATGGGGACTCAGAGTATGGCCAAAATCAGGGTTTGGTGATAAATCAGGTTATAGCAGCATCTGGTTATGGGAGGAAAAGAAGATACTTGGCTAGCAAAGATGATCTTATTATATAAATGAAACCTCACAAGCAGCAGCCCTCAGAGATACTAGATGGTAAATGTTACTTTCAGACATTTAGAGTGTGTCAGACCATCAGTTAATATTTTCTAGCTCCAGACAAGGGAAGTCCTGGCTGCATCAATGCAGATTCTCCACAGATATAAATTTTCTCCACAAAAGACAGATTTGCAGGACTACTTATGTTTGCTGGCTTTTTGACAGCCATCTCAAAATATGCTAAATAAATATATTTTGGGTTAAAATATTTTTATGTCTTTCAACTGGGTGGAGGGATAAGGAGAAGTTGGTTGAACGGTACAAAAATACACCTATTATAGATTGAAGGAACATGTTCTAATATTGGATAGTACAATAAGGAAATTATAGTTAATAATCACAGACTGGGGACCTCGGGGGGAGGAGCCAAGATGGTCGAATAGGAACAGCTCTGGTCTACAGCTCCCAGCGTGAGCGACGCAGAAAACAGGTGATTTCTGCATTTCCAACTGAGGTACTGGGTTCATCTCACTGGGGAGTGCCAGACAGTAGGTGCAGGACAGTGGGTGGAGCGCACCGTGCACGAGCCGAAGCAGGGTGAGGCATCACCTCACCCGGGAAGTGCAAGGGGTCAGGGAATTCCCTTTCCTAGTCAAAGAAAGGGGTGACAGACGGCACCTGGAAAATCGGGTCACTCCCACCCTAATACTGTGCTTTTCCAACGGGCTTAAAAAATGGCACACGAGGAGATTATATCCTGCACCTGCCTTGGAGGGTCCTATGCCCATGGAGTCTCACTCATTTCTAGCACAGCAGTCCGAGATCAAACTGCAAGGTGGCAGAGAGGCTGGGGGAGGGGCGCCCGCCACTGCCGAGTTAGTTGTTTGATTAGGTAAACAAAGCGGCCAGGAAGCTCAAACTGGGTGGAGCCCACCACAGCTCAAGGAGGCAGGTCTGCCTCTGTAGGCTCCACCTCTGGGGGCAGGGCACAGACAAACGAAAAGACAGCACTAACCTCTGCAGACTTAAATGTCCCTCTCTCACAGCTTTGAAGAGAGTAGTGGTTCTCCCAGCACGCAGCTTGAGATCTGAGAGCAGGCAGACTGCCTCATTAAGTGGGTCCCTGACCCCCGAGAAGCCTAACTGGGAGGCACCCCCAGCAGGGGCGGACTGACACCTCACATGTCCGGGTACTCCTCTGAGACAAAACTTCCAGAGGAACGATCAGGCAACAGCATTTGCAGTTCACCAGTATACTCTGTTCTGCAGCCACCGCTGCTGATACCCAGGCAAACAGGGTCTGGAGTGGACCTCTAGCAAACTCCAGCAGACCTGCAGCTCAGGGTCCTGTCTGCTAGAAGGAAAACTAACAAACAGAAAGCACATCCGTACCAAAAACCCATCTGTACATCACCATCATCAAAGACCAAAGGTAGATAAAACCACAAAGATGGGAGAAAAACAGAGCAGAAAAACTGGAAACTCTAAAAATCAGAGCACCTCTCCTCCTCCAAAGGAACACAGCTCCTCACCAGCAATGGAACAAAGCTGGATGGAGAATGACTTTGACGAGTTGAGAGAAGAAGGCTTCAGACGATCAAACTACTCCGAGCTACAGGAGGAAATTCAAACCAATGGCAAAGAAGTTAAAAGCTTTAAAAAAAATTAGATGAATGGATAACTAGAATAACCAGTGCAGAGAAGTCCTTAAAGGACCTCATGGAGCTGAAAACCAAGGCACGAGAGCTAAGTGACGAATGCAGAAGCCTCAGTAGCCGAGCGATCAACTGGAAGAAAGGGTATAGTGATGGAAGACGAAAGGAATGAAATGAAGGGAGAAGAGAAGTTTAGAGAAAAAAGAATGACAAGAAACAAAGCCTCCAAGAAATATGGGACTATGTGAAAAGACCAAATCTACATCTGATTGGTGTACCTGAAAGTGATGGGGAGAATGGAATCAAGTTGGAAAACACTCTGCAGGATATTATCCAGGAGAACTTCCCCAATCTAGCAAGGCAGGCCAACACTCAAATTCAGGAAATACAGAGAACGCCACAAAGATACTCCTCGAGAAGAGCAACTCCAAGACACATAACTATCAGATTCACCAAAGTGGAAATGAAGGAAAAAATGTTAAGGGTAGCCAGAGAGAAAGGCTGGGTTACCCACGAAGGGAAGCCCATCAGACTAACAGCTGATCTCTCGGCAGAAACTCTACAAGCCAGAAGAGAGTGGGGAGCAATATTCAACATTCTTAAAGAAAAGAATTTTCAACCCAGAATTTCATATCCAGCCAAACTAAGCTTCATCAGTGAAGGAGAAATAAAATATGTTACAGACAAGCAAATGCTGAGAGATTTTGTCACCACCAGGCCTGCCCTAGAAGAGCTCCTGAAGGAAGCACTAAACATGAAAAGGAACCACTGGTACCAGCCACTGCAAAAACATGCCAAATTGTAAAGACCGTCAAGGCTAGGAAGAAATTGCATCAACTAATTAACAAAATAACCAGCTAACATCATAATGACAGGATCAAATTCACACATAACAATATTAACATTAAATGTAAATGGTATAAATGCTCCAATTAAAAGACACAGACTGGCAAATCGGATACAGAGTCAAGACCTATCAGTGTGCTGTATTCAGGAAACCCAACTCACGTGCAGAGACACACATAGGCTCAAAATAAAGGGATGGAGGAAGATCTACCAAGCAAATGGAAAACAAAGAAAGGCAGGGGTTGCAATCCTAGTCTCTGATACAACAGACTTTAAACCAACAAAGATCAAAAGAGACAAAGAAGGCCATTACATAATGGTAAAGGGATCAATTCAACAAGAAGAGCTAACTATCCTAAATATATATGCACCCAATACAGGAGCACCCAGATTCATAAAGCAAGTCCATAGTGACCTACAAAGAGACTTAGACTCCCAAACAATAATAATGGGAGACTTTAACACCCCACTGTCAACATTAGACAGATCGAGACAGAAAGTTAACAAGGATACGCAGGAATTGAACTCAGCTCTGCACCAAGCGGACCTAACAGACATCTACAGAACTCTCCACCACAAATCAACAGAATATACATTCTTTTCAGCACCACACCACACCTACTCCAAAACTGACCGCATAGTTGGAAGTAAAGCACTCCTCAGCAAATGTAAAAGAATAGAAATTATAACAAACTGTCTCTCAGACCACAGTGCAATCAAACTACAACTTAGGATTAAGAATCTCACTCAAAACCGCTCAACTACATGGAAACTGAACAACCTGCTCCTGAATGACTACTGGGTACATAACGAAATGAAGGCAGAAATAAAGAGGTTCTTTGAAACCAACGAGAACAAAGACACAACATACCAGAATCTCTGGGTCGCATTGAAAGCACTGTGTAGAGGGAAATTTATAGCACTAAATGCCCACAAGAGAAAGCAGGAAAGATCTAAAATTGACACCCTAACATCACAATTAAAAGAACTAGAAAAGCAAGAGCAAACACATTCAAAAGCTAGCAGAAGGCAAGAAATAACTAAAATCAGAGCAGAACTGAAGGAAATAGAGACACAAAAAACCCTTCAATAAATTAGTGAATCCAGGAGCTGGTTTTTTGAAAGGATCAACAAAATTGATAAACTGCTAGCAAGACTAATAAAGAAAAAAAGAGAGAAGAATCAAATAGATGCAATAAAAAATGATAAAGGGGATATCACCACCGATCCCACAGAAATACAAACTGCCATCAGAGAATACTACAAACACCTCTATGCAAATAAACTAGAAAATCTAGAAGAAATGGATAAATTCCTCGACACATACACTCTCCCAAGACTAAACCAGGAAGAAGTTGAATCTCTGAACAGACCAATAACACGCTCTGAAATTGTGGCAATAATCAATAGTTTACCAACCAAAAAGAGTCCAGGACCAGATGGATTCACAGCCGAATTCTACCAGAGGTACAAGGAGGAACTGGTACCATTCCTTCTGAAACTATTCCAATCAATAGAAAAAGAGGGAATCCTCCCTAACTCATTTTATGAGGCCAGCATCATCCTGATACCAAAGCCAGCAGAGAGACAACCAAAAAAGAGAATTTTAGACCAATATCCTTGATAAACATTGATGCAAAAATCCTCAATAAAACACTGGCAAACTGAATCTAGCAGCACATCAAAAAGCTTATCCAGCATGATCAAGTGGGCTTCATCCCTGGGATTCAAGGCTGGTTCAATATACTCAAATCAATAAATGTAATCCAGCATATAAACAGAACCAAAGACAAAAACCACATGATTATCTCAATAGATGCAGAAAAGGCCTTTGACAAAATTCTACAACCCTTCATACTAAAAACTCTCAGTAAATTAGGTATTGATGGGACATATTTCAAAATAATAAGAGCGATCTATGACAAACCCACAGCCAATATCATACTGAATGGGCAAAAACTGGAAGCATTCCCTTTGAAAACTGGCACAAGACAGGGATGCCCTCTCTCACCACTCCTATTCAACATAGTGTTGGAAGTTCTGGCCAGGGCAATTAGGCAGGAGAAGGAAATAAAGGGTATTCAATTAGGAAAAGAGGAAGTCAAATTGTCCCTGTTTGCACATGACATGATTGTATATCTAGAAAACCCCATCGTCTCAGCCCAAAATCTCCTTAAGCTGATAAGCAACTTCAGCAAAGTCTCAGGATACAAAATCAATGTACAAAAATCACAAGCATTCTTATACACCAACAACAGACAAACAGAAAGCCAAATCATGAGTGAACTCCCATTCACAATTGCTTCAAAGAGAATAAAATACCTAGGAATCCAACTTACAAGGGATGTGAACGACCTCCTCAAGGAGAACTACAAACCACTGCTCAAGGAAATAAAAGAGGATACAAACAAATGGAAGAACATTCCATGCTCATGGGTAGGAAGAATCAATATCGTGAAAATGGCCATACTGCCCAAGGTAATTTATAGATTCAATGCCATCCTCATCAAGCTACCAATGACTTTCTTCACAGAATTGGGAAGAACTGCTTTAAAGTTCATATGGAACCAAAAAAGAGCCCGCATCACCAAGTCAATCCTAAGCCAAAAGAACAAAGCTGGAGGCATCACGCTACCTGGCATCAAACTATACCACAAGGCTACAATAACCAAAACAGCATGGTACTGGTACCAAAACAGAGATATAGACCAATAGAACAGAACAGAGCACTCAGAAATAATGCCGCATATCTACAACTATCTGATCTTTGACAAACCTGACAAAAACAAGCAATGGGGAAAGGATTCCCTATTTAATAAATGGTGCTGGGAAAACTGGCTAGCCATATGTACAAAGCTGAAACTGGATCCCTTCCTTACACCTTATACAAAAATTAATTCAAGATGGATTAAAGACTTACATGTTAGACCTAAAACCATAAAAACCCTAGAAGAAAACCTAGGCAATACCATTCAGGACATAGTCATGGGCAAGGACTTCATGTCTAAAACACCAAAAGCAATGGCAACAAAAGACAAAATTGACAAATGGGATCTAATTAAACTAAAGAGCTTCTGCACAGCAAAAGAAACTACCATCAGTGTGAACAGGCAACCTACAGAATGGGAGAAAATTTTCGCAACCTACTCATCTGACAAAGGGCTAATATCCAGAATCTACAATGAACTCAAACAAATTTACAAGAAAAAAACAAACAACCCCATCAGAAAGTGGGCAAAGGATATGAACAGACTCTTCTCAAAAGAAGACATTTATGCAGCCAAAAAACACATGAAAAAATGCTCATCATCACTGGCCATCAGAGAAATGCAAATCAAAACTACAATGAGATACCATCTCACACCAGTTGGAATGGTGATCATTAAAAAGTCAGGAAACAACAGGTGCTGGAGAGGATGTGGAGAAATAGGAACACTTTTACACTGTTGGTGGGACTGTAAACTAGTTCAACCATTGTGGAAGTCAGTGGGGCGATTCCTCAGGGATCTAGAACTAGAAATACCATTTGACCCAGCCATGCCATTACTGGGTATATACCCAAAGGATTATAAATCATGCTGCTATAAAGACATATACACACGTATGTTTATTGCGGCACTATTCACAGTAGCAAAGACTTGGAACCAACCCAAATGTCCAACAACGATAGACTGGATTAAGAAAATGTGGCACATATACACCATGGAATACTATGCAGCCATAAAAAATGATGAGTTCATGTCCTTTGTAGGGACATGGATGAAACTGGAAACCATCATTCTCAGCAAACTATCACAAGGACAAAAAACCAAACACCACATTCTCACTCACAGGTGGGAATTGAACAATGAGAACACATGGACACAGGAAGGGGAACATCACACACTGGGGCCTGTCGTGGGGTGGGGGGAGGGGGGAGGGAATAGCATTAGGAGATACACCTAATGCTAAATGACAAGTTAATGGGTGCGGCACACCCACATGGCACAAGTATACATATGTAACAAACCTGCACGTTGTGCACATGTACCCTAAAACTTAAAGTATAATAATAATAAAATTAAAAAAATAAAAAGAATCTGGGACCTCCCCATTCTCACTCTCTTGCTCTTGCTCTCACCATGTGACATGCTGGCTCCCCTTCACCTTCTGCCATGACTGTGAACTTTCTGAGGCCCTCATCAGGAGCTGAGCAGATGTTGGTGCCACGTTTATACAGCCTGCAGAACCATAAGCCAATTAAACCTCTTTTCTTTATAAATTACCCAGTCTCAGATATTCCCTTATAGTAATGCAAAAAAGGCCTAATACAGAGTTATTCAAGTCTCTTGAATAACTAGGAGTGGAATGGCTGGGATGTCTTGTAGGTACATGGAATTGTGTCATTTTTTATTCCCACAAGCATTGTATGAGAGTGTTTATTTCCACATGTTAAGAACCAATTCATTGCAATTTTCTTTTTTTTAGTAGGACGTAAGTTGAATTTTTTCAAAGGCTTTTTAAGCATCTGTGGAGGTAACCGTGTGATTTTTTTTCTTACTCCTATTAGTATTGTGCACTCTAATAGTAGGTTTCCTAACAGAATGCTAACAGGTTCTTGCATTCTTCGTATAAATATCAAGTCATGGTGTGGTGTTTTTTTTGAATGTTGCTTGGGAATCTATTTCTAAATTGTATTTCAGATTTTTGCATCAATTGTCATAAATGATATTGCTCTATACTTTTCTTTTTTGTGCTACCATTACCAGGATTAGGTGCTGATGTTATATTTATATCATTAAAATAATTTAAAAATTCAAAAAAAAATAATAACTGACTGTATATGTCAAAATAGAATAGAACAAGTGTAATGTTTCCAGTGCAAAGAAATGATTAATGTTAGAGGTGATGGATACACCAGTTACCCTGATCTGATCATTACATATAGTATACTGGTATCAAATATCACATGTACTCAAAATATGTACAACTATTGTATACCAATAAAAATATTTTTATGTAGGCATGTAATTTTTGCATCCATTTCTATATATTCTCTTTTTGGTACTTTCATTATGCAAATTTGTTATTTTTGTAGTGTTCCACAGGTCTCTGAGGCTCTGTTCATTTTTTCTCATTCTTTATTCTTTCTATTCCTCAGACTGCATAATATCTATTGGCCTAGTTTCAAGTTTCCTGAACATTCTTCTGAAACTGCCTTTGCAAAAATTTTAGCAGTGAGAAAAATCTAATCTGACTCCATCTTGCTTCTAACCTCACAAGCTAATTGCCTCTGTTAACTTTAAAATAAAGATGTTAACAGTCCCTTCCTGAAACTAACTCCTTCCTTGCTAAGGGACAAAAACCACTTTTGTATGACTAACGAAAGGCCACAGAATTAGGACTATGGGAGTAGCTTGAATTCTGCTAAAATATACACATAGTTAATGATAACAAGCCATTGTTCCCTAGCTTGCCTTTCTATATAGTTGTTTACTGCTCTGGAGATCACAAGATTTGTAACTTCTCCAATTGTTCCTGTAGATAACATGACTATTGCCAAAACCTAAAATTAGTGTTTGAAATATTTTTCAGACTGCGTATTCTGGTGACAAACTGATTCCACCCAGACCCATGACTTACAACAAGGAACTGGCTCAACTAGTCATGTGAGCCCCCACCCAGAAACTGATTCAGCATGTGAAGATAGTTTGTACACTCCTATGATTTCATCTCCAACCAATCAGCAGTACCCATTCCCTAGAACCCTGCCTACCAAATTATCTTTAAAAACCCTAGCCTCTGAGCTTTTGGGGAGGCAGATTTGAGATTATCTCCTGTCTTCTCATTTGGCTGGTCCTGTGATAATTACATTTTTACTGCTGCAATACCACTGTCTCAGTGAGTTGGCTTTTCTGTTTAGCAGGCCAGAAGAACTCATTGGGTGGTTACACTTGTCTCTGCTAAAACTACTGGTTTAACTCATATAGTGAATTTTTCATTTTCGTTATTGTACTTTTCAACTCCAAAAATTCTATTTGGTGATTTTTATAACTTTTATCTCTTTATAGATACGCTCTATTTGGTGAAACATAATTTTTACACTTTCCTTTAGCTATTTTAACATAGTATTTTCTTTTTTAACTTATTTTTAATAGCTGCTTTAAAGTCTTTGTCTACTAAATCCAACAGCTTGTCCCCCTCAAGAACCTTTCCAATCAAATGCAGTGTTTTTCCTATGTGTGGGCCATACTTCCTTATTTCTTTGCATGTCTGATTTTTTGTTTTTGTTAAAACTGGACATTTTAGAGGAGAAGATATTGTAGCAACTTTAGATTCAGATCCTCCTTCTATCTTCCAATTTTGTTGTTATTGCTTTGGGGTTTTTTAATTGACAAAGAGTATATATATTTATCATGGACAACATGATGTTTTAAAATATGTGTATGACATAAAATGGCTCAATCAAGCTAATTTTAAAAAATAAAATCCTGCTTGATGCTTGTTTTTTTCCATGACTTTTCTAAACCAATTCTGTAGATTTTGTATTTCCTGGAGTGTACAGCCACTGAGTTTTCTGATTACTTTTTAAAAATTCTCATTTTTACTTTCAAGCCTGTCTTTTTAGGGGTCACCTCTAGGTCAACATAGTTGGGTAATTATCCAATGATTGGTCAGAAGATTTTCTTAATGCTTTGATCCAGTGTCTTCAACGTTTTGCCAAGGAGATTTGTATGTGAAGGCACATCTTCAAATCTAAAGGGGTTTATAAGTCAGCATTAACATTTACTTCTTGCTTGCACAGGGCTGCAAGTTTGCCCAAATGTAAGTTACTGGATCCCTCTCTGGTTTTCCCTGGCCATGCACTTGGTCCTGTGCAGCATGTGTAGCCTTCTGGATCTCCAGGAATATGTCAGAGCTTTACAAAGTCCTCTGTTATCATATGACTTGTTCCCCAAGTCATCCTTTTAGATTTTTGGCCAGGCTCTTTTTTGTTATGGGCTGAATTGTGTTCCCCTCAAAATGGTGAAGTCCTCACCCCCACTGTCTTAGAACATGGCTGTTTTTGGAAACAGGGTTTTAAAAAAGGTAATTAAGTTAAAATGAAGTCATTAGAGTGAATTCTAATCCAATGTGACTGGTAATCTTACAGGAAAATGAAATTTGTACACAGATATGCACACAGGGAGGACAATGTGAAGACGGACAGAATGGCCATGTACAAGTCAAGGAGAAATATTATAAAAATATTGACAGTGCTCTGAGGATGGGGGTTTTCACAAAGCTCAAAACAGGTCAAACTTCTTCACTGGCTGCCAGCTCTTCACAGCTACCACCCTGGTACTAGGGGTTGGGTACGTGGGAATAGTTCCAAGTTAAAGCACCATAGACCCCACTGTTCTTATGAAGCTCGGCAGTTATATTTGAGTGAATGCTTTTCAGTGTGTTCTGTGCCTTTGGTTAATTTTCATAGTTTTAAAATGGTTGGTTTCTATTGGTGTTTTGCCAGTATTTTTGTTGCTTTTGTGGGAAGAGGATTCACTGAGGTCCTCACCCTGACATTCTGAAAGTGTTGTCCCTAACCTTGTTTTTGAAATATATTTATGTTGGTTAGACTTTTAGGTTGACAAGTTTGTTTCCTTTCAAGCTGTTGCTCCTTAAAACATTGGAAGGAAACAAATAAACAATACAGTCTTTTGGCTTGCATTGCTTGGATGAGAAGTCAGCTGTCATTCTCATCTCTATTCTTCTGCATGTAATGTGCGTTTTTTCCTAGTTGCTTTTAAAATTTTCTATCACTAGTTTTGACCAATTTGATTATGATTTGCATGGTGTAGTTTTCTTTCTGTGCCTTGTTTGGGGTTTGTTAAGCTTCTTGAATTTGGGGGCTTAAAAATTTCATAAAATTGGAAATTTTGGCTACTGTTTTTCCACATTTTTTGTTCCCTTCTCTTTCTTGGGCTCCAATGCATATTAAGGCACTTGCTGTCCCCAAGCTCACTGATGTTCTGCTCATTTCTCTTCAGTCCCTTTTTTCTTTTATTTTTTTATTTTTTGAGACAGAATCTCACTCTGTTGTCCAGCCTGGGGTGCAATGGCGTGATCACAGCTCACTGCAGCCTTGACCTCCAGGGCTCAAGCTATCCTCCTACCTCAGCCACCCAAGTAGCTGGAACTACAGGCACAGGCACGTGGCTGGTTAATTTTCATATTTTTTTGTACAGATAAGAGTCTTTCCATGTTGCCCAGGATGGTCTCAAACTCCTAGGTTTGAGCAATCTTCCCACCTCAGCCTCTCAAAGAGCTGAGATTACAGGCATGAGCCAATGTGCCCAACCTCTTATTTCATTTTGGATATTTTCTATTAGTATGACTTCACATTCACTAACCTTTTTCTATATCTAATTTGCTGTTAATCTCATCCTGTGTATACTGTATCTCAAACATTATATTTTTACTTTAGAATTTCAATATTTTAATATCTTCAATGTCTCTCCTTGTCATATACATAATTTCCTCTACTTTCTTGAACATATAAATGTATTTATAGTAGCTATTTTAACATCATTGCTTTATAAGTCTATAATCTGTGTCATTACTGAGTCTTTTAAATTATATTTTCTTTTTAATATAGGTTGTATTCCCTTCCTGCTTCTTTGTATGCCTGAAAATTTTGGATTGACGCCAGACACTGTGAATTTTACATAGCTAAATGAAGAAGTTTTAGTATTCCTTTAAGGATTTTTGGACTTTGTTCTTGGACACAGTTAAATTACTCAGAAATAATTTGATCCTTTTAAGACTAGCTTTTAAGCTTTGTTAGGTGAGCTTAGAATAGCCTTTTGCCTAGTGTCAATTTTGCCTCTCTACTAAGGCATCTAATGAGTCTACTTTGTATGTGTTAGGATTTCTTTGCGCACTGATTGGTGCAAAGACTAACTATTCCCAGCCCTGCGTGAGCTCTCCAGATTATTCCAACTGATCCTCTCTAATCTTTTCCTTGGCTCTCATGTGCTGATTAGCATTCTGCTGAAGAGGGAATTCTGTGGATCTCTGAGACTCTCTTTTTATGTGCATCTCCTCTCCAGGGCTCTGCCACGCAAATTCTAGGTACCTTGATCTCCCCCAAACTCTGAATTTTCTCTTATTAATAAAGGGAGACTACTGGGCTCCACTTATGTACCCCCTCCTTGTGCTGTGGCCTGGACACCCTCTCCATGCAGTGAGCTGGTGCATTCATAGGGTTTACCTCATTTGTTTCCCTTGTCTCAGTACTCTCTGTCCCATTCCACTCATTGTTTAATATCTGAAAACACATTTTGTTTTATCTTTTCCCCCAAGTTTTTAGTTATTAAGACAGAAAAGCAAATCTGGTTACTTTTATTCCATTATGGAAGAAGTTCCAAAACCTGATTATTTATTTATTTATTTATTTATTTATTTATTTATTTATTTTTTTGAGAAGGTATCTCATTCTGTCACCCAGGCAGGAATGCAGTGACATGATCTTGGCTCACTGCCACCTCCGCTTCCTGGGTTCAAACAATTCTCTTGCCTCAGCCCCCCAAGTAGCTGGGATTACAGCCACATGCCACCATGCCCAGCTAATCTTTATATTTTTAGTAGAAACGGGGTTTCACCATGTTGGCTAGCCTGGCCTTGAACTCCCGGCCCCAAGTGATCTGCCTGCCTTGGCCTCCCAAAGTGCTGGAATTACAGGTGGGAGCCACTGCACCCGGCAAAAACCTAATTCTTAAAATGGACAGTTGAACGCTTGGATTGGCATTCAAGGGGCTTCAATTACAGGAAAGTAAAGAAGGGCCAGGAACATTGTTTGTTGCTCTTTAAATCAAATGAGGATTTAAGATTCAACCGTCCATCCAGATGTAATGTTCAGAAGTCCAAGCAGTAGGGAATATAGATAGAACTCAAATATGTCTCATGTATGATAGAGACTAAATATGTCCTGAGTACCCCAGCTGAGAAACTATAACAAATTATCACAAATTTAGCAGCTTTAAACACCACAAATTTTATTATCTCACAGTTCTCCAGGTCAGAAATCCAAGTACAGCATGGCTTGACTTATTCCTTGGCTTGGTTTCTCAAAAGACTACAATTAAGGTATTAGCAGGATTGCGTTTCCTTCTGAAGGCTCTAGAAGAGAATCTTTTTCTAGGCTCATTCAGGTTGTCAGGAGAATTTAGTTCTATGTAGCAGAAGGACATGAGCCCCACTTGCTTTTCTGGCTGTCAATCATAGGTCATTCTCAGCCTCCAGAGGCTGCCAGGATTCCCCAGCTCATGGCTCCCTTCAAAGACAGCAATGGCACATTGTGTCCTTCGTGTTTTGGATCTCTCTGACTCTGCTTCTTCTGTTTCATCTCTTTTGCTGTATGTCTTCTCACTCTAGTTGGGAAAATGTGTCACTTTTAAATGCTCAAGTGATTAGATTTGGCTGACCCACATAACCCAGAATAATCTCCCCATATCAAGGTCCAAAGTCTTGAGTACATTTGCAAAGTCCACTTAACATAAAACGTTCTCAGGATCCAGGGTTTGGGGCATAGACCTCTCTGGGCATTGGAGGGGGTGGTGGTAGAATTATTTAGTCCACCACATCAGTGTACAGGATAAAATCCCCATCTTATCCTTGACCTTTATATCCCATGAAGACAAATGAATAAACAACTATAGTATCCCTGGGAGATCTTTGACTTTTTACCCTTGCTCTGTTACATGGTTTCATTTTGGAGACTGGGAAATATGTAAATACCAAATATCATCACAGAATATCAGAGGTGGAAGGAATGTCGTCAATCTTCTAGTCTAGCTCTGTTTTACAGATGAAGAAATTCATGTCCAGAGACAGAAAGATTCTCTGATGAGCTAATAGAGCTGAACATTTATTCTGGATCTCCATATCTTTGCCAATATGTGGTTTTATTAATTACATGACTATGGGCATTTACCTACCCTCTCTAAACTTCAGTTTACTCATATAAAATTAAGGATAATAATGGTACTTCTTAAAGGTGTTTTAAGCATTAAAGGAAATAAATATACGTAAAGGAAGCATGTAGTACAGTAACTGTACTTGGCATTTAGTAAGTACTGAAAATACCAGCTATTATTATCATTGTTATTATTATATTATTATTCTAAAGGTCAAAGCTGCATCAACACATAGACCCCTTCTTTTGACTGAATTGATTGGTTAATAATTTAGTCCAAGCAATTGTGAATTTGAGGTTTTATGTTATGTCACCACTTTTTCCAACATGATGCTTTCTGCTTGACTGATTTGAACATTTAGATAGGTGAGAAAATCTATGCTACCATGACTGAACTTTTATTTTAAGGTGATAAAGTAATACAATATTTATTTTCCATTTTAATAAATCTGGTAATTCATTCATTCATAAAACCAATGTTTATTGAGTGTCAATTATCGGTCAGGCAGTGAACAAAGTAGTCATGATTCTTGTTCACTCAGCTTATTCACCAGGGAGAAACTGGTAGCCAATGAATAAACAAACACAAAAATAAATATTACTTTAAATTCTTTGAAGGAAAATAATAGGATGCTGCAAGAGATTTAATTAAAAAAACAACTATGCTAGATTAGTGGTCACAAGGTTTCTCTGAGATATAATATTCAAGCTGAGACACAAAGAATGAGAAGGAATAAGCCATGTAGAGAATGTTCATGTGTTTGACGATGGAGAGGGAAATAAATACATACATTTGAAATATACTTGAGACAGAGAATCAACAGGATTTGCTGAAAAAATAGATATAGGCAGGGGATGAAGGAAGGAAGGACTCAAAGATGACTCCCAGGTTTCTGACCAGGAGTTAGGGAATATTGTGAGAAGGAAGTTTAGAGGCAGTAGGTAATTTTATCAACCACTTGTTGTTATTTTTATCAAACACTTGGTAATTTTATCAAACACTTGGTGTTATTTGCATCCTCATGATATTCAGCTATTTTAATTTTTAGTTTCAGAGGAAATTTTATCTAAAAGTATTGACAAAATATACTTCCTTACAGAATTCCTGTAAAAATATGTTCAAAAATGTAATTATAAAACAAAAAAAAAAGCAGATACAACTGTAAGGGTAGACCATAGTACTTATTTTATGAGAAATATGTGAATTCAATTATATACCAGTTGCTTAAAAGTGGATCTGGTAAAGTTGGTGAAAAAGAATTAGAGAAGGCAAGCCCATAAATAGAAA
This sequence comes from Homo sapiens, assembly GCF_000001405.40. Classification (NCBI taxonomy): domain Eukaryota; kingdom Metazoa; phylum Chordata; class Mammalia; order Primates; family Hominidae; genus Homo; species Homo sapiens. Next base: position 147,416,691 of record NC_000001.11, read on the forward strand.
ATAACGTCATATTCTTATCATAAATAGCATTTGAGTCAATATGAAGAAATATGCAGGGGAAATAACATTTTTGTTGTTGTTGTTCTTAATTTATTTTAAAATTAAAAAAATATGGAAAGCTTCACGAATTTGCATGAAACTTGAAATTTAAAGGGAAACTTGAAATGGGAGCAGTGGCATAATGGGGAGAATGTGTGTTGTAGATTAACTATGTTCACTGCTCTCTTACATATTACTTATTTAATCCAAACAAAACCTCTGTAATCCAAACATTCCATATTGCACATGGTCAAACTAAGGCATATAAAAGCTAAATAACTTGCTCAAGGTCAAAGCTGACAAGTGACAAAGGCATGATTTAAACCCAAGTCTGTCAAACTCCCAAACCCAATTGCTTACACCAGGGGTTAGTAAACTTTTTCTGTAAAAGAACATAAAGTAAATAGTTCAGGCTTTGCGGGTCATATGTTCTCTTTATCAGCTACTCAATTCGGCCGTTGTAGTATGAAAGCAGTTATAGACGATACATGAATGAAAGGGTGTGGCTGTGTTCCAGTAAAACTTTATTTATAAAAATAGGTGGAGTGCTGGATTTTACTGCTGACCACTGGTTTACACTCAGGAAAAAAGACAGCTTAGCAGTTTCTAAAGAAAATTGGGAATCCAAGATACACAAAGCTTCGTTTAAGGACAATCCACCAAGAAAATAATATCAGATGCAAATGAATGAGCTCTCAAGATTCCTAGAATTTGGGATTGTTATGGCACAGTCTAGCATATGTTTGTTGTTTCTGGTAAAGAGGGGGAAAGAGATGAATTAAAATTTTTAAATAATCCAGAAATATCACTCTACTCAGTTCCAAATTTGTCTTTCCCCCAACCTTTTACTGGAGCTACTTACTGGGAAACTGAATAGTATAAGTTTGATGTTTTCTTTTGTATTCTATTTGTTCTCTGAGGGATAGAAGAAGCCACTGGCAGCACAAAGGAAAAGAGAGCAAAGACGAAGAGACGGATGCTCAAAGATTTGAGAGGGTATAGGATGAATTCACTTCTGATGCTTCTAGAGTGGTGTTCTGTCATAATTACCCCAAATGATCAGAAGTTTCTTACACAAAATGGGATGCTCGGTGTATTTGTTTTCTATTGCTACCATAACCAATTACCACAAACTTAGCAGTTTAAACAACCATTAATTATCTCACCATTCTGTGGTTCAGAAGGTCAGGTGTGGCATGGCTCAGCTGGGTCCTCTGCTGAAAACAAGGTGTCAGCTGGGTAGGATAGAGTGAGACTTTGCAGAAGATTCTACTTCCAAGTTTATTCAAGTTCCTGGCAAAATTCAGTTTCTTGTGATTGTAGGACCAAGGTTACCTTTTCTTTAACAGTGGCCCCCTCCATCTTTAAGCCAACAATGACATGTCAAGTTCTACTTGTGATTTGAAACTCTGACTTTATCTTCAGCCCAAGAAAGATCTCTGCTTTTAAGGGCTTATGTGATTATCCCTTAAAAGGGCCAGTCAAGGAGTTTGAGACCAGCCTGGCCAACATAGTGAAACCCTGTCTCTACTAAAAATACAAAAATTAGCCAGGCCTGGTGGCACATGCCTGTAATCCCAGCTACTCGGTAGGCTGAAGCAGGAGAATTGCTTGAACCCGGGAGGTGGAGGTTGCAGTGAGCCTAGATCATGCCATTGCACTCCAGCTTGGGCAACAGAGCGAGACTCCGTCTCAAAAAAAAAAAAAGAAAAAGAAAAAAGAAAGCCAGTCAAATAAGCCAAGATAATCTCTGTATTTTAAAGTCATGTGACTAGTAACTTGAGTTACAACTGCAATTTCTTTCTGTCATGTATTTGAATAACACTAGAGGGTAAAGATCATTGAGGCTACCACACACTTGGTAAGGTAGAATTTGGTATTGTGACTTTTCTCACGGAAGAGAGAAGCTGGGAGAAAAAGTTTGGGGCTCTGGTATAATTCACCAACTGTTGTTTTTGCAACATCAATGCTGACTAGATTTCCTTCCTTACATCTGAAAAAAAATTTCTGGAGAGCATATGGACTAAGGAGAGAGAAAAATTCCTGTCTAAGAGAATTTTTCTGGTGGAGGTGAAGCGCGGGCAAACAAGTTAATAGACAATAGTGATATGCATGACAAGAAGACGGGGCAGAGAATCAAGAGAATGAGGGCAATACAAAACCCTATTCTCAGAGTCAAGCTACACAATCCAGAAGAGATGTCATCTAATCCAAGAACTAAAGGATGAGTAAAAGTTAATCAGCTCTCCTGATGTCTGTTATCATATCACATTATTATTTTATTTATCTCCCAATATTCATTTCAGTTGAGAAAGAATTCAAAGTAGAAAATCAAATGGTGGTCACTGAATTCATCTTTTTAAATTTTTCCAAGCACCCTGCATTACAAATGGTTTTCTTCCTGTTCTCCTTGGTCATTTACCTGATCTCTCTTCTGGGAAATGCAGTCAGGGTCAGTCCTGCCTTCTATACTCCAGTGGGTTATTTTCTTAGCCACTTAAGCTTCCTGGATATCTGCTACATGTCTACCACCATCCTGGTCATGCTGGTGAACTTCTTCCAGGAGAGTAAGACCATCTCTTATGAGGGCTGCCTTTCCCAGATCTTCTTCCTTGCATTATGAGCCAGCACTGAGGGGGTTTTGCTGGCTGCCATAGCTTATGACCACTGTGTGGCTATTTGCCACCATCTTCAATATAGGCTCCTAATGAGTGGAAAGGTCTATGTTTGTTTGGTGACTGGGTTTTGGATGTGTGGGCTACTCAATTCTGGGACACACACAGCACTGACAGCCACACTCACTGCGTGAACCCAACCCCATCAGCTGCTTTCTCTGTGCCATCCCATTGCTCCTGAAGCTCTCCTGCTCAGACACCTGTCAGTGAGTCTGTGCTCCATGTGGTGAGGGCCACCACTGGCCTGAGCCCCTGCCTGTTTATGGCAATGTCCTATATATTCATCATCTCTACCATCTTTGGAACAGACCACTTCAACTATGACAGGCCCACAGAAGGGTGCTCCCTGGACACAGACATCCTGGTCTCTGTGCTCTTTTGTGTTGTGACCCCAGTGTTGAACCCCATCACCTACAGCCTGAGAAACAAGGAGATCAAGGGTGCAGTGATGAGGCTGACAGGAAAACATGAATTCTCTAGTGAGGTCACTGACTAGATAATGTTTCCCATTCTGGAAAATTTCTTAATTAGAGAAAAACATGAACATTCCAGTGACTATTATAAGAGGTTGCACTCCGTATAGCATCTCTTGACAATTTTGGTGCCCCATCCCACCAGGACAAACAATTGTATCTGCGCTGAGAATTTCACACATTGCGATCTCATGTACATTGTGTTCTCTCCAGTGAACTGATATTTTAGAACATTTCATCATCCACAAAAGAAGCCCCATACCCATTAGCAGCCACTAATAATTTTCCCTAGAAACCTCCAACTTTAGGCGACTATATTTCTTAAGAAGAGTCAAGTGAAACAGTGGGAGTGGAGAAGGAACAAAGAAATCTCTACCTGGTTGTGATCAAGTAGTTATAAACACCACTGCAATTGGAACAGCCATTAGGCAACTATTAATGTACTTTATGTCTCATGGATTTGCCTGTTCTGAACATTTAACATAAATGGAAATATACAATGTGGTGTCTTTTTAAGACTGGCTTCTTTCACTTAGCTTAGTGTTTTCAAGTTTCACCCATGTAGCAGCATGTTATCAGTACTTCATTCCTTTTAATGCCAAATAGGATTTCATTTTATGAGTATACCAAATTTTATTTGTCAGTTCATCAGTTAGTGGACAAATAAAAATACGTACAATATGTTATCAAACTTTTTTTTATTTTTGAGACAGAGTCTCGCTCCGTTGCCAGGCTGGAGTGCAGCGGCATGATCTTGGCTCACTGCAACCTCTGCCTCCCAGGTTCAAGTGATTTTCCTTCCTCAGCCTCCTGAGTAGCTGGGACTACAGGCGCGTGCCACCATGCCTGGCTAATTTTTTGTATTTTTAGTAGAGACAGGGTTTGGCCATGTTGGCCAGGATGGCCTTGAACTCCTGGCCTCAGGTGTTCCATCTACCTTGGCCTCCCAAAGTGCTGGAATTACAGCTGTGAGCCACTGTGCCCAGCCATCATATGCTTTTAAGGGGTAGATATATCCTGACACTGGGTACAGTTCTTCTCAATTGTGAGAAATAAACTACTGGTAAATAAAGTTACCATACATTTATTCATGGTAAATAAATAAACTACTTACCACAAAGTCTCACTGAAAGGCTTGGATTTCTGGCTTTGGGGGGTGGGGCTTGTGCTCCCCAAACTCCTATGGAAAGAATACTCTTTGAAACAACTGGCTATTGACCTCCATGCATCATGAGGCAGACCTGCCCTTCCAGGAGCTGCCTACGGCGTAGTCATTGCCTAACGCAAAATCACTCCACAATTCATTCTTTTAGGGCCATCTATAAACACTTGGGGACTGTCCTTTTGGGAGCTGGTGTTTCCACTTTTTGTATATTATGAATAATGTTGCCAAGAATACTTGTGTACAAGTTCTTAGTGGACTTATATTTTCATTTCTTTGGGATACGTACCTCGGAGTTGAATTGCTGGGTCATATGGCAACTTCCAATTTTTTCACATTCTCGTCAATATTTGGTATCTGTCTTTTTCATAATAGCCATCCTAGTGAGTAAAGTGGTATCTCATTGTTTTTGATTTGTATTTCCTGGATAGCTGCTGATTCCAAGGCCTTTAACAGGCACCATCTTTGGGCTTCTTCACATCTGGAAAAACCCATGTTGCTAAGGGATTTTTGAGCTTTAAACACATAACTCTTAACATTATGTAATGTTTTTATCTTAATTTTGGTGCAGGAAAATACTGCAAGATTTTCAGACTTATACGTTCTCCACATCTGGGCCCTACAGAGCTGTTTGATGGCTCTGCCTTTTTCCCCTTCAGTAACTCCACAGCAAGCAGTGCCATCAGCAGGTCATGAGCAATGGCAGGACCAGAAATCAGGGGCCACGAAAGTCTAAGGGGTGCTTGTGGGAAAAAAGGGAAGCACTGCATGCAGGGGGCAGCCCTAAGTAGGAACCGCTTGGAGCCGAGACAGCAGACGTGCTGTAGTACCGTGGCTCCAGATACACGTCCCTCTGGTGGGGCATGTGGCATGAAGAGGCTAGGTCCAAGCAAAGCCCATGGCCATGGCCACCAGAACAAACAGAGAAAACTCCCTCACGTGTTGTAAAATCCAACCAAATAAGCCCACATCCATGCATACGCCTTCACTCACTAACTAGGAGGAGGACAATGCTGTCCTTCAGGCTTTAGCCTCCACAACTCCTGACAACAAATCCAGTGCCAAACTCCATTCACAAATGTCCCCAAAGAGATAGAAAGCTGATCTCCTCATTGCGTGCTGGGAAAAGATGATTGCCACGACCTTAATGAATCCGAGAGAACTAATTGCTCTTCATTTCTACACTTTCTAATCAAGCTGTTGACCTTGAGTTGTGTTTGTATTTGGAGGAGTCCCAGAACATCTGCTTAGAGAGAGATTAGATGGATACTCCCCAAAGGACAGTCCACAGGCGTTTATACATGGCCATCCTAGAAGAAGGAATCATGGAGTGATCAAAGGGGATTTTTGGTTCCTGCATTAAGCAATGACTACGCCGTAGGCAGCTCCTGGAATGGCAGGTCCCCCTCACAATGCATAGAGTTCAATAGCCAGTTGTACCAAAGAGTATGCTTTCCATAGTAGTGTGGGAAGCACAAGCCCCACCCCCAAAGACAGAAATTAAAGCCTTTCAGTGAGACTCAGTGGTAATAGTTTATTACCATAAATAAATGTATGGTAACTTTATTTACCAATCATTTATTTATTTCTCACAATTGAGAAAAACTGTATCCAGTATCAGAGTATATCTACCCCTTAAAAGCATAAGATATTGTGCATAACTTTATTACCATTTATTACCACTTATGTAATGACATAGGCTTACCATCATTTCCTGCATTATTCATTTCTGAAGTAGTAATGATAAAACCAGAGTTGAAATGACCTTAGAGATTATCTACTTGAAAGCCTGATAGATGCCTGAATTCCTCAAGTGGTGTGAGTGGAAAATATATTTACAGTTAATAATATGCAGTATAATATAAAATATTACTCCTACTCTAATTTTGACAATCAGGATAGTAGCAATAGCTTTCAGGGAAAAAGCACAGGGTTACATTTCTCCTTTGATACATTGTAGTATGACAGCAGGGGCACACAAAAATTTGTTTAAAGAAAATGTAATTAAATTTTCCTAACACTTTTATTTGGATACTTTGTTCACTCTACTAGGGGTTCTTATCTTTACGTTGTAACACCTCAGTGCTTGCCAGGTGTGTTACAAGCCACTTTGGAATAATCAAGCTCTGAAGTTTGTGAATGATTTACTTCTCTCACAATCCCTTTTAAAAGAAACCTTGGGGGAGGAGCCAAGATGGCCGAATAGGAACAGCTCCGGTCTACAGCTCCCAGCGTGAGCGACGCAGAAGACGGGTGATTTCTACATTTCCATATGAGGTACCGGGTTCATCTCACTAGGGAGTGCCAGACAGTGGGCGCAGGTCAGTGGGTGCGTGCACCGTGCGCGAGCCGAAGCAGGGTGAGGCATTGCCTCACTTGGGAAGCGCAAGGGGTCAGGGAGTTCCCTTTCCTAGTCAAAGAAAGGGGTGACGGAGGCACCCGGAAAATCGGGTCACTCCCACCCGAATACTGCGCTTTTCCGACCAGCTTAAAAAACGGCCCACCACGAGATTATATCCCCCACCTGGCTCGGAGGGTCCTACGCCCACGGAGTCTCGCTGATTGCTAGCACAGCAGTCTGAGATCAAACTGCAAGGCAGCAGCGAGGCTGGGGGAGGGGCGCCGGCCATTGCCCAGGCTTGCTTAGGTAAACAAAGCAGCCAGGCAGCTCGAACTGGGTGGAGCCCACCACAGCTCAAGGAGGCCTGCCTGCCTCTGTAGGCTCCACCTCTGGGGGCAAGGCACAGACAAACAAAAAGACAGCAGTAACCTCTGCAGACTTAAATGTCCCTGTCTGACAGCCTTGAAGAGAGCAGTGGTTCTCCCAGCACGCAGCTGGAGATCTGAGAACGGGCAGACTGCCTCCTCAAATAGGTCCCTGACCCCTGACTCCCGAGCAGCCTAACTGGGAGGCACCCCCCAACAGGGGCACACTGACACCTCACATGGCAGGGTATTCCAACAGACCTGCAGCTGAGGGTCCTCTCTGTTAGAAGGAAAACAAACAGAAAGGACATCCACACCAAAAACCCATCTGTACATCACCATCATCAAAGACCAAAAGTAGATACAACCACAAAGATGGGGAAAAAACAGAACAGAAAAACTGGAAACTCTAAAAAGCAGAGTGCCTCTCCTCCTCCAAAGGGACGCAGTTCCTCACCAGCAACAGAACAAAGCTGGATGGAGAATGACTTTGACGAGCTGAGAGAAGAAGGCTTCAGACGATCAAATTACTCTGAGCTACGGGAGGACATTCAAACCAAAGGCAAAGAAGTTGAAAACTTTGAAAAAAATTTAGAAGAATGTATAACTAGAATAACCAATACAGAGAAGTGCTTAAAGGAGCTGATGGAGCTGAAAACCAAGGCTCGAGAACTACGTGAAGAATGCAGAAGCCTCAGGAGCCGATGCGATCAACTGGAAGAAAGGGTATCAGCAATGGAAGATGAAATGAATGAAATGAAGTGAGAAGGGAAGTTTAGAGAAAAAAGAATAAAAAGAAATCAGCAAAGCCTCCAAGAAATATGGGACTATGTGAAAAGACCAAATCTATGTCTGATTGGTGTACCTGAAAGTGACGGGGAGAATGGAACCAAGTTGGAAAACACTCTGCAGGATATTATCCAGGAGAACTTCCCCAATCTAGCAAGGCAGGCCAACATTCAGATTCAGGAAATACAGAGAACGCCACAAAGATACTCCTCGAGAAGAGCAACTCCAAGACACATATAATTGTCAGATTCACCAAAGTTGAAATGAAGGAAAAAATGTTAAGGGCAGCCAGAGAGAAAGGTCGGGTTACCCTCAAAGGGAAGCCCATCAGACTAACAGCTGATCTCTCAGCAGGAACCCTACAAGCCAGAAGAGAGTGGGGGCCAATATTCAACATTCTTAAAGAAAGGAATTTTCAACCCAGAATTTCATATCCAGCCAAACTAAGCTTCATAAGCGAAGGAGAAATAAAATACGTTACAGACAAGCAAATGCTGAGAGATTTTGTCACCACCAGGCCTGCCCTAAAAGAGCTCCTGAAGGAAGCGCTAAACATGGAAAGGAACAACCGGTACCAGCCGCTGCAAAAACATGCCAAAATGTAAAGACCATCAAGACTAGGAAGAAACTGCATCAACTAATGAGCAAAATAACCAGCTAACAACATAATGACAGGATCAAATTCACACATAACAATATTAACTTTAAATGTAAATGGACTAAATGCTCCAATTAAAAGACACAGACTGGCAAATTGGATAAAGAGTCAAGACCTATCAGTGTGCTGTATTCAGGAAACCCATCTCATGTGCAGAGACACACATAGGCTCAAAATAAAAGGATGGAGGAAGATCTACCAAGCAAATCAAAAACAAAAAAAGGCAGGGGTTGCAATCCTAGTCTCTGATAAAACAGACTTTAAACCAACAAAGATCAAAAGAGACAAAGGCGGCCATTACATAATGGTAAAGGGATCAATTTAACAAGAAGAGCTAACTATCCTAAATATATATGCACCCAATACAGAAGCACCCAGATTCATAAAGCAAGTCCTTAGTGACCTACAAAGAGACTTAGACTCCCACACAATAATAATGGGAGACTTTAACACCCCACTGTCAACATTAGACAGATCGACAAGACAGAAAGTTAACAAGGATACCCAGGAATTGAACTCAGCTCTGCACCAAGCGGACCTAATAGACATCTACAGAACTCTCCACCCCAAATCAACAGAATATACACTTTTTTCAGCACCACACCACACCTATTCCAAAATTGACCACATACTTGGAAGTAAAGCTCTCCTCAGCAAATGTAAAAGAACAGAGATTATAACAAACTATCTCTCAGACCACAGTGCAATCAAACTAGAACTCAGGATTAAGAATCTCACTCAAAACCGCTCAACTACATGGAAACTGAACAACCTGCTCCTGAATGACTACTGGGTACATAACGAAATGAAGGCAGAAATAAAGATGTTCTTTGAAACCAACGAGAACAAAGACACAACATACCAGAATCTCTGGGACGCATTCAAAGCAGTGTGTAGAGGGAAATTTATAGCACTAAATGCCCATAAGAGAAAGCAGGAAAGATCCAAAATTGACACCCTAACATCACAATTAAAAGAACTAGAAAAGCAAGAGCAAACACATTCAAAAGCTAGCAGAAGGCAAGAAATAACTAAAATCAGAGCAGAACTGAAGGAAATAGAGACACAAAAAACCCTTCAAAAAATTAATGAATCCAGGAGCTGCTTTTTTGAAAGGATCAACAAAATTGATAGACTGCTAGCAAGACTAATAAAGAAAAAAAGAGAAGAATCAAATACACGCAATAAAAAATGATAAAGGGGATATCACCACCGATCCCACAGAAATACAAACTGCCATCAGAGAATACTACGAACACCTCTATGCAAATAAACTAGAAAATCTAGAAGAAATGGATAAATTCCTCGACACATACACTGTCCCAAGACTAAACCAGGAAGAAGTTGAATCTCTGAATAGACCAATAACAGGATCTGAAATTGTGGCAATAATCAATAGCTTACCAACCAAAAAGAGTCCAGGACCAGATGGATTCACAGCCGAATTCTACTAGAGGTACAAGGAGGAACTGGTACCATTCCTTCTGAAACTATTCCAATCAATAGAAAAAGAGGGAATCCTCCCTAACTCATTTTATGAGGCCAGCATCATCCTGATACCAAAGCCGGGCAGAGACACAACCAAAAAAGAGAATTTTAGACCAATATCCTTGATAAACATTCATGCAAAAATCCTCAATAAAATACTGGCAAAACGAATCCAGCAGCACATCAAAAAGCTTATCCACCATGATCAAGTGGGATTCATCCCTGGGATGCAAGGCTGGTTCAATATACTCAAATCAATAAATGTAATCCAGCATATAAACAGAGCCAAAGACAAAAACCACATGATTATCTCAATAGATGCAGAAAAAGCCTTTGACAAAATTCAACAACTCTTCATGCTAAAAACTCTCAATAAATTAGGTATTGATGGGACATATTTCAAAATAATAAGAGCTATCTATGACAAACCCACAGCCAATATCATACTGAATGGGCAAAAACTGGAAGTATTCCCTTTGAAAACTGGCACAAGACAGGGATGCCCTCTCTCACCACTCCTATTCAACATAGTGTTGGAAGTTCTGGCCAGGGCAATTAGGCAGGAGAAGGAAATAAAGGGTATTCAATTAGGAAAAGAGGAAGTCAAATTGTCCCGGTTTGCAGATGACATGATTGTATATCTAGAAAACCCCATTGTCTCAGCCCAAAATCTCCTTAAGCTGATAAGCAACTTCAGCAAAGTCTCAGGATACAAAATCAATGTACAAAAATCACAAGCCTTCTTATACACCAACAACAGACAAACAGAAAGCCAAATCATGAGTGAACTCCCATTCACAATTGCTTCAAAGAGAATAAAATACCTAGGAATCCAACTTACAAGGGATGTGAAGGACCTCTTCAAAGAGAACTACAAACCACTGCTCAAGGAAATAAAAGAGGATACAAACAAATGGAAGAATATTCCATGCTCATGGGTAGGAAGAATCAATATCATGAAAATGGCCATACTGCCCAAGGTAATTTACAGATTCAATGCCATCCCCATCAAGCTACCAATGACTTTCTTCACAGAATTGGAAAAAACTACTTTAAAGTTCATATGGAACCAAAAAAGAGCCTGCATCACCAAGTCAATCCTAAGCCAAAAGAACAAAGCTGGAGGCATCACGCTACCTGGCATCAAACTATCCTACAAGGCTACAATAACCAAAACAGCATGGTACTGGTACCAAAACAGAGATATAGATCAATGGAACAGAACAGAGCCCTCAGAAATAACGCCGCATATCTACAACTATCTGATCTTTGACAAACCTGAGAAAAACAAGCAATGGGGAAAGGATTCCCTATTTAATAAATGGTGCTGGGAAAACTGGCTAGCCATATGTACAAAGCTGAAACTGGATCCCTTCCTTACACCTTATACAAAAATCAATTCAAGATGGATTAAAGACTGACATGTTAGACCTAAAACCATAAAAACCCTAGAAGAAAACCTAGGCACTACCATTCAGGACATAGGCATGGGCAAGGACTTCATGTCTAAAACACCAAAAGCAATGGCAACAAAAGCCAAAATTGACAAATGGGATCTAATTAAACTAAAGAGCTTCTGCACAGCAAAAGAAACTACCATTAGAGTGAACAGGCAACCTACAAAATGGGAGAAAATTTTCGCAACCTACTCATCTGACAAAGGGCTAATATCCAGAATCTACAATGAACTCAAACAAATTTAAAAGAAAAAAACAAACAACGCCATCAAAAAGTGGGCGAAGGACATGAACAGACACTTCTCAAAAGATGACATTTATGCAGCCAAAAAACACATGAAAAAATGCTCATCATCACTGGCCATCAGAGAAATGCAAATCAAAACCACAATGAGATACCATCTCACACCAGTTAGAATGGCAATCATTAAAAAGTCAGGAAAGAACAGGTACTGGAGAGGATGTGGAGAAATAGGAACACCTTTACACTGTTGGTAGGACTGTAAACTAGTTCAACCATTGTGGAAGTCAGTGCGGTGATTCCTCAGGGATCTAGAACTAGAAATACCATTTGACCCATCCATCCCATTACTGGGTATATACCCAAAGGACTATAAATCATGCTGCTATAAAGACACATGCAGACGTATGTTTATTGCGGCATTATTCACAATAGCAAAGACTTGGAACCAACCCAAATGTCCAACAATGATAGACTGGATTAAGAAAATGTGGCACATATACACCATGGAATACTATGCAGCCATAAAAAATGACGAGTTCATGTCCTTTGTAGGGACATGGATGAAATTGGAAATCATGATTCTCAGTAAACTATCGCAAGAACAAAAAACCAAACACCACATATTCTCACTCATAGGTGGGAATTGAACAATGAGATCACATGGACACAGGAAGGGGAATATCACACTCTGGGGACTGTTGTGGGGTGGGGGAAGGGGAGAGGGATAGCATTGGGAGATATACCGAATGCTAGATGACGAGTTAGTGGGTACAGCGCACCAGCATGGCACATGTATACATATGTGACTAACCTGCACAATGTGCATATGTACCCTAAAACTTAAAGTGTAATAAAAACAATAATAAAATAAAATAAAAAATAAAAGAAACCTTGAGGTTATTCCTAAATAATTTTATTCCCAATCATTTGCCTTAGAGATTATTGATTGATTGGGAAAGAGGCAGGATTGCTGCTCTCTGGCTGGGAACTGAGCAGAACGTGCCACATGGTCTCCATTGCAACCATTGCTCTTACAGGGCCATGGTGCCACATTTATGCCCCAGCAGGCTCATCTTTTCCTCAGGTCTCTAAGATGTTTTCACCAGAACTGCTGAACAGAAATGCCCTTCAGAGGTCAGCTGAGATGTTCCTTCTTAATTTTCTTTCTCTGCAGGTCTGACTAAAGTGCTGGATTATTTTATCTTTCCTGTTCCCCTGACTTCCACTTGACTTGTTTGTGAACAGCGTTTGTGCCTCAAGCTTTGGGTCTCTATTCAGCTTCAGTAGACAGGGAGTCTGGATGCCATTAGGAGTATCAAGCTCTGTGATGCCAGGGTCAAGGATGTGAGGCACCTCTCATAGGTAGGGCGTTGGAGGCCAGTCCTTCTCCACTCTGACATACATGTTCATGAGAAGGGGCTCAGAATTTGACAGTGGTTCTATGCTGTCAAGGTCACAGGCTGGAGAAGAAGTGCAATTTTCTGTGAGACCCCTATAGAGTTACCCTCCTCTCCAAGCTGAGACTAAGTACGCAGGTTAAGAAACGCCAATCTATGTCATGTTCGAGGCAGAGACAGATGTTGAGAAATCCGTGCCTGATAAACACTACATACTATGATGCTGGGGCTCCCTTGGGGTAGGGGCAATTGGTGGAAAAATAAAATAGCTAATCATTTAAATCATTTTTATAATTATAAATCCAAGAACTTGGTTTAACTGATCTTATGAGTAATTTCTTTTCATAGTGTGTGGCTTTTTTGGTGCGAATTTGCTTGAACTTTTAGGAAATTAAAAAGTTGTAGATATTTCCCTGATTTGCTCCTCTCTTTATTTCTTATTCCACAAAACATTTTTTTTGCAGGACAGTGAACTGGAAAAATTATGTTCTTCAATGTCAGATGGACAGGATTAAATTCTAGCATCTTGTAATTGCAGTTGTACAGCCTTAAGCATCAAATTCCTCACTTGCTAACCCTAATAAAATCTATATTATGATAGATAAGAGATAATGTGTTCAAAGCAGCCAGCATCAATAAACAGCAGCTACCGTTATACTTGGGCTATTGTTATCATGAATCCCAGGGCTTTTGAAGAGGGCTATGAAAGGATGCAAAGAATGTTGGAAGTGTTGGTGAAGCTGGCTTTTTTTATTTGCTTTGTCATAAATGCATGTAAACGAAGTACTGAATGGACATACACCAAACTGTGAATAGTGGTGCTGGGCAGATTTTGGTATGATGGTGAAGATACTTCATTTTCATTTGATATGTCTTTGACTCAGATAAATTTTTCAGTGAGTATGTGCTATTTAAAAATGTTTAAACCCCATAACAATTTTCATTTTAAAAATATGAGGGAACTTCCCTATATATTTCTTTATAACTTCCTGTGAATCTATAAGTATTTCAAAATTTTCTAAAATGTAAATGATAAATAAAATGTTGAATCTATGTATTTATCTATCTGTGACAGACCAAGGCGGCTTGTGTGTGTGTGTGTGTGTGTGTGTGTGTGTGTGTGTGTGAGAGACAGAGTCTCACTTTGTCACCCTGGCATGATCTTGGCTCACTGCAGCTTCAGCCTCCCCGGTTCAAGAAATTCTCATGCCTCAGCCTGTCGAGTAGCTGTGATGACAGGCGCCCACCACCATGCTTGGCTAATTTTTGCATTTTTGGTAGAGACAGGGTTTCACCATATTGGCAAGGCTGGTCTCGAGCTTCTGGCCTCAAGTGATCTGCCTGCCTCGACCTCCCAAAGCCAAGGAGGCTTTCAGTCATGTGAAATATTTACCATTCCAGAAGATGTTCATAGATACTAAAAAGGGATTTTCTCAAGTTGGATGAATACAAAGGAGTGCATTTATATGTTAGGTTTGATCCAGTCATATGAAACATGAAATTTTCATGATCTTAATAATGCCAAGTTTTTGCCTGTGTAATGACATGGATAGAACAATGGATTGAATCGCAGGGCTGAAAAAAAAAACAGTAAGAATTAACTCAAATGATCTTCACTTGAGACTTGAGTCAGTCTTTTTGGTAGGTGATCTAGCTAACATTTGAGCAACTGCAGTAATGGACTCCCATTACTCTCTCAATATTGTAAAATGCTTGCTTATCTAGCTTACATTCAGTTAGTGAACCAGAAGTTTCAAGGCTAAAAAAGACAAAAGAAGAATAGATATCAGGCCAATTAGGCCCAAGGGAAATTTCAGTTCAAGTTGATTTTTGACAATTTGGCCAAGTGAATTTCCAAGAAGTACTTGGAATGAAACAAGTATGTAGAGTTGTGAGCAGGTAACCTGATATTCATACAGCAGGAAGTGGGAGGTGGTATTGCTCAGTGGTCAAAATCAAGGCTCTGAATTTAGGCTACCAGTGCATCCTCTTGAAGCCTCGGTTTTCTTATCTGCAAAACAGGACTAATAACAGTACTAACCCTATCAAGTTTCTCTGAGAATGAATGGGGCAATCCATGAAGAGTTCCTGGCACATACATCATGTTCATCAAGTATTAAATAGGAGGCACAGTGATGGCGTTAGCAATATGTGCAGGTGGATAGGAGAACACAGTGCCCTACTTTTAGGCGGCCTTGACTGGGTAATCACAAATTTTGTAGGAAGTTTTCCAAAGCTGAATGGGTGAGAACAAGGTAAACTTTAACGTCATTAGTATAGACTGTTTGAGATGAAAGGGACCTCAATCCATCTCACTTCACGAAAATACTCTTGATTTGCACACACATCAAGGTTTGAGAAATACACGTCTATTTGATAACCTCTGAATATTTCATGTGGTCCTTCATGCCCATATTATGTGGAAGTGTACAAATAGTAACCTGGGGCAAAGAAGAGCTTATATTCCATAGCCACAGATTAACTTTGCCACAAACACCTCAAATCTTCTGGACTTGCTATTAGAAAAATTCTCCTGAATGCTATTATTAATTGTTGAGAGAGAGAGAGAAAGAGAGACAGTGTTTGTTTGTGTGTGTGTGTGTGTGTGTGTGTGTGTGTCTGTGTGTGTGTCCATGTTTTAAGTATATAGGCAATTTACTAGGCTACATGAAAATTAGATTTAAATTTTTTAATTATTGCCTTGTATTACTGAAATCAAATAAGAATAGATATGCTGTTTTTCTTATGTGTTCCCAGGATTTTCATAATTACATCAACTACCCTGGTTTATTTTATGCCCATCCTGTTTCCTTTAAGAGAGTAAATTACTAAGGTTAGTCAACAAAACATTCCCTAAAGGTTAGCTTTTATTATATAATGTGTATTTCTATTTATTATTTAGTTTGAAAAATCCCAATTGAATTGAGGTATGTAAAAATGTTGTTTCTTTTCAAAGTAACTCATTGAGTTTTGTTTTGTTTTGTTTTTTGATTGGATAGGTTATCATAAAGCTATCTTCATCTTTAAAGAAAAACACTTCCTTTAAACTAAATTCAGCAAGATTTCTTTCAAGCTAGACAATTTTGTGTATAGAATCAGTCAAAGAAAACTTATTCTCCATCTATTTTTCCTATGAAATCTATCCTCACTCATCAGTGGGAAAAAAGATCATTACTATAAGGCAGAGGGTTTGAGATTGAGGTTGCCTATTCATATACAGTATGTATAAATCCCAAGAGGCAAGAATCTAGAGTATCACATAAGCTATTATGTATAAGTGGCACTTGTTAATAATGGATTTTGATGATGATGATGATGGTGATAATTCACCATTGTTGTCCTATGCAAACAGTATGAGCATGAAAAATATGGAAAATAAAATAGACATCACTCCTCACTCATCCTCCTGGCCCACAAAAAGACTAGCCAATCAGAAGAAAAAAGTTTAGTACAGTTCTGATTCTACATAATATATATATTATATTCTACGAGTATGTTTCTCAGGAATGGGCTTCAAGTCATATTTAAAACATGTAAAATAAGCAGTGTGTGCAGCTTCAGAAACCATATTTTTAAAAATCCCTAAACATTTAAAAATCACTTTTACAATTTGGTTATACACAGATCAGTCCTTGTTTTCTTTTTGTGTGGCTACCTTTCATGAAGAATTTTATTTCTTTCTATGAATAAATCTAGACATCTCCCTATAAAAGAGATTGTTGTGTCAACCTTTTCCATATCATGAGTTAAATGCATGTCACCGTGTAATTGATGGAGAAAACAAACAATAGTACACACATTACATACAAATTTTCTGAGAGGACATGCAGATTCCCAGCCCGAACAGAATGTTGCTTTACTGTTAAGCAATGCCTACAGCTAACCTAGAGAAGTGCTGAGTATCAGTAAACCTACTTCTTGGATGCATCTTACACCATACTTCCTATAAACTTCAAGGATCACAAGTCCCACCTTAGCCCTCTCTTCTCACTCCATTATTCTCCTTGGTGGATTCCATGTACATCTATGGCTTCAACAGCCTTTAAGGCAATGACACCTTTAAGGCAATGACTCTCAAATCTATACCTAGAATAGGTATATCCTGTCTCCTGAGGACAAGTCCTGGATTTTTGACTGCCTGTTGAGACTCTCCACATGGATATCCCATAGGTACCTAACACTCAACATTACTTAAATCTCCACTATCTTCTATCCCAAAACTGTTGCACCTCATTTATTTCCTGTTTTAATTAATGATCCCACCATCCACTCAGGCTGCCCAAACTGATTTGGTGTCGTCACCACCCATAGACTTTAATGTGCTTCAAACTTGGCCCCTTTTCCACAAACTATTGCTTTAGTGGTTTTCTCCAAGCTCCAAAGCCATCTTTACGTCTGTACATCTTCAATTACAGACCATTTTACTTGATCTGGTTTTAGCTCTCAAACTACTCTCTTGAACTAAACAAAGACGTTTTAACCTGAGGAACATGGACTATAAGGGACTTATTATATGACCCCTTTGAAATCACAGATACTCCTCGACTTATAATGGGGTTACATCCCAATAAACCCCTCAAAAGCAGTAAATACCGTAAGTCAAACATGCATTTAACATACCTAACCTACTGAACATCATAGCTTAGCCTAGCCTACCTTAAACATGCTCGGAACACTTACATTAGCTTACAGTTGAGTAAAATCATCTAACACAAAGCTTATTCTATAATAAAGTGCTGAATATCTCATGTAATTTATTGAACACTGTACTGAAAGTGAAAAACAGAATGGCTGTATGTATGGGTACACAAAATATGGTTTTTACTGAATGCATACAGCTTTTGCGCCATCACAAAGTCAAAAAATTCTGAATCAAGCCATTATACGTCAGGCACCATCTGCACATTGAAGATTCTGTGCATGGGTACACATGCATTTCTGGATCTGTAGATTCTTATCAGTTTCTCAGAGCTACTGATTTTCTAAAACCCAGGCATCTACCTCCATATACTCCCTGCTTCTAATCTGCCCTTACCTAAAATGTAATTTACGGGCCATCACTGATACTCTGCAGTCATCCTGGTCCATTCTCACACCAAAGCCTGGCTTCCTGCTGCCTCATGAGGGGAGGGATTATTTTCTGAAGCCCCTGTTGAAGGACTACTCAGCTGTTTTTTTTCTAAGGACTTTGCTCAGAGGGCAGACCTGACATAGCCCTCACATCTCAGTGTTATTCCCCAAAGGCAGCTGATTCTCTGCTACCTCTTCTGGGGTAGCTAATGAGCTTGTGCTTGAAATGAAAATAATCAGGCTCTTTAGGATTAGTCATGGGGTTTGGTGGAACCACCCAGGGCTGACCTACTAGCTCTCTGCAACTAGCAGAAATCTCCAGGGACTGGGGACACAGCTGTAGGTGACGGGGTTGCCAGCAAAGCTCAGAACTCTGCAGTTTTCCTTCCTCTAATAGAAACAAAGCTCTCAGCAAAGTTCACTAGGATCTTGAGGCCTACTGGATGCTTTCTCCTACAAACATGAGAACAACATGAGTCTTTTGAGTTTTCTTGCCCTTGGCTGGACAGATGCCTATTTTATTTGAAATTTCTGCCACCAATATTGCCTGGGATGCTGACCTGCCATCTTTTTGCTTATGGAAAAGAGTTTTCACACATGCTTACCTCCACAATAAAACACACATCCACACACACACACACACACACATTGTGAGCATGGCTTTTCATCTGTGTTCCAGGGTTCATAGGACCACCAACCAGGCTGACTCTCCCAAATTAATCATTATGAGGAGAATGAATTGTATTTGCATATGCATGAAGGGGCAAGGCTGTAGGCAGGGAAACAATTTAAAGGCAGTTGCAATAACTCAGATAAAAGGTGATAAAGTATTGAACTATAATTCTGGTAGAGAGGAAGTAGAAAGATGAGAAAAAGGGAAAAATATTTAGGAGGTCCCGTAATTTACTGGACTTAGGTCTGACCAATCCTAAAATAATCATTGTGTGAAAAACACCTCTTGCTTTTATCTTCCTCCTTATTTTATTTTTAAAAAGTGAATTCTATTTAACATATAGTAAAATGCAAAAATCTTCAGTGTACAAGCTGATGAATTTTTACCTATATATGCAACAATGTAACCACTACCCAAATGAAGATATAGAACATTTCTGTCAGTTTAGAAAATTTCTTCAGGCTCCTTTTCAAACAATGTCATTCAGAAGGGTAATTACTATAAACCAAAAACAAAATCCTAAGTCCCCAACCAACTGAACAGACACCCTCTGGGCCAAGGGGATCCCATAGAACATGAAAAACTGAATTCCCAGCCATTATGGGAAGGGAGGTTGGACACATCTCATTATACTCCCTCCTTTTTGGAGTTTAGGCACAACTGACCAGCATTATCATTAAGATGGAGATCATAAGACTGACAAAATAGACTCTTTATTGCTATAAGATACCAAATTCCAACATGACTCTGGGACAGCATCATGTGACAGATAACAGTCCCTGAAGGAAATCAAAATATTTTACTGCAAAATATATTTCTTTGAAATATTTTGAAATGACCCTGCAAAGCCATCTTTTGTGGGGAAAAAAATGCATTCTTAGAGAATCTCCATTACCGCAGCCAGGCCTTTCATGGATCTAGGAAAGATTGATTAAGAGTCTGACACCTTTTAAGGTCTGAAAAGAGACATTTGCCATCTATTCTCTCTGAATGCTGCTGCCTGGAGGCTTCATCTATATAACAAGAACCTTGGTCTCCACAAAGCCCCTCCCCCTTAACTCAAGCATTTCTTTCTACTGTCTTCAAGTCTTCAGTCAAAACTTACCTCTTTCAACCAATTACCAATTAGAAACTCTTTGAACCCACCTATTACCTATAAGCCCCAACTTCAAGATATCCTGCCTCTTTAGGCTGAACCAGTACATCTTTCATGTATTGATTTATGATTTTACCTACAATCCCTGGCCCATGGTCACTCATATGGGCTCAAAATAAACCTCCTTACGTATTTTAGAGAGTTTGGTTTTCGTGTTAACACTACTATGCTTGCTTTATCACCAGAGATTAATTTTGCCTATTTTTGAACTTCCTTTAAATAGAAACTACAGTACAAATTCTTTTATGTCTAACTTCTTTCATTTAAAAGAATATATTTTAGGTTTGCTATCCAAAACACCACCAGGATGACTAAACAGTAGAAAGGAGAGCTTTATTGGTAGTAATTGTTTGCAAGCTGGGAAGAGAAAGTCTCCATCGTGGACTGAAGGTCTCTCTCTCCAAAGAGGGTAGGGACAGGTTGGGTTTTATGCCTTACAGGGCCTCTGTCATAGATATTCAGCAGGTTTGGAAGAAAAGTTATACATATTTATGATGGGACTTGAGTGCATGCATAATGGATAAATATACATGCAACATACACCCCATGTTCACTTTGGGGGCAGGGCTTTAGCATTAAAATGAGATGAAATTTGACTCTACATCGAAAGGTAAACTGTAGGGCACAAAGGCAGTCTGTGTGCAGCCTCTATAAGCTGGGTGAAATTGGCTTTGGGCCTGCAATTGCTTATCAGAGAAGAACGTTTGTTAAGGCCAGTTTTCTATCCAATCGGAGTTGTAGTGGTCTGGGCTGTAAATCAGAGCTGATTGCTCTGATTTGTTAGAGAGTTTAGCTGTAAGAATTTAGAAATTTGTGAGGCCAGCCAGGCCCAGAGCTTGACTAGTAAGGAAACTAACTTTGTTTTCCTAACCCTTGGGTCATCCTAATTGATAAAGGGGCATCTATTTTGGTGTCTTAGATCACAGATTTATCAATGTTTTCAGATGTATCAATATTTTAATTAACCGTATAGTATTTCCATATGTATATACCATACTTTTGTATCCATTCTCCTATTGATAAGCATACCACTGATTTCTAGTTTGTGCTTTATGAAGAAATTTGTTTTGAACAGTTTTATACAAGTCATTTTGTATGCATATACACTTACTTTTCTTGGGTATATACCTAGAAGTGGAATTTCTGAATCACAGAGTAACTATGTTTGACTCTTTGAAACTGCCAAATAATTTTCAAAAGAGGCTGAATTGATTTCCAGTTTTGACTCGTAGGTTTAGATAGCTGGAAGAATGTTGCTCCCAGCATTATAGCAACAAAGCTGGACATAATGTGAATTCATGACTTTTCTTGAACCCATCAGGGAAGTGAGATTGCAAGGCAAATGACTAAATAGAAAACTGGGGAGATTAGAAGCATGTAGGGAGAAACGGCCTAAACATTTTGTAACCCGAGGTAGTAGCCATCAGATGCCATAGAACTGGTAAGAAGACTCATAG
Organism: Homo sapiens; assembly: GCF_000001405.40. Lineage (NCBI taxonomy): Eukaryota > Metazoa > Chordata > Mammalia > Primates > Hominidae > Homo > Homo sapiens. The sequence goes on from NC_000001.11 coordinate 147,438,135, forward strand.
CTTTTTTGTGAATTTAATTAATTGCTAAGGAGTGAGCAAAGTCCCTGGGGGCCACAGACATAAGGTTTGCACCCTTTTGCTTTTCCACCATGAACTCCTCCAGATGCTCACAGTGAAGACCAAGCAGTATTCTGAGAAAGCTTCCCTAATGCTGCAGTGTGGGAAGGGTGGGGGAGGAGCAGTCACTGCCAAAACTTCTCCGTGACCCATTTCCCATATTTTTCCTGCAGAACAAAAGCCACAATCCGCAGAGCAAAACCAGAAAGCTGTCACCTCAGGACACTGTGGAAACTCATTCTAGCTGGGAAAGGGACAGGGACCAAAAAGTCTGACCCATCAGGGAGGGGCAGAAATGAGTGCTAGGCCCACACTACAGCTGGAAGAAGGGCAGGATCACTGTGAAAATCATGCCCCAAGGCCCAGTCACAATACCTAAGACTGACGCTTACCCAGAACACAACAGAACACCTTCCCCCTCCTCCCTGGTAGCCAGGCTAACAAGCGATGAGTAAAATTAATAGTGGAATACATCTCGAAATGTTTAAGAAAAGTGTTATCTCTGGGGTTAGCCATGTGAAGGGAAGACCCAAAGACAAACAGGGAGTAGAAATTAAAACAAACAAAAACCTCTGGCAAACTTTCCTATGGCCTAAGCACAAGGTATCACTGGAGAAATTTGAAGTCTGCAGCGCACTGAGGGTAAACACCTCAACACAAACTCCAAATTCAGCCCACCCCCTGACTAGATTAGCACATGCTCCAACATTAGAGGTCTAGCAGAAGAAGAGACATACTCATCTCTAAGCGAAAAAAAAAAATGTTTTTACCTAATTCTCTACTGTCCTATATAACATTTGTAATTTCAGCAAAAAGTTATGAAGCATACAAAAAGGTAAGAAAATAACAGTCTGAAGAGACAAAGCAAACATCAGACCAGACTAAGATGTTAAAGAGAGATGAAAACTATGAGACAGGGAATTTTAAATTACTATGATTAACAGGTTAAGGAATGTGGAGGAAAAGTAAGCAACATGCAAGATCAGACAGGTAATTTCAGCAGAGAGATGGAAACAATGAGAAAGATCAAATGAAAATGCTAAAATAATAAAAAAAAACAGAAATAAAGATGAACACCTTTTATGGGTTCATCAGCTAAAAAAAGAATCAGTAAACTTGAAAATATGTTAAAGAAATCATCAGACCAAAACACAAAGACAAATAATAGTAAAAAAAAAACAAAAAGAAAATCCCAGAGTATCAGACAGCTATTGTACAATATCTAACACATACACAAGTTGAGTCCCAGAAGTAGGATTATAAGAAAATACATCTCAAAAGATCCAGAAAAATCACTTAACAAAATTTAATACCTATTCACGATAAAAACTCTTAGTAAAGAAGAGATAGATAGTAACTTCTTTAACTTTTAAGGAACATCTAGGTCTTTGAGGAATCGCCACACTGTCTTCCACAATGGATGAATTAATTTACAATCCCACCAATAGTGTTTGTTTTTCTCTACAACCTTGCCAGCATCTGTTATTTTTTGACTTTTTAATAACAGCCATTCTGACTGGTGTGAGATGGTATCTCACTGTGGTTTTGGTTTGCATTTCTCTAATGATTAGGGATGTCGAGCCTTTTTTTCATGGTTGTTGGCCGCATATAAAACAGAAATACCATTTAACCCAGCAATCCCATTACTGGGTATATACCCAAAGGAATAGAAATCATTATATTATAAAGACACATGCATGCATATGTTCATTGCAGCACTATTCACAATAGCAAAGACATAAAATCAACCTAAATGCCCATCAATAATAGACTGCATAAAGAAAATGTGATCCATATTCACCATGGAATACTATGAAACTATAAAAAGAATGAGATCATGTTCTTTGCAGGAACATGGATGGAGCTGGAGGCCATTATCCTTAGCAAACTAACACAGGAACAGAAAACCAAATACCACATGTTCTCACTTCTAAGTGAGAGCTAAATGATGAGGACACATGGACACATAGATGGGAACAACAGACACTGGGGCCTACTGGAGAGTGGAGGGTGGGAAGAGAAAGAAGATCAGGAAAAAAGAGGATCCGTACTAAAGGATACTAGGCTTAATACCTGGGTGACAAAATACTCTCTACAACAAGCCCCCATGACACAAGTTTACCTATGTAACAAACCTGCACATGTATCCCTGAACTTAAAATAAAAGTTAAACTTAAAAAATAAAATAAAATAACATCTGAACAGAACTCTACAGCTAGTAAAATAGTAAAATACTGAATGCTTTCCCCTGAGATCAGGAATGAGGTAAGGATATCCTAAGTGCTCCTATTTCACATTGTTTAAATTTGCATTTACCTGATGTTGATGCATCTTTTCCTAAGTTATTGGCATTTAAATATATTATTTTGTGAAGTCCCTGTTCATGTCTGTTGCAGGAGTCTGGGCAAGACAAAATGGTGACTTGGACTGGGGTATCACTAGTGATGGTGGTGAGAAATGACAGTATTTGTAAAATTTGGAAGGTAGAGTCGAACAAAATATTTTATCCTGAAATATTTTACATGGACTACAAAATAATAGCATTGACAGCTTCAGTTGATTGAATACCTCTGAAGTACCAGGTACATTATTTATTTTATATCACATTACTTCTTCCAACAACTCTGATATAGGCATGAATAATATCAGAATACAATGAACAAACTGAAGAACCAGGAAGTCAGCTAACTTATCCACCATCTACACCTAGTAAGCAGTAGAAGTAGGATTTAAAAATCCCCATCTATCTGATTCAAGAGCCCACTCTTTCCAACATATCACCTCCTCTCTAAGATTGAAAAAGATGAGAAAATTACAGTTCATAAAAATGGTTGTGAGCTTATTAGAATGGATAGCTTAATAGAAAGTGGGTAATTCTATCAATTTTTTTCAAGAAATATGTAATGTTGGGCTGAGGATAAATCTTGGATTAATACAATTTAATAAGGTAACATATCTAAGTACATATGTTTAAAATTGTTATACCTTTTAAACTCTGAAAAGATAAATGACCCAAGTGATTTTTAAAAATTAGTATATTTCAAAACAGAGTCTTAAATTTTTATTCTGAAGAGATAATCAGAGATGCTCACATTTATGTGCGAAATTACAGCATTCATAGGGAATGGAGACAACCTGAATGTTTAACCAAAAAGGAGATATGAAGTTTATTTCATATAATGAAATACAATGCATCCCTAAGAAATGAAGCTCATAACTTTTTGTCATTTATTTTTAATTGTGGTAAAATACATATGTTTATTAGTTGACCATTTATAAGTGTACAATTTTATGGCATGAAATACATTCACAATATTGTATAACCATCACTGTTATCTATAACCAAAACTCTTTCATCGTCCTCAACATAAACTCTGTACCTATTAAACGGTAACTCCCCATTTCAACTCACCTTCAAGCCCCTGGTAACCTCTATTCTATTTTCCGTCTCCATTAATTTGCGTGTTCCAGGTATTTCATGTAAGTGGAGTACAAATACAATATTTATCTTTCTATATCTGGCTTATTTTACTTAGCATAATATCTTCAAGGTCTATCCACGTTGTAGTATATATCAAAATTTCATTCCTTTTTATGGCTAAATAACAATTCGTTGTATGTATACACATTTTATATCTGCTGATGGACACTGGGGTTATTTCTGGCAATTGTGAACAAGGATGCTATGAACTGGGATGTACAAACATCTGTTTGAGTACCTGCTTTCAATTCTTTCAGATGTATTCCTAGGAGTAGAATTGCTGGATCATATGGTAGTTCTATGTTTAACTTTTTGAGGAACTGTCAAAATGTTTTCTAAAGCAGCTGCACCATCTTATATTAACATCAGCAATTCACGAGGGTTAAAATTTCTCCACATTGTTGCCAACATTTGTTATTTTCCATTTTCTTTATTATAGCCATTTTAGTAAATAAAAACTAGTATCTCATTGTAGTGTTGACTTGCATTTTCCTAATGACTAATGGTGTTGAGCATCTTTTCAGGCCCTTATTTGTATATCTTCTCAGGAGAAATGTCTATGTCCAGTGTCCACATTTGAATTGGTTGGTTTTTATTACTGTTGTTGAGTTGTAGGAGTTCTTTATATTATGAATATTAATGCATTACTAGATTTCTGATTTGCAGATATTTTCTTCCATTCTACAGATTGTCTTTTCACTTTATTGATGGCATCCTTTGGATGACACTTTCTTAATTTCAACGAAGTAAATGTTACCTACTTTTTCTTTTGTTGTCTGTACTTTTGGTGTTATTTCTATGAAATAATAATCCAAATTCAAATCCAATGACATGAAGATTGTCCCCAATTTTTTTCTGAGACTTTGACAGTTTTAGCTCTTATATTTAGGTCTTTGATCAATTTTGAGTTAATTTTGTATATAGTGTAAGTTAAGGGCCCCACTTCATTCTCTTGCATGTGGATATATAGTTTTCTTAGGACCATTTTCTGGAAAAACTGTTCTTTCCCCATTGAATAGACTTGACATGCATGTTTAAAATCAATTAACCAAGGGATGTGAAGGACCTCTTCAAGGATAACTACAAACCACTGCTCAACGAAATAAAAGAGGACACAAACAAACGGAAGAACATTCCATGCTCCTGGATAGGAAGAATCAATATCGTGAAAATGGCCATACTGCCCAAGGTAATTTATAAATTCAATGCCATCCCCATCAAGCTACCAATGACTTTCTTCACAGAATTGGAAAAAACTATTTTAAAGTTTATATGGAACCAAAAAAGAGCCCACATTGCCAAGTCAATCCTAAGCCAAAAGAACAAAGCTGGAGGCATCACGCTACCTGACTTCAAACTATACTACAAGGCTACAGTAACCAAAACAGCATGGTACTGGTACCAAAACAGAGATACAGACCAATGGAACAGAACAGAGCACTCAGAAATAATACCACACATTTAAAACCATCTGATCTTTGAAAACCTGACAAAAACAAGAAATGGAGAAAGGATTCCCTACTCAATAAATGGTGCTGGGAAAACTGGCTAGCCATATGTAGAAAGCTGAAACTGGATCCCTTCCTTACACCTTATACAAAACTCAATTCACAATGGATTAAAGACTTAAATGTTAGACCTAAAACTATAAAAATCCTAGAAGAAAACCTAGGCAATACCATTCAGGACATAGGCATGGGCAAGGACTTCATGTCTAAAACACCAAAAGCAATGGCAACAAAAGCCAAAATTGACAAATGAGATCTAATTAAACTAAAGAGCTTCTGCACAGCAAAAGAAACTACCATCAGTGTGAACAGGCAACCTAAAAAATGGGAGAAAATTTTTGCAAGCTACTCATCTGACAAAGGGCTAATATCCAGAATCTACAAAGAACTCAAACAAATTTACAAGAAAAAAACAACCCCATCAACAAGTGGACGAAGGATATGAACAGACACTTCTCAAGACATTTATGCAGCCAACAGACACATGAAAAAATGCTCATCATCACTGGCCATCAGAGAAATGCAAATCAAAACCACAATGAGATACCATCTCACACCAGTTAGAATGGCGATCATTAAAAAGTCAGGAAAGAACAGGTGCTGGAGAGGATGTGGAGAAATAGGAACACTTTTACACTGTTGGTGGGACTGTAAACTAGTTCAACCATTGTGGAAGTCAGTGCGGTGATTCCTCAAGGATCTAGAACTAGAAATACCACTGGACCCAGACATCCCATTACTGGGTATATACCCAAAGGATTATAAATCATGCTGCTCTAAAGACACATGTACATTTATTGCAGCACTATTCACAATAGCAAAGACTTGGAACCAACCCAAATGTTCATCAATGATAGACTGGATTAAGAAAATGTGGCATATATACACCATGGAATACTATGCAGCCATAAAAAATGATGAGTTCATGTCCTTTGTAGGGACATGGATGAAGCTGGAAACTATCATTCTCAGCAAATTATCACAAGGACAAAAAACCAAACACCACGTTCTCACTCATAGGTGGGAATGGAACAATGAGAACACTTGGACACAGGAAGGGGAACATCACACTCTGGGGCCTGTTGTGAGGTAGGGGAAGGAGGGAGGGATAGCATTAGGAGATATACCTAATGTAAATGGTGAGTTGATGGGTGCAGCGCACCAACATGGCAAATGTATACATATGTAACAAACCTGCATGTTGTGCACATGTACCCTACAACTTAAAGTATAATAAATAAATAAATAAATAAGAAAATCAATTAACCATATATGTGGAGGTTGATTTCTGAGCTCTCTGGTCTATCCCATCAGTCTATGACTGTTCTTATTACAGTACCATACTGTTTCAGTTTAGTGTATCGTTATTGTAAGTTTCAAAGCCAGGAAGTATGAGTCCTCTAACTTTATTCTTCCTTTTCAAGGTTATTTTGGCTATCCAGGGCCCCTTGCAATTCCATACAAATTTGAGGAGGGGCTTTTACATTTCTATGAAAATGGCTGCTGGAATATGATATGGATTTCATTGAATCTGTAGATCACTTTGGGTAGTAGTGATAACAAAGTTAAGTCTTTCTATCAATGAACTTAAGACATATTTCCATTTATTTAGGTTTTTCTTTAATTTATTTCAACAATGTTTCGTAGTTTTCAGAGTACAAGTTCTTCACCTCCTTCGTAAGATTTATTCTAACTACCTAATTCTTTTGTGTACTGTAAGTAGAATTGGTGTCTTAATTTCTTTTTTGAATTGCTATTGCTAGTATACAAACACACAACTGATTGTTGTGTGAGCAACTTTGCTGAATTTGCTTATTAGGGCTAGTAGTTTTCCAGAAGATTATTTGATATTTTCTCTATATATGATCATGCCATACTTGTATAGAGGTAGTTTTAGTTCTTCTTTTCCAATCTGGAAAAATTGTTAATATTTTAAAGCTATAGAGATCAAGATTTACGTAAAACAAAAAAAACTACAATGAAATACACTGAAAGGTAGTATTGACTGATTCTGCAGATGACTGAATTATTTATAGCTTTCTGCATGTTCTTAAATTTTTGTAATAAAATTTGTTTTATTACTTGCCAGGCACAGTGGCTCATGCCTGTAATCCCAGCACTTTGGGAGGCCAAGGCAGGCAGATCACAAGGTCAGGAGATCGAGACCATCCTGGCCAAAATGGTGAAGCCTCATCTCTACTAAAAATACAAAAATTAGCCAGGCATGGTGGCACGCGCCTGTAGTCCCAGCTACTCGGGAGGCTGATGCAGGAGAATTGCTTGAACCTGGGAGGCGGAGGTTGCAGTGAGCCGAGATTGTGCCACTGCACTCCAGCCTGGCGACAGAGCAAGGCTCTGTATGGTTTCTTTCTTCTTTGTTTTGTAGCTGTGACACCACTTGAAATAAGCAATCAAACATATGTCACCAAATTCATCTTTTGGGTATTTTCCAACCACTCCAACCTACAAGGTTTGTTCTTCCTGGTCTTTCTGGTCATTTACCTGACACTCTGGGAGAATATGCTCATAATGGTGGCCACCAGATTTAGCCCTCCACATTCCACTGTATTATCTCCTCAGTAACCTGAGCTTCCTGGATATCTGCTACATGTCTACCATCATCCTGGTCATGCTGGTGAACTTCTTCCAGGAGAAGAAGATCATCTCCTACGAAGGCTGCCTTTCCCAGATCTTTTTCCTTGCATCATGAGCCAGCACTGAGGGTGTCTTGCTGGCTGCCATGGCTTATGACCACTGTGTGGCCATTTGCCACCCTCTTCAATATAAGCTCCTAATGAGTGAAAAGTTCTGTTTGGTGACTGGGTTTTGGATGTGTGGGCTGGTCAATTCTGGGACACACACAGCACTGACAGCCACATTCATTCTGTGTAAACCCAACCCAATCAGCCACTTTCTCTGTGTCATCCCATTTTAATTATCCAGTCCCAAAAAATAGCAGTCACTCCCTATTTGCCCCCAATTTTGTAGCTCTAAACAACCACTAATCTGTTTCTGTGTTTTTGGATATTGCTATTCTGGATGTTTCATATAAAGGAAATCATATAATATGTGCCGGGTATGTCTAGCGTCTCTCACTTGATATAATGTTTTCAAGTTTCATCAACATGACAGCATGTATCAGTACTTCATTCCTTCCTACTGCTAAATAATTTCCATCATATAGATATACCAGATTTTATTAACCCATTTATCACTCGATAGACATTTTGGTTATTTTAACTTTTTATGAATAATGCTCCTATAAAAATTTATGTACGAATTTTTGGTAGACAAATATTTTTATATATCCTGGGTGTACAGCTAGGAAAAGAAGTGTTGGATCATATGGTAAATCTATGTTTAACTTTTTAAAGAACTTCCAGACAGTTTTCAAAGCAGTGGCACTGTTTTACATTACTAAAAACAGTGGATGGGGTTTCTAATTTCTCTAAATCCTCACCAATACTTATTGTTATGTCTGCCTTTTATTATAACCATCCTGGTATGTATGAAGCACTACATCAAATACGATTTTGATTTACATTTCCCTGAAGGATAATGACCCTAAGGGTTTTAAGAACCTCCATTTCTGTGCTACTTCTTCACACATGGGAAAACCCGTTGCTATGGGATTTTTGAGCTTTAGTGACTTAACTCTTAACACTGTCTAATGTTTTTATCTTAATTCGGTGCAGGAAAATACTGCAAAGTTTTCAGACTTATACCTTCTCCATATCTAGGCCCTACAGAGCTATTTGATGGCTCTGCCTTTTTCCCCTTCAGAACTCCACAGCAAGCAGTGCCATCACCAGGTTATGAGCAATGGCAGGACCAGAAATCAGGGGCCACAAAGGTCTAAGGGGTGCTGGTGGGAAATAAGGGATGCACTGCATGCAGGGGGCAGCCCTAACTAGGAGCTGCTTGAAGCTGAGACAGCAGACGTGCTGTAGTACCATGGCTCCAGATACACATCCCTCTGGTGGGGCATGTGGCATGAAGAGGCTAGGTCCAAGCAAAGCCCATGGCCGTGGCCACCAGAACAAACAGAAAACACTCCCTCATGTGTTGTAAAATCCAACCAAATAAGCCCACATCCATGCATACCCCTTCACTCACTAACGAGGAGGAGGACAAGGCTGTCTTTCAGGCTTTAGCCACCACAACTCCTGACAACAAATCCAGTACCAAATTCCATTCAGAGTGTCTCCAAAGAGCTAAAAAGCTGACCTCTTCATTGCATGCTGGGAAAAGATGACTGCCATGACCTTAATGATTCCAAGAGAGAACTAATTGCTCTTCATTTCTACACTTTCTAATCAAGCTGCTGCCCTTGAGTTGTGTTTGTACTTGGAGGAGTCCCAGAACATCTACTTAGAGAGAGATTAGATGGATAGTCCCCAAAGGACAGTCCACAGGCACTTATACATGGCCATCCTAGAAGAAGGAATCATAGAGTGATCAAAGAGGATTTTTGGTTCCTGTGTTAGGCAATGACTACGCTGCAGGCAGCTCCTGGAGTGGCAGGTCCCCCTCATGATGCATGGAGTTCAATAGCCAGTTGTACCAAAGAGTATTCTTTCCATAGTAGTGTGGGGAGTACAAGCCCCACCCCCAAAGCCAGAAATCCAAGCCTTTCAGTGAGACTCAGTGGTACGTAGGTTATTTATCATCACAATTGAGAAAAACTGCCCAATGTCAGGATATACCTACCGCTTAATAACATACTGTATATTGTGCATATTTTTATTACCATTTTGGTAACATTTATGTAATGACGTATTTTTAACATCTTTTCTGTGTGTATAAATTTCAACAGTACAACTTATAGAATTAGAGTAGAACTTACTTTAGAAATTATCCACTCCAGAACCTAAGGAATGCCTGAGTTATTTAAGTGAGATAATATAAGTGAAAAAATTTTTATGACATAATACAAAATGCAAAGTATTAGTATTCTATTTTTGACAAGCAGGACAGAAAGGAATAATTTTTTGGGAGAAAGCATAGGGATATATTTCCACTATTACACATTACAGTACAACAATAGGTGCAGACAAAATAATTGTTTAAAGAAATTTGATTAAATTCATACAAAACATATATTTGGAAACATTTATTCGCTAACCAGGGGTTCTCATCTTTATGTGGCAACACATTGATGTTTGGGAGAGGTGTGTTGCAAGCAATTTATTGACTATAATAAAGGCTTGAAGCTTGCGAATGATTTACTTTACCTGTGATTCTTTTTATTATAAATATACATTTAAAGTTATTTGTAAATAATTTCATCCCCAATCATTTGCCTTAGAGATTACTGATTGGGAAAGAAAGAAGCAGGATTGCTGCTCTCTGGCTGGGAACTGAGCAGAACGTGCCACATGGTCTCCATTGGGACCATTGCTCTTACAGGGCCATGGCGCCACATTTATGCCCCAACAGGCTGTTCTTTTCCTCAGGTGTCTAAGATGTTTGCACCAGAACGGTTGAACAGAAATGTCCTCCAGAGGTCAGCTGAGATGTCCCTTCTTAACCTTTCTCTGTAGGTCTGACTAAACTGCTGGATTTTATATCTTTCCTGTTCCCCTGACTTCCACCTGAGTTGTTCGTGAACAGTCTTTGAGCCCCAAGCTTTGGGTCCCCGTTCAGCTTGGATGCCACTGGGAGTATCAGGCTCTGTGATACCAGGGTCAAGGACCTAAGGCACCTCATAGGTAGGGCATTGCAGGCCAGTCTTTCTCCACTCTGACATATGTGTTCATGAGAGGGGGCTCAGAATTTGCCAGTGGCTCTATGCTACCTCTGGCATAGGCTTGGGAGGAGTGCAATTTTCTGTGAGATCTCCATAGAGTTACCCTCTTGTCAAAGTTAACACAGGTTAAAAAATGCAAATCTATGTCATGTTTCAGGCAGACACAGATATTGAGAAATATGTGCCCAATAAATACTATATGGTCTCATCATGAGACTGATAGGGTAAATATAATTGGTAGAAAAATAAGTCAATAATTTCATCCTTTTTTAATTCCAAGAAATTCATTTGATCAGTGTTAGCATTAACTTTAGTTTTGACTTGTTTTGTTTCGTTGTTGCTGCTGATTGAACCAATTCTCAGGAGATTGAAAAGAGGTAGGTATTTTTCTTATTTGGACCTTTCTCTCTCTCTTTATTTTATGGAACTATGGAATGCAGAACAGGGAATTGGAAAGAGTATGGCCTTTAGAGTCAGATGGACATGGGTTAAATCCCAGTCCCTAATATAGTAGCCAGGTAACTTGAAGCATCAGTTTCCCTACCATCAGAGTGAACAGGCAACCTACAGAAGGGGAGAAAATTTTTGCAATCTACCCATCTGACAAAGGGCTAATATCCAGAATCTACAAGGAACTGAAACAAATTTACAAGAAAAAAATCAAACAACCCCATCAAAAACTGGGTGAAGAATATGAACAGACACTTCTCAAAAGAAGACATTTACGCAGCCAACAGACACATGAAAAAATGCTCATCATCACTGGCCGTCAGAGAAATGCAAATCAAAACCACAGTGAGATACCATCTCACACCAGTTAGAATGGCCATCATTAAAAAGTCAGGAAACAACAGGTGCTGGAGAGGATGTGGAGAAATAGGAACACTTTTACACTGTTGGTGGGACTGTAAACTAGTTCAACCATTGTGAAAGACAGTGTGGTGATTCCTCAAGGATCTAGAACTAAAAATAACATTTGACCCAGCCATCCATTACTGAGTATATACCCAAAGGATTATAAATCTTGCTGCTATAAAGACACAGGCACACGTATGTTTACTGTGGCACTATTCACAATAGCAAAGACTTGGAACCAACCCAAATGTCCATCAATGATAGACTGATTAAGAAAATGTGGCACATATACACCATGGAATACTATGCAGCCATAAAAAAGGATGAGTTCATGTCCTTTGTAGGGACATGGATGAAGCTGGAAACCATCATTCTGAGCAAACTATCGCAAGGACAGAAAACCAAACACCACATGTTCTCACTCACAGGTGGGAACTGAACAATGAGAACACTTGGACACAGGGTGGGGAACACCACACACTGGGGCCTGTCGTGGGGTGACAGGGATAGCATTAGGAGATATACCTAACATAAATGACGAGTTAATGGGTGCAGCACACCAACATGGCACATGTATACATATGTAACAAACCTGCATGTTGTGCACATGTACCCTAGAACTTAAAGTATATTTTAAAAAAAAGCATCAGTTTCCTTACTTACAAATCTTAATCAACACCTACTATATAAGGTTGTTGTGATACATACATGGGACTGTGTGTACAAAGCACCCAGTACAGTTCCTGGTACCTCGTAAGTACTTAATAAGCAGTAGCCACCATTATATTTGGGGCTATCATTACTGTCAATCACAGGGTTATGTAGGGATGGAAAGGAAGCTGGGATTGTTTGTTAAGCCGGTTTCTGTTATTTGGTCAATCATACACAAATAACACACTGTGAACAGTGATGCTGAGCAGAGTGTTCTGTGAAAGGGAAGACATTCCATTTACATTTTATGTATTTTTCACTTATGTGAAATTTTTCAGTGAGCATGTGCTACTTTAGAAATTTAAAATTCCTATATAGTTTTTATTTAAAAAATGAAATGTAAGTACAAGACTCCCTGTATAGTTCCTTAACTTTTCCTGTGATTCTATAATTGTTCCAAAATAAAAAATTTTAAAATCTCTATTTGATAAATAACATAAAATAAGGGATACACATATATATTACATAATATTGGAGCCAAGGAGGCTTCTGGTCATGCGAAATGTTTACCTTCCTGGAAGATGTTCATAAACACCAAAAGTGGATTTCCACAAGGTAGGTGAATGCTAAGAGACGACTGATGCACTTGGTCTGATCTGATCTAATGAAATATGAAATTTTCGTGGTCATAAAAATGCTATGTTTTCACATTGACAGAACAATGGGAGCTAAAAAGGACTATAAGAATCAACTCAAAAGATCTTCACTTGAGACATGAGTTAATCTTCTTTGCAGGAGATGCAGCAATCCAGCCTCTATTTGAATATCTCCAGTAAAGGTATCTCATTACTCTCTATATATTATAAAATGCTTGCTTAAGTAGCCTAAATTCAATTAATGAGACAAGAAGTTGCAATGTTACCAAAAAAAAGAAAGAATAGTTATCAGGTCTCTATACTTATATTTACACACTTCAATTAAGTAGAAAGGTGGAGATTTCAATTCAATATGCCAAGTGGATTACTGAGAAATTCTTGGAATGAAGCAAGTAAGTAGAGTTGTAAGCATGTAACTGAATATTCACACACTGTTATAAAAAGGGGGTGTTGCTCATTAGTCAAAAATGTGACTGAATTCAGAATACCAGGAGAAACTCTTAAAGTCTCAGTTTTCTTATCTGCAAAATGGGGTTAATAACAGTATTTACACTTTTTAGTTGTTTTGAGAATAAATGGGATAATCCATGAACACTGGCTGGCACATAGCACATGCTCAACAAGTATTTAATAAGATGAACAGTGTTGGTATTAGTAATATGTACAAGAGGATAGGAAAACACAGTGCCTTACTTTGAGGTGGCCTTGACTGGCTAATCACATATTTTCCAGAAAGCTGTCCAGTGCTGAATAGGTGAGAACAACAAGGTCATCTTTTTATCATCGCCATAGGCTGCTGAGATAGAAGGGACCTCAGAGGTCAACCAGTCTGGATCTTTGTTTAGGAAACAATGAAACAGAAGCCTAAATCATACTCTAACAGAAGTAAATCTCTAGGTTACTCCCTTCATAATTTTTAAAGAATATGTGATTTGAGACAAACAGGAGGGGGCCAAAAGTTGGAGCAACTCAGAAGGAAAGAGCCAATCCTGGGCACCAGCCTCCATGGCTTTGCTTCTCTGCTCTCTTTACCTCAAATGATTATCCCCATATTTCTGCCTGTTTAAGTCCTTTAAGGTCCATCACAGTGCTACGTCTTTAAAAAGCTTTTGATATCTCTAATCCCATAGACGTTCTTTACCGTGCTTCTATACTCATCAAACATTTATTGAACGCATGCTTGTACATGAGGCTCCAGGCTACATTTTCATATAGAATTGAAAGGCTCAGACTGTAACTTCAAGGTATGTGTATTTAAGATGGAACTGGGGGCTTTGAGCAAGCACTGAGTGTTCTATTCCTACAAGTGTTCAGCCAGGGGCTATCTGACCAAAGATTAGTAAAGAAAAAAAATAATAATAATTTTAAAAGTAAACAAAATGTCACAAAGCTCTCTGCCTCATATTGTAGTTTACCTTCCCATTAGATTGTTTGTTTACTGAAGACAGGAATTAGGTCTTACTCCCCTTTGGGTCTCTTTATAATACCTGTTACAGAGCTGTACTAGACCCTATGGAGGAACTAAATTGGTTTGAATTGAAAACTAGCCACTACCAAAGAAAGATTATTGGAAAATGCTGAAAGTAAGAATTTCTTAGCTTGAAGAATTTTATAGCTAGAAGGCACTTACATGTCATAAGAGGTAGCAATTTGTCTTTCCTTTTTCCTTTACACTAGGAGAAGTGCAGGTGAGATATAAAGCAATGAAAGAAATATTAAATGCTAGAATAAATTTCTGAGATGCAATGGAGAATTTTTCTTGACAAATAATTATTAAGACAAGACTTAACCTACTAATTTTAGAGGTAAACGTAGCTCTGTCAGGTGGAAAGAGCTTACACTTGTCGCTCAAGTGTGGTCCCTGGGTCAGCAGCATTGGTGTTGCCTGGGAACTTACTGGAACTGCAGGTTATTTACATGCACGTTCAAGTTTGGGAACACACTGGCCTGCACAATGACCTCTGAATATGCCATCTGGTTCTAGGCACTCATATTATGGGAGAGCTTACAAATAGAAATCTAGGCCAGGTGAAAATAATTCATATATTCATGGCAATAAATTAACTTCACCACAAGCACCTGAAATAATTTGGTTTTCTTTTAGAGAAATTGTCCTACATACTGGTATTCTGAGTGTGTGTGTGAGAGCATGCATGCACGTGTGCGTGTGTGTGGTTTAAGTAGATCAGCAATTTACTGGGCAACATGAACATTTGATTTAAAAATTTTAATCATTGCTTTGTGTTATTGAAATTAAATATAAGTAGATGTTTCCCTGATGTGCTGTAAGGACTTTCAAAAGCACATCAGTTACTCTAGTTTATGCCCATTTTGTTTCTTTTGAGGAAACAAACCCCTTAAGGTTAGTCAACAAAACATTTCATTTATTGCCAAAGCAAAAAAAAAAAAAATTCCTCTTTTAAGACCCCCATGCTTATTTTCCAGAGTTTATACTTACATTTTAAAATTATTTATGCTTAACTTCAGTACCAACTTTCTATTGAAATTTAAATACTTTAAGCTCCTGAAGCCCCTGAGATTTGGAATTTTTAATGAAAGCTGTACTGGCATATTAATCACATGCCTTGAATTCTCAGAATCAAAGATAAGAATGCATTGGCTTTCCAGACTATAGAGCAGTTTGCAAATATAAGATATTATCAGGTATCACTATTAATAATTATTATATGACTTAAACCCTCTGTGCTTCAGTTTATTTATCTCCAAAATGGGTGTGGTAGGTTGTCTTATAGGTTATTATGTGAATCAAATAAGTTAATACATGTAAAAAGCTTAGATGTAATACATGTAAAAAGTTAGCACATAATATAAATTTAACTAGTGCTGGCTATCATTATCTAACGTTTGTTTCTATCCATTACCCAGTTTGAAAAATACTGTTTGAATTCAAGTATGTAAAAATGTTGCATCTTTTCAAAGCAACTCATTGGGTTTTGATTGGATGCATTATACTAAAATCAATTTAATCATTAAAGAAAAACATACTTTGAAACTATTAAGCAAGATTTTTTTTTTTCTGAGATGGAGCCTTACCCTGTTGCCCAGGCTGGAGTGCAGTGGTGTGATCTCGGCTCATTGCAACCTCCGCCCGCCAGGTTCAAGCAATTCTTCTGCCTCAGTCTCCTGAGTAGCTAGGATTACAGGCGTGTGCCACCACGCCCAGCCAATTTTTGTATTTTTAGTAGAGACAGGATTTCACCATGTTGTCCAGGCTGGTCTCCAACTCCTGACCTCGTGATCTGCCCTCCTCGGCCTCCCAAAGTGCTGGGATTACAGGCGTGAGCCACCACGCCCGGCCTAAGCAAGATTCTTTTAAAGCCAATTTTTTGGTACAGAATCAGTCTAAGAAAAATCACCCTCAAATTATTTTTTTCTATGAAATCTATCTATCTCCATGTGATCATGGAGAATAAAGTCATTATTGTACAGGAGAGGGTTTACAATGAGGCTACCTATTCCTAGGAATACGAATTTAAATTCTAAGGGACAAGTGTATATTATATTACAGAAAGTGTCATGCATAGGTGGTGATTGCTAATAATAAATTTTAATGACGATGGTGGTGATTGTCTCAGTCCTTTTTGCATTGCTCTAAAGGAACACCTGATGCTGGGTAGTTCATAAATAAAAGAGTTTTTTTTGGCTTACAGTTCTGCAGGCTGTACAAGAAGCATGGCACCAGCATCTTCTGGTGAGGGTCTCAGGAAGCTTCCAATCATGACAGAAAGGGAAGTGGAGCTGGCATGTAAAGTGGCGAGAGAGAAAGAACGAGAGAGAGGAGGAGATGCCAGGCTTTTTGACAATCAGTCATGACGTGAACTAATAGAATGAGAACTCACTCATTACTGCAAGGATGGCACCAAGCTGTTCATGACAGATTTGCCCCCATGAGCCAAACCTCCCACTAGGCCCCGCTTATAACATCTGGGATCAAATTTCAACATGAAATCTGGAGGGTGAAATATCCAAACTATATCAGGGATGATGAGTAATAAGAAAAAATAAGGCTGGGCACAGTGGCTCACCCTGTAATCCCAACACTTTGGGAGGCTGAGGTTGGCAGACCACTTGAACCCAGGAGTTTGTGATCGGCCTGGGAAACATGTCCAAATCCCGTCTCTGCAAAAAATACAAAAAATTAGCCAGGTGTGGTGGTGCATGCCTGTGGTCCCAGCCACTCAGGAGGCTGAAGTGGGAGGACTGACAGCCTGGGAGGTTGAAGCTGCAGAGAGCCAAGATTGCACCACTGCACTCTAGCCCAGGCAACAGAGCCAACAGAGCAAAACCCTGTCTGGGAAAAAAAAAAAAAGAAAGAAAGAATAAGAAAAAATAGATTCACATTACTACTTATCCCATCTTATCCCCCTGGCCCACAAGAAATTAGATTAGCCAGTCAAACTAAGGAAAAAAAGTTATAGGTAGACATATATAGAGAGATTTTTTTTAATGCCCCATGAATATGTTCCTCAGGAACTGACTTCAACTAATATGAAGTCACATTTCAAGGCGCTTATAATAAGTAGTGTGTGCAACCTCAGAAACCCTATTTTAGAAAATCCCTGAAAATTTATATTCACTTTTCTAATTTAGATATCCATAGACTGGGTGGTGTTTGGATCAGTTTCCCAAAGTAAACTCTTACAGAACCACCTTCCATGAGGAATTTCATTTCTTCCTGTGAATACATCTAGACAGCTACCTATAAAAGAGATTTTCATATCTACCTTTTTGATATGAGGAGTTAAAAAAAACCATGTCACTGATTTTCAAATGACTCGAAGTTTATGCAGTTAACAGAGAAGACAGAATAAAACACGCACATAAGAAATTTCCAGGAGTACATGCAGATTCCCAGCTCAGTTCCAGTGCTGATTTATTGTAAATCATTGCTAATAAGAAACTAATAAGGGAAATGCTTATTATTTAGGGAAATTACTTAGGAAAAGCAATGCCTACAGCTGACCTAGATAGGGTGGTATTTTCAAATCCTTCCTGGATACCTCTTCACCACATTTCCTGTAAACATTGAGAAGCACAAGATTCCCACCTTAGCCTTCCTCTCCTCTCACTGTATCTATTCTCCTTGATGGAATTTATGTACACCTGTTGCTGCAACAGTTGTCTTCAGGATGACTCCCAAATTAATATCTGCAGTTCTAGCCTGTCTCCTGAGACCAAATCCTGTATTTTGAACCACCTATTAGGAATTTCTGCATGGAGATCCCACAGTTACCTAACATTCAACATTATTTGAATCTAATCCACTATCTCCTCCCGCTAAACCTGCTCTATCTCATGTATTTCCTGCCTTAATTAATGATTCCACCATCCAGCCTGCCTGCCCAAATTGACTCCATATCCTCACATGTCCTCACCACACATAGACTTTAAAGTGCTTCAAACATGGCTTCCTCTCTGTGAACCAATACTGCAGTGATTTTCTCCAAGCTCCAAAACATCTTTGGCTATAAACCATTTCATTTTAATCTGTTTTTAGCACTCAAACTACACTTTGGGACCAAACAGAAGTGTTTTAACCTGAGGCACATGGACTATCAACAACAGGCAGACTCTGCAACTCTTCTTGCTCATTCTTACACCAAAGCCTGGCTTCCAGGCAGACACATAGCAAGACCCACATCTCTGAAAAATACTTTTTTAATTGGCCCAGCATGGTGGTGTATGCCTATAGTCCCAGTTACTTATGAGGCTATGGCATGAGGATTGCTTGAGCCCAGGAGTTTCAGGCTGCAGTAAGCCATGATCACACCACTGCACTCCAGCCTGGGCAACAGAGTGAGACCCCATCTTAAAAATAAAGGTAGGAAAAAATACAGCCTGAAGAGACAATACAAACATCAAAACCAAACTCAAATATGAGAAATATTTTTAAACTATCAGACAAGGAATTTAAAATTATAATGATTAATAGCTTAAAAGCCCTAATGGAAAAAGTAACCAATCTGCAAGATCACATAGTTGATTTCAGCAGAGAGGTGAAAGCTATAAGAAAAGATCAAATGGAAGTGCAATAAATGAAAAACATGGTAACAAAAATCAAGAATTCATTTAACAGGCTCTTCAATAAACTTGATACAGCTGAAGAAAGAATTGGTGAACTTGAAAATAGGTCAACAGAGGCCGGGCGCAGTGGCTCACACCTGTAATCCCAACACTTTAGGAGGCCAAGGTGAGTGGATCGCTTGAGGTCAGGAGTTCGAGGCCAGCCAGGCCAACATGGTGAAACCCCCATCTCAGGCCAGGCATGGTGGCTCATGCCTGTAATCCCAGCACTTTGGGAGGCCAAGGCAGGTGGATCACAAGGTCAGGAGATCAAGACCATCCTGGCAAACACGGTGAAACCATGTCTCTAGTAAAAATACAAAAACAAAATTAGCCGGGCGTGGTGGGGGGTGCCTGTAGTCCCAGCTACTCAAGAGGCTGAGGCAGGAGAATGGCGTGAACCCAGGAGGGGGAGCCTGCAGTGAGCCTAGATTGTGCCACTGCACTCCAGCTTGGGTGACAGAGCGAGACTCCATCTCAAAAAAAAAAAAAAAAGAAGAAAAAAGGAAACCACGTTCTATGAAAAATTACAAAAAAAAAAAAAAATAGCTAGATGCAGTGGTGGACACCTATAATCTCAGCTACTCAGGAGGCTGAGGCAGAAGAATCTCTTGAAACTGGGAGGCAGAGGCTGTGGTGAGCCAAGATCATGCCACTGCCCTCCAGCCTCAGTGACAGAGTGAGACTTCATCTCAAAAATTAAACAAAAGGAAGAAGGAAATAGGTCAATAGAAATTACACAAATCAAACACAAGGAGAAAAAAAGAGTTAAAAACAATTTTTAAGCCAGAGTATCCAAGAGATATGGTACAGTACCAAACTGTCTAACATATACAAAGTTGGAATTTGAGAAGGAAGAGACAAGTAGTAGGAGAAAAAAAAAACCAATACAGCATCACAAATAAGAATTACAGCAGACTTCACATCACAAACTACACAGTTGCTAAATGAAGTGGTGTGACCTCTTTAAAGTGCTAAATGGGAAAAAAGAAAAAAATAACCTGTTAACCTGAAGACATCATTCAAATATTGAGAGAAATAAGTATTCTCTCAGACAAATAAAAACTGAAGGAATGCGTTGCCAACAATATACTCTAAACAAATGTTAATGAAAGTTTTTCAGGTATAAGAAATATACTGTAAGTCAGAAACTTGGATCTATACAAAGAAATGGAGAATGTTAGAAATGAATTAAATTAAGATAAATATATTGGGTTGAATAGTGTTCCCCTAGCATTAATATCTAACCAGAATGTGATATTATTTGGAAATAGGGCCTTCGAAGGTGTAATTATTTAAGATGAGATTATACTGGATTAAGGTGGGGCCTAAACACAATTAGTGGCATCATTATAAGAAAAGGAGAGGACAAATAAAGGCACACACAAATGAGAGTGCCATGCAAAAATAGAGGCAAAGATTGGAGTGATGCAGCTACAAGCCAAGGAACAACAGGGATTGTCAAGAACCACTAGCTGTTAGGAAGAGACACAAAGGTATTCTTCCCTAGAGCCTTCAAACTGGGTTTTAAAAGGCAATATCCAACTATATACTGTCTAAAAGAAACCCACTGTAAATACAAAGAGAGGGGAGAGTTGAAAGTAAAAGAAGAGAGAAAGATATACTATGCATATGTTGCATAGTAAAAGTGGACAAAGGATATATTAATTTTAGACAAAATAGACTTCAGAATGAAGGAAGATCACCAGGGATTAAAAGGAATATTGCACAAGGATAAATCACATCTCCAAGAAGACATTGTACCTGAAAAAGAACTTCAAATTACATGAGGCCAAACCTGACAGATCTGAAAGGAAAAATAGACAAATGCACAATTACAGTTGGAGACTGCAACACACCTTTCTCATCAACAATAAATATCAAGCAGAGCATATTCTTTGGCCATAATAGAATATTAGAAAGATATCTAGAATATTCCTAAATATTGGCTATTAAACAATACATTTTAAAATAACTTATGAAGCAAAAAAGTCTCAAAGGAAATTTTTAAGTATTTTGAACTGAATGAAAATAAAAACAATAAATCAAAAATTCTGAAATACAGCTAAAGCAGGGTTTAGACAGAAATATACACCACTTAATGTGTATATTACAAAAGCTTGTATCTATAATCATTAACCTATACTTCTGCCTTAGAGAAAGAGTATATTAAACCCAAATCAAATAAAAGTAAAGAAACAATAAAGATGTGAGAAAAAAATCAATGAAATTGAAACAGTAGAGAAAAATCTGTGAAAATAAACTAGTTCTTTAAAAAGAGCAATAAGATTGATAAACATCTAGGCAGGCTGACTAAGAAAAAAAGACAGAAGACACAAATTATAAATATCAGGAATAAAACAAGAGCAATCAATACTGACCCTACATTATTCAACATAGTGTTGGAAGTTCTGGCCAGGGCAATCAGGCAGGAGAAGGAAATAAAGGGTATTCAATTAGGAAAAAAGGAAGTCAAATTGTCCCTGTTTGCAGATGACATGATTGTATATCTAGAAAACCCCATTGTCTCAGCCCAAAATCTTCTTAAGCTGATAAGCAAATTCAGCAAAGTCTCAGGATACAAAATCAATGTACAAAAATCATAAGCATTCTTATACACCAATAACACACAAACAGCCAAATCATGAGTGAACTCCCATTCACAATTGCTTCAAAGAGAATAAAATACCTAGGAATCCAACTTACAAGGGACATGAAGGACCTCTTCAAGGAGAACTACAAACCATTGCTCAATGAAATAAAAGATGATACAAAGAAATGGAAGAACATTCCATGCTCATGGGTAGGAAGAATCAATATTGTGAAAATGGCCATACTGCCCAAGGTAATTTATAGATTCAATGCCATCCCCATCAAGCTACCAATGACTTTCTTCACAGAATTGGAAAAAACTACTTTAAAGTTCATATGGAACCAAAAAAGAGCCTGCATCACCAAGTCAATCCTAAGCCAAAAGAACAAAGCTGGAGGCATCATGCTACCTGACTTCAAACTATACTACAAGGCTACAGTAACCAAAACAGCATGGTACTGGTACCAAAACAGAGATATAGATCAATGGAACAGAACAGAGCCCTCAGAAATAATGCCACATATCTACAACTATCTGATCTTTGACAAACCTGAGAAAAACAAGCAATGGGGAAAAGATTCCCTATTTAATAAATGGTGCTGAGAAAACTGGCTAGCCATATGTACAAAGCTGAAACTTGATCCCTTCCTTACACCTTATACAAAAATTAATTCAAGATGGATTAAAGACTTAAACGTTAGACCTAAAACTATAAAAACCCTAGAAGAAAACCTAGGCATTACCATTCAGGACATAGGCATGGGCAAGGACTTCATGTCTAAAACACCAAAAGCAATGGCAACAAAAGACAAAATTGACAAATGGGATCTATTTAAACTAAAGAGCTTCTGTACAGCAAAAGAAACTACCATCAGAGTGAACAGGCAACCTACAAAATGGGAGAAAATTTCCACAACCTACTCATCTGACAAAGGGCTAATATCCAGAATCTACAATGAACTCAAATTTACAAGAAAAAAACAAACAACCCCATCAAAAAGTGGGTGAAGGACATGAACAGACACTTCTCAAAAGAAGACATTTATGCAGCCAAAAAACACATGAAAAAATGCTCATCATCACTGGCCATCAGAGAAATGCAAATCAAAACCACAATGAGATACCATCTCACACCAGTTAGAATGGCAATCATTAAAAAGTCAGGAAACAACAGGTGCTGGAGAGGATGTGGAGAAATAGGAACACTTTTACACTGTTGGTGGGACTGTAAACTAGTTCAACCCTTGTGGAAGTCAGTGTGGCGATTCCTCAGGGATCTAGAACTGGTAATACCATTTGACCCATCCATCCCATTACTGGGTATACACCCAAAGGACTATAAATCATGCTGCTATAAAGACACATGCAGACGTATGTTTATTGCGGCATTATTCACAATACCAAAGTCTTGGAACCAACCCAAATGTCCAACAATGATAGACTGGATTAAGAAAATGTGGCACATATACACCATGGAATACTATGCAGCCATAAAAAATGATGAGTTCATGTCCTTTGTAGGGACATGGATGAAATTGGAAATCATCATTCTCAGTAAACTATCGCAAGAACAAAAAACCAAACACCACATATTCTCACTCATAGGTGGGAATTGAACAATGAGAACACATGGACACAGGAAGGGGAACATCACACTCTGGGGACTGTTGTGGGGTGGGGGGAGGGGGGAGGGATAGCATTGGGAGATATACCTAATGCTAGATGACACATTAGTGGGTGCAGCGCACCAGCATGGCACATGTATACATATGTAACTAACCTGCACAACGTGCACATGTACCCTAAAACTTAAAGCATAATAATAATAAAAAAAAGAAAATATTTTCCCACTCATTCTTCTTGTCTTTTTTTCTTTAACTTCTTAGATTCAGTGAAAAATTCCTATAGTGCTATGTGCATTCAAAACAATTGTTTATCCCATAGTTATTCAGTGTCACACTCTATAAATATCAATTAACAGAGGTAGGTTGCATTGCTGAATCTTCAACTAAAATTATGGGTTTGTCTATATCTCCTTTTAGTCTATTAATTTTTGCTTCATGTAGTTTGAAACTAGGTTATTAGGTGCATACACATTTCTTAAATACAGTCCCATATTTATATTTTAAAGAGTTCAAGTTTTAAAGGATGTGTTAGTCAGTATCATATTTTTAGTAGAATCTATATTACTTGATGTGATTTTTAAAGTTTTACTGAGACATAACTCACACAATAAAATTCACCCTTTTAAATTGTATAATTCAATGCTTTTTAATAAATTTATAGAGCTGTACAAATATCACCAAACCCAACATTACCAACATTTTCATCAGTTCAAAAAGATTTCTAATTTCCACTTGCAATCAGTCCCCATTTCTATTTCCAGCTCCAAGCAACCACTAATCCACGTTCTGTGTCTGTAAATTTCATATTCTGGACAATTCATGTAAATTGAATCATATAATGTGTCCTTTTGTGTCTGGCTTATTTCACTTAGCATAATGTTTTCAAGGTTCATCCACACTGTAGTATGTATCAGTACTTAATTCCTTTTTATTGCCCAATAATATTCCATTGTATGTGTACACCTCATTTTATTTATCCATTCAGCAGCTGTTGGACATTTGGACTGCTTGCACTTTGAAGTATGAATGATGCTGCTATTAACATGTATGTACCAGTTTTTGTTTGAACATGTTTTCATTTCTCTTAGGAACATACCTGGGGGTGGAATTTCTGGGTCATTTCCTTTTGAAGAACTGCCAGGCCATTTTCCAAAGCAGCTATACCATTTTGCACCCCCAACAACAATGCATGAGGATTCCAATTCCTTCCCATCCTTACCAATGTTAATTAGCTCTCTTTTATATCATAGCTATCCTACTATGTATGAAGGGATATTTCATTGTGGTTTTGTTTTGCATTTCTCTGATGACTAAGGATGTTGGGCATGTTTTCATGTGCTTATTCGCCATTTATGTATCTTCTTTTTAACTTTTATTTTAGGTTTGGGGGTTCATGTGAAGGTTCATTAGATAGGTAAACTCATGTCATGGGGGTTTGCTGTTTAGATTATTTTATTGCCCAGGAATTAAGCCTAGTACACAATCATTATCTTTTCTGCTCCTCTCTCCTCCCACCCTTCACCCTCAAGTAGACCCCAGAGTCTGTTGTTTCCTTCTTTGTGTTCATAAGTTCTCATCATTTAGCTCCCAATTATTAAAAGAAAGAACTTGCAGTATTTGTTTTTCCTGTTTCCGCACTAGTTTGCTGAGGATAATGGCCTCCAGCTCCATCCATGTTCCCCCAAAAGACATGATCTCATTCTTTTGTATGGCTACATAGTATTCCATGGTGTATATGTACCACATTTTCTTTATACAGTCTGTCATTGATGGGCATTTAGGTTGAGTCACGTCTTTGCTATTGTGACTAATGCCACAGTAAACATTCATGTGCATGTGTCTTTATAGTAATGGTAGAATGATTTCTATTCCTCTGAGTATATACTCAGTAATGGGACTGCAGGGTCAAATAGTAGTTGTGCTTTTAGCTCTTTGAGAAAACCACTGCTTTCCACAATGGTTGAGCTAATTTACAGTCCTACCAACAGTGTATAAGTATTTCCTTTTCTCTGTAACCTCGCCAGCATCTATTATTTTTTGACTTTTTAATAATAGTCATTCTGACTAGTGTGAGATAGTGTCTCATTGTGGTTTTGAATTTCTCTAATGATGAGTGATACTGAGCTTTTTTTCATATGCTTGTTGGCCACAAACTATGTCTTCTTTTGAAAAGTATCTGCTCATGTCCTTTGCCCACTTTTCAATGGGGTTGTTTGTTTTTCTCTCGTAGAGATGTTTAAGTTTCTCATACATGCTGGATATCAGACCTTTGTCAGATGCATACTTTGCAAAATTTTCTCCCATTGTGTAAGATGTCTGTTTACTCTGTTGATAGTTTCTTTTTCTATGCAGAAGCTCTTAAATTTAATTAGATCCTATTTGTCAATTTTTGCTTTTGTTGAGATTGCTCTTGGTATCTTTGTCATGAAATATTTGCCCATTCCTATGTCCAGGATATTATTGCCTAGGTTGTCTTCCAGGGTTTTTATGGTTTGGGGTTTTACATTTAAGTCTTTAATCCATCTTGAGTTGATTTTTGTATACAGTGTAAGAAAGGGATCCAGCTTGTCTTCTGCAAATGGCTAGCCAGTTATCCCAGCACCAATTATTGACTAGAGATAAGTTTTTTCTGCATTATTTGTTTTTGTTAGCTTTGTCAAAGATCAGGTGGTCATAGGTGTGCAACCTTATTTCTGGGCTCTCTATTCTGTTCCATTGGTCTATGTGTCTATTTTCGTGCTATTATCATGCTGTTTTGATTACTGTAGCCCTGTAGTATAGTTTGAATTCAGGTAATGTGATGCCTCCAGTTTTGTTCTTTTTGCTTAGGATTTCCTTGGCTATTTGGGCTCTTTTTTGGTTCCATATAAATTTTTAAATTGTTTTTTCTAGTTTTGTGAAGAATGTTTTTGGTAGTTTGATAGGAATAACATTGAATCTGTAAATTGCTTTGGGCAGTATGGCCATTTTACTGATATTTTTTCTTAATATCCATGAGCATAAAATGTTTTTCCATTTGTTTGTGTCTTCTCTGATTTCTTTGAACCGTGTTTTGTAAATCTCATTATAGCGATCTTTCACCTCCCTGGTTAGCTGTATTCCTATTTTATTCTTTTTGTTGCAATTGTGAATGAGATTGCCTTTCTGATTTGGCTGTCAGCATGGCTGTTTTTGATGTACAGGAATGCTAGTAATTTATGTACATTGATTTTGTATTCTGAAACTTTGCTGAAGCTGTTTATCAGCTGAAGGAGCTTCTGGGCAGAGACTGGGTTTTTTAGATATATAATCATGTTGTCTGCAGATAGCAATAGCTTGACTTCCTCTCTTCCAACTTGGATGCCCTTTATTTCTTTCTCTTGCCTGATTGTTCTGGCTAGGATTTCCTATGTTGAATAGAAATGGTGAGAGAGGAACATCCTTGTCTTGTACTGGTTTTCAAGGGAAATGCTTCCAGCTTTTGCCCATTCAGTATGATGCTGGCTGTGGGTTTGCCATAGATGGTTTTTATTATTTTGAGTTAAGTTCCTTCAATACCTAGTTTCTTGAGAGCTTTAAACATAAAAGGGTGTTGAATTTTATTGAAAGCCTTTTATGTGTCTATTGATATAATCACAGTTTTTGTCTTTATTTCTGTTTATGTGATGAATCACGTTTATTGATTTGTGTATGCTGAACAAACCTTGCATCCCAGAGATGAAGCCTACTTGATTGTGATGGATTTATTTTTGATGTGCTGCTGGATTCAGTTTGCAAGTGTTTTGTTGAGGATTTTGGCATCAATGTTCATTGAGGATAATGGCCTGAGGTTTTATTTTTTGTTGTGTCTCTGCCAGGTTTTGGTATCAGGATGATTCTGGCCTCATAGAATGGATTGAGGAGGAGTCCCCCGTCCTCAATTTTTCTGTAAGAATGCTACCAGCTCTTCTTTGTACATCTGGTAGAATTTGGCTGTGAATCCATCTGGTTCTGGGCTTTTTTTGGTTGGCAGGCTATTTATTACTGATTCAATTTCAGTGAGTGTTATTGGTCTATTTAGAAAATGAATTCTTTCCAGGTTCACTCTTGGGAGGGTGCATATGTCCAGGAATTGACGCATCTTTTCTATATTTTCTAGTTTGTGTGCATAGAGGTGTTCATAGTAGTTTCTAATGGTTATTTCTATTTCTGAGGGATCAGTAGTAACATTCACTTCATTATTTCTAATTGTGTTTGTTTGAATCTTCTATTAGTTTTTTCACTGTTTTCTATTAGTTTCATTTTATTAGTTTTTTTCATTTCATTTGTTTTTCATAGTTTTTTATGTTTTTTGAAAAAAAAAACAACTCCTGGATTCACTGATCTTCTGAATGGCTTTTCATGTCTCAATTTCCTTCAGTTCAGTTTTGACTTTGGTTTTTTCTTGTCTTCTGCTAGCTTTGGGGTTGATTTGGTTTTGATTCTCTAAATCTTTCTGTTTTAATGTTAAGTTGTTAATTTGAGATATTTCTAAGTTTTGATGTAGGCATTTAGTGCAATGAATTTCTCTCTTAATACTGCCCTAGCTGTGTCCCAGAGATTCTGGTATATTGTGTCTTCATTCTCATTAGTTTCAAATAACTTCTTGATTTCTGCCTTAATTGTGTTATTTACCCAAAAGTCATTCGGGAGCATGCTGCTTAATTTCCATGTAATTGCATGGTTTTGAGTAATTTTCTTAGTCTTGACTTCTATTTTTATTGCACAGTGGTCCAAGAGTGTGTTTGGTATGATTTCAGTTCTTTTGCATTTGCTGAGGATTGTTCTATGTCCAAGTAAGTGGTCAATTTTAGAGTATGTGCCATGTGGCAATGAGAAGAATGTATATTCTCTTGTTTTGGGGTGGAGAGTTGTATAGAGGTCAGATCCATCTGGTCCAATGTTGAGTTCAGGTCTTGAATGTGTTTGTTAATTTTCTGCCTATTACAGTCAATACACTCAATGATCTGTCTAATACTGTCAGTGGAGTGTTGAAGTCTCCCACTGATACTGTGTTGAAGTCTATGTCTCTTCGTAGGTCTCTAAGAACTTCCTTTATGAATCCAGGTGCTCCTGTGTTGGGTGCATATGTATTTAGAATAGTTAGATCTTCTCGTTGAATTGAACCCTTTACCATTATGTAATGTCCTTGTCTTTTTTTCATCTTTGTTGATTTGAAGTCTGTTTTGCCTGAAATTAGGATTACAACCTTTAATCAAATTACAACCTTAGTAATCAAATTACAACCTTACTAAGCAAATGATTTCCTCCATCCTTCAATTTTGAGCCTATGGGTGTCATTTCGTGTGAAATGTGTCTCTTGAAGACAGCATACCATTGGGTTTTGCTTTTTTATCCAGGTTGCCACTCTGTGCCTTTTAAGTGGGGGCGGTTAGCTCATTTACATTGAAGGTTATTACTGACAGATGTGAATCTGATCCTGTCATTGTGTTGTTAGCTGGTTATTGTGTTGACTTGTTTGTGTGGTTGCTTTACAGTGACGTTGGTCTATGTGTTTAAGACTGTTTTTGTATTAGTTGGTAGCAATCTTTCCTTCCTATGTTAAATGCTCCTTTCAAAATCTCTTGTAATGCAGGTCTGGTGGTAATGAACTTTTTCAACATATGCTTATCTGAAAAGGATATTTCTCCTTTGCTTAGGAAGCTTAGTTTGGCTAGACATGAAATTTTTGGTTGAAGATTTTTTTCTTTAAAAATGTTGAATATAGGCTCCCCAATCTTGTCTGGCTTACAGGGCTTTAGCTGAAAGATCTACTGTTAGCCTGATAGTGTTCTCTTTGTTGGTAACTTGCCCTTTCTCTCTAGCTGCCTTTAACATTCTTTCTGGCATTTTAATCTTGGAAAATCTGACAATTATGTGTCTTCGAGATAATCTTGTATAGAGTCTTGCAGAAATTCTCTGTATTTCCTGAATCTGACTATTGGCCTCTCTAGCAAGGTTGGGGAAGTTTTCGTGAATGATATCCTGAAATGTTTTCCAAGTTATTTGCTTTCTCCCTCTCCTTTTCAGGGATGCCAATGATTTGTGTAGATCTGGCCTCTTTACGTAATCCCATACTTCTTAGAGGGTTTGTTCTTTCATTTTTATTCCTTTTTCTTTATTTTTGTCTGTCTTACTTCAGAGAACTAGTCTTCAAATTCTGAGATTCTTTCTTCAGTTTGGTTTATTCTGCTGTTAATACTTGTGACTGCATTGTGAAATTATTGCATTGTGTTGATCAGCTCTGTCAGACCTGTTAGGTTCTTTTTTATACCACCTACTTCGTCCTTCAGCTCCTATATTGCTTTATTGTGATTCTTATTTTCCTTGGATTGGGTTTCGCTGTTCTCCTGAATCTCAATGATCTTCATTCCTATCCATATTCTAAATTTTATTTGTTATCCCAGCCAGTTCTTATTGGAGAACTGGTACAGTCATTTTGAGGCCATACAAAACTCTGGTCATTTGAGTTACCAGAGTTCTTGCATTCGTTCTTTCTCATTTCTGCATATGGGTGTTCCTTTAACTGTAGTATAGATTGATTACAGTCAATAGACTTCTGGATGTTTTCACCTGGCTGAGGCCTTGTGCAGGGTCTCTATCTGAAGCTGATTTCTTGTCTCTGGTTTCACAGGGGGGTATGTTAGTGAGGCATTTTTTTAAGTTGAAGCTTTGTGGTGTGATCCAGTAGGTGGCATTTAGGCTTACGGGTCAGTTGGTAGACTCACTCAGTTGTGTAGCTCCCCTATGGTTCCCCACAGTGGCAGCTATATTTCCTCTCAATCCTCTGGGAACGTGGCTTCCTCTCCCCCTTAAGTGCTGACTGTAGATCACGGCTTGTCACTCCTGGACTGCCCACTGTAGCTCTGGGATGATCTCAGCATTTATGATTCTTCCCCATCTCAGAGGCAGCAGAGGAAGGGACCTTAGTAGTGGTTTTGACCAAGGGTCTTTTGCTTGTCTCCTGAGGGCTCCACCCGAAAGATGGAAGATGGACTGACCTCCTCTTCTTAAACTGACTGCAGCCTGTTGGAGGTATGGATAAAGCACTTAAAGCCTTTGTTCCTTCATTAGTCTGAGGGCAGCAAGGGCAGTTCTACTGCAGAGGCAGTGGCAGGGAAGCTTTCAGTTGCCCCTGGAGGCTCTGTCCAGGGAGTTGCTGAGTTGCTACTGGCTCAATAGCTCTGGCAGTGGGTGGCTGGAAGCCCTGGAGAACCTGCCCAGTGAGGAGATGTGGGAATAGGCACCCATTTGTTCTGGCCAGTTTTCCATAGGGCTGCTGTGGTATGCTGGGGTCCCTCTGCAGTTCCTAGTTGCCTTGAATTTTCCAGTAAGTGGAGATATCATCAGTAAAGGCTGCAATACAGCAAAGACAGTAGCCTGCCCCTCCCTCTGGAAGCTCCATCCCAGGAAGGTATGGGCCTGTTGCCAGCCCAAAAGTGCCTGTAGGAGGTGGCTGGAGACCCTGGTTAGGAGGTCCCACCTACTGAGGAGGAAGAGGATCAGGAACCTACTTTAAAAAGCACACTGGCCATGTTTTCATAGAGCATCTGTGCTGTGCTGGGGCTCTGCTTCAGCTCCCAGTCACCTCAGACACTCCAAAACCACCCAAACAGCAAAGACAGTGGTCCACCCTTCCTCTGGAAACTCCATCCCAGTGAGGTTTGAATCTCTGTCAGCCAGGAAACACTGGTGAGGGTAGCTGGAGACCCTGGTTGGGAGGCCTCACCAAGTGACGGGGAATGGGATTGGAGACCTGCTGGAAAATGTAGTCTTGCCATGTTTTTGTAGGGAAGCTGTGTTGTGTTAGAGGTCCACTTCAGACTCGGGTCAGCTTGGACTCTCCAAAGCCCAAAGGCTGGAAAGGCTAAGTTACTCAAACAGCAAAAATGGTGGCCTACCCCTTCCCTGGGGAGCTCCGTCCCAGGAAGGTGCAAAGCTACTATTGGTGGCTGGCTGGAATTCCAAGCCAGTGGGTCTTATCCTGTGAGATGGCCGTGGATGCGGGGCCTGCAGACTGTAGCTCATCAGCCCCCTGGATTCAGTCTCTTTCCTAGGGGTATATATGGGGTCTATCCTCCCGCTTTGCCTGAGTTTCAGCTACTTTTCCTAGGAAGCCCAGATAGCCTGAGAATCTAGGGCTTCCAGGTCTCTGGAAGTGCTGACTGGCTGCTCTGACAAGACTCCATGTAACTCTATGTGTCAGACTGAAGGGCCTGGTGGAGTGGGTTCATAAGGGGATCTCCTGACCTAAGGGCTGCAAAGATCCATGGGAGAAGTGTGGGTTCCCAGGGTCACACATTCACTCATTACTTCCCTGGGTAGGGAAGGTTCTCTTGGCTCTATGTCCCTCTTGGGTGGGCCACCCTCTTGCCTTCTCCATTCTCCATGAGTCAAGTTGTTTCCTTGATTAGTCCCAGTGCTAGTACTTAGATGTTTCAGTTGAAGGTGCTGTATTTACTTGCCCCTTCCATTCCTCTCCATGAGAGCCATGCACACTAGCTGCTTCTAGTTGGCCATCTTGGCCACCTCCCCAATGTGTGTGTCTTCTTTGGTGACATGTCTACTTAGAACTTTGCTCATTTTTAAATAGAAAAATTTGACCTTTTATTATTGAGTTGTAACAATTGTTTATATAGTCTAGATACAAATCCATTACCATATATACGTTTGTAAATATAATCTCCCATTCTGTTGACTGCTTTTTCAATTCCTTGGTGTTGTCCTTTAAAGCACAAAATATTTTAATTTTATGAAGCCTAATGTATTCATTTGTTCTCTTGTTGTATGTGTTTTTTGTGTTACACCTAAAAAACCAATGCCAAACCCAAGGTCATAAAGTTTTATTTCCAATAAATCTCTGTCTGACACACAGAGCTAAGTGGAGTCTTGGCAGAGCAGCCACTCAGTCACTTTCAGATACCCAGGAGCCTTCCCTCTGACCTGGAGGCACAACTTTGCCCTGAAGAACTGCTAGGCTAGTTTTCTTTTTTTTTTTTCCTAAGAATTGCATAGTTGTAGCTCATACATTTAGGTCTATTATCCATTCTGAGTTAATTTTGTGTATATTACTTATAAATCCTACAAATGGTATTTTGTAAACAAAAATCATTTGTGAACTGGGAACTGCCTATAACACATGACCTTTTGAATAACATAAGATTTCACCTTGACATTAATTGTGATGAATAGAAATATGTCAAACAACTGCCTTGGTGCTTTTGTTTTGGGAAGTAGGCAAGGAGGGTTGTTCTTCACAAAATCTATTGGTAAACGTGTATTAGTAAAATGGACCATTCATTCGGGTGCGGGCACTTTTTAAAAAATAGGCAGCTGGGCTACAAAAGTTAAATCTCGCTACAACATTCCTATTTTGTATGCCTGTTGGCTATGCCCAGATTTCATAAAATTTACATGTCTGTATTATGACATTTCTAAGGTCTCCTAATAAGCAATATTGCTCCTTAGTGAGTAGAAATAACATAAATTACTAATGATGTCTGCATTTTTGATATATAAATCTGACACTGTCAGATGTTTTTGTCCTAGTTTTGTTGCAGCGAAATATTGCAAGATTATTCAAGCCTACTGCCTTCCCTCTGACCTGGAGGCATAACTTTGCCCTGAAGAGCTGCTTGTTTTCTTTTTCTTTTCTTGTATTCCGGAGGCAATTGCTGTTAGTACCAGGTCTTGGGAAATGGCAAGCAGAACATCAGGGGACCCATGAACTGCAGGAAGCTGGGGGGACGCCAGAAGGCACAGCACTTAGGAAAGCATTTTCAATCAGAGCATGGGTTGGTACTAAGAAAGTGGTGTATTGTTAGAACCATACCTTTGGTGCCAAAGCACAGGTCAGTGTAGGTTGGTAAGTCAAAAGAAAGGGAAGGTGTGATATGGAGTCCAAGAAGGTCTGTGTCCAAGGACACCAGCCCAAATGGAGGAAAAAGTCCATGTGTGAAGTCTAAGTAAGTACATGGGCTATGGTTGGTATACTGAAATCCAGGCAATAAATACATCAGAGAGGTTTGTGTAATCCCAGCTTTGGGAGGCCAAGGCAGGTGAATCGCTTTAGCTCACAAGTTCAAGACCAGCCTCGGCAACATGGCAAAACCCCATGTCTACAAAAAATACCCTTAGCCAGGCATGGTGGTGCATGCCTGTAGTCTCAGCTATTTGAGAAGCTGAGATGGGAGGATGACTTGAGCCCGGGAGGCAGAGGTTGCAGTGAGATTGTGCCACTGCACTCCAGTCTGGATCATAGGGCCAGACTTTGCCTCAAAAGAGAGAGCGAGAGAGAGAGACTGAGATAGTGAGGTCTGCTAGCATGTATAACCATGGGAAGAACATGGAGGGTACTCAGACTGGCCTTGAGGGAAACAGGTAAGGAGCGGAGTTCAAAAAAAGCAAGAAACAGAAATTTGGATCATAGAACCCCAGAGCAGCATAACCAGCATTACGGCTGTGAGCTTCTTAAGGCTGGGAATTGTGTCTTTTCATTTGTTACTCCAGTGTCTAAAATGGACCGGAGATAAAACAAGTGCTCAGTACGTGCTGTGGAATTAATGAATACATGAATGTTTCTAATAGGATTGAAGTTGTCTGCTCCTAGCCTTAGTTGTTTTTGTGGATGTCTAAGGTTGTTGGGTATGCACAATTCTCTAGAGAGGGGAAGGACTCTGTAGATGATTAAAGTTGGAGACCATAGCTTATGGGGTGAGCTGACTTTGGTCCACTGAAGAGTACTCACTCTCAATACCCAATAGTCAGAAACACAGTGGTTAAGACAAAGAGAAAATGCAGTAAGGTGCAAGTTTGCATAAATTAGGAAAAGAGTCAAGAAACGATGACAATTTAGGTGGCCTGACCGAAGTTATACTAACGAGCTTCAACAATCAGCCATTCACAGAGAGTCTGATTTGAAACTTAAATTATGGAGAGTAGCATATTTTTGCTATCTCTGCCCTCTTACAGCATAAAAGAGAGCTTCAGGGGAGCTGAGATGGAGAGCTAATCTGTTCACTGGGTGTGTGGGATGACCAACACAAAAAAATTCCTGTGTTCCTTGCAAATGTAAGGATTTAATCAGAGAATTCTCAACCCTGAAAATAACAGACCAGAGGATGATTTGAACCAGTGTCAGGAACACCCTAGTCTCAGGGACTGTCTACTGCTCATCAGAACTAACTGATTTAATCCACTGAGAAGAAATGTTTGGACTCTTACGGTATTATAAATAATATCATATTTATATTACATAAGTGTCTGAGCATGACAATAAAAACTCATGATTGGTAGGAGCTGTTAAGAGTGATCTCACTGGATGTAGCAGTCCAGTTCAGTCATGAGGAGCTCATTACTCCCTAAAAGCTATAAAATGCTTGTTCAATTAATAAAACAAGGAATTGAAAAGCAAAAACAAATATACTAACAACAACAAAGACAAATTTTAAAAACCAAGCCTCTATGACAACACATACTTGCCTCAATTAAACACGAGAATGAGATTATTACAATTCACTACCAACTTACCAGCTTCTCCAAATGCTAATCACACATTCTCTGGGAAAACTTGTGGATTTACAAGTAAAGAAAGTAAGTTCCGAGTTGAAACCTGAACATCCTGACATTTAATATGGGGAGAAAGTTTAAACTTCTAAGTTACTCAACAGATATTTCATATGTTGTCAAAGCAAATTATTGACAGGCATACTCATTGTGCTTCACTTTACTGCACTTCACAGAGATTGCATTTTTTACAAAATGAAAGTTTCAAGCAAGTCTATTGGCAAAGTATCAAGCAATTCTATCGGCTCCATTCCAGCAGCATGTGCTCACTTCATGTCTCCGTCATATTTTCGTAATTCTCATAATAGTTCAAATTTTTCCATTATTATTTTGTCTGCTATGTTAATCTGTGATTATTGATCTTTGGTGTGACTATTTTAATTGTTTGAGGTGCAAAAACCACACTCTTATAAGATGGCAAACCTAATCGATTAATGTTGTGTGTGTTCTGACTGTTCTACCAACTCACCATTCCCCTGTTCATCTCTCCCCCTCTCCAAAGGCCTCCTTATTTCCTAAGACACACCAATATTGAAATTAGGCCAATAATAACTCTCCAATGGCCTCTAAGTGTTCAAGTAAAAGGAAGTGTCACATGTCTCTCATCTTAAATCAAAAGCTAGAAATGATTAAGCTAAGTAACTAGTAAATGATTAAGCATGTCAAAAGCTGAGATAAGCCAAAATCTATGCCTCTTGCACCAAATAGTTAGCCAGGTAGTGAATGCAAAGGAAAAGTTCTCAAAGGAAACTAAAAGCACTACTCCAGTGAACATGTGAATAAGAAGAAAATGTCATAACCTCATTGTTAATATGGAGAAAGTTTTAGTGGTCTGGGTGGAAGATCAAACCAGCCACAACATTCCCTTAAGCCAAAGCCTAACCCAGAGGAAGGCCCTTACTCCCTTCAGTTCTATGAAGGCTAAGAGAGGTGAGAAAGCTGCAAAAGAAAAGTTTGAAGCTATCAGAGTTTGGTGTTTATAACATAAAAGTACAAAGTGAAGCAGCCAGTGCTGATGTGGAAGCTGCAGCAAGTTGTCAAGATTTAGCTAAGATAATTGAGGAAGGTGGCTACACTAAACAACAAATTTTCAATGTAGATGAAACAACCTTCACCCACATTGATGAAGATGGAAGAACATGTCATCTAGGACTTTCATAGCTAGAGAGAAGTCAATGCCTGGCTTCAAAGCTTCAAAGGCCGTGCTGATAGTCTACTGCAGCTGGTAACTTTAAGCTGAAGCCAATGCTCATTTACCATTCTGCAAATCCTAGGGCTCTTAAGAATTATGCTAAACCTGGCCAGGTGCAGTGGCTCAAGCCTGTAATCCTAGCACTTTGGGAGGCCAAGGCGGGAGGATCACGAGGTTAGAAGATCGAGACCATCCTGGCTAATGCGGTGAAACCCCGTCTCTACTAAAAATACAAAAAAATTAGCTGGGCGTGGTGGCGGGCGCCTGTAGTCCCAGCTACTCAGGAAGCTGAGGTAGGAGAATGGCGTGAACCCAGGAGGCGGAGCTTGCAGTGAGCTGAGATCGCACCACTGCACTCCAGCCTGGGTGACAGAGCAAGACTCCATTTCAAAAAAAAAAAGAATTATGCTAAACCTGCCCTGCCTGTGCCCTGTAAATACAACAATAAAGCCTGGATAATGGCACATTTGTTGACGGTGTGATTTACTGAACATTTTAAGCCCACCGTTGAGACTTACTGCTTAAAAAAAAATCTATTCCAAAATATTACTCATTGACAATTCACATGGCCATCCAAGAGCCTGATAGAGATATATAATGAGATCAGTGTTG
The DNA here is from genome assembly GCF_000001405.40 of Homo sapiens. Taxonomy (NCBI): domain Eukaryota; kingdom Metazoa; phylum Chordata; class Mammalia; order Primates; family Hominidae; genus Homo; species Homo sapiens. The sequence continues at coordinate 147,474,760 of NC_000001.11, forward strand.
TTGTCATGCCTGCTAACACGACCACCATTTTACAGCCCATGTACCAGGGAGTAATTTTGCCTTCAAGTCTTATTATTTAAGAAATACAGTTTGTAAAGCTCTAGTTGCCGTAGATAGTGACTCCTCTGATGGATCTGGGCAAAATAAATTGTAAGTCCTCTGGAAAGGATTCACTATTCTAGACGCTATTAAGAACATTTGTGATTCTTAGGAGGTCAAAAATGTCAAAGTGAACAGGATTTTGGAAGAAGTTAATTCTAACTCTCATGGATGACTTTGGAGGGTTCAAGACTTTGATGGAGGAAGTAACTGCGAATATGGTGGATGTAGCAAGAGAACTAGAATTAGGAGTAGAAACTGAAGATGTAACCAAATTGCTTCAATGTCATGATAAAATTTGAATGGACAAAAAGTTGGTTCTTACGGATAAGCAAAGAAAGCAGTTTCTTGAGATGGAATCTACTCCTGGTGAGGATACTATGAACATTGTTTAACTGTAATCAAAGGACTTAGAATGTTACATAAGCTTAGTTAATAAAGCAGCAATAGGGTTTCAGAGGATTGACTCCAATTTTGAAAGGCCTTCTCCTGTGGGTAAAATGCTATCAAATGGCATCATATGCTACAGAAAAATCTTTTGTGAAAGGAAGAATCCATCAATGTAGCAAACTTTATTGGTCTCTTATGTTACCAAATTGCCACAGCCACCTTAACCTTTAGCAACCACCACCCTGATCAATCAGTAGCCAACACCGAGGCAAGACTCTTCACTAGCAAAAATATTAAGACTTGCTGAAGGCTCAGAAGATTAGTATTTTTAGCAATAAATTAAGGTATGTACATTGTTTTTATACATAATGCTACTGCACACTTAACAGACCACAGTATAGTGTAAACATAACTTTCATATGCACTGGAAAACCAAAAAATTCGTATGACTCATTTTATTGAAATATTTGCTTTGTTGCAGTGGTCTGAAACCAAACCTGCAACGCTGTTGAGGTATGCCTGTATTTCTTTGGACCTTCTAGGCTTATTATATTTCTACCATTTAAATTTAGCTTTAGGAATTGTTGCATTTTAACTTCAGTATCAAGTTTCTATTGAATAATAAATACTTCAAAAGATCCTGGAGACTCTGAGATTTGGAATTTTTAATAAAAGCTACGTTTGCCTATTAATCATGTGTCTTGAATGCTTGGAATAAAGAATAAGTAGCGTGCATTATTTTTCATGTGCTTTAAATATTTCAAAGTATTTTTAAAACATATCATTTCATAAGTATATAATATGGCATATTATCTAATAATTCATAACATTATTATAGCCACTTAACCCCTCTACGCCTTGAATTTCTCATCTACAAAATGAGAATAACGGTATGACCTCAGTGTTGTAAGGATTAAATAGCTAATACACGTAAACCAATTTCAACAAATTCTGGCATCTAGTAAGTTTTCAATATGTTATTATTATAATACTGCCTAATATGTATCCATACACAACACGATTTGGAACATCCTAGTTAAGTTCAGGCATGTGAAAAATGCATGTTTTCAAATTAATAGCCTAGATTTTATTTGCGTATTTGTCAGTTTATAATGAACTCAATCTAGAGGTGACAAGTCAGGATAGAGGATACATAGCACAGCATTGATGGCATAGACTCTAGAGTCTTATAAGCTGGATTTATATCTCACTTCTGACACTTAGCTGAGTGAACTTGGGCACCTTATTTAAACTTTCTGTGTCTCATTTTTCTCAGTTGTAAAATGAAGTTCATAATAGTATCTATCTTCTAATGTTATGGTAAAGATAACTGAATTAATATACATAAGATATTTAGAGCAGTGAACTCCATATAAGGGTTTACTACTATTATATCTACTATTATTTTTCAGGGCCTACCTTCAAGTAAATAAAAGTCACATATCAAGATATTTAAAATAAGCAATGAGACTAATTCCAAAGACAACCAATTTTGACCCTGAATATCTGTATCCTTTTTGTTAATTTGGTTATTCAAAACAAGGCAAGTGTCTCTCAGAGAAACTATAGAAAGTGTCCTTTTTTCTTTTCCTTCTATAAATACACCTACATCAAGTTGGAATATTTATTTAGGATTTTCTATATCATGAGATAAAGTAATATACCAGCTCCCAAGGGAGGAGGAACTTGAGGTTTATCATCAGAGATGATAAAAACCACAAAAAGCAGCACCCTCATTACAGAGAAATTTGTAACAGGTATACTCAGATTCCTAACCCATTTAAGGGGTGTATTTGCTAAAAAATGAATGCCTAAGCCTTGGGGATTTCAGTGCCTGCAGCCGACTCTGGAGATTGAGGTATCTGGAAACCCATCACAGATCTTCCTTGACAACTTTTTCTACCTTTTAAATATATGAAGACCCCATCCTCAACTTCTTTTTGTAAGTACTCTCCCTGGTACATTTCATACACAGTCAAGGGCTTCAACACTCACTTTCATGCCAATGACTCTTAAACTGATATCTTCAGCCTTTCTCCTGAGTACCAATCCTATATTTTCCATTATTGACTGGGCACTTCCTCCTGGAGTCCCACAGCACTTTAAATTTCCAAAATGCATTCATTATCTTCTTTCCAACACCTGTTCTTTCTCAATAATTCCCACTATCATTTAATGACACTCCTAGACTGTCCAAATTGGCTCAACAAATTCATACCCACCCATGGACTCTAGGATGTTCAAAAAATGGCTTCCATGCACTGAACTATACCTTCAAGGACTCTCTTCAAACTCCAAAACCTCTATCTTCACATCACAGACCATTCTATTTTTTTGTTTGTTTGTTTGGTTTTTTTTGAGACAGAGGAGTGCAGTGGTGTGATCTTGGCTCACTGCAGCCTCTGCCTCCTGGGTTCAAGCGATTCCCCTGCCTCAGCCTCCCGCGTAGCTGGGACTACAGGTGCACACCACCACGCCCAGCTCATTTTTGTATTTTTAGTAGAGACGGGGTTTCACCATGTTGGCCAGGATGGTCTTGATCTCTTCACCGCATGATCCTCCTGCCTCGGCCTCTCAAAGTGCTGGGATTACAGGCATGAGCCACTGCACCCGGCCCAGACCATTCTCTTTAAATATGGTTCTAGGTCTACCCACTTCCTGGTCTAAATGAGGAATTTTGAACCCCAGGATCTATTGACTGCTATGAAAACTCAACAGGTTTTGTAATTCTGAAGTTCCTTCTTGAAATTACATGCAAAATGCCATGAATGTAGGTAAGTTCATTTTTCTTAGTCCTTGAACTGCATTATGCTTTGCAATCCATCTGTAGTCTATGGACCGTTGACTCACCAAACAGATTCACTACTCAAAACAAATTATTGACTCTCGCTTTTGAAAGAGATATCAGTCCTTACGTATACACATGGGCACCCTACTGTTATTCATAAAGAAAAATAATGATGGTCAAATGTGGCAGACTGCCACAGTTACTACTTGAGACCATCACTGTGACAGTTTCTACTGTTACTACCTGAGACCGTCATTATGACAGTTACTACTGTCACTACTTGAGACTGTCATTACAAGACTGAACAAAGGGACAAACGCAGAAATGAAAACTTAAGACAAAAGAAATCTGTTTTAAAGAAAGGGCCAGGGGAAGAAGAAGAGAGCTCCCTGCTTCTAGTGAGCAAGGGCAGCCCCCTCCTCCCGGAGCTTCTACAGCCCTTTGTATTTATTGGGTAACAAGAGCAAGGAGGCGGCAGTAACAATTGGTCGGCTGCTTAATTGATCACAGGTTCATATTATTACCAAGAGGCTTCAGATGTACCTAATCACAAGAAACGTTGCACTTGGGGTGTGACTGCCCTCAGCACTACTTCTGGGTGGCATACACAGTTTGTCAGTTTGCCAACATTCCGCATTTATGAGAACAGTTTGCTGTTTACTCATATAGCCTCCAGTGGTATACTAAGTTAATCACGACCCTCAATCTTTTGGCCTCCAACAGTCAAATCTCTGCCATGCATCACTGGCCACAGTGTAGTCATCCTTTGGGGCCATTACCAGTTTCTCTGAGCACCAGGCTTTAGGGCCTTCTCTGTCATACCATTCTTCATGAAATAAGATGTCTGGAATAGCTTTAACCTCATCTTCATCCAGGGAGTGGAAGACAGCCTTCCAGATATGTCTTTATCAGTGTGAGTTCACCGTGACATCCTCTGGGCTCTGCAACATACCAACCAATGTCCTTACATGATAAGTAGCATTTTGAGTGGCCTTGGAGTAGGATCTATTAGTACTTAAAACACATGCTAATATCTTCTCCTACGCTGACATCTCATGGACCCCTGGGCAGCACTTAATTACCGATTTCAGAACTGCCCCCAAATCAATTGTAAGAGCATTTAAAGATTCTGGACACAGTATCATTAGCCATGCAGTCTATGTGATAGTGAATGTATTAGCTTCCTCTTGCTACTATAACAAATTACCACATACTTAAGGGTTAAAATAACACAAATATATTGTCTTCCAGTTCTGGAAGTCAGAAATCCTAAAGTGAAGATATCATTAGGGCTGCGTTCCTTGTGAAGGCTCTGGGACCGAATCTGTTTCCTTGCCTTTTCCAGTTTCCAGAGGCTGGCTGTATCCCCTGACTCAATGGCCCCTTCTTTACTCTTCAAAGTCCATCATTCCAATCTCTGCTTCCATCATTACATGTTCTTCCTCTAACTTTGACCCACCCATCTCCCTCTTGTAAGGATCCTTGTGATTACATTGGGTCTACCTGCTTAATCCAGGATAGCGTCCTCATTTCAAAATTCTTAATTGAATCACACCTAAAAAGTCCCTTTTGCATTCACAGGTTTGGGAATGCTTATTATGTCTACCATAGTGAACAAGGTGGCAGTCTTTTTAGGGTAAAAGCCTTCCCTTATTTCTGTTACTAAGAGTGTTAAAGATATCTAGGTTTCCCAGTTACTATCGTCAGCTCACTTTCTGCTTTTTCACCCTGACATCTCCAATACTGACCCCTTTGAGAAAGGTGATTTTTTAATAGGTGGAAGATGATGCAGTGTTTTGTCATATTTCTCTCTGCTGTGACTAAACCTTGCTCTGACTATGCACGGTCTCACTGGTAGGACCATATACCTTCCCCAGGTGAATCCTAGTCTCTCCTCGGCTTATTTAGTACAAAAGCTAACCTGGATAAAATTTAATACCTGATTTGGTAGGTGGGCCCAGTGTGCTAGACACGTGTAAGAGCAGAAAGTAGATTGGTGCAGTTGCAACAGAGTGAGCAAAAGGTAGAATGGTTTAAAATGAGGTCAAAGAGCAGCCATGAATATCTGAGGACTTGGACTTTACTCTGCTTGATGTGGAAAGCTACTAAATGGTTTTTAGCCAAGAACTCCCCTTTCCAATCTATGGGAAGCATGGGGATAGAACAAAGGTGAAATAATAGAAAACAGCAGACTATTGCCAGTAGGTGAAAGATTTTTTTTCTACAGGTGATGAGAATGTATTGAAAAACTGAGCACAGGTATGAAATAAAAATATTTACATCTATAAAGAAACACCCTGGCTGCTATGAGAAGAAAAGACTAATAGAGGTAAGGATAGAGGGTAGGAGATCAGTGGAGAGGCTATTGGATAGTCCAGGGGAAAGAAGATGGTAGATTGGACTAGGGTGTTAGCAGCAGAGCTGGTGAGAAAACAGGTGGAAAGCACTCAGAAGAGAGTGCTTTCTGATGAGACTATTGTATTTTAAAAGCTTTTTACATGGACTGATATGTAATCTAATTTAATCCTTCTAAAACACATATGAGTTAGATACTATGATCTTTATCATTCAGATGAATAAACTGATACTCAGGGACGACAGTTTCTAGAACACACAGAGACAAAGCCAGGACTGAAATCTACCTGGCACCAAAGCCCACCCTTTCCATCATAGTTACACTGACTCCAATTCTAGAACAGATACACTGCAAAATAACCCAGCATGGGTTCAAAGTTTAAGTTAATAAACTAGTAGAAAATTGGTGGTCGTATTGACTGCTCTGTTAGGAAAGAGAAAATATTTAACAGAGGATGTCTGGGGTTAGTAACAGTTTATATCAATGAGAAAATATTCCAGAAGAAATTGGCATAAAATTAATTGGCTGATTAAAATTTCTAAGAACTTATGCACTCTGAAAAGAGAAATCATATTATTAGGAAAAATGAAGTCTATACAAAAGAAAAAAAGTTCTCTCAAAAAAATTCTCAAGAAACCTTTTAAAAAACACAGAACTCGCTGGGGTCACCCCAGTAATTCCAGCACTTTGGGAGGCCAAGGTGGGCGGACGACCTGAGGTCATGAGTTCGAGACCAGCCTGGCCAACATGGTAAAATCCCATTTCTACTAAAAATACAAAATTAGCTGGGCTGGTGGTGCATGCCTGTTAATCCCAGCTACTTGGGAGGCTGAGGCAGGAGAATCACTTGAACCCAGGAGGCGGAGGTTGCAGTGAGCCAAGATTGCGCCATTGCAGTCCAGCCTGGGCAACAAGAATGAAACTCCCTCTAAACAAACAAACAAACAAACAAACAAAAAACCACCGAACTCAAACATTTATCTTAAGGAAATTAGCAAAAGATGGCATATAATATAAAAAATGCTCATCACAATACTTCTATAAAAGAAAAATCATGAACACAACCTAAATATTGAACAATGTGGAATAATTAAATACAATTTATATATATTTCCATATAATGGAATATTACACAGCCATTGGAAATTGTACATTCAAATATACTGAAAGCTATGGAAAATGTTTGTGCTACAATATTAGTTTTTTATGATGAGATTGGCGTGCTGCCCACTGTGCTGAGGATGAAGATACTAGTTTTTAAAAGATACAAAAATTAAATATAAAAGTATCTATTTTGTGAAGATATGGACACATATACAGATATAAATGAAGACAGAGACACAGAAAGAGAATAGGAGAGAAGAGAGGGCGAGAGGAAAAGAGAATGAGAACATAGCAAAATACATTGAAGTGAAACATTAATTCGGAAGATGTTAAGCATCTTTTTGTATAATTTTTATTCATAAACATCTATTATATTCATAATGAGACCTTTATATAAATAAATTTAAATAATATAGTGAAAGCAATGCTAAGAGGGAGGTTTATGTAGCCTTTGGAAAGTGAGCTCACTCTAACACACAGATTCACACAGGTTTGAACTAGTGCAGTCATACAAACATGGGAGCTGCCTGAGCCTGAGATGGCAAGGTCCATCCTGTCAGGAGAAGTGGTGGTCTTCCTGAAGGCAGCCCTGCTTGCTTTTCTCCACAGTCCAGGCTGCTTTGCTCCTAAAGTCATTTGGCATAACCCTACAAGTTTACAAAACTCACTTAAGATGCTCTCTGTACATTTTCATTATGGTTTATTTTTTCTCATTGTTTTGTAGGTGTGATGCCATTTGAGTAAACAATCAATCACATGTCAACAAATTTGTCTTCTTGGGATTTGCCAACATCCAACCTATAGGGCTTGTTCTTCTTGGTCTTCCTGGTCATTTACCTGACTACTCTTCTGGGGAACAGCCATAATAGGACAAGACTGACCCTGGTAGCCACTGTAATAACAGCCACCAGGGTCAGTCCTGTCCTCCACACTGCAATGGGTTATTTCCCCAGCAACCTGAGGTTCTTAGACATCTTCTGTATGTGCACCACTGACCCAGTCTGCATTGAATATTCCACATATATAAGGTCAATATCTGCTTCACCTTCTTTAATATTACAGGGTTAGAGATTTACAAATAAAACTAAGAAGTGTACCACATGCCCTACAAGAGGGGATGTCAACTTTTAGTACTTCAGTCACCCTTTTAGGAGTGCTTTATCCATTCTTATAACTTTAAAACTCTTATGTCTGCAACTCTCAAATTTATTTTTCCAGTCTATACATCTCTCCTCGGCTTAAGACTTAGAGATTTGACTGCCTCCTTGACATCTCCTCCTGAATGTCTAGTAGGCATTACAAATTTATTATGTTCGAAATGAAGTTTTTGGTTTTCCCTGCTCTTTATTTGATCCCCTATTCATCTTCCACCAATTCTCAAACTATATTCAGCATGCAATCCGTGACCTAATGCTGTATTTCTGAAGACTATCCCTTCTACCCTACCACAAACCTGGGCAAGCCACTAACAGTCTTTGCTCAGATTCCTGTAATATTTTTCCCATGGTGGTCAGGCGCAGTGGTCTGTAATCCCAGAACTTTGGGAGGACAAGGCGGGCAGGATCACCTGACATCAGGAGTTTGAGACAAGCCTGGCCAACATAGGGAAATCCCATCTCTACTAAAAATATAAAAGTTAGCCAGGTGTGGTGGTGGGCACCTGTAATCCCAGATACTTGGGAGGCTGAGACAGGAGAATTGTTTGAACCCAGGAGGCAGAGGTTGCAGTGAGCCAAGATTGTACCACTGCACTTCAGCCTGGGCAACAAGAGTGAGACTCTGTCTTGAAAAATATATATATAGAGAGAGAGATATATATGTGTGTGTGTGTATGTATATATAATGTGTGTATATATACATATACACACACACACACATATATATATACACACACATATATATATTCCCCTCATAGGTTTTTCTGATTCCACTCTTACGTCATTGTAATTCATTTTCTACAAGATAGCCAAAATGATATTTCAAGAATATCAACCGGAAATCACATCACCAACATCAACACCAACACCAACGCCACCAAGGTACATTATAATCAAATTGCTTAAAAAGAAAAACCTCTGATAAACAAAGTATTGAAAGCAATCATAGGAAAAGACATTATATACAGAGGAACGAAGATAAGAATTATCACAGAGTTCTTGTCAGAAACAATGCAAGCCAGTAGGCAATGGAGTGATATAAAGTTCTGAGGGGAAATGGTCAGCCCAGAAATCTACATCCAGTGAAAACATTAAGCACTTTGGGAGGCCGAAGCAGGCGAATCACCTGAGATCAGGAGTTCAAGACCAGCCTGGCCAACATGGCGAAACCCCATCTCTACAAAAAAATACGAAAATTAGCTGGGCGTGGTGGCTTGTACCTGTAATCCCAGCTACTAGGCAGGCTGAGACAGGAGAATCACTTGAACCCGGGAGGCAGAGGTTGCAGTGAGCTGAGGTCGTGCCACTGCACTCCAGCCTGGGCAACAGAGCAAGACTCTGCCTCAAAAAAAAATGCAGCTGTAGTGAGTTTTACTTGGAACTTTATTACATATTCTTGGTTTTAGGGCCAGAACATGCATAATTGGGTGAAATCACGTATGTGAAGTATTGTAGCCTACTAAGCCTGAAGTTCTGCAAACTCTCCTTCTCTCTTACAATAGAGCCAGCAGATTTTTTTTTAGTGAGTAAATAAGAAAACAATACAATCTTATGTGTCTAGAGCCTCATAACATTTTTGAATTTCTTTACTTTAAAATATTCCCATTTTTATAATATTAAAATACAGCACTATTAGCTGTAATTTAATGAGCCAAATACTTTGAAAGCACTTCCCCCAAATCATCTCATGTACTCGTCAATAATAAGTTTGTGAATTTATTATGAGCTCTCATAGAAGGCATTTGGATGTCCATACTTACGCATATGGGCTCTGTCCTGGAGATGAAGTTCAGAAGCACTTAGACTGTTAGTAGCCTTATTATCTCACAAGGTTAAGTTAGTGAAATTTAGCATGATTGTAACTGAGCTATGTTCTGGCTCTGGGGGGACTCCAGATGATTCCTGAGATTATTGTTCCTCCTGTCTGGTACCTGCAAGCCTCTCAAGCCAGGGAGATAATTCCTTATTATAAATGGTCGAGGTACCTGCATTCCACCAATCAGAGCTCCAGCTTCCTTCCTTTTTGTGTGCATTCCAATCCATAGTGAAAGAAATAAGAAAGGCCAGGGCTGAGAATGGGGAAGATTGATTAGAAAGAGAAAGGAGGGAGCTTTTTGGGCAATGGAAGTGTGAGAGAGAGAGAGAGAGAGAGTGTGTGTGTGTGTGTATGTGTGTGTGTGTATGTGTCTACGTATATATAAAATACAACATATGTAATATATATATCTTATTATAATAATGTAGCCCCAATAAAGTTGATTTTAAAAGTATGCTTCTTACCTTAGGTTGTAGGGGTTCTATATAATCTGGCTCCTGCCTCTGTCTCCAACCACTCCTGTCTCCTGCCACTCTCCATCTATCTCATACTGGTCTTCTCTTTGCTCTGTTTCAGTTACAGGGGGTCGCTCTTTTTTGACAAAGCAAGGCCTTTCTTGCTTCAAGGACTTGGCACTTGATGTTCCTTCAGCCTGGAGTGCTTTCTCCTAGCTCTTCCTATAGCCGGCTCATTCTCATTCTTAAGATTAATCTCAAATACTCCTTTCTCAAAGAGGTTGCCTTTGCCATTTTAATATAGCCACCCCCTCCCCCATACCACTCCTCCTAATGCCTTGCTTGGCCTTCACTATCATGAAGATGAACATGTAAATATAGATCTTCCAAACACGACCAAATGATTTTGAGAATCTGTTTATCAATAATTTGTTACTTTTTAATGCTGATTAGTATTCCATTGTATAAATAAGCCACACTATTTTTATCCATTCACCTTTTTTGATAGAAATTTGGGTCATTTCCAGTTTGGGACAATTACAAATAAAACTACAATAAACATTTGTGTGTTTTGGGGGACACATTTTTCATTTCTCTTGCAACATTGTCACTCAGAAAAGACAGATATTTGCAAAGTTTCTCATGTTACAGAACACTGTTACCATATTCTGAACTGCCAAGTACTTTTGATGGGAGATGCTTGTCTTTAAATAACATTAAACAAATAATAATATTTGAATATCCAAGAAATATCCAGATTGAAATGGTGAAAGACAGAATAATTTATAGACTTGGTCATTTTTCCTAGAAACATGACCTCACAATTTTAACTGTTAGTATAAACTGATAGTATAAACAAGCATTTTAAAGATCACTTTAAATATCATTTTAAAGTAACAGTGTTCCATATGGATATCTACGGAAAAATACATAAATTGTGGTATATTCATACAATGCAATATTAAATAAGATGTGAACAAACTAAAGCTACATGCAAAAAATATAGATAAATTTTACAAACATTAAGAGAGATCATGTGATACTTCCGGTTCACCTTATATTTTTTCACCAATGGTATACAGCATATAAAGTTCTCTATTTTCAATTAAAGAAATGGCACATCTATAGGCACTAACAAAGAGGTAGCTCTAAACAACCATATTATATCACATGACCCTTCATCCCCCACCACATATTTTGGACAGTAGATGTGTGTCTGACCCAAGAGCAGTCAATCCATAATTAAAGCAAACACATGTAATCCATGCTTAGTAAAATGAAAACAAACACAAGCAATTTGCACCCAGTGGACTCCATGCTTAGCACAAACACTACAAATAATAACAAGTTCTGTCTTGAGAAGTTTCATAGAGAAGATGTTTCTAAAGGGGCCTTGAACAAAGGACAAAAGAAACGTAAATATGACGGAGGCTGAAAATGAAATATATTGACTCACATCAGTAAACTAGCAAAAGGGAAACAAAGTATACTTCAGAATAAAACATATAACCAGGAATAAAGAAGGGTATTTATAAGGATAGAAAGGTCAATTCTTCGAGAAGTTATACCTAAGCCTAAATGTTTATGTACTTTAAAGAGCATCAAAAACTGACAGACCTGAATGAAGAAACAGATAAATCCATAATCATAATAGCAATTTCAACATCCTTTTTAATCGCTGATAGAAAAACAGGTGATGATAGCTTTAAAAACTACTACAGAACACCAAAGGCTGTGAGTATTCCAGCTACCAACCAGTAGTGGATCTTTCATTCCCAGCAATGGGCTGGTGATCCAGTTCCAAAATCCTTTTTAGAGTCTGTTTCCTAGGACTATTCTCAATATTTATTATCTTAAGTCAGGTTCCTCAGGAAACAGAGTCAGACAGAGATTGGTGTTCCCAGAGACCCATCTCTGGAACATCACGGTAAAGGCAGTGAGAGGGGTAGGGTTGGGCAGACAGAGATGCAGCGCCGAGCATCACTCCACTGTGATGGAGCCGTGACAGAAGCCTCTGCTGATCCGACATGGAGCTGCAACGACTCTTCAGAGTTGTCTCAAACTGAGGTAATGGGGCTGGGCCTTTTTTCTGTCACATCAACCACGCATTGGAGAGGAAGTGCCTCAAGTAAGACTGTTATCTTAAGCAAGACAGGTCCCTGAGGGCAATTCTTAAAGAGGGACTTTGCTGTGAGCTGGCAGAGAACTGCCTCAGTTCTGAGGGGGATGTGGCCAGCACATCACAGCAGTCACTACATAAAGATCTGAAGTTTAGCTTTATTATGTTTGAAATGCCTATTAAACATCTAACTAGAAATGTTAAGTAGCCAGTTGAGTATAAGAACTTGGAGCTCAAGAGAAAGGCTGGGCTAGAGACAAAGTTGCAGTCAACAATATTTGGGTGACACTTTCAAAACCTTGAGGCTACGTGAGATCACCAAGGGAATTCAAAGAGAAGCAGTTCAAAACCTGAACCTTGGAGCACTTCAAAGTTAAGAGTTAAGGAAGAGTAGGAGCCACCTAAGGTAAATGAGGAGGAGGAGCCAGTGAAGCAGGAAGAAAGCTAAGAGTACGGTGACCAGGAAGCCAAGTACAAAAAGTGTTTCCAGAAAAGAGGAACAATCAATGATGTCAAATGTGGCAGACAGGTCAAGGGAGATGAGGACTGAGACTTGACCATTGGATCTAAACATGTGAAAGTCACTGGCCGTCTTGACAAGAACAGTTTTGGTAGAGTAGTGGGGGTGCAAGCCTGACTGGAGTGAGTTTACAAGAGAATGAAAAGAGAGGAATTAGAAGTATTAAGAATAAATGAGCTGCTGGGTGCCGTAGCTCACGCCTGTAATCCCAGCACTTTGGGAGGCCGAGGCAGATGGATCACCTGAGGTCAGGAGTTCGAGACCAACCTGGCCAATATGGTGAAACCCTGTCTCTACTAAAAATATTTTTAAAAAATTAGCCAGGCATGGTGGCAGATGCCTGTAATCCCAGCTACTTGTGAGGCTGAGGCAAGATAATTGCTTGAACCCGGGAGGTGGAGGTTGCAGTGAGCTGAGATGGCGCCACTGCACGCCAGCCTGGCGACAGAGCAAGACTCCGACTCAAAAAAAAAAAAAAAAAAAAAAGAATGAATAAGCTGGTTGTGGCATTTACTCTAAAGGGAAGCAAATAAATGTGATGTAGCTGGAAGGGGAATGAGATTAGAAAAGAAGTTTTACAAAGGATAAATAACAAGAGAAAAATAATTAGTCAAAAGAAACAAATTGATAATGTGGGAGAAAGGGGATAATGCTATAGTGATGGCCTTGAGTGGAGGACAGTGTATGAGATGGCGCATACTTGGAGAGGTTGGTCTAGTTAGGGGCACAGACACCAGGTGGGGAGGCAGAATATATGGCAGTTAGTAGGAGTATTGGGTAAGTTCTTTGATTACTTTGATTTTCTCTTCAATGTTGGAAGCACTAGGATCAGCTGAAAGTGAGGATGGGGAGGTGTTGGAGATTTGAGGAGACGAGAGAGAGTATACAATCATCTTGGAGAGTGAGAAAGTAAATGGAAGAGAGATATAGTATGATAGGCGGGCAGCGTTAGGCCCACTTGAGGTTTGTGGTCATTAATTGAAAATGGGAGGAATAAGCATGATTGTGCTTCTCCACTGCAGTTATTCATCTGTAAAATGGGGCTATCAGTGCCTTTCTCCGTCGGGTTGTTGGAGGATGTGAGGATTAAACATCTTAGTACAGGTAACATGCCTGGTACATATCACTTAATGAGTGTTAATTATTGTCCTGTAGAGTACATTGTTATCTTGTGTACATATCTCTGTTTTGATCACAAATAAGTGGACTCATAGAACTAAAGGTTAAAAATCATCGAGTCCAACCACTTACTTGATAACCTGAATTTCATCTACATCCTCATTCGGCCTTTGTTTGAGCTGCTTAGGGTAGGGCACATATTCTGTCCCAAAGCAGTCATTTCATCTTTGGACATCTCAAATAACTGGAATGGTCTTCCTTCTTTCATAGTGAAATTTGCCCTGTGGTAACTTTCACCAAAACTTACCCATTGGGCCACACTGAAAAAATCATCCTTGTCTATGGTTCCATCTCTCCTACAAACGGCACTCTTCATGTTTGACTATAGAGCAGACAGCATTCTGTGCAGCCGGTCTCAACCTTTTCAATACACCCTCCAACCTTTCCTTCCTTATCAGTATCATTTGCATTTGCAGAAGGAAAAAAAAGTCTATTTTTCAATACTTTCACCCCCTGGAGCCACATTCTTGTTAAAGTGTCTGACTTTGTTACCTTGCTTTTTTCTGCAGAGAAAAGTGGATAATCTGCTTTTTTCTAGTCTAGAACAATTTTCCTTTACTGCGTTTTGTAGAACACTGTAAGATTCTAACGATTGTTTCACTTAAAGACGGTTTAACACAAGCAAATAATTTTGAAAAACTGTAGTCAAAATTGCAGTTTTCTCATGTTGAAATAGCTAACATATACTATCAATTCCCAAAAAGGTAGCTGTAGTGCATTTCCTAAATGTATTTGTTAACAAAACATTTTGTTGTTGTTGCTGCTCATTTCCTGGAACTAGCATTCCACAGAATAATCTTTGGGAAACACTCATTCAGAAAAACGTCTCTTAAACTTAACTAACACATGACATATAAAATGTTGGCTTATATTACATGTATTATAAAGTTGCATAAATATGCACAATCATAAAACTAGGTGTTAACGCCAATCTTTATGCTTATAGTTCTTATATAAGCAACTATATAACTATAAAACCAAATCAATTTATAAAATAAATATAAGTAAAACAAATGAACTTCAAATCGACCACATTAAGTTAATGTGATATGTAATATTGCTTTGTTTAAACAAAATCACCAATGCAGAGTTTATTGATAATGACATAACATATTATTATTAACGGTTCTTTTTTATTTTGTACATGATACACTTGCATTTGAATCAATAATATGATTGCTGATCATTTCAGTTTTTTAAAAAGAAACTCATAACCACAAATTTATTTTTGGATAGGTCAATCAATTAAGGATTCACTTCCAAATAAAATACTATAATTTTAAAAAACTTTTTGAACAAAAAAATTATTGTATATTTATTTTCTTCTGTTGAACTGTATCAAGTTGGTATGAACAAAGAATACAAGTAAAACATTTAAAATATTGATACCATATGAATGTACTCACTATATGCACAGATTCTTTTTTTTTTTTTTTTTTTGAGACGGGGTCTCTGTTGCCCAGGCTGGAGTGCAGTGGAGCCATCTTGGCTCACTGCAACCTCCACCTCCCAGGTTCAAGCGATTCTCCTGCCTCAGCCTCTTGTGTAGCTGGGATTACAGGTGCCTGCCACCACACCCAGCTAATTTTTGTATTTTTACTAGAGATGGGGTTTCACTGTGTTGGCCAGGGTGGTCTCAAACTCCTGACCTCTTGATCCACCCGCCTTGGCCTCCCAAAGTACTGGGATTACAAGCGTGAGCCATCGCACCCGGCCAGATTCTTTAAAGTCTGACATTTCTATTCTTCTGTCACGTGGTTGTGATAGTCGTTCTCCCAGCGCTTTTACTTTCTTGACCTAGTGCAAAACCTTCATTCACAGGACACTCTAGGATATTATTTAGACTTCACTTGGCAGAAATATAATAATAGACGCAAACTCAGGCACTAAAACTGGGTGACCATATTCAGTTTTTAAGATAATTATCTATAACCCAGAAAATTTTTATATTATTTTCAGAAATTATTATAAAAGTGGAACCAATAATGGGAAAATAGAGATGAGGAGCTGCTGAAATGTCCATAATGATCTTTGCAGAGAGTGTGGATTGGCAGCCTCTGTTTTTTTGCACAGGGATGAAGAGAAACAGCTCAGCCGAAGTCTCCAGCACTCCCTTTTCTCCTCTACAGTTCTCCACCCACCCACCGGCCCAAAACACACAGGAAAGAAAACTGTCAGGTATATTTTTACATTCCTCACACCAGTGTGTTTCTTCCATTTGAAGCTGTAAGGCTTTTTAATCTATTATTGTAGAAGAAAGGCTTTTCCTCTCATTAAAGGGAATTCAAGTTCAGACTCCCTGGACTGATAGAGGATTCTGGATTTGGGGCTGGAGAAGATATATACTGTGATTTTCTCCTTAGAATTTAAGCTATAGTTCGGGATAAAATCTAAGCTAATGCTAATCTAATCTGAACTCTAACCTCCACTTGCAGGTGTAGGGAGTGTGATCTGCCACAAGACACCCCAAGTTCCTTTTTCACAGTGCCCTGTCCCCCGTACCAGAGTTGTCTCCAGCCTTGTGCTTTCTCCCTGCTTGCCTCTCCTGTTTCCTCTAGGGGCCCCCCCTTAGTCCTCCTCACCCTTCACCCTTCCTGCCCAAGGAGGAAGAAATTCCTCTAGGACCATGCTTCTGTGGAACTGGGAAGTGGTGGGCTGGCATGAAAAAGAAATGAAAGGCACCTCATCTAAAGAGAAGCTCAACTCCTAAGAAATAACATGCTTGCTTTTTGTCTTTCAACTCTTGGATGATAATAAACACACTAGGACGTTGAAGATTACAAAACACAGAACGTGGTCTCCAGGTCCACACTGATGATCTTTAACTACAAAAAAAATAGTGGGCAACTCTGGTTCAGCTAAATGGGAATATGTCTTAATGGTTTTCTCTGGATAGTAACCTCTTTCATTTACCTGCATTTCCTAATCTGAAAATCTCTAAGAGGTCAATATTCCACTGAAGTCAGGCATGGAAGGATCCTTGCCTCTTCTTCAAGAAAAAAGAAGGAAAGATAAATAAAACTGCACTCTGGGACTAAGAGCATGCAACTCAGATACTTGATACAAGGCATGCTCCGAATTCCTTTCTGTATAGTAGTGTTCACAGTTTTTTCTTCTCATTTTTACTTTTTAATTTCTTAACTTTTTTCTCAGTTGTTCAACAAACGTTTATTAAGCCCCTTTCATGTGATGGGCTCCCTGCTAAGTGTTTCCGGATTTAAAGAAGAAAAAGATTGGTGCCTGCCTTCGAAGGACTTTCAGTCTAGAGACAGACACTATACTATAAACTATAAATAGCCAAGTTAACAAATAATTTGCAATACATAATCATTCCTTAACTTGTTCAGAGCTGGTATGCCCATCTACATTTCCTTTATTTTTTATTTTCTGTTATAATCTCCACAGAGCAAGGCTCACCCTGGCCTGCCCAGGTTCTGCAGAGCTTGCTTACAATCTTTCAGAGAAGAGCATTCAGCATAGCTGCTTTTGATAATGAAGATATGGAGCTTTATATAATGACAACTGATCCATCTATAGATTGCAAGCTCTTTGTGCAGGCCTGTGTCTAATTGTCCATTTTGTATAGCAGCTAATCCACTGGGAAAATACCTTAAGTGTTTAAAAAAAAAAAAATGTGTAGCAATATTCCCCTGCTGCCACCTGGTGCTTTATTTACACTAAGTTACACTCTGAATTCTAGGTAAGGCAGCTTAAAATCATTTACCACACTCAACTATAAAATGAAATCCCAGCCCCTCAATACACACGCAAGCACATACAAATACATACTGATCACACATACATACACTCCTTCATTCCTTCCATCTCTGCTAGCCCAGAGCAGACATTTCTTCATGTTTTGAAGAAATGCTACTATGATAGCCAGAATTGAATCTTGAGAACTATGTTCAGTTAAGACTAGAGAATAGGACTAAGATAGTGTAATTGAAAAAACTTTCTGCTAGGCCGGGTGCGGTGGCTCACACCTATAATCCCAGCACTTTGGGAGGTCAAAGCAGGTGGATCACCTGAGGTCAGGAGTTCGACACCAGCCTGGCCAACATGGTGAAACCCCATCTCTACTAAAAATACAAAAATTAGCTGAGCATGGTGGCATGCACCTGTAATCCTAACTACCCGGGAGGCTGAGGCACAAGACTCCCTTGAACCCGGGATGTGGAGGTTGCAGTGAGCCAAGATCGCACCACTGCACTACAGCCTTGGAGACAGAGTGAGACCCTCTCATAAAACAAACAAACAAACAAACAAACAAAATATAACTTTCTTCTTTCTTCTGGATGACAAAATTGTGTGCTATACTGACGAGCCTGTGTAAAGAGTTAATGAAGCAGGCCGGGATCATCAGCTGTCAGTTAATTCATCATGAAATATTTTTGAAGACCCATAATTCAAAGCTCTGGAGAATCAGTGGTGAGCAAGAAGAATACCTTCTATGCTCAAAAGGAAGTTATATTCTAGTGTGGAGAGTGCTGTTAAGCTCCTAAACAAATTTTTAAAAATCAGGCAGGAGTAAGGGATAAAAAATACATAAAATATGGGGCTATGACTCAGGCGCTGCTTCCGTTAGTGGGGGCAGGGATGGCCCCTCAGAGGAGGTCACATTTGGGACTCGAGGCAATATTGATCATGAGGAAGACAGCTGTGTTAAAATCTAAAGGAAGAGCATTTCAGGCAAAAAAATGACAGCACAGGCCCCACGAAGAGAAAGACTTTGGTATCTTCAGGGAAGGCGGGAAGGCCGGGGTGGCCAGAGCAATGTGAGATGAAGGAGGGGTGGGTGGAGAAAGACTGGCTGGTGAGCGTGGGAGGGTTGGAGCAGGAGTGCCAATAGATTAGGGATTTGATTTGGTTCTGTAAGCAAAGGCAAAACCACTAGAGGGATTTAAGTAAGGGGGCAACACAATCTGTGCTGCTCTTCTGAATAATCACTCTGAAGGATGAATTCCAGGGGGAAGAGTAGAAGTCCAAGACCTGTTAAGAGGCTATGGCTGGCTGGGCGTGGTGGCTCACGCCTGTAATCCTAACACTTTGGGAGGCCGAGGCAGGCGGTTCACAAGGTCAGGAGTTCTAGACCAGCCTGGAAAACATGGTGAAACCCCGTCTCTACTAAAAATACAAAAATTAGCTGGGCGTGGTGGCACACACCTGTAATCCCAGCTACTCAGGAGGCTGAGGCAGGAGAATCACTTGAACCCGGGAGGCAGAAGTTGCAGTGAGCCAAGATCGCACCACTGTACTCCAGCCTAGGTGACAGAATGAGACTAGGTCTCAAAAAAAAAAAAAAAAAAAAAAAAGAGGCTATGGCTGTCATGTCATCCAGGTGGAAAGAGAGTAAGGTGTTACAGTAGCAGACAGTAGAGATGGAAGAAATTGTCAGCTTTGAGATATATTTTATAGGTAGAGCGAAGGGGTTTTTGGAAGACCTAGACATGGGGATATAACTGAAAGAAGAAAAGTAAATAGGGCTCCTAGAGCAACTAGGTAGATAGTGGTACCATTCACTAAGGTGGGAAAGGCCAGGGTTGGGGAATAGACCTAGGAGGAATGGGGAATAAATAGCTCTATTTGGCCATGTTAAGTTTGAAATAGCTGTTAGATTTCCAAATGGAGCAGACAGGTAGATACTAAGTCTGGATCTCAGGGAAGAGGCCCAGGTCATATGTGTAAGAATTGTCAGCATGTAGGTGGCTCCTAAGGCCATGCTTGTTCACCTTACTCTACCTTAAGCTCTAGATAATATCTTTTCCTAACCCCTCTGTCCCAGCTTCACTGAAAGGCATGTTCCCATCAGCAAAAATCTCAAAGACTGAATGGAATGGTAAAACTCTGCCATTCTAAAGAATCAGCTCCATGCACATGCATAAGACAGAGTTGCAAGGCCTCTTCCACCAAACCCCTCATTTACCCATGATAAGTTTGGGGTGCAGAGAGGTGAGAGACCCAGTGGTGTCAATGCCTAGCATTACCAGGGCTTAAACCCGATGTGCTGGTCCACAACACAGCATCCCTTCAGCAATCCTGTTGCCGCCAAGATGGCCTGATTATATTAGGGCTGTGGGATATGAACAAAGTCAGGTACATGCACATACCATGACTAAATTTAAAATTACAATTTTAATCTATGGGGAGGGTTCATTCTTTATCATTCAAAGGTGAGTGAGAGTCCTAGGCATGGTATAGAACAAACAGAAAGCAAAGTTTTAAAAATAATAATCCCTCTGAGGACCAATGAGGCTCACGTCTATCTCCAGGGCTCCTCTGAGCCCTGCTTGTCTTTAATTCATGGTCAGTGAATGTGAACAGGCATTGAGGCCCCAGGTGCCCTGGCAGTCTGCATCAACGCTTTGTGAATAACTGCCCTGGAAAGGTTAGGTACCACTTGGTTCCTGCAAAGCACCACTAGAGGGCTGCAGACACTAGCAGTGGCTGGTACAGACAGCCACTGAAACCGAATTTGAGAACCGCGCCATCGCCTAGTGGTCCAACCCTCCCTGTAGGTTGAGGAAATTAGAGCCTCAGAAATATTAAGTGGCTCTCCCAAGGCCTCCCGGCTGGTTAGTGACAAAGTCACAATTCCACCACAGTTCCTCTGATGCAAAATTCAGTGTGATATAATGGAAAGTATATGGGTTTTAGAGCCAAGAATCCCATTTTGCTGTGTCTTATCTTGGGTGCTCAGTGAAACTTCCTAACTTCTCTGAACTTCAGCATCTTGATCTGTTTTATGGGTGATGAGTGCTTCTGCCGTGCCATGTGTTCTGTTGGTACACTGTCATAGTTGAGGGGCCCGGCACTTAGTGAACACTCAGCCAATGCTGTGGCCTTCACCTCTTTCTGCTGAGGCCAGGTTCTTCTCTAAGATGGCTCAACCTCAAGAAGCAACTTTCAGGAATGAACTCAAATGATGCAGTCTGGTTACAATACTTTGCTGCATGTTGGAGTACACATAAAGAGAACTATATTGCTTTAAAAGACACAACAAATAAATACAACCATAGGAGGTACATATAGCTTTAGTTGAACAAGGAGGCATGGAAAGGAAAGGGGCTTCCTTGCTCTGTCCTAAGGTTTAGATTCCCAGCATGTCCTTTCATGCACCCCCATTCAGTGGATATTTGTTGAGTGCCCATTGAAGGAGGGACCTGGGCATTTGGGGAGGACACACACGAATCCTACCCTCAGCAAGAAACAACAATTTCATGCCAGGCTTTTCCCTGTAACTTTATTTATCTTACCTCTTGGATTCTCACGATAGTCACGCCAGTGATTATTAGTCCTTAAGGATTCATCAACAGTCCCTCATGATTTTAGAGATGAGAAAATTGAGTCTCCGAAAAGTTAAATAACTTGTCCAAGGTCTTTCAGAAAATACGGAGAAGCTCTGGAGTTTAAGCCCAGCTCTGCCTGAGCTTTCACAGCACTGCCTGTGCCCTATTCCTGGAGGTGTAAGGATTGAGGACGTGGGAAGTGCTGCAACAGGAAGGCTGCTGGGAATTCTGAGCAGCGGCCCCTAACTGAGGGGATCCAAGATGGCTTCAGGGGAAGCTCACACTGGCCTGGGGAGGTGGGAAGAAGAAATTCCTGCCACAACTGTATATGGTAAATCAGATGCATCAAAACATGGTGTGTTTGGTGGATGAAGGAGAACACACACACACACACACACACACACACACACAGAGTTAGGGCTGGTTGAATTCCATAAAAGAATTCTTCCTGAAAGGAAGTACAGTCAAAAGCTGAAGTAAAAAATCTAAAGTTAGATTTGTAACACCAGTATACCTCACTACCAGCTTGCCCAGAAAATTAATTTCATGTTCCACTGTTCTATTAAAAAACTCTGACTGAAATGTCTTCACAAGGTAAACAATAGGAAAGGGTCCAGGAACTTCCTAAAGCATTTAACACAGCCAAAGGCTGACCTGACCTAATTGGTGGGAAGTAGGAGGGAGGCCAGGGAATCCCAGCTCCCTTCCGCCTACCCAAGGCCTGGCACACTGCCACTTAGAAATACTAACTAGCCCAGTGGCCACGTTCAGCAACTGCAGGGCCGCCCCATCTGGCCCCTTGAGGTGCTGCCCACCAGCATGTTTGTCATTGTGAGCATCTTCTGAACATGAATGTCCAGATGCTCTTCCAAAGCAGTTCTAGAAATAGCCAGGCGCCTGAATAAAGCCTGACACAGGAAACATCTTTCCATCCAGGACAAAGCACACTCCTCCAGGGAAAGGAGAGAGGAAGTCATAATTAGAATCATTCATTCATCCAACAGAACTGAGCCTCCAGCAAAGAGCCAAATGTAATTTTTGACTCTGACTGCACATTGGAATCACCTGGGAACTTTTAAAAATACCAATGCCGCAGCTCCACCCTAAAACAATTAAGTAAGAATATCTGGGAGTGCAGCCCAGGCCTTTGTATTTTTTAAAAGCTCTCTGGATGATTCTTATGTAGTTGAGAACTACTGCATTAAATATTATATACAACAAAAAACAGAGTCACTGACCAGGCCTCAAGGAGCTCACAGTTTCACAGAGCCCTACAGTTTGCAATATGTTTATTCCTGCCAGTGACCTTGGTTGATAGTCACAACCAGTCTGGGAGGTTGTTGTTATTGCCTGTTTTGCAGATGAGGCAGCTAAGCCTCAGAGAGAGTATACAGCTGCCCAATATTACACAGCAGGTAGGCAGCAAGTGAGCACAAGAACCAGGTTTTCTAATTCCATGACTCCTGCTCTCACATCACAGACCAACATGTAGAGGAATCGGACCGAGGAGAGGCTCAAAGCACTTCATAACTGCAGCATGGCAAGAGTCAAGAGCCAAAGGAATAAATCGAGGAGAGTCTTAGGTGGACCTACCTGCCCTAACTAATGTCCACCAACCAGCTGATGTCCATTAGTGTTCCTAAAACTGTGCCTGCGTTGATCAACTACTTATTTAACTCTTCTCATTAAGAATTTTCTAGGCAACAGAACCTTGTGGATAGAATTTTAAGCAGACACTTAAAAGATCACCTTGCCAGGCTCCACAATTGGCCTTCGGATATGCTAACAACCCCTAAGAAGAATACAATTTATTGCATAAATTCTGATACTGTGAACAGTAAGTACTTAGTACAGTGTCTCAACTGATTTGTTGGCCATTAATTAATGGTCAGTAGGTGTTAGAGGGAGAGCCCATGTTAGTAAAAAGGAAAAGGGAAACAGGTGCAGCATGTGGCTAAGCAGTGGGCCAGAACGCAGAGGCTTTGAAATCTAATTCCCTTCTGGGTGGCTGTTTAGCCTTATGTAAACCCTTGCCTCTTTAGGTTACATATACAGTTTTGCCTAACCCGAAGTGGGCTGTACATTCCCATGGCCTCAGAGATATTTAGTCTAGTTTCCCAAGTGCTGGTCCTTTGGGAAGCAGGAATTACTCTTCTCAAACAGATTTTCTACCCCTGCCCTTTCCCCTTCAGCAACTGTGATCTGGCTCTTCTCTGTCTCTCTTCTAACCCCTTTTCTTCCTCACTCCTGGTGTTTGTCAAAGGGCAGTTTCCCTGTTCACCACTTGGAAATCACCAATAAAATGCAACCCTTCCATTTTGCAGATGAAGAGACTGACATCCAAAGAGAGACCCTGGCCAAAGCCACCTAGACAGTGACAGAGCTAGGACCAGCCCAGCCTCCTGGTCCCACCCCAGTACTCTGTCAGGACAGAAACAACCAGGACCATAAAGCATTTGTGAGTGTAGGTTCCATTCCCAATGCTAACTAGAGCAACTCACAGTTACTAGACTCAGCTTAGTGGCCTTTGGATATGGGTCCAACTGTGGGAAAAATCACGATGAAAGGAAATGTAGTCTGATAACCCCTTGCCTCTTTCAGGTCAAGATGAAAGTACTTAGATGGGTTAGTAATGTATGTTACTAACACCTCAGTATATGCAAAATCCATATCTGTTTTTTAAAAGAGGATCCACCGGGAGAAGAACCCAAAGAAGTAAGTCTCTAATAACAGCATTTATGGTCTGTGATATCTGGATTCAGTTGACCTTCTTGGTTCCTTCCATAACAGTAGTAAGGATAGTAATAATAATACCCTACCTACCATTTACTGAGTGCCCAATATATTCCAGTGGCTCTGAAACAGGCTTCATGTATCATTTAATGCTCATGTGAAGCAGGTCTTATTTTCTCCTTATACAGTTGAGGAAAGTGAAACTCAGAGTGGGTAATAACATGCCCACGTTTCCACAGTTTGTAAGCACCTGAGCCAGGGTCAAGTCTGGGTCTTTATACCACATACATAAACCCCTCCTCAGAGGACCTCAGTCCTAAACAAACATCGAGAAATTTTGGACATGGCAAAGGCCACACATAGATACAAGGATGCATAAGAGAGAGAAATATCAGTCCTCAAAGGCTGAGCATTCTGCAGTTGGCTTTGAACTGGTTGCCCACCCATCCCCTGGACCATTCATCTTCCCCTCAGTCATGGACCCTGGAGGCTGTGAGGGAAGCAAGCAGCTTGAGCACTGTCTGGTCCAACACTGGAGGGAAGCCTGATGGCTGTGACATTCATCAACTGGTTAATTTCAGAAAGGCATCCATTTGCACCAGCTGCTTAAAAAGCTCCTGGCCCTCAGGAGACACTCAACCAATCACAAAGCAAAGGCAGGGAGTGTTTCTGGTAACCACATTCAATTGGGTGTCTGTCTGCTGCTTGATGGGTTGTATAATTTCAGCAAAGCAAAGGACAGTGGAGAATAGAGTTAAAATGAATGATCTTATTTCTTTTAAATTATTATTCTTATATTTATGACTCACATTTGTCCTTAATGCACAAGTGCCCTATTAACCTATCATGATGATGATGGTCATGATGAAAATGACTGCTGTTGCTCTTTACACGGCGAGAGATGCTTGGCTGTCTCTGACAAATTCTCCCTAGGTGGCTGCATCTTGTGTGTGTGTTTGGAGGGAGAGGTGAGGGAAAGTCACCACAGGTCCAGGGTCTCCTCCTGAACTCAGTCAGTTCAAGTTAAAGTCTCAAGTAAGAAATGTCTTATAAAAATGATTGGTAAACCAGAAGGCAAACACATTCACATAGACAAGGAGAGATTTCCCACCACTTCCCAGAGTTGGTGTTGAGGAATGGGGCACTTCCTCCTAGTTGTCAGTTCCCCTCATGAGAGCAAACGCTCTATGATCACAGATTTGAAATAAAGTGCATGGGATGTTCTTAAGAAACCATTTCTCCTCGTTGGGGTGAAGATGAATGAAGAGAAAAGCAGTATGATTATTTCAATCAATGCATAAAATGGATATGACAAAATACTGCTCCCTCTTATGATAAAAACTCACAGCACACTAGGAATACAAGGGAATGTCCTCACTCTGATAATAAGTATCCACAAACAAATTAAAACTAATCATATTAAGTGGAAAAACACTGAACGTTATCATTTCTATTCAACATTGTACTGGTCTGTGCCATATACTGTTAATGTCAGAAAAATAATTAAAATGCATTGCAATTGGAAAGGAAAAAATAAAATAGTAATTATTTGCAGTGACATGATTGTGTGTGTTGACCCTTCACAGCCTCACTCTATAGTTAATTCTTATCGGGACCTCTCAATGTGGCAAACACTGGACAACAATGATCTCACTTGGTCCTGCACTGGTTATCTCTTTCATTTTACTAGTGGTGAAGGAGAAGCCTAGAGAGGGCAGTACCCTCATTCAACTCCAGGTTTGTCTACCTACAAAGCTGAAGCTCTCAACTGCCCCCTTTGTCCCATCTCTGTAGGTTTAGAGCTACTTAAAGAGTTAGCACTGTGTGTCTATACTCAAAAGTACCTTCTCCCTCTGTAGTATTGAGCACTTCTAATTTTTGCTTACTCATTCCTTTTATAGTCTCTATGTAATCCACCAGTCTGGCTGCATTTGAGAGTTTATATGTTTGTTTTAAACTCAATGGTTTATTAAAGTTAAGAATGAAGACTCAGTCCAGAAAAATAAAATATATATACACGTATATATATATACGTGTACATATATACACACGTATATATATATACGTGTACATATATGCACACGTATATATACGTATATATACACGTATATAAATACACACATACACACACAATAGTAGAAAGAAGTTGGGGATTATGGTAACAGGGCAGGTAGGTAGGAGAGGACAGAACATAAATCTGAAGATGCTACATTCACTCATTCAACAATAAATAAGTGTGAAACATTTACTGTGTGCCAGCTACTGAATGCTTAGAACTGACAATAAAAAGATGAGGTCTCAGCCTTAGCGCCATCTTCTTGGAAACCTCTGTGCCATGAGAGCCAAGTGGAGGAAGAAGTGAATGTGCAGGCTGAAGCGCAAAAGAAAGATGAGGCAAAGGTTCAAGTAAATCACTAGTCTGTGCACCAGTGGAGGCCGCAGGAGTAGAAACATGGAATGGCAGAGGCTGGAAATGCTGGTACAAGTTGTTGAACTGCATGGATCTAGAGCTTCTCTCAATGGATCTAGAACTTCATCGTCATCTGATCACCGAGACTACCTCTGAGGCTCACCTTGCTCATAACAAAAACTGTCCATGTTGGTCCTTTGCCCCAGACCTGTGACATTCTGGACTATTTCTGTGTTCACTTGTGGCTGAGTGAAAGAGCCATACGATAAATTACCTCTTACTCTGTCTTAGCTGAAGAGTTAACAAAAAAATAAAAAAACAAAAAGATGAACAGGACTAAGCTATACCCTCAAGCTTCCCGCAGCATAGTACGGGTAGAAGTGGGAAATAGTTATGATCCAATGGGTATTTTGGAAGCAAAGGAAAATGCATGACCCGACTGCCAAAGTCCCTGAGTAGGGAAGCAGGGCTGGGAAGATTTCACTTGCCCTTTAAAATTATACATAATATCTTCTATTAGCTCATTCATAGCACCATAAGATGAAAAAAAGTTCATTTTTTTAAGTCCATGCTTAGGACAAAAAAGTCTTAACACAAGTATTTAGAAATATCGCCTTATAAATGAATAATGAAATATGCTGAGGTGGAATAAAAAATAATAATAAACTAACTATATTAGTCCATTTTCACACTGCTATAAAGAATACCACCTGAGCCTGGGTAATTTATAAAGAAAGGAGGTTTAATTGACTCACAGTTCCACATGGCTGGGAAGACCTCAGCAAACTTACAATCATGGCAGAAGGTGAAGGAGAGGCAGGCACCTTCTTCACCAGGCGGCAGGAAGGAGGAAAGAATGGGAAACTGCCATTTATAGAACCATCAGATTTCATGAGAATTCACTCGCTATCACAACAACAGCATGGGGGAAACTGCCCCATGATCCAATCACCTCCCACCAGGTCCCTCCCTCTGCACCTGGGGATTATAATTCAGATTACAATCCAGAGATTTGGGTGGGGACACAGAGTCAAGTCATATCATTAACATTTATTAATGCAGGCACTAGTCTAAGCTCTTTACATGTATTAACTCATTTAAGCCTCACTAGAACCCTAAGGGATAAATATCAATACTATTCCCATTTTACAAACTAAAAATTGACTCACAGGTTGCTACACATGGCCAAATAACACTTATTATCTATTATGTAACTGATCCTAAAAGGAGGTAGCAAGGAGTAGAGAGAAGAGAACAAACTTTAATTAGAACAAGGCTCTGCCACAGTTAGCTCTGTTGATTTGGGTCTTTATGGGTAAAGCGAGTGGGTTGGTAGATAACTTATGAGGCTCTTTCAATTTCAAGCCTTGAAAATCCTTCTTAACTTTATTTTCTATGGGAATAAGGTAAGGAAGGACAAAAGATGAGCAGAGGTGAGAAGCAAACTGAAGCCACCAGGGCTTTGGAAAGTGTCACTGGAACTGCAGCAGAGTTAATACAACAGAACTGATGCCCAGTAGGTGGTCAGGAAATAGATGCTAAACAAAATGAATGTATGAAGGGAATAACTAGTGAAGGAAAAACAAAATCTTCACTCAGAGATGTTAAAGATTGATGCCATACAATATAGCAGAAAAGAATGTAAACACTGTGTTTATAATAGAACCCCCAGTGGGACTGCAGAGGAAGAAGAATGACAGACACTGATCCTGTGGTTTCATGGCAGGGTTGTCAAGAGCATGAGTTCTGGCATCAGACTACTTCAAGTCCAGACTCTGCCACTCTTTAGTGTGGCCTTGCGCAAGTCACTCAATCTCTCTGTACCTTGTTTTCCTTATGTATAATTCAGGAATACTATTAGCACTTTCATCATAGAGTCGCTGAAAGATAAATTGAGATAATATACGTATAGCCCTGGCACATGGTGAGAGCACTATTAATTTAGGCATTGTTATTAATTCTGAATTGGTGGGAGTGAGACAGACAAGTAGGAAATAATGATTGCACCAGTATTGGTATCTTCTCATCATATCCAGCCTGATTTCTCCTCGAAAGAAGTTGTGGCAGGGGCAAAAGGATGATGTAAATATTTGGTTAATGAGATTACTGACAAACATGGAAGGAAATAAGACTAGGAATTGCAGACAAAGGGGGTTGAGGCATTACATGGATTGGTGCATAAAGGGCTCCTTAAAAAAGCCAGCGAGGCCGGGCACAGTGGCTCACACCTGTAATCCCAGCACTTTGGGAGGCCAAGGTGGGCAGATCACGCTGTCAGGAAATCGAGACCATCATGGCCAACATGGTGAAACACTGTCTCTACTAAAAATACAAAAATTAGCTGGGCATGGTGGCACATGCCCGTAATCCCAGCTACTCAGGAGGCTGAGGTAGGAGAATCACTTGAACTAAGGAGTCAAAGGTTGAAGTGAATCGAGATCACGCCACTGCACTCCAGCCTGGTGACAGAGCGACACTCCGTCTCAAAAAAAAAAAAAAAAGACAGCGAACTGGAGCTCTCCATCTCCTCCAAGGGCAGGTCCAGAAGAAATGAGCTTGCTTCCCAACAGAGGGGAAGACTGTCCTAATAAGAAATTAAGAATAGAGTTCTAAAGGAGGAAGAAAGGTGCCTGTTTGCTACTTTGTGGAGCTTTATAATGTAAATAGAAACATATTTTGGAGCTTTACATACATTCTTATCCTACTGAAATAAGGACTTAACTAAGGCCAAGGATGAGTTGGAATGAATCAGTATTCCAAGCCTCAGGCCTAAGAACCTAGCATTGTTGGCATTCTTTTTCTTTTTTTTTTTTTTTTTTTTTTTTGAGATGGAGTCTCGCTCTGTTGCCCAGGCTGAACTGCAGTGGCGCGATCTTGGCTCACTGCAAGCTCCACCCGCCGGGTTCACACCATTCTCCTGCCTCAGCCTCCCGAC
Organism: Homo sapiens; assembly: GCF_000001405.40. Lineage (NCBI taxonomy): Eukaryota > Metazoa > Chordata > Mammalia > Primates > Hominidae > Homo > Homo sapiens. The sequence goes on from NC_000001.11 coordinate 147,504,110, forward strand.
TAGCTGGGACTACAGGTGCCCACCACCATGCCCGGCTAATTTTTTGTATTTTTTAGTAGAGATGGGGTTTCACCGTGTTAGCCAGGATGGTCTCGATGATCCGCCCACCTCGGCCTCCCAAAGTGCTGGGGTAACAGGCGTGAGCCACCACGCCCTGCTGCATTGTTGGCATTCTTGCCATAGCTCTGGTTCTACTTTGTCACATTCAGCCCCCACTCGCTGAGCACCTACTGTGTGCCAAGCACCCTCCAAGGCCTCACAACCTGGTTTATATTCCAGACGTCCTAGCTGGCCTTTCTAAAGCACCATAATTGTGTACATGGGCGTGCAATCCCCATTCAACCTTAATTCTCCTGCTCTTCTCCAGGAGCTGATTTCTGACTCACAAACTCATACCCAAGTCAGCCATAACGCCGATGTACTTCCCTGGTGTGTGCGCTGAAGGATGGGTTGGAGGAGGCAACAGTGACACTGGTTCAGATATTGAAAGCCTCCTTAGGGTCTGGGCCTCTGCCCTCGCACCTAGCAACCAGGGCCACAGAAATCATTAACACAGTGCACTGATTTCCTTCTATTTCTCGGGTGCTGAGAAATGAAGGTAAATTAAAGAGAAGACGCGTATAAATAGGCCACTTTAACAAGTGATCATATTCACACCCAGGAACCACAATAACAAATCGGAACAACAGAGAAACATAGCGCGCTAATGAGACCGGAAGGCTGTTTCAGTTTCTGGGCTCTGCTCACTTGTGTTTTGAAAGGGCGAAGCAACTCAGTTGCAGGAATGTCCTGGGGGAGAAAATTCCACCAGGACGGACTATTATCAAGTTGTCACGGAGGAGGTGGGAAAAGGCTGCCAAAGAGAGTCTGACTCGTAGACTGCTCTCAGAAGGAATCAATGCTGGGTCTGATCAGAGCTCATCCTCTTTCATGCTGCCTGATTTTTTGAGAAATAACGCCCAGGGTTACACTGCATCATTGCAAACTCACCAGCCAGCCCCAGTCAGAGCTAGAGACCAGGCAGGGGAGAGCAAATGTAATCTGACCCTACCACCTGCTGGCTAGCTGGCTGGAGGGCGGGTACGGAAGGCAGGCCATGTTTGAGAATCTTTGTTGAGGCTTTGCTTCATCCCCCTCCCTCCCCCATCCTCCCACAGAATTGCTTATTCCTCTGGCAAAACCCTGATTCTCAGTGCCAAGCTTCTCCATGCATAAAATAAGGATGATAACATTTGTTTTCCACTTTTTCAGTGTCTTGTGAGACTTCATCTGCTAATATTTATAAAGCATCTCAAACTTCTTCAGTGAAAGGTGACAATCTGTAAGCACCTTGAACTGCCATTGACAACTGACATTTATTGAGCATGGACTTCGGATCAGACCGTGTACCAGGTAATTTATATACATGTTATTCAATTCAGTCCTGGTACAACAGCCTGGTAAAGTAGATGTTGTTATTCCTGTCTGGCAAAGAAAAGGAAACCCAGAAATGTCAAGTAACCTTGCCTAAATGCACACAGGTAAAAAGAGTCATGATTGAGTCTGATTCAAAGATTTCCCAATATGTGGCTCAGCCTCTCTCATACACTTTGCTTTGAATCTCCTTTGATTGTGTGTTCATTTATCCAATGAGCCGCTATGTGCCAGGCATTCTTTCCCTATCTTTCATCATCTACCCTTTTCCATGTCTCTGTGTGTACGTATCTGTTTCTATGTGTCTTTCTCCAATTTTTGTCACACACACACACACACACACACACACACCGAGCCAGGTGGAGACCAGTGTTCTCATCCTATAGCCCAGTTATAGGGCACCCAGCTTTTCTGGGCCTACGCCACAAGGTTTATTACCCTCCACTAGCAGGGGCAGCCCCATCTCTTGGCACAAATCCCAGGGACCCCCATACCTGGCGCTGCTTAGGGGTCCAGTTCATCTACCTGAAACTGAGTGAGCTTTCCTTGGCAAATTCTGAAGAAGTTTTTTCATTCATTGTTTGCTACAATTCATTTGACAATAAATCATATATTGCTTTGTGGCAGCTCTTCCATTGTTGCCTTAAACAACTGTTCAGCACTTAAATTTTTCTCATGTTTATGTCTTGTTCCTGGAAGCAAGAGTCGTGTCTTATGTCTCTGTTTCATCTGCAGTCCCCACAGGCTTGACACGTGAGAGGCATTCAAGAAACATTTGTTGATTTTATATTCAACTTCCTCCCGTTCCTGGGAATGGGTCTGCCTAATTACCCTTCCTGACAAATTCTGTGCCTTGCTATATATTCCTATCTCCCCATACCCCATCCTTTCTTTCTATTTTTATTTTTTTCATTCCTTCCTCTCCTCAGTTAACTAAGCAGAAATCATGGAGTTAGGTTTATTTGTTAAATTATCTTCCTTGGGTCCTATAGGTGGAAAGAAAACAAAATTTGGAGTCTGACAATCTGAGTTCGGGTCACTATGTGACAACAGAGTTCACTGGCTGTGTGTCCTCAGCCTAACTACCGAACTCGTCTGAAAATCCATTTCTCCCAAAATTACTATCTCCAGGTCTTCTCATCTCAGACCATGCTCCTGAAACATACCTTGCAAAGGTCATCAATGTCCTACCTACAGCCAAATCCAATAGACTGTTTTCAGCCTTTTTATTTTGACCTCAGTACATTTGTCTTTATTTATGTATTTATTTTTTGCAGAGACAAGGTCTCACTTTGTTGCCCAGGCTGGCCTTGAACTCCTGGGCTCAAGAGATCCTGCCATCTCAAGTCTCCCAAAGTGCTGGGATTACAGGCGTGACCCACTTCACCTGGCCCATTTGTCCTTATTGACCAGTTTTTTCTTGTCTCAACACTCTTCCCTCATGCCATCAACTTCATCTCATGTTCTTCTGAGTACTCTACTTGTTTTTTTTCATTGTTATCATTCTTCTTACTAAAACATGAGCTAACCTTAATTGATGCTTACTATGTGCCAGAATTGCGATAAACTTTCTAGGTACTGCTCCGTAAGGTAGGTGCTATTACTGTCCTTGTTAGAGATGAAAAGACCATGGCTCAGAGAGGTGACCTAACTTGCCCAGAGACATATGGCCAGAATATACTCTCTCAACAGAACAACATGCTTCTTCAACTCCTTTATGGGTTCTCCTTCTCTTCTTTTTACTTTTGAAGTTCCTTGGAGCTCTATCCTGGGCCTGTTTCTCCTCTGTCTACTCTCCCTGGCAATCTCAGCTACTTCTTTGTCTTTAATAACCAACCATGTAGCAATAGTTCCATATTGCCATCTTCAGCCCATGCTCCTCTCCTGAGATCCAGATCTTTGTCTTCAACTACTTACTGGACAGTGTGATACATGATGTTTCCGACATGACATGTCTTAAACTGCATTAGTCAACTCTCCCTCAAAACCTGCTTTTCCTCTCAGGCTTCCTACCTCAGTAAAGTCATCCACCCACTGCCATCCACCAACTGCCATCCGCCAACTGCCCAAGTGAGAAAGCTCAATGTCGTCTTCTTTACCTCTCATTCATCCTTCTTAACATGGCTTCCAAGACCCTTCAAGACTTGGTTCCTTCCTCTTTCCAGTTTCATTTCTTCCGATTCATCCCCTGACATTCTTCATCCAGCTGTGATCACCAAAGTGTGGGTCCTAGAGTAAGGCAAATTCACTTGCTTGCTTTCTCTGATTTTCTCTGACCTTCTCGTGTCTGGGTCTGCAATAAATTGTACCTCTAGCTGTAACATGCTTCCATCTCTTACCCCTCACCTAAGCTCATCTTTATTTACTAGGTCTCATCTTAAATGTCACTTCTTTTGAAAATACTTGCCTAGACCACCTCAGATCTTCCTGCTGGCTGTGCCCAGCTACCCTTACCGAAGCATAATCCTGTCAATGGCAATTACTTTTCAACTGTTGATATAGTCTTGTCTATTGTAGTATCTCCAGTATCCAGCACAGTGCCTTGTGCATAAAAGGCTCTCAAAATATGTTGAGCAAATGAATGAATTATAAAATAGAGTTAGCTAAAACTACTTCTCAGTAACATTAGGTAACTGTGGAAATTATGAGATAATATGTGTGATTATACTTTGTAAACTGTAAAATTCTAGAACAAACTCCATAGTGATAAAAAGAATTATGCATGGTTGATCTCCCACACTTTTCCAGATTCTTCATCCCCTTTCTGGACCCACTATCTCCTCAATAGCCAAGAGATCTTGATGTATCAAAGTCCCATAAGGGGACTCCAGCTGAGATTCCCCCCAGGTTCTCTCACTTTGAGGCTTCTTTCTGACCCAGGAGCTACTTAGGTAAGTTGTCTTCCATATCATCTCTGTCAGTTCCATGCTGAACTTGGCTCAATCAGCAGCTACTGACAAAACCACTCTTCCATACCTATACCTCTGCTCTGGCCCAATCCAATTTGGTTCTTTAAGCTGATTCTCCCCACTCACTTTACCCTCTAATCTGCCAGGACACTTAGTGACTGAGGATTAGACTTTTCACTGAGGATTAGTGTCTTGCCCTACCACCCCAATGGTCCCTCTTGCTTTCACTTGCTACAGAAACTTTACGAGAGAAGGACATCCTAACCTAAGGTTCTCCTGGCCATAGAGAAGCTAATTTGGAGAAGATTACGATGTTGATACATTTTTAAAGCAAACCCTCAATGAGTTGATTACTGAGTGAGGGAAGCTGATGTGGGTATGAGAAAAGGGAGACAAGGAGAAACAAGGAGTATCTGTGAGGGTATGAGAGTTGTTGGGGGAGGAGGAGCATGAATTCGATCCTCCCTGGTGATGCACTGTTTCCTCAGTGATAGCCCGTCTCTCCAACAGCAGGGTAACTTCTCTGGCTGGCTCCCAGAGAATGGGTGTCCCATTCTCAACCAGCATCACCTAAGACACACTTGGATACAGGGTTGCTTATCCAGAACCATCCCTGAGTTTAGAGGCCCAAATCGGGGATAATCTCAGTGATTTTTTTTTTTAATCATCACCAGGGATATTTGGGAAAGTCAATCACTGTATCAGCTAGTGGTTTCAACTTATAAAAACAACCACAATTGCAACAGCAAAAACCTCTGATTCACTCACATAAAGAGTGTGTAGACGGGCCTTCCTTTCTACTTCAACACCTGCTCCTCAGACTCACCCCCTTTGTGACTTCTTGAAAAATGCCTTGGGTGTTCATTAACCTGATGTAACCAATATAAATATGTTAGAGGAAAGCACTCAATGTTATCTGTCCTGGACCATCCTTGCCAGAGAAGGACAAGCTCTTAATACCATAGGAGATTGTTTATCTGAAAAATCTAACCACTGGAAGCATCCAAGGACTGTTTATACGCTAAATTTATTTTCTTTTTTTTAGGCAATATGTTCACATGTGGAATTAACATTATCTAAATTCCAGAGAAAGTGCTGATTGGACATTCAAGGTGAACAGTCCTCCTTTACAGTCCCTGAGCTCAGGCACCTTCCCTTCCCTCAGGCCCTTAATGTCTCTCTCCCCTATAGGCTCTTCTTCCCTTCTGGCTTCTGTTGCAGCACCTCTTTCTACCACACACCCCCATCCTCAGCCCAACACAGCATTGCTTACAAAACACTCAAGGTGCTAAACTTACCTGCACCTTTGTGTGTTTTTACTGCGTAATTTAAGGAAGTGACAGAACTGTCATAATGTGTGAGTTTAAGTCTCTGAGTTTTAAATTCAACACAAAAGTAAAACAAGGGGCTCATGAAGATGAGAAAGGTAGCAGACATATTTCATAATTTTTCAAGATATTACTCCTGGAGCCTTATGTTTTTTTCCTCCCGAAATCCTTGCATAACAACTAGACAGAATGATGAGCAGTGGCACCTTGGAAGGCAGCCAGTCTCACAGTATTAGAGAGATAATACAATTTTAGAACTGGAGGGGACCTCAGACCTGATTTAGTCCAACATTCTCATGTTAAGATTAGGACAGTGGGGCCCAGGGAAGTGTTGTGATTTGCTCAAGGTCGCATAGGGGATTTGGTGGAGCAAAAGCCCTCTGGGCATGCAAGGCCATACTATCCAGATTCAGGCAGGGCTTGACTGGCAGCAACGGGGCCTGTGCAGAGAGCCAGAAAGAGGCAGTGATAAAGAAAGTGAGGCTGCAGGGTGCCTGGGGAAAAGAAGCCGGGAAGGATCACAGAGGAAGATGCCTTTGAAGCACAATTTCAAACTAAGTGGTCAAGCTTGCAACATTTGGAGCATGAGGGTTACCAGATGGGCCTGGGATGGGCAGCAATCAGGCACTGGGGGATTCAATGGGAGTCAAGGCAACCAGAAGAAGCTGAGTCAAAGAGACTGATGTGCAAACCACATATGGCTCTCCATATAGTAGCTACAGCTGCAAACCCAAGGTCAGTGTTTAGATTTACAGGTGTGTGGATAAGACTTTTGGTCAGGGCCGGGTGCAGTGGCTCATGCCTGTAATCCCAGCACTTTGGGAGGCTGAGGCAGGTGGATCACGAGGTCAGGAGATCAAAACCATCCTGGCTAACACAGTGAAACCCCGTCTCTACTAATAATACAAAAAATTAGCCTGGCGTGGTGTCGGGTGTCTGTAGTCCCAGCTAGTCGGGAGGCTGAGGCAGGAGAATGGTGTGAACCCGGGAGGCGGAGCTTGCAGTGAGCCGAGATCATACCACTGCACCCCAGCCTGGGTGACAGAGCGAGACTCCATCTCAAAAAAAAAAAATGACTTTTGGTCAGCATCAGTCACCTCAGCCAGGTCCCTGAATCACAGCCAAGCCTAGATGAGTGGTATTATTGACCATGATAATGGGAGGATGAATGGTGGCTATGACTGCCTGCTGCAATCAACCTTTAGGATGGCCAGAAATTCTGATTTGGCCAGCCCTTGGCCCAGACAGCAATGTCCCCAAGACACAGTGATCACTGTGAACAGAAGCAGCTTCCATGACAAAGGCCACATACACAGCCCTGTGATCGAGGAGACCACTTTGTCATGGGTCAGAGCTCAGGTTAAGATAGACCTTTGGGGGTGTGGGGAATGGAGACAGTGAGGAGAGCACAGAGCTGCAGAGTGGAGAGAACTGAATTGACTATTTTCAAATCTTATGGATTCAGAAGCTGTCGATGGAGCAGTAGCAAAACATTCGTGCCACTGATACTAAAATGGCAAATCTCTCAACAACTTTATTGCCAGTATATTCAGAAGGTTTTGTCAGAAATCTTGAGTAAGTGACTTAACTTTGCTGTGTGTCAGGCTAAATCAATGCAATGCAAAAACATCTGGATGAAAATGAAGCATCTCTGTCAGTTGTCTGGGTGTTTTGTCTACCTGACATCAAACAGCTGGATTCTTGTAAACATTTCGATGATGCACTAAATTTTTCATTTTTCACTCAGATCACAAAATCATAGACTCTCCAGCTTGACAGGAACTTAAAGGTCATCTAATCCCTGATATTTGGCATAGCCTCAAATGACCTATTTTGTATTATCACGCAAATCAAACACTAAGATAGGGGTATGTGTTCTGTCTAATTACACACATTGTATCTTATTTAAAAACATGTTTAACATTTGGTTCTCCTTGGCTGTTTAATTGAATTGTAAATGAATCATTTACAGGGGAAACTAGATTATTATATGTATAAAAATACAATGAAATCCTGTAATTAGGCCAGACCTGATCTACAAAAAAAGAAAAAAAACTGCAGGTGTGTAAATGCTTGTGAACTTTGGTGCTATGTTCAACACAAAGCCAAGAGGCTATGTGAGTTACCGTCACTCATAGAACTACCTGCTTAGTTTCACAAGGAGAGCAGTTTGCAAAGAAGTTTGCTTTAGCTCTTTTTCACTTCTTACTTATTCCTGCCATTTAACAAGCTTACACCAGGTGTCTGTTTCTAGACTGAGACAAGCAAAGTAAGGGCAAAGGACTGTGAAATTCATTAACTCCAGAGATCTGTTTCAGCATCTGAATCTTTCTCATCCAGATGGCCAAGGCTTCATCCCACCCCAACCCCCTTTCATATTCAGAGAGTTCCTTTAAAAACATTCACCCAATCACAGCTTCATAGAGAAGACAGCTAAGGAAGCTTTCTTACCCATAGATTGAGCTCCTGGTCTAAAGTATGTGTTTAATTTCCCTGAAAGTCTGCACAGAGTTTTTCATTTTTTACAAATTGTTCTTTGAGCTATTGTCTCATTTATACTAGTAGGCAGCATAGAAATGGGGACAGCCAAATTAAGATATAGGAGCAAATAGGGAGTATTTTCCAAAACTAGATAATGTGTGCATGCTGAGTGAAAAAAAAAATGGTAATCTGGGGAGAAAAAGTTAGAAGGTCCAGAAAAAGGAAGAAAGGGTGAAATGAGGTGATGAGTCAATGAGGCAGGGAGATCTATGAAGACTGTTCTGGATGGCAGGAGATGTAGAAAAGAAGGTTCTTACATTTGCAGTGATGAAAGCTTATAATGGGCAAGGGGGAGGCATAGTAAATCAGTCAGCCAGCCAGCAGCATGTGCTGGGTGCCCACAGTGTACAGAGCATTCTTGATACTAATAACTGCAGGGCGTTATCGAGGTTGTAAAAGACCTTCCAAGATGAGCTTGAAAACTAGTGGAGGAGAACATCACAGAAAAACCACACCTCACTAAACTTCAGAGGAAACCAGAATCATATTGAATAATGAAGATGGCTATTACCTAAGCAGGCATCAATACAGCCACATGCACAAAAAATAATTCAAGCAATCTAGCTAGTATAGATTTAATATATATGTATGTCAGAGTTAACATTTATGGAGTGCTTACTATGCAGCAGACATTGTATTAAGCACTTTATACACATTACATCTTTTATATGGGAGATGTGGACAAGCCTAGAAAATCTAAACATGTAATGGGTCTGTTCATTTTGGTATGAAATGAAATAGATGAAAGGATATGGGTAAAGATGTAAACACGGACTCCAGCATTTAAGGATTTGACATAACTAGCTATGACTATTCATGGGCAACCCTTAAAGTAAAGGGGTTAAGTTGTAATTTTCTCAGATTTGGATTGACTTATGGTGGGCAATGACTCTCCTTCAGCTTTGGGTAGAGAATTGTTCACTACCACTGTCTACATCTCTGTACACCTTGATTGTTCTATGTGTTTCATTGAGTTTGTCTTTTTTTTTTTTTTTTTGAGACGGAGTTTCACTCTTGTCGCCCAGGCTGGAGTGCAGTGGCGTTATCTCGGCTAACTGCAAGCTCCACCTCCCAGGTTCAAGTGATTCTCCTGCCACAGCCTCCCCAGTAGCTGGGATTACAGGTGCCCGCCACCATGCCTGGCTAATTTTTTATATGTTTAGTAGAGACGGGGTTTCGCCATGTTGGGTAGGCTAATCTCAAACTCCTGACCTCAGGTGATCCGCCCGCCTCGGCCTCCCAAAGTGCTGGGATTACAGGCATCAGCCACCACACCCGGCCAAGTTTGTCATCATTCTTTTGAAGTTATGCTTTTCTGAATTATAGGGGGACAGTATAAACTATTGTTTAACCAAGAGTTTAAAGATTTGCAAATGTCTTCAGAAGTATAAATATTCACAAAGGGAAAGTGTCTCCTGACTTTAGAGAAATGTAGAAGTACCCCACTGGGTATGAGTAAGTTCTCCAGAGTCTCTCTTTAACCTAGCTCTAGGGTAGGATAGAGGTGGAGCCAGAAGGGTCTGTGTCTGCAGTTTTGACAGTGTTACCCTTCTTCAGCCTCCTGCACAGTGAGTGACCTCCAAGGATTATTCAGGGTTTGGGAACAGAGAATTGTAAAATATTTTAGATGGGCCAACCTTTTCTCAAAATCCTCTTCAAAGGAAAATTAGCCTCTTCCTCACCATTGCCTTCTGTGCTGAGGAAGAGGACCTGCTGCTCCTTGAAGGAGGGTGGCCATTTCGATACCACAAGAGCCTACTCTGCCCTTTGACTGGATGCCTGGCCAACTCCTGACATTAAGGCAGCAAGCAATCCCAGTACTGCACAAAGTTCTGCAGCAACAGAAGTGATGATTAAATAGGGCAATGGGTTCTCTTGGGAATACGAACTGGGAAATTCCAAAAATCAATCAGTATCATGAGAAACATCAGGAAGAACACAGAAGAGCAGCCCAGGCATGCTCGTGGTGAACAGCACAGAGATGAAGGGCCACCTCAGTGTTAGATCCTTCCAGTGTCCATATGACATTTCACTCACCAGGATGCCACTGGTGCCAGATGCTCCTGTGATGTGCCTCTCTCTCTCATCGCCACAGGTATGCTGCAGTAAGCCCCCACTGACTAAGGTAGCCTGAGGGAGTGTCAGCTCCTGGAAAACAAAAAATCACCATACTGTCAGAGCTGGTCACTTAGTCAGTGCTACTCAAAGTGTGGTCCAAGGACCAGTGGAATCCACCACTGTTCCAGTGTGCAGAAACAAAGCATAGAAACAAAATATGCATTTGGAAATCTTTAAATAGGAATTTGACCTTGCCCCAGCATCCAATTTTATGTCTGTTAAATCTAATAATAAAAAGTTGAGCTTGCATTTCATAAGTCTATGGGAGTTTTTTCATTTCATTTTTCTAATAATTTATTTTTATTGTGTTTTACAAAAGCATCAGTCAGTATGTGAAGGACTGAAAACTGTCAAATATTTAAAAACTGGTGCTTCACAACAGACAGTTTGAGGAGCACTGATCTAGTCCCGTTTACAAACTGTGAATCCTTGACCCATTCGTGGGTAGTAACCCATTAAGGAGTCACGAAATTAATTTGTGTGGATACCAGCATTAACAAAGAATAGAATAAAAAGTATCAGGGTACATTGCATGAATACAGGATTAAGTTCTTTTTTGTGAAATTTTTATTTTAAAAAGCATATGCAAATACATATGCACATACACACTTGTATATTTTTGCATGTATATAAAACAGAAAAAGGAACCTGGGATGCCCATGTTTTATTGTAAAAGATACTTCTGCTTTTCTAACAGTTGTAAGGAAAATGTCTGCACATATTTGGAAAACTATGTGTTGTCCATCACACACCCTTCTGCTATCTTTTATCTGATTTGGATTCTATGGGAGCTATTTCACAACTTTGTAAACTGTAGCTAGCTGATAGCATTGCAAAATAATTATTCTCTGTAAACATTCAAGTTTTGTCCCTTCTGGTAGAGGTTCAATTGATTCCCGCTCCCTCTGTGGAAGAAGTCAGTTTTGCCCTTTTTTTGTGCATTCAATATTCTTGATCTATACATGTTCTTTGTATTCTCTTTTGATCCAGTTATAATATCTGCCTAGTTCTCTCATAGATTGAGTTAAATAAAATCTCTAACACATGTTCATGTTCAATCTGTATGAGTCATGATTCTATGTTTCGTTTTTTTTTAAATTACCTTTTAACGTAGGTCACAGTAGAGCTTTCATGCATCAGGTGGCAGTGTTTGTTCAAACTTAGGTCAACTGTAATGAAATGGGATACCTCAACAGGAAGGCAAACCTGGATCCCTAGCAAGGCAGAGGGACTTCCTGGTTTAACTTTGTGCTGTTGCCTAGAGGAATCAAAAGGAAGGGGAGAATTTTATTGTGAAAGACCACATGCCAGCAATGATTTTAACTGCTGCTCTGTAAGATCCCTCCCACGCCTTGTTCTCATGATGTTTGAAATACACATCTCTTTTACTACAGTTCAGAAAAATCTGAAGATACAAATGAATATGGACTAGGCAAATTAGAAGTACGAGGTCTCAGACATAGCAAGAAAGAACACCAGCCTGAGAACAAAAAATTTAGGTTCTAGGCCCAACTTGATCCCTAATGAGCTGTATGATTTGATTTTAAGCATGTGACTTAGCTTCTCTGGGCCTCTTATTCTTTATCTGTACATTAATTTACTTAAGTTGGTAGTTTTCAATTCTTTTTCAGGCATAACAACTTTTTTTTTCAAAACAAAGCTTGTACACAGTTTTAATGTGCAAAACAAGACAACAACTCTGGTTTAGTAGGGTGTCTGCTTGGTTTCAACTCCTCCACTATGGTGGCCTCTAATTATAGGGGCCCCTCAGAACTGTGAGGATTCCAAGATAGCACGGTCTGAGAAGCATGGAATCCAAGAGCACTAACATTCTTCCTAATGCTGCGATGTTCCAGTCAATTACTTTGTCTCTGGTTTAAGAGCATTCAAAATCTTTTCCAAGTTGTTCCACCCTTTCCTTCCTTGCCCCATCCCCACCCTGTTGAGTATTTCCAATTTTAGCTCTGACCTTTAGAGTCCTTGTTCTATCTTCATTCAGTTCCTTCAACTGCTGGGATCCACCCCACAGGTTTGGTCCAAAACAACCTATGGGGTGTATTCCACTGTATTCTAATTATCTGTTTAATTATCTGCTTCCCCAACCAGACTGAGTTTCCTGAGAGTGGGTGTCTTGTCTTCTCACCTTTGTCTCCCAGGTCCAGTGCGGTGCCTCGCCCTCTTCTCTATTCTCAGTACACACTGTCTGAGTTCTTCTCTCTACCTTACCTATGTATGTTCTACCCAGATCTCTCTCCTCAACTTCAGCCTCTCTTGTACAACTACTTTCCAGACAATTCCACTTTGGGTATCTCATAGGCTCTTCAAAAGCAGCACATCCAGTTCTACAGCTTCCATTCAGAATATTTACCTCCTCCTAAAGTCCTATCTCAAGAAAATATGCTGCAACCTACCTGCTGCTGCCCAAGCCAGAAACCCTTGACACCTCACTTTCTTTCATTTCCACTTCCACATCCAACCCTTTAATTCCACCTCCTACCATTTTTTAATCCATCTACACTTTTTTTAGAGATGGAGTCTTGCTATGTTGCCCAAGCTAGACTTAAGTGATCCCCATCTCAGCCTCCTGAAAAGCTGGAGCTACAGGTGTGTGCCACAGCACCAGCGATCTGTCTTTCCATTTCCACTACTGTTGCCCAAGTTAAGATCACATGGATAATAACAGATCATTTTGATGGTGCTTCCAGGGTGCCAACTGTTGCAAAAATAATAAAACCCTTTTCATACATTAGATCCTTGAATGTGCGTATCTGCTCTGGTTATTACTGTAGCCCCATTTTACCATTAAGGAAATTGAAATTTAAAGAGAATAAATAACTTACCCAAGCTGGTAAGGGTTGGAGCTGAGAATTTAGTCCGTCTCTCCAATGCCAATACTCTAGCCCTTACCTATAATACAACAACTGAAATATTAACTGGTGTTGTATCCCTACTATCAGCTTTGCCTTCCAAGTCTTTTTTTTCCCGTTCTACAGCCCAGAGATTTTTTAAAAATAGAAATCTTACTGTGTGCGGAATTCATTCCTTCTGGTGGGTTCTTGGTCTCGCTGTCTTCAAGAATGAAGCCACGGAGACTCCCGGTGAGTGTTACAGTTCTTAAAGATGGTGTGTCCGGAGTTTGTTCCTTCAGCTGTTCAGATGGGTCCAGAGTTTCTTCCTTCTGGTGGGTTCGTGGTCTCACTCACTCCAGGAATGAAGCCGCAGACCCCGGCGGTGAATGTTACAGCTCTTAAAGATGGCGCATCACAGTTGTTTGTTCCTCCCGGTGGGTTCGTGGTCTCCCTGACTTAAAGAACGAAGGCACAGAACCTCGCGGTGAGTGTTACAGCTCACAGAGACAGTGCGGACCCAAAGAGTGAGCAGCAGCAAGACTTATTACGAGAGTGAAAGAACAAAGCTCCCACAGCAGGACACCAGAGGGCAGCGGGTTGCAGCAGCTGGCTGGGTGCTCCGCGTGGCCAGCTTTTATACCCTTATTTGCCCCGCCCACATCCTGCTGATTGGTCCATTTTACAGAGAGCTGATTGGTCCATTTTACAGAGTGATGATTGGTCCATTTTACAGAGAGCTGATTGGTCCATTTTACAGAGTGCTGATTGGTCCATTTTTACAGAGTGCTGATTGGTGTGTTTACAATCTTCTAGCTAGACAGAAAATTTCTCCAAGTCCCCCACTCGACACAGGAAGTCCAGCTGGCTTCACCTCTCCTTATCATGTGTCCTCCACTTAAAATTCTTCATTATTTTTCCTTTGCCCAGGGATACAATAGAAATGTGTTAATATCTCACTATGCCCTTCATAATCTGTATCTGGTGTCTTTTCTTGCTACTGTCACCCTTGGCTTCAGTCATACTGAACCGTTTATGATTTGGGGGGCATATATTGCAGTATCTTCCATTCGTCCTCCATATCTTCTTTTTCCTCTGCTTGAGAAATTCTTTATTTCCCCCACCTCTTTACCCAGCCAGCTCCTAGTTATACTTCAGTTCTCAGCTCAGAAATGTTCAACTCTAAAGAAACACTCTGTGACCATTCCTGTTCCCAGAGCACCATGAATCTTCTGAAGCTACCATTGTGACTCTACATTATAAATGCTTGTGTATTTGTCTGTATCCTCCCCCAGTACAAGTTCCCAGAGGGAGACTACTTCTGATTTATTCAGCATTGCCCATTGTCTTAACTTGGGTTCCTTAGAAGAAGACCCTGAGGTGAGAATTCTTCTTACTCAAGTGATTTATTGAGGATGAAATTCATATGAGTGAGGGAAACTGGATAGGGCTGGGGAGATCAGTCAAGCTGTGGGTCTAGCCTCAGCCTGATTCCAGGGGGCACTTTGGAGCTTGAATAACATCACAGAGTCAGCCCACTTGAGACAAGGGGACTGTGCTTTTACCCCCATCCCCAACAACTGGGCATTGGCTGCAAGCTGCTCCTAGAGTGTGTGTGTGTGGGATGAAGGCAGCATAATCTCCCAGGCATAGCTGGGGGGAGTGCTTCCCTGCTGCAGGGCTCCAGAGAAGGGTGCAGCTGTGACTCCTTAGTAACTGGGGGATGCGTGCTCCACCAGACAACAGGGGTCTACTACATACCCCAGCTGCTAGAACATGTCCTACCACATCATACTCAATACATGCCAAAGAAAGAAATGAGAGAATTTTTTCATTCATCTATTTCTCATTTATTCCCAGCTGAATGATTTTTCTAGTGGATTACATTCTCTAATATTCCCAATCTTGATTTTTTTTAAAGCCTCTCAATTTTCTTCCACCTTTCCTGAACACTAACCACTTTATAAGATTTCCAAACTTGGGTAACTCTAGTTTCTCACCTCATGTGCTTCGTTTAGTTCTAGTTTCTCACCTCATGTGCTTCATTAAGTTCTAGACAAACATGAGCACGGCCATTAATATTTCTACAACTTAATTAGTTGTTTAAGGTCTGACTGGTTACCGGTCAAAATGTACACATCTTCTCAAATTGAGTGGGACTTATGGGGAGAAGGTTTCTGTCAATTAGGAGAAAATTTGATTTTTTTTCTTTTTTTTTTGATGGAGTCTTGCTCTGTCGCCCAGACTGGAGTGCAGTGGCGCGATCTCGGCTCACTGCAAGCTCTGCCTCCCAGGTTCATGCCATTCTCCTGCCACAGCCTCCCGAGTAGCTGGGACTACAGGCGACCGCCACCACGCCCAGCTAACTTTTTTTGTATTTTTTGTAGAGATGGGGTTTCACCATGTTAGCCAGGATGGTCTCAATCTCCTGACCTTGTGATCTGCCTGCCTCAGCCTCCCAAAGTGCTGGGATTACAGGCGTGAGCCACCACGCCCGGCCGTATTTTTTTTTTTAGTTTTTTTTTTTTGAGACGGAGTTTCGCTCTTGTTGCCCAGGCTGGAGTGCAATGGGTCATCTCAGCTCACTGCAACCTCAGCCTCCCGGGTTCAAACAATTCTCCTGCCTCAGCCTCCCCAGTAGCTGGGATTACAGGCATGCACCACCATGCCCGGCTAACTTTGTATTTTTAGGAGAGACAGGGTTTCTTCTTGTTGGTCAGGCTGGTCTCGAACTCCCAACCTCAGGTGATCCTCTCACCTTGGCCTCCCAAAGTGCTGGGATTACAGGCATGAGCCACCACGCCCAGCCTGGAAAATTTGATTTTTAAACCGTTTGTCTAGAACAATTTGCTCCAAAATATCTACATATATCCTACCTGGGGGGTCTACCCAGAGAGATCTGTGAATTCTCTGTAATCCATGAATGCATATTCCAGGCTGTGTGCCCTTACCTATGGCAGTCAGCTGCCACCTGCTCAGATGGATGGACACCAGCAGCCTCCTCCCTGATTGGGAAGTTAGACCACATGGAGGGAAGACGACTTCTTCCCACAAGAAGGTTCCCTTCTGCTCGAGTGGACTGGAGCCCTGAGCTTATTCCTCAAGGAAATTTTCTCTCTGGAAGAAATCCAATCCTATCAGACTCAGACAAAAGGTAAAAGCCTTAAAGGTAGAGATCGGGTCCTGTTCTTTACATAAAAACTAACAATATCTCACACTCAACTGTTTAGAAGTGCTTTCACATATTGTATCTCATCTGATCCTCAATAAAATCCCACCCATGAGAAAACTGAGACACCTAGCAGTCAAGTGACTCACCTAAGATCACGTAGCCAACAAATGGTAGAGCCGTGATTCAAACCCAGGATCTCCGATGCCAAATATGAAGGTCTTTTCAGAGTACCCTGCTGTGTAACACAAGGCCTGGCTTACCATATGCCCTCATTAGCTTTTCGTTGAGTTGAATTACCTACGGCTTCTATTATTCATGTCCAGTGCACCCCTTCTTTAGAATAGATAACAAAAAGTAGATGATGGGCTAGTCTGTGTCAGCTAAAGCATTGTGCCAATGAGGTCCAGGTCATTGGTTCAAATCCCAAAAGACCAGTTACCTTTGTCTCAAAATGGCAGTAAGCTTAGTTCCGCTGATACAGGCCACTGCCCTAATCACTCATTTTGCCTATGAGTCAACATCAGAGAATGGCAAAAGGATTTGGATAGAGCAGGGCAAGTTCATTACTAATTCTAGAGGGACATTGGGAAGAAAATCTTATTGCTTTTATTTTTGCCCAGGAGAAGGGATAGTGCATCATTGGACTTAGCCACATAAGGCTCTGGGTTGATACATGTGGAGTTGAATTCAGTGACTTGAGTGGATCTGACCCAGGAAGGCATCATGAGGAGGGGGTGTGCCAGGCTGAAGTGAGAAAAAGGGCTGGGAAGAAATGACCAGCTGGAAAGGCCAGTCCAGCACCACCAATGTCTTCAAACAGAAGGCTGCAGAGATAACTTGAAGACCTTGAGGAGCAGGAAAGTGTCATGGTTCTGGAGGTTAAATTTAAAATCCAGAGCCCCAAATAAAACCTTCACTCAGGTTCTCTTCTTCCATTCCTATAACTTAGCTTATGGTGCTGACAAGGAAGCAAATGCTTAAAAAGTGCAGAGCTCTTATTATCTATAATTGTTATACCATTCAATGCAATGAACACTGACAGGCCTGTTTTGCATCCACTGCTGTACAAGCTCCTGGGGTTGGGGTTCATGAAATCTCTGACCATAAGTTATTATCCAAGGAGTGAAATGATCGTAGTATATTATACAGATCAAGCAAAAATAAGTTCTATGTAGTGACTGCTCTGAGAGTTTAAAGGGAAAAGTTGGCTATGGTCAGATTCCTTTAGAAGAACTTCTCAGGAGGGGACTGAGTTAGTCTTTGACGAATTGGCAGGATCTGAATCTGAAGGTGGAGGGAGGTGGAAAGAGGATTCATCCCCTGAATCCAGTGCCCCACATACCTCCTTTGGGCCCACCTTATTGTTTCAGCCATTGCTGTAGCAACCAGCTGTGAGCAAGTGAAACCTGGCCGCGCCGTGTCTTTGGATGCAGAGAGCAGTGTTCACCTTCTGTTCCCGGTTTCTTTGCCACATCTGCCTGCAAGAACCTGCTTGGCCATTCTGATACACATGCAAACCTGAGAGTATGGGGAAGTTATCACCCAAAGGACAATACTGGATCAATGGGAGCAGACGCTGGTAGATTAATACTTCCCTCTTCCACCCTGCAGGCTGCCAAGTCTGAGATGCATTCTACAGGGGCTTCATAGCCTTCTAAGTAGGATTGAGCTCTGGTTGCCCACAGTGACGATCCGATAAAGTAACCATGGATTGGCTTCTCCTTCTTCCTTCTTTCAGCCTTCACAGACCCCAAATGTCCCAATCCTACTTCTTAGCGTAACTCCCCCAATTCAACCACCTGTACAAGCCCTTTTTTGGGAGGGAACATGGAATGAAGTTAAAAATGGGCTTGTTGCTTTTTCCCTATATCCCTGAAAAGTAGCTGTTCCAGAGATAGGAGAAAGCCGAGCAATATGGCACAGGGAGAATGTGCAGATTCTCTTTACTACACCTCCGAAGCCCACAACTGGCTCCCGCATTTGATCAATCCTATGGGGACTTCTCTTAGAGCCACCAGGGGTCTTTAGAGAGCTCCCTGAAGCCTGAGTGATGGGAAGCCTCACACCCATGTGGTAGGGAACATTTCACTGAGAGTGACATAGCCAAGCCCTCCTCTCCTTCCCCAGTTCCTTCAGACATCTGTGAAAGTTTGAAAAGGGTTCTTGCATTCCCAGGCCCAGGACTGCAGGGAGGGAGGAAGCTGACCCTCAGCCTCCCTGAAACATCCTTTGTGGGACTCCCATCCCTACCACCTCTTTAAGTTCTCAGACCTCAGCACTGGGCTGGGATCTTCCCAGAACCACCAGCCCACCCAGCCCCAGAGTGTATTCACCAGAAGCCCTGCTCAGAAGTTGGCCTGATCTTAGTAATAGTCCTGACTCTTTCCGAACATAGATCATGCTGAGTTTTATGCCTCACAAGTGAAGTGTGATAACAAGAACTTGGAGAGGATCTAAAGCAACCAAAGGGCAGGGCATGGTGGCCCATGCCTGTAATCCCAGCACTCTGAGAGGCTGAAGTGGGAGGGTCACTTGAAGCAGGAGGATTGCTTGAGGCCAGAAATTCATGGTTACAGTGAACTACAAGTTGCATTACAGCCTGAGTGACAGAGCAAGATCCTGTCTCAAAAAAAAAAAAAAAAAAAAGTAAAATAAGATAAGCAACCAAAGGGATATGAGTTTGAAAAACAGCTCTAGGCTGCACCCTTAGAGAAGCAGGGCAACTTACCTTCTCGAAAAGGCAGGAAGTACAAGGGTGCCCACTCAGTCCAGAGGAGGACATGATATGAGAGACTGGGGCAGGACAGAACTTTCCTCTTACGAGGATTGTAGAAGGCCTTGAATTTTGTGGGGAGGTAAGAGGAGAAAGATAATTGGAGAGCGTGAAGAAAGGATTGTTAAATAGTTTTTTTCTGGCAACATTTTTAAAAGTTCAGGTAGTTTAAAGATGGCTGAGGCAATGCAATGCTTGGAGAGAGCGGTGGGGGTGGGCTTTTTCTTCGCAGCAATCTCTCTGGCCCTGAGTGCCCCCGTCAGATTCTACCCTTGTACACTTGAAGGCACATGAAAGTGATAAGGAGAAGAAGGGAGAGGGGACAGCAGAGAAGGAAAGGTGAGAGAATGACATTGGTCATTGCTGTGGCGCGCTTCAGGTCACCACAGCCTGCCCACCTGCAGGAATCCTTACAAAGTCTTCCCGGACCTGTAATATGGGACTCTCTTCAGGGAAGCAGTACGGCCTAGGATTAAGACCATTAGCCTGAGAGTCAGACCCAAGGGTCCCAGAGCTGTTTATAGGCTAAACAACCCTTGCTCCACAAATACTTAACTTCCAGGGCCAGTGTTTCCTTATCTAGAATAGGAGCTCCGTGAAGTCTGCCTTATTCTCTACAAGAGCCCTAGAGCCTCGTATTGCACCTGGCAATACATATTTGCTGAATGAATAAATAAATCTATAAAATTAGAATAACCTTATTACCACTCCAAAGGAAGTAAAATCATGATAAGGAACATGGATGCTGGAGCCAGACTCCCTGGATTTGAATCTGGGCTCAGTGGCTTCCATCGCTGCCACTTTGGCAGGTTAGTGAATCTTTCTATGCCTCTCTGTGCCTCAGTTTCCTTGTCTGTGAAATGGGGTTGATAACAGAACACCTACCTCAAAAGGTTAAAACAAGTTAACCTTTTTGTGGGGTTAAAACAAGTTAACCTTTTGTGGGGCTTAAAACAAGTTAATGTATGTGAAATGCATAAAATAGTGCCTGACTATATGTCAGTTCACTATTATTATAAGGGTTAATTGACTAAATCCAGAAAAAATGGTGAGAATTTCATGTTTTTTTCTATATACTTCTGAACTATTCAAATCTCAATCTCTCTCCCTCTCTCTCTCTCGCTCTCTCTCTCTCTCTCTCTCTTTGAGACATAGTCTTGCTCAGCCACCTCCCTCTAGGCTGGAGTGCAGTGGTGTGATCTCGGCTCACTGCAACCTCCACCTCCTGGGTTCAAGCGATTCTCGTGCCTCAGGCTCCCTAGTAGCTGGGACTACAGGCATGTGCCACCATGCCTGGCTAATTTTTGTATTTTTAATAGAGACGGAGTTTCACCATGTTGGCCAGGCTGGTTTCGAACTCCTGACCTCAAGTGATCTTCCCCCCTCGGCTTCCCAAAGTGCTGGGATTACACACGTGAGCCACTGCACCCGGCCTCAAGTCTCTTATAATAAAATGTAAACAGGTATTGTTATTAAATATTTTTAAGCAGTTAGCTCATCACCTGCCACATTGTAAGCTCTCACTAAGTGCTGGCTGTTTTTGTTGTCATTGAAAAAAAAAATTATTCTGATCTTACTAGGTCTGACAGTTGATGATAAAGCCAAAAGTTTGTCCTCAGGATCAACTTAGAATAGGAGCAGGCAATTGCAGGCTTTAACTGAAGAAAGATCCTCAGGAAAACTGCTATTGGCACTGAATAGGATGAGAGTAGTGGGAGCTGAGTTGGTTGTAATGTTTAGCTGCAGGCTAGAGAAACAGACTTGAACGGGAGAAAAACAGTGCCTTGCAGAAGCACATACACTGAGTGGAACTTGTTGTAATATACCAGACCAATTTCTTTTTCTTTACAGTTTATTTCCATTTCTAGTCAGGGAGCTGGTTCAATTCCTCAAGAAGTAGTTACAAAACTTCTATTTTTTTTTCAGCCCTGTCACTGGGGTTGTGGGAAAAAGAAAAACCGTACACGGCAGCCCTAACTCTTGCAGAGAGAATATGTTAAATCATAAAGCAAGATCATATATGATCACATCTCAAAGTGTGCAAAACAGGTAACTGCTACAGTAAGTTAAGACAAGGGAGACCTCAATTCATTTGTTCATGCTCACATATATTCATTTACTGACTCATTATCTAAAAGACACTAAGCACCCACTGCACCGAAGGCCATAAGAAACAGGGAGCTTGGGATGGGTTCCCTTCCCTCGAGGAACATATGCTTCATTGATGTTGGTGTCAATCTGTATGAGAATAGCTCCAATACAGGGCAGAATGTGATCATGCTTTATGAGGCCACAGAGCTTGCTTGGGGTGAGCATTATCAGAGTTGCCTGGTTGAGTAGTCTGGTATGGCTTTTTGAGGGTGGTGGGACTTGATTCAGACTTTGAAGGCGTGGTATTAGCTAAACAGATGGGAGTGAAGGATGGCATCCCAAGCAAGAAGACACTAGGAGGAAGTTCACAGAAGCAGGGATGAATATGGCTGTTATATTATTGATTCATCAATGCACTGAACAAACTTTTTTTTTGAAATATTTGTTATGTGCTTGAAAGATGAACGCATCATCATTCTTTCCCTCCAACAGTTTGTAGTTTAATGGGGGAGGCAAACTCATAAAGAAAAACGTCTATTACAGTGTGATAAGTGTATCAGCCAAGGTAGGTGTAAAGTTGCATGCAGAAGGTTCTCCCCGGGAATGAGCTGGGGGCTCAGTGGGTGAGGAGGGAGCCATGGCGCTGCAAGCACAAAGGGCTGCAAAGGCCCTTTAGGATGCACATTGGAGGAAGGAGTACAAAGGCCACTGGAGAGTGATGGGAAATGAGGTAGTTAGACGGGTAGAGATCAGATCATAAAGGCACGTTGAGTACATTCTGTGAAATTTGGGCTTTATTCAGAGGACAGGGCAATCACTGAAAGATTTCATATGAAAGGACATATTACATTTGCATTTTAGAAAGATAATAAATAATAACATTGTCTTACATTATTTACACTATTTAGGGCCAACTGTGATTTAAACATCGAGCCTCACAATAATGTCTATCATCTCCAGAGAGATGCATGCACTGTTGCCCCAAGTCAGTTGAGTAGTAAGGAGCAGAAAGATGCTCTGTCTCCTGGGCCAAACTCTTAACCCTTATACTCTGCTACCTCTGCAGCGTGGAGGAGGGAGGCAAGGAGATGGTAAGGAAAGAGGCAGGAGCCGAAGTCAGAATGAAAAATAATGAAGCCAGAACTAAAACAGTAGGGGTGAGAATACAGAGAAAGAAACAGAATCCAGAAATATTGAGTAAGTAGGCTCTACCGGATATTAGGATTGATTAGATGTAGGGAGAAATGTGGAGGGAGGACTGGAATGGCTCCCAGGTTCTGCTCCTCTAAGTGTGTCTCTTGTGAGGCTGTTATCAGTGAGAGGAACTATAGGAAGTAAAGGAGGTGAGGAGATAATGAGTTGAGGAAGCTGTGGGACTCCATGGCAGAGATCCTAGTGGGGAGTGGGATAGACCCAGCTGGAGCTTCGGAGCCAGGAAAGGGCTGGAAGAAGAGACTGGGAAATCTGATGGATTGGCTGGGGCAGGGCGGGCTGATTAGGTTGTAGGAAGCTAAGATGACAGGATAACATATGGACTTGAATTTGAAGACTGTAAGGAGTTGCTAAGGCCTTTTGATTACAGAAGCAACATGGTCAGTAACAGCCTTTCAAATGTCAAGCCTCAAACTAAAATATCCAAGAACTGACATGGAACTTTATTTCCAACCTTCCCTCCAGTCTCTGGTGAAAGCAACACCTCAGTATGGATGGTCCAGTCCCCCATGCTCAGGGTGAAGACCAAGTTCTGGGGGGCTTAGCGGACACTGGGGAAGGGAGCTGGTCCTTGACCACTTTCCCCCTCGTGCCCCTGGGACATCCTCATCCTGTAGGTCTGCTCCACAAGGGCCCCAGCCACAGCACCTCGTGAGGGTTGCGAGATCTTTCCTGGTCTGGAAGTGGTGAAGGGCTGGAACCCCTGGATTCACAAGCACTTGTCTCTTTGCTTTGTCCCTCATATTACCTGATGGATATAGGATGAAAGATGAAAAGGAATGTTGGGAGATGAAGCAGAGGTGGGAAATATTAATAATATCTTGAATATTACCCTGCCATTTAATTAAAATCATATTTTGGGAAAACCAGTTCACAGCACTGGACAAGGTCTAATGGAGGAGGGAGAGGACAGGGGAACAGGCAGACCAACTTAGAGACTATTGCAGTAACGGCAGGGTTGTGCAGGACTGCGTAACTTACAGTGCACTTTGACCGCTCATTTGATCCTCACAGTGCCTCTGCAAGTTGGCCTTACTAGCCCCATTTTACAGATAGGGCAACCAAGAGAAGTTAGCTCAATGAGGCAAAATCATCTGGCTAGCAAATAGAAGAGCTCAGGCTTAACACCTTGGTCTTCCAATAAAAACCTTTAGGAGAAAAAATAATCCCTTCCTCCAGTACATTCATCACCTGCTGCACATCCCACAACACCAGGCTGCCTCTCGGGAATAAGGTGCTCTAAACATCAGAGCCTAAACGTGCATTTGGAGGCTCTGTCTTCAGAGAAGATCCCACTGGGAAACAAGTCTGCACCACCTTAAAGGATTCCTCTGGGCTTTGGAAGGGATTTCCCACAGAGAGCTGCTTCCAATCATAACACATTGAGCCTTCTGCAAGGTCCCTGTGTAACTTAACTGTAGAGGCACAGTAGAAAGCCCACTCCAAAAACCATCCTCTGTTCCTGCCTAATGAATCCCTGGTATACGCTGTCAGAATTTAAGAGGCAGGTGTCGCTCCCCTGACGCTTTGAATAGGAACTTGTTCAAATCGTGTATCCTCTCTAGGAACAGTTTTTCAAGAGTGGTTTATAATTTTTCATCTGCAGCAGTAGTGAGGGGGTGGATTCAGAGGAAGAAGGAGGAAGTACTGACGGGGGAGGCAGGAAAAGAAATGCCATCCTGGATCAGAGCTGTGAACGTCAAAGGAGAGGGGTGATCCTCACCTCTGGAGATGAGAGACTGGAAGAGAATGCCTGTGAAGGTAAAGGAAAGAAAGAACTTAGATGTGGTAGGTGGAGCCTTCTCTATGGAGAGACACAGAAGAGGTTTCTATTTCCCCAGATGATAGCTAGTAGTCAAGGCTTCCTGCCCTCACCATCATCCTCTGCAGGCATCTCCACGTCAACCAGGCCAGGCCGCTCCTCTTTCTGCCCCACTCAGCACCCTCCCTCCACCTTTTCTCTAGCTTATGCAACCCAATATCTATACATTTGTTCATCTGGTTTACTCTTTCTTGATCACTCTCTACCCTTTGCTCTACTCCACTGATCAGAATCAAATTTAAGTGCCAAATGCCCTATAAGTCTGACCTGAAACTCCAGCCTACAGTGGTTCTTATTGCCTGTACCAGCAGTTCTCAAACCCTAGCATGCATCAGAATCACTCAGGGGGCATTTGAAAACACAGGTTTCCAGGACTCTCAGAGTTTCTGATTCAGTAGGTCTGGGCCACGGCCTGAGAATTTACCTTGCTAACAAGTTCCCAAATGACTCTTGCTGATGCTTCTTGTTTGGGAACCACTAACCTGTACCATTCGTTTAGCCTTAATCATGCACTGCCCTGTGCTGATACTGTAACTGAGTATCCAGATGCAGCTGTGAACATATCAAAGGCAGTTATGTTGTAGGTACTGGGCTGTATCTCCCACAGGACTTAGCTAGCATACTCAGAGCAGGTACCCAAACCCAATATAATTTATTAATTGTTGTGAAAACTTAGTATTGGTTTTAGGTAAAATTAGGAAGACAGTAGATTGTCCACAGGAAGCTTCCACTTTCCCTCCTTCATTTCTCAACCAACTTCTGTGTCACTCACTCTTCCTCCTCCAAGCGACCCAGGCTCCCCTAAACATAGGCTTGTCCTAAATACCCAGAGCTCTCCCATTTGCCCCTCAAAGTTTACAGGCAAATCTCAGAGAAGCTTGACTGAGGCCGGACGTGGTGGCTTATGCCTGTAACCCCAGCACTTTGGGAGGCCGAGGCGGGTAGATCATAAGGTCAGGAGTCCAAGAGCAGCCTGGCCAACATGGTGAAACCTCATCTCTACTAAAAATACAAAAAAATTAGCTGGGCATGGTGGCGGGCACCTGTAGTCGCAGCTACTTGGGAGGTTGAGGCAGGAGAACCACTTGAATCAGGAGGGGGAGGTTGCAGTGAGCCGACATTGCACCACTGCACTCCAGCCTGGGCGACAGACCAAGAATCTGTCTCAAAAAAAAAGAAAAAAAGAAGCTTGACTGAGAAGTTAAGAGACAGCTGAGTGTATGAGCTTATTTAAATACTGATGGAGAGAGGCGCGCAGTGGTGCCAGTGTGGGAAAGAGAGGGAATAATGGCAGGTGGGATCCACAGTGCAAGGAGAAGGATTCGCTTAGACAGGAGCAGGGACACCTCTCCCACTGTAGATGGAAAAAGGAAAAGATAGGTTTAGATGCAAGAATAATGAGGCTTTAGATGCTAGGTGACTCCCAGCTCTAACATCTTGTGATTCCATGAAATTAAATTGCCACGGTGTCAGTGGCTTAATATGTCACCTCTCCCTGGCAGAGCTTTAACCCAAGGAAATGAATGTTTCATGAGAGGCTCTTAGGCTATGGGAGGCCTGCCAGTGGGACAGCAGGGCCTTCCCAGTGGTCTTGAATACCTGTTGCCCTGCTAGGCAAGGTGGGATTGGGAAAATGGGATAAATATATCCAACTGTGACAACGTAAGAACTACAGCAAGGCCACAGAGCTAATACATTCTGGAACCAGATTTAGAACTCTGTGTCACTCAAGCCCGCAGTCATCTGGTCCACCCAGTCATATTCTGACCACCTGAAATTGCAAGGGAGGGCTGGAAGTATTAGGAACAACTTCTTCCTAACCCTTGGGCTAGAGACTTGAGATGACATGCTCCATCCCAGATCCACACAGCCCCAGCCTATCTCTGGGGCTCTAAGAAACACCTGATAGTGACAGGAATAATAACAACAATAATAATTTATCTAATGCCTCCTCAATTAAACTAGCATGTAAGGTGCCTGGTACATTGTGCCAAAATCTGGATCATAGGAAGAAGTCAACAAATGTAAGCTGTCATCCTCCTCCTCCTCCTCTTTCTCATTATCACCACCTTCACTGTGTGCCAGTAACCATATTAGGTATTTTTAAGTATATTTTTTCCTGATTACAAAAGTAACCAGTGTTTAAAAATTCTAACAAGAAATGCATAATATAAAAAGTCCAAGTGTGGTGCACTAGAAAGAGAGGAAGCACATAAAATAGTTACTGACCCATTCCCTATATTAATAGTTACTGACCCATGCCCTATATTCAGTCACTTAAAAGCACAGCAGACTGTCTATGTTTACTTTCTGGTTCTTCTAATACTCACTGGGTGGTCTTATTTAACTTTTCTGTGCCTCAGTTTTCTTATTTGTTAAAAGAGAGCAATGATAGTTCTAACATCTAGAGTTCTTGGGAAATTTAAATAAGATGCGATACACATAAGGCAATGAACACAGTGCTCTGCACATAGTAAGCAGTCCATATAAAGTGGTTATTATTTATATTATTTTTTAATAAATAAAATTCTCCAAGATCCACATGTCAGAAGTAACCCATATTGGCCAGGCGTGGTGGCTCATGCCTGTAATCCCAGCACTTTGGGAGGCTGAGGCGGGTGGATCACTTGAGGTCAGGAGTTCAAGACCAGCCTGACCAACATGGCAAAACCCTGTCTCTACTAAAAATACAAAAATTAGCCGGGCATGGTGGCATGCGCCTGTAGTCCCAGCTACCTGGGAGGCTGAGGCAGGAGAATCGCTTGAACCTGGGAGGTGGAGGTTGCAGTGAGTCAAGACTGTGTCATTGCACTCCAGCCTGGGTGACTGAATGAGACTCCATCTACAAAAAAAAAAAAAAAGAAAGAAAAAAGAAATAATCCATATTGATAGCTTATTGCATACTTTTCAGACTAGATATATGTATATCTATATATACATTCTATGAGATCCAAAACATATACACTATTTTACATGTCTTTACTCATTTGACAAATAATTGTTGGATGATCTTTTTTTTTTTTTTTTTTTTGTAGATGGAGTTTCTCTCTTGTTGCCCAGGCTGCAGTGCAGTGGCGCGATCTCAGCTCACTGCAACCTCCACCTCCCAGGTTCAAGCGATTCTCCTGCCTCAGCCTCCCTAGTAGCTGGGATTACAGGCATGTGCCACCACGCCCAGCTAATTTTGTATTTTTAGTAGAGACGGGATTTCTCCATGTTGGTCAGGCTGGTCTCGAACTCCCGACCTCAGGTGATCCACCTGCCTCGGCCTCCCAAAGTGCTGGGATTACAGGCGTGAGCCACCGCGCCCAGCAAATATTATGGATGATTCTTAAAATAATCTTACAAAGTACTTATTGATACATGGTTTTGTTTCTATTATATTTCTTCTAAGGTTGCATCTCCACCTCCCAAATGTTCAGAGGAAACCTCTGAATGGGTGGATGGGTCAGCAACCTTTTTTTCTTTTTGAGACTGAGTTTCACTCTTGTCACCCAGGCTGGAGTGCAATGGTGCGATCTCGACTCACTGCAACCTCCATCTCCCGGGTTCAAGCAATTCTCCTGCCTCAGCCTCCTGAGTAGCTGGGATTACAGGCACCCACCACCACGCCTGGCAAATTTTTTGTACTTTTAGTAGAGACGGGGTTTCACCATGTTGGCCAGGTTGGTCTCGAACTCCTGACCTCAGGTGATCCACCTGCCTCGGCCTCTCAAAGTGCTGGGATAACAGGCGTGAGCCACTGAGCCCAGCCAGGTCAGCAACCTTTTTTATGTGAAGGACCAGACAAAAACAGTTTAAGCTTTGCAGACCATACGGTCTCCGTTGCAGCTACTTAATGCTGTGGTTGTAGTGCAAAAGCAACCATAGACAATATGTGAATAAATGAGAGTGGCCATGTTCCAATAAAACTTTTTTTTTTGAGACAAGGTCTTACTCTGTTGTCAAGTACAGTCGTGCCATCATAGCTCCCTGTAACCTGGAACTCCTGGGCTCAAACCATCCTCTTGCCTCAGCCTCCTGAGTAGCTGGGACTACAGGCATGCACCACCATGCCTGGCTAATTTTTAATTTTTTTGTAGAAATGAGGTCTTACTATGTTGCCCAGGCTGGTCTTGAACTCCTAGCTTCAAGTGATCCTCCCACCTCTGCCTACCAAAACGTTGGGATTACAGGTGTCAGCCACCATGCCCAACCCCAATACAACTTTATGGAGATTGATATTTGAATTTCCTATAATTTTCAGGTGCCATGAAATATTCTTTTAATTTTTTTCCAACCACTATTTAAAAATGTAATAACCATTCTGAGCTTGCTGTACTGTGTAAAAACAGGTGGCTGGCTGGATTTGGCCTGTAGGTCACAGGGAGCAAACTAGCTTGCCATTCTGGAGCCAGGTTGAAGATTAGAGGGGCAATGAAGCGTAGAAGTAACATCTTAATATAACCTCCGTCCCTTTTCAGTGAGAAGCGCCTTTTCCTCTTCTTGAGATGCACGATCCCACCACACCTGTTAAAATCCCCCTGAAGAATTAAAAGTTGCTGCCTCCTCAGAGTCCTCTCAGCACTTCTTTATAGTATATACTAAACACTGGGTGTCCCCCATACCAAAATTCCTATGAAGCCTCAAACTCCTTGCGTGTTCAATTTACTGCTGTTCATCCAGAACTAGCACAGTGCTTGGCAACTGAGAAGGGTTGGGTTGAACCACAAAGCTTCACTTTCACTCTATTGGTGCAAGCAAAAGGAATCCATTAGAACCAGTCTAGGGGGAGGGAGAAAGGGGAATCATTTAGAACTAGGAACATCTTAGTGTGCCTAAATTCAGGAAACCTCCACCAGGGCTTCGGGCTTCATTCTGTCTCTCTCTCTCTCTCTCTCTCTCTCTCTCTCTCTCTCTCTCTCTCTCTCTCTCTGGCTTGGGCCACATGGATTCTTATCTCTTTGTCTCTGAGTGGGTCTATTTCTTTTTTTTTTTCCTCATCAGTTTTATCAGTTCAAGAACTAATAGAGATCAACTAGCTTCCGTGAACCCTACTTTTAAATATCTGGGAGAAGGCCAGGCACCGTGACTCATGCCTGTAATCCCAGCACTTAGGGAGGCCGAGGTGGGTAGATCTCCTGAGGTTAGGAGTTCGATACCAGCCTGGTCAACATGGTGAAAGCCCGTCTCTTCTAAAAATTCAAAAATTAACCAGGCATGGTGATGTGTGCCTGTAATCTCAACTACTCAGGGGCCGAGGCAGGAGAATCGCTTGAACCCGGAGGCGGAGGTTACAGTGAGCTGAGATCGCACCACTGTACTCCAGCCTGAGAGACAGAGCTAGACTCTGTCTCAAAATAAATAAATAAATTTATGGGAGAGAGAATCTGATTGGCCAGGGAAACTGGTCATACAGTATAAATATAAGTGCAGAAGCTTAACTGAACAGGTAGTCTAGGGATTATTTTCCAAAAACAGAGGGAATGTGTTGTGCAGGCACTTCAAAATGCCTATAATACTTGCTGGCTTCATTTATTTCATGATGGCTGTGTCATGGTTACTAGTGTACATCTTTCTCTTTTCTACTATCTAGATGAAATGCTCCTTTAGAACAGGGAAAAAGTCTTCCTCATTTTGGTGTCCCCAGACCTAGCACAGTCTTTTGCACGTAATAGGTAATAGCAAACACTTATTGAACTGAATGAAAAACACTACCTTCTATTCAGCCTTTCATGCATCTTTCATCTTTATGAAAGGTACACATTCCATTGCTAGGCAAAAGACATGGTATAAAAGATAAATTTCCTTTTCCTGGCTTCAGTACTGCTTTTTATTAAATTGTCTTTAGCTCAGATAATTGCATTATTTCCATTTTAGGTTTTCAGAGGTCAAACAACCTCAGATCCAGATGTACTATGAATGCAACTATAATAGTTTCAGAGCAATTATCTCCATCTAGCTCTGTAGGGCAGAACAACTCGAACTCTGGAGCCCAGCTGGTGAGAAATCCTTTTATACATAGCCCTCTCAGAATCAGTCCAAACTGAATTCAAGATTAGTTTCAGCAGAGAATCTACTTAGCTGTGGCTAGTGGCCTAGGTAGCTGTTGCCTCTGCAGGCATCTAAGCAGCCCTGAGAACAGCTGAGTGCCCCAGGTCATACCTGAAACTCTCTGCCCATTAACCAAGGCCAGCGTAAGCTCATGTTCAACACCATTGCAGCAGCCAAGGTCAATCAGAAGAAGCAGTCTCTTTCTGGCGAATGAGTCACTGCAAATGGCTGGAGAGTTTCTCTCCATAGTTTATTACATCTCCTCTGATCTGCTCCCCTGGGGGAGAAGTTGGTTCATTGTTTACCAAAATCAGTTGCTCCCACTGGTGTCTCTGCTGCCTCTTTCTGCTCTGATGAGCTGCAAGCTTCAGGCAGAAGCATATTTCAGGGAAGGGGCGTTACAAACACAGCCCATAGCAAATGCAACTTGTTCTAGTTTGTGCCTTCCTTGCTTTGGCTCATATCAATTCATAAGGCCTTTTTCAGAGTGTTCTAAGCTCCTTTCCACATCTTCATTAGAAGGAGTTTAGGACAGGACAAAGTGGCTTTTCTGTCCTACTGAA
Organism: Homo sapiens; assembly: GCF_000001405.40. Classification (NCBI taxonomy): domain Eukaryota; kingdom Metazoa; phylum Chordata; class Mammalia; order Primates; family Hominidae; genus Homo; species Homo sapiens. Next base: position 147,534,931 of record NC_000001.11, read on the forward strand.
ATATCAGTTGTATTATTACACATATACCATGTTCATAATAGACATTCTAAGACTTTCATATCTGGGGTTCTAATAAGGTACAATCCTGGCTGCTCCTTCTGCAAGAGGAGCACTTGAGGATTCACAGTGTTCACAAGAGGAACACTGTGTGAGTGTTCACACACATATGTGCCGCATCTCTACATGAAATGCACAGAACTCCAATTTATCATTAGTTAATGCATTTAAATAACAATTACAAATACGAATGAAATGCATATGAACTCAAGCAAATTTCTTTGACTCTCCCTTATCAGTTAATCAGGATCCTTCTTAGGTCTTCTGCAACAATTAGAGTTTTTTCAGAAAGTGGTCCAGAAAAAAAAAAAGCTGTGCTTTTAAAAAATGTGTTAAGATCTTGGGCATTTAGTCTGTTGGCCAATTCTAGAATGGTCATCCTGTCAACCTACCCATATGTGAGTCCATCCTTCTGATTTATTATTGTTTAAAAAGAACAAAGAAACTGCGCTCATTTATTCTGAAGGATAGGGGAATTTCTGTTCCTCACTACAGTGATGCCACCTCTCACCAGAGTTCAATAATGTGAATCTCTTGTTAACACATATTTATAAGTTAGTTGTGTTCCCTTAAATATTTTTGCTTATATGAACTGTAGTTCTCAGTTTTCTACCCATCTAATATTACATATTTCAGTTTGTGGATTACCCAGATGCCTTGTTCTTTCTTCTATACTGGAGCTTTTGGCCACTTAATGTTCTCTATTGACCTGAAGCTTAGCTGAGAAGAGAAAAAGATGAAATTTAAATGCATAATTTTTAAGTTCTAAATTATGAATTTGTCACTGTGCTTTTCTGAGATGCTTGAACTCTACCATAGGTCACTTTGAGGGGTCTTTTCAAATAGTATTTTTATTTTTTCCATTTTTTAATTTTTTGAGCTTTTTATTTAACTTCCTGCACTACGCTGATGTAGTATTTTTTATTTTTTTTAACAGATGTGCTCTCACTATGTTGGCCACAGTGGTCTCAAACTCCTGGCCTCAAGCAATCCTCCCATCTCGGCCTCCCAAAGTGCTGGGATTACAGGTGTGAGCCACCACACCCAGCCTCAAATAGTATTTTTAAATATTAACATCATTTCTCTAAGGTGCCCTGTGTAGAAAATATTTTCCTTGAGTGTTTGTTTACAGACTAACTGTTCAAATGGGAACCTAATAAGGGCAAAACAAATGATGATAATTAGTATGTCCCTTCAATTATTTGTGGGTCAGAAAAATCCATAGCAAGATAGACAATATGAAACAGCTGAAATAACAGGGGCTTTGGGTCAAACAGAACCAGGTTTGAGACCCTTATAGTTATGAACTGTGTGACCCTGGACAAAGTACTTAACCTCAGCAAGCCTGTAAAATGAGAACAAATATAACATCTAACATTTGTTCATTACTTTTTATGTACTGGGCACTATGCTAATTATGTCACATGCATTCATTATCTCATTTTGTCCTCAAAATAATCCCGTGAGGAAAGTACTATTAATATCCTCATTTTACAGATGAAGAAATTGAAGCTCAGAAAGGTTGAGTAACTTGTCCAAAGTCACAGAGTAGCAGAGCCTGTAACTCAATGTCATGTCTGTCTGGCTCTAGAGACCAAGTACATAAACACCACTAGTAGTACTCCCAATAGTAGTACTCCCCTTATAGGGTGAATTGCAAGGATTAAATGAGATAATGCATGTAAGGCACATGCCTAGCACATAGCGCTGTTATTCTTACTAAACATTATTATATATTACTAGCTAAAATTTGTATAGCACTTTACTGCTTGTAAAGCTCATTTACATAGTAACTCATTGGAAACTGTCTCAGAAAAGTTAAAAGACTTGGTCAAGGTCATTTAGCTTGTAAGCACACTAATATCAGAACCTGGATCTTTTAATTCCAAAACGAGCCATTTTACCTTGGCTTTTAATCACTGGGGAGTGCTATGTTTTTCTATAGTTATTATTAGTAAGAGGTAGCTATTTTCAGATTAGGTGAGTTCTAATCTTGCCAGCCTCTAAATTGCTCCTTTATCTGGTAAATCTTGAAATCTGTTTCTTGATTTTCTGCTCGATTCTCTCCTTTATGTCAGATAATTCACCTTTCCAGAAATGTGGAGAAGTCTCATTTGTCCCACTCCTACATTCTTTTCCACAGTTAAATATATACATGTAGGTAGATGTCAAATTATGAATGGGCTATAGTTTGTAAGGTTATTTTGTAAGTTGGTTGTTTAGAAATCTGAGCATTTCTCCCATGTTTTGAATGAACATTAAGTCCCATAGGGAACCCATAGGAACCTATTATGAGCCTGTGCCAGATGCAGGAAAAGGGAGAGGGAATGTGGAGAATTATGAAGCTCCTTCAATTCATTCTGGGCTGGGCTAGATAAAAGTTTTGAAAGTCTTTGCTTTTCACATCTTCTCACCTCCTACAGCTTGTCTTGTTTCCTAGTGTCCCTTCTCTTTCTACTGCCCTGTACAGCCCCCAAATCAGGCCTGCCGTACACCAAGGAGTCTTCTAAGTTACAAAACTATCTACCTGCTCCTACTATTGTTTTCCTCTTCTCCCTCTACTCTAAATGGCTGTTTGATATGATATAGGAATTTGTAGAAAAGTAGGCTAATGAAATAATTCATGCTAAAGTAGGAAAGGCTGACTTCCCTTATCCCTTCTAGAGGTGTTTACATTTTAAAAAAATTATTAATAATGCAAGTGAATTTGTAATTGGTGAGAGCTGTAGCAGTGAAACAAAATAAAGTGAAAAATGGATATTATGTAGAAGGCATTTTGGAAGAGGTGTGTTGCAATCTGGGTAGAACAGCCCAGATAGGGTCTAATTCTTGTTCCATTCCTTAAACCCCCTCCAGCGCATTTACACACATACATGCCAAACACACCTCATCAGTTACCTTGGCTTCTAGTCTTTTTCTTTTCTTTTTTTTTTTTTTTTTTTTGGAGACAGAGTCTTGCTCTGTCACCCAGGCTGGAGTGCAATGGTGTGATCTCAGCTCACTGCAAGCTCTGCCTCCCGGGTTCACACCGTTCTCCTGCCTCAGCCTCCCCAGCAGCTGGGACTACAGGCGCCCGCCGCCATGCCCGGCTAATTTTTTTGTATTTTTAGTAGAGACGGGGTTTCACCGTGTTAGCCAAGATGGTCTCCGTCTCCTGACCTCGTGATCCGCCCACCTTGGCCTCCCAAAGTGCTGGAATTACAGGCGTGAGCCACCGCGCCCAGTCTGGCTTCTAGTCTTTTCCTCATCAACCAGATAACTATTAGCATGATAGCATTTCAGAACTGGAAAGGGTTTTAGAGCTAATGTCATTAGCTTATTTTATAATTGAGGAAATAGGGTTCAGATAGCAAGGCTCGTGCTCACAGTTCTTCTGCCTAAGAATCTAGGACATTTTCATCTATACTCCATGCTTAGCTTTCATAAGTCTTGTAAAATAAACTTAGAAATGCTCATGCATTGACCTTGTTCACTTATCCACTTGGAATTTCTTTTTTCTCTTTGGAGTTGGCAGGTGGAAGCCATCAGTGCTGGAGGCAAGATAGTCTGACCTGGTGTTCTTACCAACATGTTCTGGCCTGGAGGCCTGGCATTCTCTGTCCTCTGCCAAGTGGAGGAATTGGAAAATTAAAGGTTGTTTGGGGGCCTGGGCACATGCTTTCTTTTTCTTTAACTACTTATAGGAGATATCATGAGATTTAAAAATGCATGTGAAAGTGTTAGGATCATGATTGCCTCTTTCTTCTTTCTCTCATTGAGCATTTGTATTTTCACTCTAACAATTGGAACAAGTCTTTTTGCTGCCTTAGCAGTACAGCATAGTGGTGGGGATCCTGGTCTCTAGAAAGGCAGACCACCTGGGGCCATATCTCAGCCACTACTTCCTGGCTGGATTACCTTAACACGCTCCTTCACTTCTGTGCCTCAGCTCCTTCATCTAGAAAATAGACACACTGATAGTTTACACTGTATGGGGTTGTTTAATATATGGAAATTCTTAATAAATGTTAGTTGCTGTCATCACCATTATCATCAATATCTATGGGCCTTTTTAGTTTGCTTTTTTATTTAAAAAAATTTTTTATACTTAAGAAAGGGAAGCTTTTCTGGTCTTAGCTGCCTTTCTCTATTGCCTAGCAATCTGAAAATAGTGCAGTCATTGAAGGTTAAGTCGACCCTTTATGCAATTCTTGCCTGGGAGGCCTCATTGTGTATAGTGAGTCACCACCACTTAGAAGTGGACAGTGAGTCAGTAGCCTATTAAGGGGAGGTCAGAAGTTCCCCTGGCTCAAAATGAAAGGATCCAAACCCAACCCTGGGGTACAGAAAAAACAGTGTACTTATATGGCTGACTGGACTTGAAGTGCCATGGAGTACCTGGACTACTCCAGTGAGAAGGCATAATATGGCGGGTAAACGCTGGGGCTTTAGAATCACACAGGCCTCAGTTGGATTTCAGCTCTACCTCTGCCTTGCTGTGTGACCTCAGACAAGTTGCTTAACCTCTCTGTGCCTCGTTTTTCTATCATCTGTAAATGGAAATGATCATAACAAAAATTACTTCATGATACAAATGAGTGGGAAAATGCTAAGAATCAAGTAAATACTTAAAAAAAGGTTATTATTATTATTATTATATTACCACATCATCATCATTAATGGGAGTCGGGACAGACAGTTCAGGGATCAGGGATAATGGAGGAGCAAATTAAGGGGGAAAATAACAGGAACAAGTCTGTGTCTTTGATGTGGTGAGTTTTAGGTAGTGACACCTCATTTAGCTGGTGTTAAGTATGAAAGAAGTCATAATTTATTCTTTACTGCATACCTATGAAGGAATGAGTGATGTGTGTTCTCATAATTTCCATTTTGTAAAGGAAGATTCTGAGGAATAGAGTCTAAACAATCTTCATGAAAAAGTACAGAACTGATTCAGCAGCAGTTAGGAGCTAAGCTTCCATTCAGATCCTGTTGCATAGGGATAACTCTTCTGGCCTAGGCAGAGGAGACCTTGTTAGGTCTGTGAGTCCACAGTATCTAAAAATATGAATGTCATATAATCATCCTGTCATTCTTCTTCCTGATCTCAATTGGCCCTCCTGATTTCATGCCATCTGCAAATTTGCACATCCTTTGTGCTCCTTTTTGCTCACATTTTATGCCTTCTTTTACCATCTCATTTACTCTGCATGTTTCAATCTTTCTGGGCTTCCATTTTTCTTCTTTTTTTAATGCAGTGTTGTTTCTCTCTCTCTCTCTCTCTCTCTCTCTCTCTCTCCACTCCTTTACAGCCCCCACCTCCTCCCTCCACACCAATCAAATTCCTGCTTGTTTCTTGCCATATTCATTATCCTACCTCATTCCCCTCTTATTCCTAGAAAACAGCACACTCACCCTCCCCTCCTCCAACTCTCAGGCCCACCCTCCATAAATTCCAGCAGCCTGGCAATCAGTAACTTTAGCATCACACTTCACAGCTCTCCTAGTTTACACTACTTGTTACTACTCTCCTTGCTACTGCTCTCTAGGGTTTCTGCTAAAATAAAAAATAAAAAAAAATAAAAAAAGCTTCACTTTAAAAATATCTTGGGTACAAGTTGAACCTACAGTTAAGTTTACTCACACATTTACACATTTCATGATTTTATTTTAACTAGTAGCTCAAGTCCATGCTCAATTATGCAGTGAAAGAAGGCTAGATCCTTAGGAAACAAATTTTTCTCTATTGTAAAGAAGAAAAATCACCTAACCACTCAACAGAAACCCCAGTCCTGGGGCCACTCACCCTCTTATCTCCCTACTCCCCCAATCTCCAGCTAATGGGACTTTGCTTTTTCCTTTGTCGGGTCATTTATTTCACTTTTCCTGGCGCTGAGATGGCCTGAGTCTGTGTATGTGTGCACACGTGTGTGGCCACTGCTTTTCTTCCAAAGGACTCACCTCTCTTCTGCCATTTTACTAGGACACAGGAGGCGGCTCTCTGCTCTCGCTCTCCCTCTCTTTTTCTCCCTGCCCCCAACTCAGCCTGGGCTTTTTCCTGTCTCTTAACTCCACCAGTGCAGCAGCAACTAGCTGAGCTGCTTGAGAGAGAGAGAGAAGAGAGAGAGAGAGAAGAGAGAGAGAGAGAGAGAGGAGAGAGAGAGAGAGAGAGAGAGAGAGAGAGAGAGAGAGAGAGAGAGAGAGAGAGAGAGTGTGTGTGTGTGTGTGTGTGTGTGTGTGTGTGTGTGTGTGTGTGCCTGCGTGCGCAGCTAGGCCAAGCCTGCGAGCCTGCCTGTCACTGGAGAGTTTTAGTTTGCATTCAGAAGAAAGGAGGAGGGGAGACAAGAGGGGAGGAGGAAAAGGTGGAGGGGGGAGGAGTGGGGGGGCGCAGAGAAGGGAGGGAGAATGTCTTGTTTGTGGCTTGTCAGCAATTGCTTGAGACAAGCTTCCATGTGTGAAAGCTACTTGGCATGAATGCCTGGGCCGTACCAAGTGTCACCGCAGCAAGAGGGGGAGTCAGAAGAAAAACAGATCAGACCAGAGCAGACAATAGGCCCCTAAAGTGTTCCCCCTAAGTTGCTTTGATGTTGTCCTGGTGTCTTGATACCAGGAGGCCAGGGATTGCGGGAAAAGGGTCTTTTTTGTCTTCATTCACTTTCCCCCCTCAGTTTCTGAAATGATTCTCCAGAATTTCTCCTCATAAAAAAGGTAAGAGCCCTAACAATTCCTTCTTCGGTGGCAGGCTTGTTCGCCTGTGCCTGGAAGTGGGGGTCTCATTCCTGCGCTGCTCTGGAGGAGCGCTGGGGTCCTGCGATTGGAGCTCCTGCGTTGCCCCTGGAAGTCTTTCAAGGCATCCAGGACTGGGGATGGCCCCTCTTTCGAGGGAACCCCAGTAACACGATCTGTGCCTCTGGGTTGGTGGGGGAGAAGGGGTGGATGGAGAGGGCTGGGAGGAGGGTGTGAGGGTGGGAGGGAAAAGAGAGAGAGAGAGGGAGCGCGAGAGAGGGAAGCCTGGAAAAGAGGGAGAGAAGGGCAGAGCCTTGGTTCAGGGAAACCCCAGCCCAGAGCCCAGGGAGGCCTTGCAGGCTCCGAGCTGTGCATTCTCAGGCTGAGCAAGGGCCGGCCAGGGCTCCGCCGAGTGACTGCAGAGATTGCATCGAGCTTTGTGTGTGCCAGTGTGCCCGTGGGTCTGTGTGTGCGTGTGGACTTCCCACACACTGCCCTGGCGTGCCTCGCTGTGAAGGGGAGGCACCCCGATCCTTACCACCCCAGCCCAGACTCTCCGAGGAGGAGCGGCATGGCAGGCAAGAAGGGAGAGCAAGAGAACTCTGCCACAAGACGATCCAGAAACTTTTCCAGTCTCAGGGATTCCTCTGGTCGTAGAGACTGTTGAGTTGTGGGGTGCCCCGTGCCTCAATTTCCCCATCTGTAAAATCAAGGTTGCTGATCAGGGATGCTGTATGCCTCCCTGGGATTGAGCGAAACAGAACAGATCACTGTGTCTGAAACGCGTGGAGAAATCGTCAGCTAGAGATGCTGTGGAATCACAGAGTAGAAGTGTTATCATTATTCTTGATCATCATCATCAGGGTAATAAAAACATCATTAAAGACACCCTGAGACAAATAGACTGAGGAGCACAGATCAAGTGTCTGAGCATTTCTAAGGAAACAAAAAGCCTTGTTCCACCTGTTGGCTTCTGTCCTTTTTCTCTTGTGTCTTTTCGTTAGATTTATTGGCCGATTTGTACAGAGAATGGGGTGGGAGGGGTTGGGTTTTCCCCTTTCCTCCTCCTTGTACGTATTTTTGTTTTAAAGAAGGTCAATGTAAGATGCTTGAGCGAGAAAATGTGCCTCCTGGTATAGTAGTTTATTCAAGACCTTGTGTTTTCTGGGGCTGGCAGGGCATGCAGACGCATCTGTAAACTCTACCTTGGAGGTTAAAGATTTTTATTGTGGCTTTTAGAGATTAAATGAGATTTATTTACAATTGCTGTTTATCAGAGAGTAAATATCTTACTGTGTGTGTACGAGGCTAAGAATGTGAAGGCTGTTTACTCGCCGGTGGTTTTGTGGATAAAACCTTTTGCTTTTTCAAGTGACATCTTGAGGGATGGAACAGAGGGCTAAAATCAGTGCCTAACATTCATCTTAACAATTTTTTTTGAGGAAAAAAAATGTCTGCTTATTTTCTTGAATTGTGGATTTCCTTTCTTCTGTTCCTACACATTGATTGTTTAAAGGCTCTCAGTTGTAGCTCTCTCTGAATTCTCTGGAGGAGTTCTGCTTTCTTACCTAATTCTAGGTTTTCTGTGACTCTGCTACTTGTCCAAAAAAATCTGTAAAAGTCTAGGAGGCTGTGCCTCCTTCCATTCTAACTGCAAATGTTTATCAGACTGACTCCCTGTGATAGCTGGAGATTGAAGCAAAGGGCCAGCCCTGGCTGAGAATATTTATGTGCTTTTCACAGAGGCCTGGAAACCTGACTTCTGAGTATGGGAAAAGCTGAAGGAAAGCCATTAGTTGGCCTGGATCTGGCAAGAAGGTCCCCCTACATTTAAGGTTTTATTAAAATAAAGCTGTATTTTATGCATATATATATCTGAAAACTTAGTTGTTTTCTACTTTATAGTCAGAGATCTTACCATGGTTGTTCCTGACAAGATTTCAGGGTCCAGATATCTTCCTAAAATGTTAGAATTTAAGAACTGCAAGGAAAAAGAAGTGTTATTCCATCATGTTATAGATGAGGATGTTAAGGTCCAAGAGAGATAAGCACTGATCTGAGGCGGGTGCAACAAAGCTGTGGTAACATCTAGACCACACCCTGGGGTTCAGAGTACCCCAAGGGTCTTCATGCCGGGTACCCTTACCTCACACCCACATTTGATTTTACAAACTCCAGCACTTGGCCAACCAAAGAGAGGCACCTTTTGTAGTTCTGCTTGCTGTGCTGGATTACAGCAGCACACTCTGCCCTGCTCATGTCATCAAATGGTACAAATATGCAAACATGGGTCCACAACATGAATTTGCATAAATTCATTCATGTATTCATTTGTTCATTCAACTTATATTTTGGGGCTCTTTACTCTGCAGCAGGCAAATACTGGGCACTGAGGATATAGGAAGAGAAAGGCAGATATACCCCTGCCCTCAGGGAACTTACAGTCTTGTTGGTATGATCAACATTAACCACATGGTCACACAAACCAGTAATCATAATATTGATGATACTTGTTGAATAGCATGCAAGTATTATGACGGAGTGCATAGAGTTGCATAAGTTATTGACTCAAAGTGTGTAACTAGACATAAGCTAACTGTTCTCTTTCTCTGTGTGGCTGAGTTCCCCTTGCCCCAGCCAACCTCCATTCCACTGGTGCCATTCCTATTCACAGGGAGCCCAGCAATTCCAAAGAGCAGAAAATTCTCCTTCCCTCTCTCACCATCCTTCACTCTCTCTCTTTTTCTTAGCACACAGACCAACAAATAATATCTGCTAATCCCCTACACTTGTGCCATGAAGTAACTTCACTCTTGTAGTGAGCAGCCTAACATTGTTACCTGGATAATTCATGTTGACCGTGGTTAGTGAGACTCTGATCTCGTTTTACTGATTCCATCGTTCTTCCAGGGCTGGTACTAAACACTCAGCTGCAAGAGACTCCACCATTATCACTGTCATCTTGGAATTCCAAAGACAATATAATAAAATGACCTTTCCTACCCCTCCCAGCAAGGACACATATCCTACCCCTCCCAGTGAGGACTCATAAAGGGAAAAAAAAATTAAATACCTTTTTAGCAGATCTCTGGTTGTGCTATTAAAATCTGACTGGTTTAGTGATATCAAAGATAGAATGTTTTTTCTCTCTCTCTCTCTCTTCCTCCTATTTGTGGCCTTTCTTGGAAAGAATATAGTGTCTGGTTGAAATGCCAGTCATTTCCACGGAGGCAGATTTGTGTTAATGTTGGCATCACCATTTTCTACATCGTGTCTTTCTCTAGTACTCAGTGGAGTGTTGTCTTCAGTGTTGTCAATCCATCTTTTTTTTTAAGATTAATTTAATAGTTTTTTTAGAAGACAGACATGCCCACCCACACATAAATCATAGGTTCGATGCCTATACTTTGGGAACCCACACATAATGTGTGGTTAAGTCGTGTCATGAGAAAAATAAGAGTCATTTCTACATACCCAGCATTGTTACACAGGGATGTGCCCAGCCCACATTGTAGCAACAACCTAAACCGGAGCTTGCCAGCTTGCTGTGGTCTGCATTTGGCACCTGTGGCCAACGCCTCCTCCTCTGAGCGGTATGCACTTCATTTGCAAGTCTTTGATCACTTCCGACATACTCTCCCCCACCCCAAGTGTGTTACTCACCGGGGAGCTGCCTCTTGGGGAGGCAGTCTGAGTTGGCATTGGAAGAGTAATCTAAGAAGAGGAGTAATCCAAGTGGGGAGTTGAGGAGTGAGTAAAACGAGGATCTGGTCAGAGGAAAGATTTAACAGAACTGGAGAGCCAGACAGCAGTGATAACAGGTCATCTTTAACTCTGGGGGAAGAAAACTGAAGACTGTTATGACATTTTAAAGGTGCAATGTGTAGGTACTCTGCATAAATAAAAATTCTAGAGTCTCTAGTCCTGCTGAAAGTAAAACCAACACAACATGCAGGACATTCCCAAAACTCACTAGTTACAAATACGGCTTTTGCATATAGCTTTACTGAAGGGGATTTTGTAGTTTTTCTACTCCCAAGAGACATAAATATAAGATGTACAATGGAAATTTTCTCCATTCCTTTTAAACCTTGACATTTTAATGCACTTTAAAATATCTGCTTAGTCCTCTATTATAACAGCTCTGTGAATTAAACAGTATTGTTATCCTTCTGTTATATTTGAGTAAGGTTATGTGACTCACCCAAGGACTCACAAGAAAATGAGGGGTGAAACTGCTAGCTAATTAAATCTCCTTGTTAGGCCATCTCTGCAAGAGATGAGAAGCAGAGAACAGAGGCAATCACCACAACATTCAGATTAAAGGTAACGTGTTGACTTGGCATTAAAATAATTGCCTTGGGCCAGGCACGGTGGCTTAATCCTGTAATCCCAGCACTTTGGGAGGCCGAGGCGGGCGGATCACGAGGTCAGGAGATCGAGACCATCCTGGCTAAAACGGTGAAACCCCGTCTCTACTAAAAATACAAAAAAAATTAGCCGGGCTTGGTGGCGGGCGCCTGTAGTCCCAGCTACTCCGGAGGCTGAGGCAGGAGAATGGTGTGAACCCAGGAGGAGGAGCTTGCAGTAAGCTGAGATCCCGCCACTGTACTCCAGCCTGGGTGACAGAGTAAGACTCCAAAAAAAAAAAATAATAAATAATAATAGTTGCCTAAGTTTTGCCATCCCCCCCCTTTTTTTAAAACACTAGAATTTAGAGTGTTCATCGAAAAAAGGGATCCTAGTTCTAGTTTAATAATGACATGTTTTCTACAAAGTGCAATGGACCAGCTTCTAGCTTTGGTTTTGCCAGTCTGTGGCCTAGAAATCCCCATTCTACTTCTCTAGACCTCTCAGAATGAGGGAATTGGACTAAATCATCTTTAAGCTTCCTTCCAGCTCTGCTATTCAGTATTTTTCTGATTCTGTGAATAGGATACTTCATGAATCTGGTCTTTGGTCACCTTATATGAAGCCCAATTCAAGAACTATAGTTATCAAAGGGGAAAGGGTAGTGGGTTTTGTGGATATATAGGATTCATTCCTATACGTCTATATCTATCATAGCGACTATGTTGACATTTTGAAGTGAAAAGCTCAATGGGAAAAAGTGAGATTTTAATTTATATCCTTTAGGAGAAATTGCCAGTCAGCATGCAGACACATGTGCAAGAGACCAAAGAACCATTTCTGAAAGAATAGGCTGTTTTGAATGCATGTTTTTCTGTATAAGTATGAATTTAAAATGGACGGGCACTGGGTACATCTCTTAGCTTTGCTGTTCTCACAGGCTTTTCCATAAAAATCGTGTTTTTTTTTATATTGTGCTCACATGTTGTTTTGAGGATGCAAAGAAACAGTGTAAGCAACTATAGTGCTGATGATACATGCTATGCGTTTAACACTATGCTTTTGGGGATGACAGGACAATCTTTATGACATGCAACTCCTGAAAGAGATTATTGAAGACTTGCTGATATGTTACGTATGTGTATGTGTGTATAAAATATGTGTGTGCATATATATTATATATGCCTTTAAGATATGAGTAATAAGCTGCTTCTGAAATGTGATTGAGGGTGAGACAGAGGGTAGAGAATGAATGATGTTTTCATTAATCATGTCATCTCTATGAGTAATTCCAAGCACTATTCATTTGAAATTGGTTAAACCTTTGAAAAGATATAATTTAAAAATTTCACACAATGGCTCTTAATGCAATTTTTAGAACTCCAGAGTAAATTTTCTGCCATGTTTTAGGAATATCATCTTGCTTGGAGCAAGGGAAACCAGTTCAAGGTTGCTTTGACAGTAAACCACTGACTCTATTTTAATTAGTTTTACGTTTTCTCATCTGGAAAAAAATAGTATGTAAGATATAATTACTTTCTAGCTGGGAAAGAGGATTTTTCACACTGTATGTAATAATTTTTTGACTTACAATGTTCCTTTATTCTGGGTTGCTTAAAATTCCTGACATTGAATATCTTGCTTAATGTCATAACAATAATAATAAGTAGATGCATAAGAGAAATTTATTGTTAACTTTAAAGACGGGAAAAAAGAAATAGTTTAGTGAAGTGGACATGCCAGTAAGACTTTTAGAACCTAAGAATGTACTCTGTAGAAATTTGTGAAGCGTTTGGTTACCGATGAATGCTAAACATTATAAAGGAAAAGAAAAGCATATTCTACATATTATTGTTGCCAATCTAATTTTTAATGATCTAAGTAGTTATCAAAAGTATTCTTAAAGATTCAAAATGCCTTCAGTTTAAAACTTTGGAGAGCTTTAGTAATTCCATGAAAATCACAATCACTCTTTTTCCTGAAAAATACGCAAATTCAAAACTACCACTAATGGCATTTGAAGGAAACCAAGCTGTCATTTGCTCAGAAGAGAAACTTATGAACCTTGGAGTAGCTTTTTATCTGGGATAATACTAGATATGTTGGACTTTCTGTTATCCTTAGGGCTTGTGTAGTTAGTATATGTTTGAGGAGAGAAATTTTGCTGGGGGTCTGTGGACAAGGGTCATTTTGAGTGAAGGTTAAGGTCATACTTGCTCTAAGGATGCTTGGATTGGTGGTTTACTGTATAGACATCCATGACACACTGGAGTGTTTAAGGCAACCATAGTCTAAAGAATTCAGGACTTTAACTCCTGTGCCAGTGCCCACGTTGCTGTCTCTGCCTGGAGTGTCTTTTTGCCTTATCTTTTCCAAGCCAGCTCCAGCTGCTCCTTTCAAGATTTATCCTGGGCATTTCTTCTGGGAAGTTTCCTGGACCCAAACCATGTCATTCCTGCTCTACCACCTCCTAGACTGGGTATGCACTTATGTGGCTCTTATCATACTGCACTAGAATCATCTGCCTCCTGCTCTGGGCTGTGGCCCCTCAAAGATTGGGATTGTTTGTAGTTTTTGTACCCCTAATCCTTAGCATAGGGTGAAACAGAACAGGCAATCAATAAATGTTGGTGAATGAATAAACAGTTCACATTGAAATAGAGCTAATTAATAAATTTAATTAAATATACATCCAGAGGCTGAGGTGGGAGAATTGCTTGAGACCAGCCTGGGTGAGATAGTGAGACCCTGTCTCAAAAAAAAAGTATAAATACAAAAAGAATTGACAAGAAGAATCTTAAATTGCAACCTTATGTTGCATTAAAGAAAGGAAATTTCTCATAGGGTATCCGTTTTCTCTCCTGTTGCAAAGAATAAAATATACAGTCATAATAAAGCATTTCGTATACTCTCAAATTCTCTCCTTTTCTTTCTTTCTTTTTTTTTTTTTTTTTGACTGAGTTTTGCTCTGTTGCCTAGGCTGGAGTGCCGTGGTGAGATCTCGGCTCACTGCAACCTCTGTCTCCTGGGTTCAAGCGATTCTCCTGCCTCAGCCTTCCAAGTAGCTGGGATTACAGGTGTGCACCATGACACCCAGCTAATTTTTGTATATTTAGTAGAGACAGAGTTTTGCCGTGTTGGCCAGGCTGGTCTTGAACTCCTGACCTCAAGCGATCCACCCACCTCAACCTCCCAAAGTGCTGGGATTACAGGCATGAGCCACTGCACTCGGCCTCCTCTACTTTCTTATGCCCAGCTTTTTCCCCCTAAAGCTTTTGTTTTTCATGTTTCCCACTCTTGGACCTTGTGATTTCCTACAACTTTATTTTTTACGTCAAAGAATCACAGATGATAAATGAGTTAGTTAAGTTTGCCTATCTTACCTGCTATTTATTAATATTTAGGTAGTAGCTAAAGAAGAGAAGTTTCTTCTAGCTCAGAAACAGGAAAAATCAGAGATCTTTGAGGAAGTCTGGACAATCAGAGAATAGAAGGTGAATGCCTGACTTCCAGGAATCTGCAGTTGTGACCATCTGAAACAAAGAAGGAGTCACTGTAATTTAACTTTCATTTTCTAAAAAAGGTTTTAAGTGCTAAACCCTCTAGAAAAGGGCTTCTGGTTGCAAAGGACTGACTCACTCAGGTTTCCTCTAGAAAAGTGACATTCATCGTGAAGATGCTCACAGATAGAGCCTGCAATCAAGACTCGGAAACCTTTTAGGTGCTGAGGCAGCTCTGGGGACAACCTTCTCTTTCATATCAGTCTGATTCTCTCCCTCTGTGTTTGCTTTCCTCAGGCTCTTTTGCTACTCACTGCTTTGATCTTCTAGCTTTTTTCTGAGTAACCACTCTCAATCTCATAGGTTTTTAATTACACCCCTAATTGTTGCTTCTTTGACTTGTCAAGAGCCCCATGTCCAGAATCTACTCTCTCTACTCTTCCCACTTCATGGCTTTTCCTCATGGTTTCTTTCCTTACATTCTTTCAGCTGCAATTTTCCCTGATAATTGCTTCCTTCTCTCAGAATTCCCTAATTTAGATTCCCAAGAAAGGATCCAGTTAACCCAACTCATCTTTTCACTGCCATGCTTTATAGGTTCTTAGCCAGCTTAAGGTTGGAGCTGTCCGTGAGCCAGAAGGTCACCTCTAGTCTAGGATGTTGTGGTAAAGGGAGATGGGTAGGGGTAGAGCGGTTGTCACTTGGTATAAAACTGGACTGTCTTTTAGTACGAACCATGGAAGGGCCATCTTCCCTTCCACGTAACTGGCAATGAATATATTTGACACAGCTAATATAAGCCCATTATGGAAGTCTAGGAAATTAAGGCTAACTAGATTACTAAAAATTAAAATTTTCATGGGTGACAATTAGTATAACTGAGATAAAAAGACCATGAGAACAATGGCAAATTTATAACAAAAAAAATTGGGAGAGGGAAGTGTATTAGAGTTAGCTCTTAGATGAGTGACGTCATTTCATGTATTTATCAAAAAGCAAGAATAGGTGAATAGTGAGAGTGAGAATATATTGACATGGATCCCACAGGCTAGTTTAAAAAGCAAGCATACTACTGGAATTGGGGACCAGGATGAGGATAAATAGAAGCATTAAACTCCATAGGGAGCTTCAAAGCCTGTGCTTTCTTCCTGTGCTTTCTTCCTATGCTTCCCTGTTCTGTACTTGATCCAACTTATTTGTAACTTCTGGAACAGTCTGTCCTGAACTGGTTATGTGACCTTGGGCTGGTTATTTATTCTCTCGGAAACTCAGTTCATCATCTGTAAAATAGGGATAATAATTGTTATTTAAATAGCTTGTCTTAAGAATTAAATTAGATGGGATCATATATTTAAAGTGACTGATACACATTACCTGATATGTAAAAGGCACTCAATCAGCTGTAGCAATTATTCTAGAACATAAGGAGGAAGGAAATGTTGACAGAACAATGTGCTGGGTAAAATTCCACTTTTTGTATCATTTATTCCTTATAACAATCCTGAGGGACTTGTATTATTATTTCTACTTTATAAATGAGGAGACAATAATAATAATTGAGTATTTGCTATGTGCCACACACTGAGCTAAACTCTTCCAGGCATTGTCTCATTCAAACTGCGATAGGTGCTATTAATACCTTCATCTCATAGTTGAGGACACTGCGGTCTAGAGAGTATAACTTGCCCAACATCATCCAATTAGTAAGTGACAACTAGAGTGTAAGTCTATCTAAAGCTGGGTCAGTCTGACCGCAAAGGATTTCCAAAGTCATATAATTGCTAAGTGACTGAGTCAAGGCTCAGGTCTTGTTAAGGGCAGTACTTCTTCAGTGCACAGCCAAAGGTACATGCTGATTGAATGAAGGATAGTGGCAGGCACACACCTATTAGGGTCTCTGACTCTGAGTGCCATGGTTAGTCAAGGATAAGTTTTGGATAGGGTACTGTTACGGTTCAGCTGTTCCCTCCATAACTTATGTTCAAATTTAATTGCCATTATGACAGTATTAACAGGTAAGACCTTTAAGAGGCGGAGAGGTCATAAGGGCTTCATCCTCATGAATGGATTAGCACTGTTATCTTGGGAGTGGGTTAGTTATCAAGGGAGTGGGCTCCCGATAAAAGGATGAATTTGGCCCCCATTTTCCCTCTGCCATGCCCACATGTTCACTCACCATGTGATGCCTTCTGCTATGGAGTGACCCTCACAAGATGTGGCCCCTTAATCTTGGACTTTCCAGACTCTAGCAAATAAATTTCTTTTCTTTATAAATGACGCAGTCTGTGGTATCCTGTTACAGCAGCAGAAAATGGACTAAGGTATAGACTTTTAAAAGTTTTAATAATTTAAATATGTCAAAATAAGGTCTCTGAGACCTGAGGAAGTGATTTAACAAATATGATAAATATCTGTTGTATGTCAGGCAATGAAAATTAGCTTGGCATTGTGGGGTGCAAGATGACTGAGGCTTGAATCCCTACCTTTAAGGTGCTTTCATCCTGGTGGAGAGAGACAGATATTCACAGAACTAATTATAAAGCATATACCAATGGATCAAAAGAACTGTGGTAGTCACGGGAGAGAACAATTAATTTGGTGGTGAAGGGAATAATGGTGGAAGGAATTGGGGAACACTTCATGAAGGAGATGACATTTGCAATGGTCCTTGAGGGATGAATGTGGAAGTACTAGACGTCTTCTATAGTTTAGTTTTTCTTCACACCAGTGGTTTTATAAAGGGTGATATAAAGTAGCATTGTAATGACTGAATAATAGATTGAGGCCAGGTGCAGTGGCTCACACCTGTAATCTTAGCACTTTGGGAGGCCAAGGCGGGTGGAACAACTGAGGTCAGGAGTTCGAGACCACCCTGACCAACATGGAAACCCTGTCTCTACTAAAAAATACAAAATTAGCCAGGCGTGGTGGCGCATGCCTGTAATCCCAGCTACTCGGGAGACTGAGGCAGGAGAATCACTTGAACCCAGGAGGCAGAGGTTGCAGTGAGCTGAGATCGCACCATTGCACTCCAGCCTGGGCAAAAAGAGTGAAACTCTGTCTCAAAAAATAAAACAAACAAACAAACGAAAAGATTAACAGATAATAATGCTTTTAAAGATTAGTTTCCTTGAGTGAAAGCAGAGAAATATCCACTCTTACTAACCATAAGACTATATTGGCATTTTCCTAGTCTGTACTTACCCAGAGTTCTGTTGAAGGAATCACACAATGAAATACCCTGTTCTACGCTTTCTAGGTTTGGGTTCTAGAGTTGAACAGCAATCTAACAAGGGCCTATAAATCCCTGGTGTGACCATATGGGACACTAGTGTGAGTTCTTGTGCAGTACAAAGGAGTACTAAGGTACTGACAGATGGGTCATTTATTCATCTACTCTTTGAGATTTTAGTCTGCAGTTGGGAATTTCCAATTTTTTTTTTTTTACATACAATACCAGGCTTTCTGGATTTGGTGGTTTTTTTGGAGACAGTCCTAATTTAAAACATTCTGCCTTGTCTCCATAAGTATATTCATGATTAGTAGTCAGTATATTCTGGTGGTTGTTTCAGGTTGTTCAGTTATATTGAGTTTCTACATCCGAATCCTGTTTAAAGAGGGCCTAGTAGACATCTTCTGCATTATGGACTTTGTTCACTTGCTGTGACAAAGTGCATACTGACTGGTCTTTACACTGTAAGGTAGAACCTCAGCTAAGCTCTCTTATTCTGTTTTGGTTTGGTTCTTTACTTAGCTTCTCTTTTCCCAAACTCTGCAGATGGACATTAGACTCATTCTTATTTCAAGGACTGGCTCAAATGTCACATTCTGCACGGTCTTTTTCAATTCCTAGAGCCAGAGGACTCTTGCATCCATGCTATATTCTACTTTGCTTAGAATGATCATATTAGCTATATGTGTTCACTATCACAAATCCCTTAATAGAGAGTAAACCAGAGGGTAAGGATTTAGGTCCTGTTCACCTCTGCATCTCCAAGAGCATCCAGCAGAGTTCCTCTCCTTACAAGTGGTTGTGCTCAGAGATGTTTATTGAACTCAACTGAATTGAATTCTTGGCTTCATTGGATTTGCTTTGAGTATGGTAACATTGATGTCTGTGCCCTAGTTCCCTTTTGGAAAAGAAATGCTGCCTTAAAAATAAAAAGCATCTTAACTGATTTTGGGATGAAAGACACCATGTAATATAAGCAGTAATTGTAATTATTATTAATAAGCATCATTAAAATAGTATGAACTGATAGGATTACTTCCTTTGCTTGCTTTTGCCAGCAGAGTTGGCAGGTTTGATAAACTAACTGGTCTTTTCCATCTTCAATATCTATGATTCTTTGAAATTTTATGTAGACAAGTGCAAACTAATGTACACTGGAAGGAACAATTGAAACAGCTCATACTCACTGATGGGCTCTGAATTACTCTACTTGTAAGTGCTCAGGAAAAAGATCTTGGATTCATTGTGGATTGCTCAATGGAGACATCTGCTCACTGTGCACCAGCAGTCAGAAGAATGAATGAGATATAATAGGCTGTATTAACTTTGAGAATGGGATAAAGAATAATGCAGAAAATAATATAGTGTGCATAATTTGCCATTGACTATTTCTGTAATTACAATAAAACATTTTAATGATATACACTGATGTTACGATTCACCTTAAAATCAGAAATCAGCATTGGGTCCTTTCATTTCAAAGAAAACAAAGCAGAAATACAAAGGTTCCAGGGAAGAACAACAGACAGTCTCAAAGACATACAGGGATTTATCTGTAATGAGAAACTGAAAAGACAAGGACATTTTAATTTTGGGTAAAGGGAAAGATGACATTGTATAAATTTATTTAAAATTAACGAAAATTTCAGAAAATTGCTGGAGCTGGCTTCTGTTTATCCTTAGTAATGGAGGTCAGAGATAGGCAGGATAATTGGAATCCTTGATAATCTCCAATCCTCATTTTAGCTATTAGTTGCAGCATCCTGTCCTACCAGTAGTTTTAACAAATGAAAAAATATAATACCAGACATGACAGCTCAGGGTTTGTGAAGTGAACAGCTCATGAGAAAGGCAGTCTGGGCTATTGAGAAGTCCACAGAATTTGGAATCAGGCGACCTGGGTTCTAGTCCTTGCTCCCTGTTTATTGTCTGCGCAACCTTGAATGAAGTGTTTAACTTCTATGAGACCTAGTTTCTACATGGGTAAAATGGAGATAGTGGAAATAGTTATTTTACAGGATCTTTGGGGGAACTGAGTGAGCTAGTTGGAAGTGATGGCTGGACTGTGCTGGTTGAGTATTGGTTGTTGAGAGTGCTTGCCTCAGGGGCCAACATATCTCCAGGTCCCTGGTGCTTACACACCACCTTTCTTTCTCTTCAATCTCCTACTTCTTAATGATCTTGGCAAGAGATTTTAGAAGTATAAAACATTTTCTTCATCTCAGAATCAGCATTCCTACTCCCTTGCTCCTGAAAAGCCTTAAAATAATTTTGCACTCATTTTTATTAATGTATGATTAATTAGAGGTCATCTTATGTAATCTTCACAGCAGCCCCTTGAGGTGGGTACTGCTATTATCCTCATCTTTCAGATGCAGACCCCGAGACATAGAAGACTTGTTTAAGAACACACAGTAATGGCAGACTAAAGAGTCAAACTTATGCTATCATGCCTCTGGGTTGGTTTACGAAGTCTAGAACACTGAGTTATGTGACTATACTGATTTCTCCCCTGGGAAGTGACTGGCTTTCCTTATTTCCCTAGGAACTCCTACTCTATACTTTGGCACCCAACTCAGGACTCACCTGCCCCCATGGAGGCTGTCCTAAGCCCTCTCTTCCCCTGTAAGAGATCATCTTGTTTGCCTTCACACCCTGTATTGTAGCTTTTAACGTATTATTTGGTTAACAACAGTAGAGACCCTTATACCCAATTCAATTAATAACTAACGATTTAGTTGAACAAGTTAGTTAAGGCAGGAATCATACCAAATGATGGAAACATACCTTAAGCTTTTATTTTAATTTAAAACATGCCTCAGGTTTTTGATGTTGGGCCAAGGCCCCATCTTTGGAGTCGAAGGCTTCCTATTAGACTTCTGAGTCTCGTTTCTTACATAAGTCACACCCCTGAAGCTTTCCCAATCATTTTTTGTCCCGGGTTCTTTAAAGTGGAGCAAGATCTTAAAGACATTTGTGGGGCAATCAGATTTTCCAGATTTAATGATGTTTTGTGGTTGGCTCTCTCATGCCTAAGTTGATAGCACATTTTTTAGTAACTCATTTTTAAAGCCTTTTCTAAACATTCACCTTAGATCTTACAGAAACAACATCTCTTTTGCACTCATATTTCATTACTTTAAGTAAGCTTAATTAAATTATGTAATTACAATAATAGGAAGAAGTAGCACAAATAGGCTTGGGAACAAACACTGATTCTTGGTGAGCAGACAGCTCCACTGGTGGCAGGAAGGGCATGAAGGTGTCCTAGAGTAGCCTACTACTAGCAGTGAGGCTCAGCAGATTGAGGGTCTTACATCTTTACAATTATTTATTTATTTACTTATTTACTTATTTATTTTGAGACAGAGTCTCACAGTGTTGTCTGGGCTGGAGTGCAATGGCTCCATCTTGGCTCACCACAATCTCTGCCTCCAGGGTTCAAGCAATTCTCCTGCCTCGGCCTCCTGAGTAGCTGGGATTACAGGAGCCCGCCACCACTCCTGACTATTTTTTTTTTTTGTATCTTTTAGTAGAGACTGGATTTCACTATGTTGGCTAGGCTGGTCTCGAGCTCCTGACCTCATGATCTGCCTGCCTCGGCCTCCCAAAGTGCTGGGATTACAGGCGTGAGCCACCGCGCCCAGCCTCATTTATTTATTTATTTATTATTTTTATTTTTATTTTTATTTTTTGAGACAGAGTCTCCCTCTGTCGCCCAGGCTGGAATGCAGTGGCACAATCACAGTCACTGCAACTTTGACCTCTCAGGCTTAAACAGTTCTCCCACCTCAGCCTGAGTAGCTGAAACTACAGGAGTGCATCACCACACTTAGCTAATTTTTAAATGTTTTTGTAGAGACAGGGTCTCATTATGTTGCTCAGGCTGGTCTTGAACTCTTAGGCTCAAGTGATCCTCCCACCTTGGCCCCCAAAGTGCTGGGATTACAGGTGTGAGCCACTGCACCTGGCCATCTTTACATTTAAGGAGTGAATGGAGACCACAGATTAGTCACTTAAGTGTTGGTCACTTGAGACAGCTCCTGCTCAATATGACATCTGTTTCATGTCTTTGCCATAGATGAATGCCTTGAAGGTCTAGATTGTATCTCTCCAGTTAGTCTCAGAACCTAGAGCAGTGATGGGTATACAGTGGGCCCTCAGTGACCATTGACTGACTAGCTAACTGACCATACCAACAAAAACAAAGCTTGGCTTTGCCACTGCACATCCTCAGGCAGGGTACCAAGCAGCAATCTACTGTCTAGAAGTTGAGCAAGGGGGAGAGAGACAGAGACAGATCTAGCAAATGAATTTCTAATATTGCTGCAAGATAAGATGATATATACCATTAAATAGTTTTAAAATGTAAGGCAGCTATAAAGAAGATGACTTTGTAGTAATATGTAATTAACCTGGGTAACTCACTAGCACAAAATAACAGTGACACAACTTGCTTGATAACATTTTATAATGGACTAGATACATTCTTATGTGAGGAAAAAAATCCTCATTTACAACCATAATATCTGAGCACAAAAAGTCTTTCTGGTGATTATGTTCAAGGCCAGCCAGATCAAGAAAAAATTTCCCTTACAGATATATCCTTGCAGCTTTGAGTTTATTATATGCTTCTTGTGACAAAGTAAAGCATCTTGTATTGAGCACCAGTAGAGGAAAGAAGTCAGATCTGGAGGATATTCAGCTTGACAAGACATCTGTGGTAAGTGACTGGTTTGGAAGATAAGGGTAGAGGCTTGGTGATCGCAGGGATATCCTCCTTCCTAAGATAAAGCAGGCAAACACATTTAGCCTTGTGCTCAATAAATGAATTTCACGTTGAACTAAAATATACTGAGCAAGCAGAGTTGGAAAGTTGTAGAATATTTACCCTACCATAGGAAATGGGATGAGAAAAAATATGTATACATGTATATTTTATATATGCATGTCTATAAAAGAAATAATCTTCCATAGGATCCCATGGGTGCAAACTTTCTCATTAATTTTCCACATTGGAAATCTGTAGGCTTCTTCCAATTATTAATTATTTAGAACCTCCCTGTTCCTCAAGAGGTTGTGAAGCAGTTGTCTAAAACAGGAAGGATGAAATTAACATTGTACTGAGTACTCACTGTGTGTCAGCCATTATGCTAATTATTTAATATATGTCACCATATTCCTTTGAATGTAAGTTGCCATTGATTTTTGTAAGACCCACATTACTTTACATGCCACTATGAAAGAAAAAAAACATACCCAGTCAAACTGTATGTATACCATACACACTATCAATGTTAAAAAATGTGCATCTTAGAATCAGTGAGATGTGGTATGTCATTTAATTCTCCCAACAACCCTTAAACTAAGTAATAATATGGGTAGATGAAAAAAGTGAGGCTTGGAGAAGTCAAGTAATTTGCCTAAAGTCAAATAGCATGTAAGTGTCAGAGCTGCGGTTTGACCCAGATTAATCTGTCTCAAAATCCAGTATGCTGTCCTTAGTACCATGCTGCTGATTGAAATCAGCACTTGCCCAGAACTCAGAGCTAAATAAATAAATAAATGCATGGTATCCCCCTAAAAGCACTTATCTTTGGACTTCTCTCCCAAAGACCTTTCCTCAGAGAAAACTCTGGATGACTCTGGAGTCAATGGCTGCTATGGATTTCTAAGAGTAGAAGGAAATCTTGCGTTCCTTGGTCTGGTCTCCTCTGGTGTCTGATAATGCCTGCTGCCCCCACCAACCCCAAGGAACCACACACGCTCTGTGGAAGCACAAGTGGGCTTTGCTTTTATCTACTTGTTGGTCCTGGTTCTATCTGTGGAGACATGGAGAGTGAGCCTTACGCATCTTACCATGACATGGCCCTTCCTGTATTTGAAAACAGGTGTGAGCGTCCCCCGAAGACTTCTTTTCTTCCAGCAGAACATTCTGAGTTCCTTATAGGACATGATATAGAAATCTCTCTTTCTCTCCAGCTACTATACTGAATGCACTTCAGTTTGTCTGTGGTCCTTTTAAACAGAAGCATTCAAAATTGATTGCGTGGCTCCACAAGGAGTAGGTGAACTATCACCTCCCTTGCTTTAGTCCACACTTCTCTGGGTGCAGCCTGAGAGTGCATTTGATTTTTCCAGCACCTCATCACATAAGTATAAACTCCTCCTCCCCCTACTTCATCTCCTTTACTCTAGCCTTTTCTCCTCCTCCTTTTAAACACATGCTTCTATGTAGGCAACTTGGACTTTTGTAATTTTTATGTGGGGCTGAAATTATTTCTGCTTTTATCACTTTTGAAATTTGTCTTGTTAGAATTGATATTTTGAAGGTTTTTTCTTTCTTTCTTCTTCTTTTTTTTTTTTGGCATTTGATGGTCATCTCTCCTACTTTTTTTTCTTCTTTACCAGGAAAGTCAGTGATCTTCTAATTTTGTAACATCCTCAAATGAGATTTTTAAAAGTATTTTCTATAGTTTTAGCCAAATCATTGCTATCTAAATTGAGTAGGACAGGCTCAAAGACAGAGCTCTTTGGGAGGTCATAAGAAATCTTTTCATTGTTCTGTTACCAATCCATCAGATTCCTCTGTCATCAGCTTGTATTTCTCTCTCTTGTCTATAAACATAGCAGTTGCTTTATATGTGCCATTCCATTTAAACTGCAAAATTTCACATACCAAGTACTTTTGTTCCTGTTTAGGTTAGGCAAGCCAAACTATAGATAGGTGAAGCATTTTGCACAGAATTTCCCTGTTTGTTAAAAGAAGAACCAGGATTTGCACCCAAACTTTCATGTCCCTTCTACTCTGTC